>NC_000007.14:30240242-30865242 GCF_000001405.40 Homo sapiens
CTTTTAATCCTTTGTCTGTCTTAACTCATTCTTAAGGAAAACTTTCTTGCCTCCTGCCGCCCACAGTCATCTCTCCTTTGACTATTTCCACAGGCTGTTATTTTCACTATTGGCCAAACCACACCTCTGCACTAGCCTCATTTTCTAGATCCCTCAGGCTTCTACAATCTCTCTGGACTCAAAAGTCTTTGGGAAAACAAAAATAGAACTGATTGACAGTAAAGCACAGCTCCTGATGACCCAGCTCACAAATGCTGCTAATCAGAGCCACTATCCCAGAGACCACATTGTGCCGAGATTCATGGTTTGCTGGGCAGAAGGAAAAGCACCCGGTAATTGGCTGTGACCACAAAGGTCAACCACATGAACACCCAGCAAGACAGGCATGATAAAAAGCAATAGAAGGCCTGGAGAGAAAAAAGCTGTGGTGGTAAGTGGTACTGGATGTGATTAGAGGTGGGGACAGGAGTTATGAGCAGCAGACACTCTGCAGGAGAGAAGCAAGTTGATGATGAAGTGAGAGAAGATACCAGCTTTATGGTCTGTAGAGGTGGCAATAAGCTCTCTCTCTCTCTCTCTTTCTCATTGTCTCTCTCTTTCTCGTTGTCTCTCACTTTCTCTCTCTCTCTCAATGGTATAGCCCTCAGGAATGAAGAAGACTCTGGGGAAAGCAGCAGCTTCCTCTCCTGCTATGTGGAACATCTCGGTATCATATGTAACCCCCTCTGCAATTATCCGCCAGGGGCAGCAAGCAGCTCAAGTACCTACAGATACCAAATGGATAATGTAAATGTGCAAAGTAGGGCAGGTATTAGGAATGGAGAGAGGTGGGAACCATGGCAAATTGAAGAGCACACACTCCATCGAAATGTGTCCAACTGTGCATCACATCTTCTTAAGATACCATATAGGCTAGACAAGACATATATTTGGGCCAAATATGGCCCACAGTCACCCTGCCTGTAATCTTGGGGCTTCACAGGTGTATGTGCAGCACATCATGACAACTGGTGATGAGAATGATGAACTTGGGTTGCCAACATGTTGGTTATGCTCTTTCAGACTTCCAGGACTAATGTGATCTAATGGGGCTACTGTAAATGTATTTTGGGAGGTAAGCTTGATGACATGGCTTTATCAGCTACCAGCTACAGCATGGTAGTGGCCCTTAAAGGATTTTAGATCACTTCCAGAAGATCTAGAATAAAAGGCTCATCTTATTGTTCCCTCAGTAACATTGGTGGCTTCTACCCTAGAGGCTGTGCCATAGTTAAGATTCTACTGCTGTTACCATATAACATTTTTTTTTTTTAGATGGGGTCTCACTCTGTAGCCCAGACTGGAGTACGGTGGCAGGATCAAGCTCACTGAAACCTCAAACTCCTTGTCTCAAGCTATCCTCCCGCCTCAGCCTCCTGAGTAGCTGTGCCCAGATATATTTATATCAATCGATTGATAGATAGATTTTAGTTTTTGTAGAAATGGGGTGTTGCTCTGTTGACCAGGCTGGTCTCAAACTCCTGGCCTCAAGCAATCCTCCCACCTCGGTGTCCCAAAGTGCTAGGATTACAGTGACTCCACTGCACCCAGCCTCATATAACTTTTTCACTTTCCTTCTCTTTACCTCTTGGTTTCTGCTTATTCTTGACTTGTCTTGCCTTGTGGCCTGCATTCTCCTTGTATTACTCAACTTGTGTCTCATAGGTAGACCAGTTAACATCTATCTATACAGTGCCTTTGCTGGACAGAACTCTCATGGCTACCAGCCAACCTGCGCATGGCTGCTTTGGGCCAAGTGCTGAATATCTAAGTCAGCTTAGCATTGGCCAGAGAATCACAGTAACCAGGCACAAAGCATGGGGGCCCATTGATAAAGAACCACTTATGGTTATCCTCTGAAGGGGCTGTGAGCATAGCAGATACTTGGTGTCATGTCTACAGCACCAAGATGTCTAAAATTACATTCAGGGTAGTCTCTTTAAGAAGGCAGGGAAAAGTTAGTTAAAAGAGGCATAGAAATCAAAGGCTTGACTTAGTTCTATGGAAAGTGAGGCTACTCAAACTGGGTCTTGTTTCTGTATAAATTAGGGTTGTATTTGGCTGCAAGTAACAGAATACCCAATTAAGCGTTCTTAAATAAATATGGATTTTTTTTTACAAGTACAGAGGTAGATGGTTATTGGTATTGGCTCAGCAGCTCTGTGATATTAAGGTAGCCATCTCTGAGATTCCTTTTGCTTGTGCCTTGTGGTTACAAGATCGCTACTGCAGATCCAGCATTGCCATTTGTGTGCAAAAAACGAAGGACAGGAGAAGGTCCTTGATAGCTCAGGCTGTCCCTTTTATCAGGAAGGCAAAGGTTTTCCAATAACTCACCTATCTCCACCAGCCAGTTCCTCTTAACATCTCATTGGCTGGATTTATGGCTTCCTAGCTGCAAGGCAGGCTGGGAAATCGGGCACCTGGCTCTCCAACTAGATTGAAAGTATCTTGTTTCTCAGGCATAAGGATTTTTTCATGTTGTGGTTCAATGAAGCATTGGGTGGCTTATGCAAGAAGTGCAAGATAACAGAAAAAGCAAAGAAAAAAGTAGAGGTTTGAATATGGGCTCCATCATTTACTGACTCTGTATTCTAAAAGTAATTAACCTTGCTGAATGTTATTTTCTTGCTAGAAAAGGGAGGTACTAAATGCCTGCCTAGCAGGGCTGTTGTGAAGATTGAATATTATAGTGTAGTTACAGTTCCTGGCCCTGAAGAGATGCCCCCAAAGAGTCATTATTCTATTGTGGTGTGCTTTGTTCTGTCTGATGAGTATGTGGCAAGTAGACACAAAGTGGAAGCAGCAGAACTTTGAGGTGAAGAGCATAGGCCCTAAATCAGGCCACTTGGTCCAGATTTCCCCTCTACCACTTACTAGTTGTGTGACCTTGGAGATGTTACCTGGCCTCTCTAAGCTTCAGTTCCCCTGTCTGTAAACTGGAGATAAGAATAGGACTTATCTCCTAGAGGTACATTTGGAAGAAAGAAAGAAGTAATATACACAAAGCATTGGGCACTGAGCCCAGCACAAAGTATGCGCACAGTAAGTTTTAGCTATTATTAATATTGATTGGATTTTTTTCCCCTTGGCCCAGAATTAAACTTATTGAACCAAAAGAGCAAGTGCATTGCCGTTGAAACTCTTTAAAACCAAGTCCTTTTCAATCCCTAAAGTATACCAACTATTATAACTGGAAGCAGCAGCATACCAAGAGTGGGTTTGGGCATGGGCGGGGGGGCTTCCCTATATTCAGGAATTAAGAGGGTTCATTGTCAGTATAGAATTTTTTAAAAATAATTTTTAAAAACCCAAGTGAAATAAAACATTGATCTGCTTTTTATGATCACCATCTACCAACATTTCTAAACAATGTCATTGATAAAATTGCCCCCTCACAAAACTTTTGTTTGCTTAAGTTCTAAACATTGCTGCAATGACTGTTGAGTTTTAATAATAGATCCATAAGTTGCACATCAACACATTTTTATTACTTATCCTTTAATAAAGATTGTGTTCTTTATTAAAGTAAAGTACTGGAGAACTCTGAGTTATATAGTCAGCCCCTCATGCCTACAGACTCCATTTGTAACAGTTTTGAACTGGGGCTGGCTTCAATTTGTATCTCCAACTTGAGCAGTCCTTCACATTCCTGCATGCAAACAGCAGACTCAGCAACACAGATTTAGTGGCTGCAAAGACAAAAACATGGAATTTGAGTTACTTCAATTCTGTGTGACTTTGGGAAATTTTATTTCTATTATATTTAAATTTAAATTGGCTAACAGAGCATGAACTGTGAGGTATGGTATTTATTTGAGCATATTTGAGTGATCTTTTAAAAGGAAATTATTCTTTTAAAATTACTTGTTTTTCAGAGTAAAGATCAAGAAGATTGTGCTTATTTCTGATTATTACATGATTACTGCTGAAAATATTTTTGTTATATAGAGGATGTATTAGTTCGTTCTCATGCTGCCATAAAGAAAGAAAGGGTTTTAATTGATTCACAGTTCTTCATGGTTGGGGAGGCCTCAGGAAACTTACAGTCATGACGGAAGGTATCTCTTCAAAGGGCAGAAGGAGAGAGAATGAATACCGAGTGCGGGGGAAGCCCCTTATAAAACCACCAGATCTCGTGATAAACACTATCAGGAGAACAGCATGGGAAAAACCGCCCCTCGTGATTCAAGTATCTCCACCTGATCCTGCCCTTGACATGTGGGGATTATTACAATTCAAGGTGAGATTTGGGTAGGGACACAAAGCCAAACAATATCAGAGGAAGCAGAGATTAAGAAATGATTTACTCTGGTAACAAATATGCTCATTGTGCCACAGCACAGAAGGGACTTAGAATCTAGTGTAAGCCCTTCACTCTACAATTATCAGAAGGGAAGTTGTCTGAGGTCACCCAGCTAGGCAGTAGCAAAGAGACTAGACAAAACTCTCCTAGCTATTGCCGGACTACTTTTTCCATCCTCTACTCCCAAGGTAACTGAAATAGAACTATAGTGTTAGTGTTTCTCAAACTGGTAAAGAATCAATTTCTGAAATTTTTCAATCTATTGCAGAATAATACTAGCACACAGCCCAGACTACTGGCAGTTCATCATTCAAGTTCATACCATCCAAACAGTCACTCTCCTGCTGAACAAGATAAGTCCACTGATCACACACTTGGATACAGCAGCAATATCAAGTTGCCATAAACGTTTTTAAATGTTTACTCTCAATTTCTGTTCTTATCCCATCATAGACCGGTGACGGTTTCCTGACCAGCTTTGAGTAGCTCTGTACCATCTCATATAGAGTCCATAGCAGGGACTTATGGGCAGGAAAACATCTCTGGATAGTTAGATAAGCAATTTTTAGCTTTTGGGTTGTTTTGACTTTGTTAAATTTCTGTGAGGTTAAGGGCTTAGGTTTGAATTACCATCTGTATACTAGCTGCATGGCCTAAGCATCTTTAGGTGAGTTTTCTCATCCATAGAACAAGGGAACATTAGTGCCTAGCTCAGAGGGGCTTTTAAGGGGATATGCGTGTGCAACCGAGGGTGGGGGCTGACATGTAGTAAGCCCTCTTGTGTATTAGCTATTATTAATTTTATTGCCCCCTCCTCTTTTTTTTAATGTGGGAGGAGGGTGTTGCAGAATAATGTGTCACAGTATAGTTACTATTATTAGGGTTGTTGCTTTTCTAGCCAGAAACCTCTGTGGCCGGTGGCGCCTTTGCCTGAGTTATTGTCCTGCATCCAGGAAGAATGAGGCATGCAGACAAGTGGAGAGTGAGCAAGCTGAAGAGGAGCTTTATCAAGTAGTAGAACAGCTGAGAGGAAACCAGCAGTGGGTAGCTCCTCTCTGCAAGCAGGTCATCCCATCACCTCTGCAGCTCTCAGCAAAGGCTTGGACTGGGTGGCTCCTCTCCACAGGCAAGTTGTCCCAATGAGTGTTCAGCTCTCAGCAGAGAGGGTAGTTTCTGTCTGCTGAGAGCAGGCCCTAGCTCCTCTCTGCAGCTGGTTGTCTGGATGTCTGCTGCTCTCAGCAGAGAGGAGACCCTGGAGAGGCTAGCTCTTCTCTGCAGCTGGTCATCCAGAAGTCTACTCTGCTCTGGCTGAGTCGGGGGTTTTTATGGTCTTCGGCAGGGGGGTAGTGCATGCTGATTGGTCCATGGGCAGCCATAGGTGGGCCCAGGGTAAAGCACCCCGAGTTCCCCCTCTGGTCAGCAGGACTGGCAGCCTGGTCCCCAGGCTTTAGGACTTTCCCAGGCTGAAGGTGAGGCTTCACCGGGGACCCAACCCCTTCTGCCCAGGAGCCTGTCTGCCTCCCCCTGCTGTTCATGGCACCCAGGCTATTTGTCCCAAGGTGAGCCTGCAGGCCAGTGCTGAGCTGCCCTCATCCCCCCGCTCAGCTTCCCTCCCATGCTTGTTGGCACCCAAAGTTCAGAGGGGGCTGAGGGAGCAGGGGGCTGGCGTATCAGTACTGTCCCAAGCATGCGTCCACCTGGCTGGACTGTGTCAGTACCCGGGCTTGGCCCCAACCTTACTGTATGATCAGAGCAGGCACTGGGAGCAGGGAGAGGCCAGGCAGTGGGAGCAGGCACTTCCGAGCCTGTTGGGGGCAGGGGCACCTTCCTGGGCCCCCAAGGCACAGAGACACCCAGTCTGGAGCTGCACCAGGGCAGCTGCAGCAGCACCGGAGGAAAGCAGGGCTCCTGCCTGCTCCCTAGAGCGGGAGCCCAGCCACACTTTCCCACCACAGCCAGTGTCTTGGCAGCAGCCACTCTAGATGGGCTGTTGCTGCCATCACCATAAGGCAGCCCAGGGAAGAAATTATGCCAAGTCAGGAGTTAGAGCTGTGAGCTCTGGCCCTGTTTTCTGGTGACCTGTCAGGATCACTACGCTAGAGGTGCATTCAGGAAGCAATGATGGGGCATCGTCCTGCGCCAGGCTTTCACTGTCCCTGGCAGAGAAATGGTCCCTGTTCTCGAGGGTCTCACGTCGTGGAGAAGAAGCAGAAGAGATACTGTCAGCAGATACAGGGGCTGTCACAGAGGCAGGATCCCACGCAGAAGAACTCCAGCTAGCTCTTCTCCATCTTAAGTTTCCCAGTTTGAGCTCACAGAGAAAGCCCAGTTGGGTTTGTGTTACACAAGGGCACCGTCTCCATCTTTGCTTCCCTTGAGGAGAGATTGTCACCTTGTCATGGGACTTACGATGACCTTGACATTGCTGCATCTCCTCCCATGACAGAGTGGTTTTTCACTGATCCTGGATAAATGAATTAACTGCAGTGGTGCTGGTGGCAGGGGGTGTGGAGGGAACAGGAAATACTACAGAAAAGGGGAGATGTTGTATTCGGGCTTCGAAGGATGAGGAGGAATCTGCATTGCAAGGTGAATGCCCAGGGGTTGGACATGTTCCGTGACAATAAAAAGTCCCCATCTTTCTAAGATCTGGCTTTCTCATCTGCGGGATGAGGATAAGGAAACTGCCCTTGCCTCACTCATGGCATCCTTGGGAGTGTCCTCTGACGGACCCAAGGCAGAAATGTTTTAGGAACTATGAACTGCTGTACAAATTATTATATAATACTCAGCCCCCAGCACAAACATTGACTGTCAGCAGAGAGGGTTAGAACAATTGTTTTGCAAGTTGATGAATTATTTTAATCTTTTATAAAGTGAACTCTCCCAGAATGGTTTTCATTAATGTCCGATACCCACAACTGAACCACCACGCCACTTGTCTTTTACTAAAACACTGATAAAACAGAATCCAGCTTGCCTTTGTGAACGTGTTAAAAACGATGTTTTCAGGGAGAACAATAGAAAAGTAGCCAGTGTTGTCAGTTTGACATTCCTCGCTAGGATTTATTCAGGCTGCTGATGTCTATATGCAAACAGTACATTTAGAAGCCAAATGGGTTCTGGTGCCTTATGAATTTCTTTCTTCTCCCCAATTTGCATAGAGGGGAGGCCAGCAGGAAATGTAGTGGCAATCAAATTTCACTTGTAATGAAACAATGCAGTGTTTTTGACTGTGGATGGGTGTTTAAATAATCTTGACAGTAGCAGCTGGTTCCTTTCTTCCTTTGTCCAATTAGGTGCTGTTTTTTCTGCAAGGATTACTCAAAGGCAGTCAAACCTTGATCCTCCCTGTGTCAAAAGTCTGCCTGAAAGCCTGACTTCTCATCATCTAAGAAGAAACAGCACATTTATTTTTCTGTCTGGGTGTGACACCATTTCAGAGAAAGGTTGCTAGCTTTGAGCTGAAATGTTATTTCATCCCTGGAGTGTAGGTGAAGGCTGTTTCTTCTAGGGATTGGAGAGAACTGTGCCAGCTAAGGCAAGTACTCAGGATAGCCAGATGCTGTCAGCAAACAAAGAGTCTCGGTGGAAAGTGAGAAAGTGTGCATTAGGGTGAAGAGGCTGAATTGCCACCTATCCGTAGCTCTGGGAAGAGAGAAGCTCTGTAAATAATCCACTTTCAGGCAGTTTAATGCTTTGAACATAGTAACAGCCCATGCGCAGAAATCATCTGATAGAGCAGATTGCAAATTTCACTTCCAGCAGTGTGGTTGTTCTTGCACTACAAGGAAAGGTTCTGGCAGCCTAGGGAGGAAGAGGGAAGAGAAGGAGGGGGACTTTGAAATATGGCCTGGCCCTCCTCCCACCTCCATGATGCCACGGGGAAGGGGTATCTCAGAAGGGATCCTAGCTATTGATTAGAACCAGTGTAATTTTCTTTGTCAGCACTTAAGACTGTTTCCCACTACCTGTAGACTTCCCAGATTAATGAGTCAATGGTGTCCATGGGGCACCTCTTATATGTGCAACTGATCCCCAGCATCCGGAGAGTGGTATAAGGTTTATAAAATGTTTTTCATTTACGGTGTTGTATATTTTTCCTCCCAATAATCCTGATGGGTAAGAACAGACATGGAAGTTATTTCCCTGAAAAAAGAGGTAAAAGAATAAGATGTCATAATAATAATAATAATAATAATGGCTCAAATTTATTGAGCATTTACCAGACTTACTATCCAAATGATCACATTTAATTCTCATAACCACCTTGTAAGGGAGGTACTCATCACTCCCAATTTGCAGATGAGAAAACTGAGGTTCAGAGAAGTTAAGTAAACAGCCTAGGTCATACGAGTAGGACACAGCCCACTCCAGCTGAGGCAGAGCCTGTGGTCTTCTGAATCACTATGCTATGCGGCCTGGGTCTCTGACACTTAGCCCTGTTCGTCCTCCAGGGAGAGACATTTGACCAGTATTAAGAGCCTACTGTGTGCCAGGAATAGCTCTAGACACTGGTGATGCATTCATTCACTCAACAAATATTTCAGTATTTCCTGAGTGCTCACTACATGCCAGATTCTGTTTTGTGTTTGGGGTACATCAGTGAACAAAGCTCTCTGCCTTCCTGGAGTTTACGTTCTACTGGAGCAGGCAGACAAGAAACAGGACACATTTAAGAAAATCATATGGTATGTTAGCAAGTGATACACTCTATGGAAGAAAGAAAACTTACAGCATAGTAAAGGGTACCAGGAATGCTGGAGTTGGGGTAGACAGGGTACACTTTTAAATAAAGTGGCCAAGAGAGGTCTCATTAAGAAGGTGGCATTCAAACACAAAAATGGAAGGAAATGAGGGAAGTAACTGTGTCCACATATAGGGAAGAGCATTACAGACAGAGGGAAGAGGCAGTGCCCAGCATGTTGAAAGAACGGCAAGAGGGTAACATGGCCAGAACTGTGAATGAGGAAGAGACAGCAATAGAGATGTGATCACAGCATGGTGAGGACCCAGTCATGGCAGGCCCCCATGTCACTGTGAAGACTCTGAGTGAAATGGAGCGCCCTGGCAGGGCTCTGAGCAGAGGAATGGCCTTTTCTTGTTTTTGTGTTTAAAGAACCACTCTGAATGCTATTTTGAGATGAACTCTAATGTGGCAAGGGTGGAGGCAGGTCAGAGCCAATGCAGTGATCTAGGGAAGAGATAATGCTGGCTCGGGCTGGGCAGTGTTGAAGGTAGTAAGAAGTGGTCAGATTCTGTGGGTGTTTTGAATGTAGAGCCACATTGCAAGACTACCAAGTCATTAAATCAACTGAAACCTGGAGTTTCAAAAAACCTAGACTTAAGAAAACCATTTTCATAACAGAGGAACAGAACATAGGATTTCATGCATGGTGACTTAGAATACTGAAAATTAGTGCTAGTTAGGAAAGAACTATACTTAGACCCAACAGAAAGCATGTCAATAAGAAAACTAGAAAACATAATACATTCCTGTTGTTGTTCCTTGTTTCATTAAATTCAATGCATTCACAAAAATAAAGCAAGCCTCACTAACAAAGCCACATCATTTATAACTTTGCCCTTGTGATTGTGCTGTGAGTACATTCCACAGACAGAGTTAACAGTATTTTAAGAACCATTGCTTCTTTGTTTTCCAAGCTGAACCCTGTTTTACTCCATTGGGAAATATAAATAATGGGAGAAAAGGAAGCAAGATAATGCAAGTATTAATTAACCATTCCTGATCCCTATGACTACAGACACTTTGTGATTATAAGAATCCTAAGAAAAATGGCTTTTTTCTTCTAGGCTTCATCTATTAGATGCTAATGTGGAGAACAAAGTGGCCAGATGAACTTGATTAGCATCACTCTAAAGGAAGATGAGTTGTACCTAGGCAGTTGTCGTGGGCTTGGTGTTTTTTACCTTCTCTATATAGCACAGGAAGTGTTTTGCTGCTAAGACTCGGTGGATCATCATTTGTTCTTTTATCATGGGTGGGTGTGGGCAGAAGATGAGCATCAACAATATTTACTGCTTGACTCCTATGTGCCAGCACTCTGCTACTGTCTCATTCTCCTTTGTACACCCAGTTTATAGTCTTTTAATTCAGCCTGACAGTGTTCTTTATTGAGGTGCACACCATCATTAATGTTCACAGCTGAATGAAGATCTGGCTTTCTAAACAGCTACAGGATTGATGGTTTTATATTAAGGGAGCATTCTCCTCAATGGAGCTGACTTTTAAAAGTGGACTCTGGCATTGGATTAAGTTCTGAGTATTAGGAGATCACTTAGAAGGTCTGTACCTTCCTGCTTGCCTGGTGGCTAATTGTGCAGCCATTATCAGATTCCTGATTAAGAAAGTATATGATGAAAGTTTCCTATGAGGAAACTACTGTGGATAAAGGCCTAAGCTTAGCCTCTTCAAAATACGATTAAATATTAGGTTGGTACAAAAGTAATTGTGGTTTTTGCCTAATAGTTGAGGCATTCTTATTAATCAGGATCACTATTTCTGGAAGTTCTAGCCACTAATAGGCAAGAGAATGAAATAAGTATACCACATTATAATTATTTGTGAGAATTATTAAAAATAATAAAAGTTCAATCAGAAGCCACTGCTAGAAATCACATTACATGTCTTTGAGAGAAAGCCCAGGCACAATCACTGCTGTCTGGGCAGAGCCTCAGAAATCAACTTGCTCACTTAAGGCAAAGGAACATTTACTATTATACTGAACTTTGTCTACACTCAAAAATGGGATCAGAAGAAAGGGAAAGGTTTGTGAACCTCAAGTCCAAGAATAAAAATAGAGGGCTGAAAATGAAAACTCTTATTTTTTAGCTGTCTCAAAAGGAAGCCAGACATTACAGACCAAGGACCACTACTATAAAAGCCTTGGATATAAAGTCAAATTTCTCACATTTTAAAACTCTATGCTATTGCTTCCTTCCTCTCCTCCTCCTCCTCCTCCTGCTGAGTGAAGAGCATAGGCCCTAAATCAGGCCACTTGGTCCAGATTTCCCTTCTACCACTTACTAGTTGTGTGACCATGGAGATGTTACCTGGCCTCTCTAAGCTTCAGTTCCCCTGTCTGTAAACTGGAGATAAGAATAGGACTTATCTCCTAGAGGTACATTTGGAAGAAAGAAAGAACTACTACAAAACACACACACACATACACACACACACACACACACACACACACACACACAGAGTCAGTGCTTCAGGAGCAATGACAATGGGGGATCTTTGTCATAGCCTACTGCCAGGTTTGAGAAACCCCAAGGGATACAGTAGATGGTACAGTGATGGAGGTTGTCACTAGGCTGGATGGGGGGAAACAATTGAAAGAATGTACTCGAAGCTCAGTTTGGAGGTCCAGCATAGGAGAATGGCTGGGGGAGGCAGGAACAACAGCCTAACTCATTTAAAGAATAGTAGAATCAAATATATCCCTCACAGCTTCCAGCGCATGATCTTTATAAATGTGTCTGAATCCAGGAAGATTGCTTCATAGCAAGACACACTTTCCCCCGTTGCCATGGAAACAGCACTGTTCTCATGTGTCAGGAGCGCATGCAGACACACACACACGCACACACGCACGCACACACTGTATGTTAATACATTCTGGTGTTCTTTATACTTCTAAAAGGACATGTTCAGAGCCAGAATTTTACTAATTCCTATCATCCACTTGTTATCTATTATCTGTGTTGTTATGATGTTAAAAATACTGATTTTAGGTTTTTCTTCAATATAATCTCTCCTAGAAGTGAAATAATTCATTATTTGCCCCTTCACCTAGCTCCAATTTTTCTCCCACCCCTTAAACGAACATACTGTAGATCTCAATGCCTATAGTTTATTAATGTTTTAGAAACCTGTTTCAGATCCTAGTCAATTTCTTTGATGGGTAGAATGATGCATTTTGTGTACTTCATGTTCTTAAATATTCTCCATCTAAAATATTGTTTTTACACTGGTAAAATGGCAATTTCTGGGAAGAATGTTGATGAATCACAAGTTTGTATGAGTGTGGGACTATAGTGGTCTGGTTCAGTCTTCAATCTGTATACACTTTAAAAGAAACTAAAGGAAACTGATATGGAGAAATATATTATTTTGACAAGTGTTTCTTGGGCATCTACTATCTCCATATATGACCCAGTTGCCCCTGAGAGCTAATTCCAACTACATGGAGATGCTCACGATCAATGATGAGATGGCATGGTGCATGAGAGTCAGGGAACAGTCTTCAAAGCTCAACACAACCAGCTGTGGCTTTCACTTCACTTGAATTAGGTCATAGAGTCATAACCTGTAAAATGAGCAACTTGGACTAGACTACCTCCCTGGTCAGCTTCAAGACGCCACGGCTATACTTCCATTTCAGAACCAGGCCCCATGGAGTGTGTGGTTGCTTAGACAGCCTCAGTAAGTCCCCGTCTAGGAAGTGACTCAGCCATGTCAGTGTGGGGCTCACACCCCAACAGGCTTCCCACTCCTTGCTGCACCAGTCTTCACCCCAGACCTAGGCCCTCTGGGTGGGGTGGAGCTCCTTCCCAGTGTTCCCTCCCTTCTCCTTCTGCCCACCTCAGATCTACCCTTTGTCACTTGCCTACTGAGACCAGCCAACTTGAGGCAATCATTCCTGCCAAGTTAGCCAGTGGCTGCATATATCATACTCAAGGCAACATTCTTATGGTAAAAATTTACTTTCTGCAGATACCAACCCTGGTAAAGTCTCCAATTTATTTCCTACAACAACTAACCTTCTCACATTCTTTGTTTCAGCCTCAAGGGCAGTTCCTGGAATTCACCAGGCTCTTCACTGCCCTCAGCCTTGGCCTCTAGCCAATGCTGCTGCCACTGCCCAGAAATCTTCTCCTCCACTCAGCACTCTGTTAACTCCTTTCCGCCCTTCAGCAACAGCTTCCAAGTCTCTTTCCCCAACTGAGCCCTCTGCTATTCTCTTTTCCGTCATAGATCTTAGCAGAAAGTACAAACATCTCCCTCAGTAGATGACAGATTTCATGAAGGCACTGTGCCACCGTACACCTGGTACCTGCCTGGTACACAGCAGGGGCTCAGGTTAATAACCGTTGGTTAAATACATGGATGAACAAATGAATGAAAGCACTGTCTTAACCCAAAGATGAGACAGATGGTAGGAATTGCAGGCCCTGGCACATGTCGATGGGGGAAAGAGACATTTTTGAGCAGGTGAAACTTGTCTCTTATCTCTACCTGCAGTGCTCACCTGACTCCTGAAGGACAGACACTAGCAGCAGAAAATATCATCACTCCCAAATGTAGCTTGTCCTATAACTGTTTGTCAACAATAAGGCTTTGACTCACTACAAAAGCTTTCTTCACATGAATTCAAAGCATTTTGCTTTGCATTTGAGCAAGCCTGTTGGTGACAGCAGTCCTTAGAATGTGAAGCACAATGGTTTAAACATTAAATTGAGACCGTAAGGCTGAAACTTGTTCCCATCTCACAACGAACCTTTGGCAGAACAAAGACCAGAATCCAATTTTTGTCAATCAAGTCACTTTTCCCCTCTGGGCCTCAGTTTCCTCCTCTGTAGTTGAATGTACCTCTTCCTCCACTTCACTCTTCCCAAAGTGCTGGGATTACGGGTGTAAGCCGCCGCACCTGGCCTTCATGTTTATATCTAAAAAAAAAAAAATCACTCACATGTGAACTTTTCTTTAAATAATTGGCTATAGAGGACACATTTTCTTGGGAATAAAAAAGGCACTAGTAGTGCTATTTTTGTTGTGCCGATTGATGCCAGCAGATTTATAGTTGCCCTACTTGTTCTGTTTGTCTTGCCTGCAGAGTGGATAGGTGGCTGGGTACATTGCCCTCAAATCTTTGAACAATGGCCCCAGCTTTAAAATGTGCTTTCTTGTCCTATTTTCACCACTGAATCAATGTTAATTAGAAAAATCCTTTAACCTCTTTATGTCTTAGTTTTTTCACATGCGAAATGGAAAGAGCACCTGGCTCTCCACATGCCTAGAGAAATCTAGCACGGGGTGGTTAGAATTTGTGACTGCTGCCCTGTCAGTTCCATGGAGATGTCTGGCCTCTGGGCAGTATGGAGATGCAGGCTTGCCAGCAGTTTGTGATGCCTCTTTTGCTGGGTCCCATGGAAGGTTGCTAGATGCCCTGACTCCTGGTGTTCTATAGCCGGAGAAGACAGATTCGGTGTTACTTCTAGAACAGTGCCTCCCCACAGGACCAAGTCTAATCCGGTCTGATCTGTAGCCAATGAGAAAAATAAAGATAATGTGGTGCATGTGTCTGTGTGTCTGTGTGTGAGTGTGTGAGTGTGCATATTGTCAGTTGTTCTTTCTTCTGAGATAATGTGCTTCCTATTTTTCGGTGTGAAATTGTTTTTTTTTTTTTATGTCCATAATGCATACTTGTCATAAAATTTCAAAGTCTGCTTTAAAACACTGAGCTGAAGGACAACCCTGTTATTGTTTCCTAGATCTTCTGTGACCTGGTTTTGACAGTCAATGATTAACTTACTTTGGCTAGAAGAGGTAATGCTAAGTGTTGGAAGTTTACTCAGCTTCTTAACTAGAATTGCACTAACATTTACTAAGGGTACACTGCGTGCTAGGAACTGTGTTTGATGCTTCCATGTACATCATTTTATTCAATCCTCTTAGGAATTCTATGAGGTTGGAAGTGTTATAGCCATTTAAAATAAGGGCAATCTGAAGCTCAAAGAAGACAAACCACTTGGTCAAGGTCCCCAATTGTTAACCATCAAAGTCTGAATTTGAACTTGGTTTGTCTGAGCCCAAAGTCCATAGTTTTTAACCTCACTAGCCTAATTCTGTAAATAGATCTGGGATGAACAGGACTCTTTCATCCATGACGCCTTCCTATCTGCTGAGTTGGTGAGAGTCTGAAGAGGGGCCAAAGCCAGGGACAAAGTGAGACCAAGTCCCTGAGTCACACAGTGACCTTGAGTGCATTCCAGAGATCAGACTGAAACATCCTCGATGATCTCTTCTGTGGTATCATCTACCCTTGATTTTCTATAAATAGGAATAATCAATGTTGACTGGACTGAATGACACAGAAGCAAACGAATTGTTTGTCCTCCAGGACTGTAACCAGCAATCAGCCTTGTATTCAGTGACATTTGGGCCAGTATTTACTTCTTTATCTCATATCTGTTTTGTCTGTGATTAAATTCCACTATGAAGGTGACCAAGAAAGCTAATGTTTTGAATTTTCAAGATTTCATTGTTAAGAAATCTGTTCAAGGAAAGGCCAAGTCTTTGGGCAGAATGACCAAATGCTCCTAAGCCTCAAGTTTGCGAACTTTATTTCAAAAAGTAGAGTACTGGTCTTTTTAGCTAAAGGTTCCCATTCTGTAGGTCTCATGGGGGTGTCCTGGAATCAAACCTGGGGATTGAATATAGGCAGAAGATCCAGGAACACACATTGGGAACAGTTCTAAGATACCCACATTTCGTTCAAGAGGCATATATAATCATCATTGGCTGGCTGGACACTTTTCCTTTATTGTTTTTCTTTCCAATCAACAGGGATGAAGAATAGCCCTTGTTGACCCTACATGCCAAAAACAAATTGCACGAGCCTCCAAATAATCACTTTTTGGAGGGTATATTTTAGTACAAAAAAATGGACCAAACTGAAGAAGCCTTAGTTGTAGAGTCCAGAGGGTTGAAATTGGGGAGGGGTGAGAACCAAGGTGTCCTCATGGGCCAGGAGAGCACACCCTGGCCCATGCCTTTCTTAAGGACAAGGCACGTGCTGGGCACTGTCAGCGTGGAGTCATGAATCCGGAAGAAGCAGTTGCACTAACTCAAAAGTCCTTTAGCATTTACAGACAGTTCTGTTTTTATCGAGTATAAGCATATCTTCCGAATGCTGCCTGCAAATGCCAACTCTCTGGCTGGCGCCATGCTTCTCCAAGGTAACGCGCTCTGTGTGCATGGCTGTCTTCATGGCTGTTTATAGGCAGAGAACAATTCTCATTGATCAACACCTGGGCTGAACCAGTTGTTCGATATACAGGCATACCTTGTTTTATTGCATTTCGCTTTATTGCACATCCTAGATACTGCTTACTACTTTTTTTTTTATATATACAAATTGAAGGTTTGTGGCAACCTGGCATCAGGCAAGTCTATTGGTGCCATTTTTCCAACAGCTTGTGTTCATTTCATGTCTTTGTGTCACATTTTGGTAATTCTCACAATACTTCAAACTTTTTCATTATTACATTTGTTATGGTGAACTATGATCAGTGATTTTTTTCTTTTTCTTTTCTTTTTTTTTTTTTTTTTTTTTGAGATGGAGTTTCGCTTTTGTTGCCCAGGCTGGAGTGCAATGGCGTGATCTTGGCTCGCAACAACCTCTGCCTCCCGGGCTCAAGCAATTCTCCTGCCTCAGCCTCCCGAGTAGCTGAGATTACAGGCATGTGCCACCATGCCTGGCTAGTTTTGTATTTTTAGTAGAGACAGGGTTTCTCCATGTTGGTCAGGCTGGTCTCAAACTCCCGACCTCAGGTGATCCACCCGCCTCAGCCTCCCAAAGTGCTGGGATTAACAGGCATAAGCCACCACACCTGGCCGATTAGTGATTTTTGACGTTACTGTTTTATTGTTTTGGGGAGCCATATAAGATGGAGAACTTAATAAATGTATGTGTGCTAACTGCTCCCCTGACTGCCTGTTCCTCCATCTCTCCCTTACCTTGGCCCTCCCTATTTCCTGAGACCCAACAATATTGAAATTAGGACAATTAATAACCATACAATGGCCTTTAAATATTCAAGTAAAGGAAGAGGAACACATCTCATCTTCTTTTTTCTTTCTTTTTTTTTTTTTTTTTTTTGAGATGGAGTCTTGTTCTGAGGCCCAGGCTGTAGTGCAGTGGTGCAATCTCGGCTCACTGCAACCTCCACCTCCCAGGTTCAAGCAATTCTCCTGTCTCAGCCTCCCAAGTAGCTGGGACTACAGGCATGTGCCACCACATCCAGCTAATTTTTGTATTTTTAGTAGAGACAGGGTTTCACCATGTTGGCCAGGCTGGTCTTGAACTCCTGACCTCAAGTGATCCACCCACCTTGGCCTCCCAAAATGTTGGGATTACAGGCGTAAGCCACCATGCCCCGCCACATCTCTCGCTATCAATCAAAAGGGAGAAATTATTAAGCTTAGTGGGAGGTATGTGGGAGGCCAAGATGGGCTGAAAGCAAGGCCTCTTGCACAAAACAGTTGGCCAAGTTGTGAATGCAAAGGAAAAGTTATTGAAGGAAATTGAAAGTGCTACTCCAGTGAACACATGAATGATAAGAAAGCAAAAGAGTCTTATTGTTGATATAGAGAAAGTTTGACTGATCTGGATAGAAAATCAAGCCAGTCACAATATTTCCCTAAGCCAATGCCTTGTCCAGAGCAAGGCCCTATCTCTCTTCCATTCTTTGAAGACAGAGAGAAGTGAAAAAGTTGCAGAAGAAAAGGTGGAAGCTAGCAGAGGTTGGTTCATGAGGTTTAAGGAAAGAAGTTGCCTCCATGACATGGAAGTGCAAGGTAAAGTAGCAAATGCTGATGTAGAAATTGCAGCAAGTTATCCAGAAGACCTAGCCCAAGACAGTTGATGAAGGTGGCTACACTAAACAACAGATTGTCAGTGTAGGTAAAACAGCCTTCTATTGAAAGAAGATGCCATCTAGAACTTCCATAGCTAGAGAAGAGAACTCAAGGCCTGGCTTCAAGTCAGCCTTCAAAGGACTCTTTTGTTAGGGGTTAATGCAGCTGGTGACTTTAAATTGAAGCCAATGTTCATTTACCATTACAAAAATCCCAAGGCCCTTAAGAATTATGCTAAATCTACTCTGCCTGTGCTCTAGAAATGGAACAACAAAGCCTGGATGACAGCACATCCGTTTACAGCATGGATTAGTGAATAGTTTATGCCCACTGTTGAGACTTACAGCTCAGAAAAAAAAAAAGATTCCTTGCAAAACATGATTGCTCATTGATGATGTACCTAGTCACCCAAAAGCTCTGATGGAGATGTACAGGGAGATTAATGTTATTTTCCTGTCTGCTCACACAACATCCATTCTGCAAATCTATGGATCAAGGAGTAATTTTGACTTTCAAATGTTATTATATAAGAAATACATTTTATATGATTATAGCTACCATAGGTAGTGATTCCTTCAATGGGTTTGGATAAAGTAAATTGAAAATCTTCTAGAAAGGATTCACCATTCTAGATGCCATTAAGAACATTTTTGATTCATGGGAGGAGGCCAAAATATCAACATTAAGAGGAATTTGGAAGAAGTTGATTCCAACCCTCATGAATGACTTTGAGGAGTTCAAGACTTTAGTGGAAGAAGTCACTGCAGATATGGTGGAAATAGCAAGATAACTAGAATTATAAATGGAGCCTGGAGATGTGACTGGATTGCTGCAGTCTCATGACCAAACTTCAATGAATGAGGAGTTGCTTCTTATGGATGAGTAAAGAAAGTGGTTTCTTGAGATGGAATCTACTCTTGGTGAACATGCTGTGAACATTGTTGGAATCACAACAAAAAATTTAGAATGCTTCATCAACTTAGTTGATAAAGCAGTGGCAGGGTTGGAGAGGATTGACTCCCAATTTTGAAAGAAGTTCTACTGTGGGTAAGTAAAATGCTATCAAACAGCATTGCATGCTACAGAGAAATATTTTATGAAAGAGTTCATCAATAAGTCCATTATTGTCTTATTTTAAGAAATTGCCACAGTCACCCAACTTTCAGCACCACTACTCTGATCAGTCAACAGCCATCAAAAGTGAGGCAAGACCTTCCACCAGCAAAAAGATTAAGACTCGCTGAAGGCTCAGATTGTTAGCATTTTTTAGCAATAAAGTACTTTTAAACTAAAGCATATCTGTTTCAGACATAATGCTATTGCACACTTCAGACTACAGTATAGTGTAAACATAATTTTTATATGCACTGGAAAACCAAAAAAAGTGTGACTCGCTTTATGACATTATTCACTTTGTTTTGGGGGTCTGGAATCAAACCTGCAATGTCTCTGAGGTATGCCTGTACTTAATGTCATCCCTAACTGTGACAGTGCCTCTTGGGCAAGTTTATCTTTGAGGTTATTTTGGACCATGGAAGGTCACAAAGAGTGAAGCGTATAAAGGGTTCCCTGAGAAAAGAGAGTTGGAACTTGAGGCAAGGTGGCAGGAGGAAGAGGAGAGAATACAGCTAAAAATACTTAGTATGGTGTCCCTAATTGGTGAAACTAGGCCAAGGTTGGCAAAACTTTTGTAGGAGAGTCAAGTCTGAAGGATGGTTAGTGGCTCCCTGGAGTCCTGATCTGGAAGAATTTCTGCAGTCACAGACAGCCTCAGCGGTGATATCTACAATGACTGATTACTGATGTCTGCCAAGGGCCCAGGAAGAGGTGTGTTTGGCATATTTGTCAGCCATGCTCTGGTGGACATGTGGATACATTTTGAACTTTTTGGCCTTTTGCTGATCTTTATTTTCAGAAACACACACCAGCATTTCTTTTCTCCTCATGCATATTCATGGCTATCTACTTGCTGCTCAAATAAGAGATTTATAGTAGTTTAGGCAGAATCTCTCAGAGGTATCTGAGCTAATGAGCAGTAAACACCACTCAGCATATGTCTCTAGAAACTCTGGGCAGGGAAGCCTCTACAAGTTGGTCATCCCTGTGTAGTCACTTTTTCTCTTTGCAACAGATGTCCAATACTCAGGTTCTCCCATGCCTCCAAAACAGCTGTCACCCTCAAATCCCCTGGAGTGGATCACGACTGTGGCAGGATCTATGACATCCATTATGGGTTTCACACAGAAGACATGATAGAGTGATATGAACTGTGACTGTGCTGTCACCAGCACTTTTAGTTATAACTGAGCTCTCTGGAAATATCTGCACCACTTGAGGGAGTTGGTGTCCTCAGCTGTGTCCTGCTGCATGATGTGAAATGGTAGAGGCAGGCCATTTGCCTCACTCCCTTATTGCTACACTGCCTGGCTCTTTGCTATTTTTATAAAAAATCAAGTTTTCCTTAAATATCAAAGAATTTTGGCCAGGTGTGGTGGCTCATACCCATAATCCCAGCACTTTGGGAGACTGAGGTGGGTGGATCACTTGAAGTCAGGAGTTCGAGACCAGCCTGGCCAACATGGTGAAACCCCATCTCTACTAAAAATACAATAATTAGCTGGGCATGGTGGCACACGCCTGTACTCCCAGCTACTTGGGAGTCTGAGGTGAGAGAATTGCTTGAACATGGGAGGCGGAGCTTGCAGTGAGCCAAGATTGTGCCACTGCATTCCAGCCTGGGCAACAGAGCGAGACTCCATCTCAAAAAAAAAAAAAAAAAAAGAATTTTATCTTCAGGGAGCCCCTCTGTTTTAGTCTACTTGGGCTGCTATACCAAAATACCATAGACTGGCTGGATGAAACAACAGAAATGTGTTTCTTTATAGTTCTGGAGGCTGAGAAGTCTGAGATCAAGATGCTGGCTGATTCAGTTCCTGGTGAGGGCCAACATCACAGCCTCTAGACAGCCACCTTTTTGCTGTGTCCTCACTTGGTGGGGAGAGAGCAAGCTGCCATCTCAAGAACAGTGATCCCATCATGGGGGCCTCCCTCAAGATCTCATCTAAACCTAATGACCTCCCAGAGGCCCACCTCCCAATACCATCACATTGGGGGTGAAGACTTCCACCTAGAAATGTGAGGGGGATACAAACACTCAGTCTGTAACACCCTCCTTTATGGAAGGTGTGTCTTCATTAGAAAACACCAATCCTTGATAATATAACCAAACTTTTTAACACTAAAGAGTTTGGCTGGGCGCGGTGGCTCGTGCCTGTAATCCCAGCACTTTGGGAGGCCGAGGCAGGTGGATCATGAGGTCAGGAGATTGAGACCATCCTGGCTAACACAGTGAAACCACGTCTCCACTAAAAATACAAAAAATCAGCCAGGCGTGGTGGCGGGCACCTGTAGTCCCAACTACTCGGGAGGCTGAGGCAGGAGAATCACGTGAACCCAGGAGGTGGAGGTTGCAGTGAGCCAAGATCGCGCCACTGCACTCCAGCCTGGATGACAAAGCGAGACTCTGTCTCGGAAAAAAAAAAAAAAAAAAAGTTTGACCTGAACGTTTTGTGCTTTGGGTTTTAGTGGGGTTGGTGTGCTTGTGCTACCGAGTTGAGAGAATAGAGAGCTTTAATAATTATTAGCATTTAGCAAAATAATGATGTTTTCAGTTTTAAAAAGAACAGTAAGTGACTCAATTCCTATTGCTAATTGTAGAAAATGTCATGGTGGAACTGCGTGGGGAAATACAGAGGAAACTGCAGTGGGTTGGGGAGGAGGACCGTTTTGAACTGCTTTTTGTTAAGAGAACTGACAATTCTGCTTGTCGAGTTGTTAATACAATGTTGAAGTTCAGGTGCTGTATCTGATTTCAATTCCTGACTCCTCCACTTAGTAGCACTGTGACTCTGGGCAAGTTACTGCATCTCTCTAAGTCTCAGCTTTGTCATTTCTAAAATGAAAGTAATAATAGTTCCTACTCCATGGGACTCAATGAGGAGAAGGTTCAATGAGGAGCTGGGAGTGGTGTCTCTTGCCTATAATTCCAGCACTTTGGGAGGCTGAGGCAGGAGGATCGCTTGAGCCCAGGAGGTCAAGACCAGCCTAGGCAATAAAGTGAGACTGTTGCTACAAAAAAAAAAAAAAAAAAAAAAGCCAGGCCTGGTAGTGTGCACCTGTGGTCCCAGCTACTCAGGAGGCTGAGGTGGGAGGATCGCTTGAGTTCAGGAGGTCGATGCTGCAGTGAGCCGTGTTCACGTCACTGCCCTCCAGCCTGGGTGATAGAGCCAGACTCTGCCTCAGAAAAAAAAAAAAAAGAAAAGAAAGATTCAATGTGAATGTATGCAAAGTAATTCAGGATTGTGTCTGGAACATGGTAAGTGCTCATTAGATGTTAGCTATTATTATTATTAGTATTATTAGCAGCATGGTGGGAAAGATACAGCACTAGGAAGCTAGAGCCCTTTCCCCAATTACTGAGGTACGTTGACAGTAAAAATAACAACGACAACAACAATAATAGCAACACTTTTATGTACTAGGCTCTTAATATTATTACTATTATAATCATCCCTTACTTATAACTGTGGAAATTGAGTCACAGAAAGATTAAATAACTTGCCCAAAGTAACAAGGCTAATGACCAGCAAGGCCAGAGCTTGAATCCAGGCAGCCTGTTGCAGAGCTGACATGTTGAACTAACATGATGTGTTGCTTTTTTTTGTCTATACAGTTAGGGCCATGGCTAGAGGCAACGTGTAGACCCAGTAATCTGTTGGGATCCCTCCATGTCTCGGATCCTTGGGAATGTCCCTGAGTTTAGATCTACTGTTATGCTCTATATCAGACAATGAAAAACACAGTTCTAAGTCCTTAGCTTGGGAAACTCTCATAACATTTGGCTTAGTGAAGTCAAATGGTACAAAATTCAAAAGTAAAAGGCACATGGTATAAAGTCTTACTTCAGCATCCAGCCATCTAGTTCCCTTGCCCGGAGATAGCAAATGTTAGCTAATGGATCAACTTTGAGCAAATTGTTAACCCAAAACTTACCTCTTTATCATCCAAGACAAACACTGCTTCCATGCCCCACCTCCCATCTGTGCTCTGACTTCCTGGCTGGAGACAGAATTCTCAATGAAGGAGAGAAACAGAAGTAGTTTCTCTTCAGTGCCAGCCTCACCTTCCCTTCCCTTCTCTTTACGTCTCCCCTCCCCTACCACTCCTGGGTCTTTCTTTCCCAACTCAAACTATCACCACTTTACACTACACTAAAGGTATCCTCAGGAGAAGGTTGGGACATCTGCTTTAACTTCCACAACTCCTTTGCTACCGTGACTATCATTCTGGGTTTATCACCAATTAACATACCACTCACGCTGTGAAGTATAAGGGCTGGTGTGGCTGGACCACCAAAGAAGACTCATTTGCTGTAATATTCCTAAACACAGAAAGAAAAAAAAATAAGATTTTCTTTCTCTAAGTATTCTAGTACTAAACCTTATAGCTACATATGTACAGGAACAGAGAGATATCAGGACATGCTATTGATCTCATTTGCAAAACCCCAAAATAATAGCAACAACAAACTAAGCATGCACACATTGACTAGCAGTTTAAACTGTTAACAGTGAATATGTTACTTACCAACTATTTTAACTTTTAATAAGAAGCATGAATTTCATATATATACACATATATATGTATATATGATTTTCAGATCGCAGATCTTTTCTCCCCTTTTTATTGTGGTAAAATAACATACGCTTTACCATTTTAACTATTTTTAGTTAGTTGTTTGTTTTTAACAGAGGTGGAGTCTCACTATGTTGCCTAGGCTGGTCTCAACCTCCTGGACCCAAGCACTCCTCCCGCCCTGGCCTCCCAAAGTGTTGAGATTATAGGCATGAGCCACTGCACCCAGCCTCAACTATTTTTACGTCTACAATTCAGTGACATTAAGTATATTCACAATGTTGTGCAATAGTCACCACTATCCATTTTCATCATCCCAAACAGAAACTCTGTATCCATGAAATAATAACTCCCCATTCCTCCCTCCCCAAGTGCCTTACAACCTCGATTCTACTTTCTGTCTCTATGGATTTGTCTATTCTATAAGCTGCGTTATGCAATATTTGCTCTTCAGTGTCTGGTTTATTTCACCAAGCACAATGTCTTCAATGTTCACCAATGTTGTGATATATATTAAAATCACATACATCCTTTATTTATGTAAAAGAATTTTCGTTCCTTTTAAAGGCTGAATGATACCCAATTTTATGTATATACTACATTTTAAAAATCCATGCACTTGTTGGTTGGGTTGTTACCACCCTTTAGCTATTGACAATAGTGCTGCTATGAAATGGGTGTAGGAGTATCTGTTTGAATCCCTGCTTTTAATTCTTTTGGGCATATACCTAGAAGAGAAATTGCTAGATTCTATGGTTTATCTATGTTTAACTTTTTGAGGAAACACCATACTGTTTTCCATAGCAGCTGCACCATTTTACATTCCCACCAGCAATGGACCAGGGTCCTAATTTCTACCCATCATCATCAATCCTTTTTTTAAAAAAATAGTTACCCTAATGGGTGTGAATCTCATTTTTTATCCCTTACCCCCCTTTTTCTCCAAGTCCCCAAAGTCCATTTTATCATTCTTATGCCTGTGCATCATCATAGCTTGGCTCGCACTTATGAGTGAGAACATACAATGTTTGGTTTTCCATTCTTGAGTTACTTCACTCAGAATAATGTTCTCCAGGCACGGTGGCTCACACCTGTAATCCCAGCACTTTGGGAGGCTGAGGTGGGTGGATCACGAGGTCAGGAGATCGAGACCATCTTGGCCAGCATGGTGAAACCCCATCTCTACTAAAATGCAAAAAATTAGCCAGGTGTGGTGGCACGTGCCTGTAATCCCAGCTACTTGTGAGGCTGAGGCGGGGGAATCGCTTGAATCTGGGAGGCGGAGGTTGCAGTGAGCTGAGATCACACCACTGCACTCCAGCCTGGTGACAGAGCAAGACTCTGTCTAAAAAAAAAAAAAAAAAAAAAAGGTCTCCAATTTCATCCAGGATCCAGGTTGCTGCAAATGCCATCATTTCATTCCTTTTTATGGCTGAGTAGTATTCCACGGTGTGTGTGTGTGTATCACATTTTCTTTATTCACTTGTTGATTGGTGGGCATTTGGGCTGGTTCCATATTTTTGCAATTGTGAATTGTGCTGCTATAAACATATGTGTGCAAGTATCTTTTTTGTATAATTACTTCTTTTCCTCTGGGTAGATAGCCAGTAGTGGGATTGCTGGATCAAATGGTAGATCTATTTTTAGTTTTTAAAGGAAATTCCACACTGTTTTCCATAGTGGTTGTAGTAGTTTACGTTCCCACCAACAATGTTAAAGTGTTCCCTTGTTAGCACATCCATGCCAGCATCTATTATTTTTTGATTTTTTTTATTATAGCCATATGAGTTTCATTTTTTTCTCTTCCTGAGACGGAGTCTCACTCTGTTGCCTGGCTGGAGTTCAGTGGCGAGATCTCGGCTTACTGCAATCTCTGCCTCCTGGGTTCAAGTGATTCCCCTGCCTCAGGCTTCTGAATAGCTGGGACTACAGGCACACACCACCACGCCTGGCTAATTTTTTATATTTTAGTAGAGACAGGGTTTCACCTTGTTGGCCAGAATGGTCTCGATCTTCTGACCTCGTGATCTGCCCACCTCAGCCTCCCAAAGTGTGGGGATTACAGGCATGAGCCACCGTGCCCGGCCTCATATTTTTCGTAAAAGGTGTGATGGTCAATTGTGTCATCTTGACTGAGCCATGGGGTGGCTAGCTGTTTGGTCAAACACTATTGTGGGTATATGTGAGGGAACATCTTAAGTCCTGGGCTTCCACAGAGACAGTTTCTATTAATTGCTTTTTTCCTGTGTATTGGCCATACTCTTTTGTTTCTTTGAATGTCTTGTAATTTTTTGTTGAAAATTGCATATTTAAAATGCTATAATGTGGCAACTGTGGAAATTAGATTCTCAGCCTTCCTCAGGGCTTGTCATTGTTGCTCTTAGTTATTGTTTGTTTAGTGACTTTTCTGAAATAGTCTGTAAAGTCTGTATTCTTTGTCATGTTTGGCTGCTGAAGTCTCTGTACAGTTAGTTTAGTGGTCAGGTAATGATTGGATACAGATTTCCTTAAATATCAGGGACTAATGAGCTTCCCAGTTTTTGCAAAGGGGTTCTGTGAGTAAATTGGGGCTAGCCTTCAACACTCAGCCAGGGCCTTGACAATTCTGTTTGAGCCTTCACAGCCTGCCTGCACACAGCTTCAAGGATATGTTGCACAGAGGTGAGAACTTAGGGCCTTCTCAGGTCTTTCCTAAGCATCCACACAACCCTGGGCTCATGCACAGCCCTCTGCAGGCATGTGGCCTTCTAGCTTTCAGGAATATGTCAAGTTCCTACAGCCATCTCATTCCCTGGCTTTTCCTTGAAAGCTTTTTGGTTAGCCTATTGTTTGCCAACTAGTATCCACTACTTCAGGCACCCTTGAAATTAAATGGTTGCCTCCAAATGTTTTGAATAAATGTCCCCAGGGAAAAGGGTTTTTGCACCGGGTGATCTTCAGATCAAGTAAATCTGCAATTAAAGTCTTGCAATTAAAGTCTTCCTGGGAACTCCCAGAGAGGGCAAATCCTGACAGATCTGTGGGAATGAGGTTTTGAAGGAACTCTAATACTACTGTGCCTCCTCCAGTGGCTGCCAGGCTATTGGCTTTCACTGTGATTGTGGGCTGTTGATTTTCAAGGCTACCACAGAGCTGGAGGAGGTGGGTGATGGGAACAGGGCAAGTTAAGCTTGCTGCACTTACTGAGATTCAACCATTTTTCTGGAATAAACACTCCCTGGATTGCTGCAAGCCTTGGGTTAATTTACAGAGTTCTGAAAAAGTTGAGTCTCATTATTTTTGCTGGTTTTCTCACTGCTTTCCTAGAGGAGAGAAGTTTTGGAGATACTTACATTTTTGCCAACAATATCCCAATGAAGTGTTAATGGGGAAAGAGAGTGAGTTGTGTGAGAAAGCAGTGCTGGAGTTACTGTTAGAGGTGGAGTCGTTTCAAGTGATGACAGGGCCCAGGGTAAGGCCAGGGGAATGGACACCTGGAATGGAGTGCAAGCGAAGGTCACTGCTGCGGGAGGGGGCAGGCAATGGATGTTCAGGCCAGACTGATGGGAGGGTGTCCACATGGAGGCTGAAATCCTCCAGGACCAGGATACTATTTGAGGGGAGAAGGAGACTGAACCAGGTGTCTAAGTCCTCCCTGACTGCAGGAGTGACCTGAGATTGATGGATGATGGCAGTGTCAGTGCTGGGAAATGAATGTTGTCACATGCATAGCCAGTATGGAAAACAGTGGCAGAGATATTCTGAAGACTGAAGAGGACCAGTACATTTTAAAAGAGAATTATGATATGTAAATAGATATCTTATACCAAGAAGGGAGAATTGTTGTCAAATTAACTAATGTGGTCTACCAATAGGGAGGATTGTTGTCAATTAAATGAATATGGCCTACCAGTAGAAAAACTTTAGTGCCAACAAACTATTTTTACTTATCTCTCCATGCATCAGGAGGTGAAGGTAAGAACTGCAGCCCTCGATAGATGCATCTTCTTGTCGTTCACCCTCTGTCTTCATTCTTGTTCATCTTTTTTTTTCTTTTGAGACAGGGTCTCATTCTGTTGCCCAAGCTGGAGTGCAGTGGCATGATCTCGGCTCACTGCAGCCTTGATCTCCACAGTTCAAGTGATCCTCCCACCTCAGCCTCCTGAGTAGCTAGGATTACAGGTGTGTACCACCATGCCTGACTAATTTTTTTTTTTTTTTTTTTTTTACATTTTGTAGAGACAGGGTCTCACTACATTGCCAGACTGGTCCCAAACTCCTGGGCTTAAGTGATCCTCCCATCTCGGCCTTCCAAAATGCTGGGGTTACAGGTGTGAGCCACCACACCCAGCCTCTCTTCATTCTTTAAGGGAGTCTCCTTTCTCTGAGTTTATATTACCTGTTTTATCTCTGAGTTTACATCACGTTAGGGACCACAAGTCCCTGTTGCTGGAGATGACCCACCATGAGGATCAGATTGGTGACCTGCATATCTTTAGGCCAAGGTTAGTGAAGGACTAGAGAATCCCGGAGAGCCACACACTGCCTTTATTTTTGGAAAGCCATATTTTCTGCAGGCTCTGAGGGTACTGATTTAGTCATCTTTGGTCTTACACACAGAATCATGAGTATTCATTATGTAAAATTCTTTTAATCAATCTTTTCACAATGTATAATAGCTGTGATCATCAAATTCTAAGCTATAGCAGCCTACAACAGCAATGTGTAAAAAGCTCTATACACTGAAATGTCCTAACTGGGCCGTCGCCAAGTTATGTCTGAATACAAACCAAGACATCAAGATTTGGGGCTGGAAAACTCACTCTCAGTGTAATTTCTTAAAGCCATCATCACTTGGATTCAACTCTCATGACTGTGAAAAGCACTTCAAGTTCAGCTCTCAAGACTATGAAAGCAGAACCCAGGGGACCCGCGGTGGATTCAGCTGCCTTTTCTCTAATTTTCCAACCACGTGTTCACACAAGACGTAGCAGTAAACAGCATGAGGAAAATCAAGCAGGGAAACCTTGCCTCCCCATCAAGTTGCTATAACTCCCTCTCCTGCCTGTCACTATTAACCTCTGGAAAGAGTGGCCTGTAATTGCTATCTAGTACTCATTCCCATGCAGTCTGCAACATGCAGTGGCCTGTCTTCCATCTCCACCACTCAAAAAAGATCAACACTGATGGATGCTGTGCTCAAGAATGATGCCAATCTTCACCATTCCCTACCTGTTTGCTACTTTTGACATCGTTGAATGAATGACCTTCATCCCAAAAACTTTCCCCTTCTTTCACCCTCTGGGATACCTCTCCTCTATTTTTCCTCCTACAACTCTGACTCCACCTCTTCCTTCCCTGGCTCCTCTTCCTCCACCAGCTCCTTGCCATTTCCTCTAAGTCCATCCTAGGTTTCATATTGTCTCCCTCTTTACCATCTCTCCTTCAGTATTTGGAGCAACTTCCACCTAGTATCCTAACGACCTAATCTACATGTTCAATCCACACCTGTGAGCTCTACGCCTCCTGTTCTAATTGCCTACTGGATGCTGACATACATATTTAGCAAATATCTCCAGCTCAACATGCCTCAAATTATACAAACTGTTTCCCTAAAACCTGTTTCTCTTCTTGTCTTCCCAGCCCCATGGCACCCAGGCTGGAAGTGCAGAGTCATCATTAGCTATTCTCTCTCTCTGTCTGTCTCCAAGTTCAGTCTGTCTTATTTCTTACAAAACCAATCGTCTATCTCTCTCCTCTTCATTCCCACTGCCTTCCTAGCTGTCTCCTTGACGGCAGGAACTTCCTCTTTTTTCCAATCCACATTGCTGCCAGAATTCCCTCTACAATAAACAAATTTGATGAGTGTTAGTCCTTAGAGGTTTCCCAAAGCTAGGTGACTGTATGCCTCTGTTGGCCTGGAACAGTGCTGTTTTCTGCTGAGTGTTTGGTTATTCTATCTGGGTAGCATGCCCATTAACTCTCAAAAGTGGCGCATTTGGATGATGAATTATGTGATCAGCCTATCACAGAGTGACAGGTTAAAATCCAAACTCTTTCACCTGGCATACAATCTGTCCCCAAGCTAACTTTCTAGTGCCATCTTCTTCCATCCTGTTTAATTGCCATTCCCCAAACACGCCAGCCTGTTTCCCAGCTCACTGTCATTGTTCGTGCTGTTCTCTCTTCCTGAACACCTTTCCCCCATTTGCCACTTCTCAAATCCTCCTTAACCTTCACTGCCCAGCCAAGGTAGCACCTCTTATGTGAAACAGCATATCCTGTCTGCCCCATTCCCATCTGTCAAGAGCCTCCTCTCCATCCCCTGCTCCCCAGTGATCCTGTAGTGATTTGTTCAACTCTCTGTCACGTATTCTACTTTGAATCTGGTACAATACCTGGCACATTGCAGGTCCTCAAAACATTTTGAAGGAGAGGCTTTCAAGAGGCAGGAAGCCAGGAGGTTTTTTTTTTTTTTCTTTTTTTCCCGGCTGTCTCTGATTAGAATTAAACGCTTTTATTTTCGATATGGGACTTGCTTGAGAAAATCCAACATATCAGAGCCAAATCTATTTCTTCATCTGTAGAGTAATAAGGAGAATAATTGCTGCTGCCAAAAGCTACCCATGTGAACTCAATAAGGTAATAAAAACAAGCCCTGCTGTTGAAGTAGAACGTATTGAAATAGAGAGTGAGATGAGCCTCCCATCCTCTGTCATCTATCCCTACAATCTGCAGCCTGTGTGGTGTGGGGGGCAGGAGAAGATTCTGAGAACTGGCAACTGGTTAAATAGAAAATGTACCTATGGGAGGGAACAATGATTTATCCCAATACAAATGAAACTAATTTGAGGAATAACCACTTATTGAGCATGCACATGGATCGAACATTGTGCTAAGAATTTTACATATAGTTTCTTTATCTTTCCAATCTTATAAGGAGATTGATGGATATTATGATTCCCCATTTTACAGTGCAGGAAACTGGAGCTCAGAGAGGTTAAGCAACTTGCTGATATAGTTTGGCTCTGTGTTCCCACCCAAATCTCATGTTGAATTGTGATCCCCAATGTTGGGGGAGAGACCTGGTGAGAGGTGATTGGATCATGGGGGTGGATTTCCTCCTTGCTTTTCTCACAATAGCGAGTGAGTTCTCACAAGATCTGGTTGTTTGAAAGTGCGTAGCACTTCCCCCTTTGCTCTCTCTTCCTCCTGCTCCTACCACATAAGACTTGCTGGCTTCCACTTCGCCTTCTGCCATGATTGTAGGTTTCCTGAGGCCTTCCCAGACATGCCTCCTGTATAGCTTGCAGAGCTGTGAGTCAATTAACCGTCCTTTTTATAAATTACTCAGTCTCAGGTAGTTCTTTACAGCAGTGTGAGAATGGACTAATACACTTACCAACAGCACAAAGCTAGTAAGTGGTGGAATTGGGATACGTAATAATAATGCTAATAACTCACACATGCGTACCACGGTGTCCGTGGTGTTCTGCTCAGTTCTCACACCCACCCTATGTATTATATTATGTTATATCTCCATCATCAGATGAAGGCAACTTTAAATAACTAGCCCAAGGTCACATCACTAGGAAGAAAGGGTGCCAGGCAATTTACTCCAGTAATCATATGCCTGGTCACTACCCTTGCTCTCCTCCAGGTCTGTCTGACTTTGCTATCTCAGCTCTTTTTATGTAGCCAGAGAATCCATCAGATGGCTCTTCCCTCCTTTCTCAAGATGTGGTCAGCAGACCATCAGCATCAACATCACCTGGAAGCACATTAGAAAGAATCTTGTGCCCCTACTCCAGGTCTAGGGAGGCAGTATCTGCATTTTCACAAGATCCCCAGGACCTGGTCTACATCAGTCACTTTCAATCTCATCTGCATATTGGACTCCCCTTGCGGAGCTTTAAAGAATCTGATGCTGGTTGGGCATGGTAGCTCATGACTGTAATCCCAGCACTTTGGGAGGCCAGGCCAGGGAATCATTTGAGACCAGCAGTTTGAGACTGGTCTGGGCAACATGGCAAAACCTTATCTCTACTAAAAATACAAAAATTAGCTGGGCGTGGTGGCATACACCTGAAGTCCCAGCTACTCGGGAGGCTGAGGCAGGAGAATCGCTTGAACGTGGGAGGCAGAGGTTGCAGCGAGTTGAGATTGTACCACTGTACCCCAGCCTGGGGTACAGAGCGAGACTCCTTCCCCACACCCCCTGCCAAAAAAAAGAATCTGATGCCTGGACACCACTGACAGTGCTTCTGCTTTAATTGTCCAGGTACGGTTTGGGTATTGGGCTTTTTAAAAGCTTCCCAGGGGATTCTGATGTGAAGCCAGGTTGTGAACCACTCCCTTAAGCAAATACACTGTTGCTTGCCTCCTTCCTTCACTCATTCAAGTGCACTCTGGCACAATTTGCTGGGGAGATGGACGATTACAATATAGTATTATAAGTAGTATGTTAAGCACCATCCCAAAGGCCAGGGGAGCCCAGAGGAAGGCCTGAGGCCAAGTCAGATTGCCTGGAGATACCAGATGGGACCTCAGGCTCAAGGATAAAGAGGAGTTCTTGGATTTGTTGAGGGCTATGTTGAGCAGGGTGGGAGAAGGGAGAGTTCTATGCTCATTACCAAAGTGAAATTCATAGAATTTTAAGGTGTAATAGATTATAGAGATTGTTGAATGAATCTAATGGTTTTCAAACTTTTTTTTTCTTTTTTTTTTGAGACGGAGTCTCATTCTGTCGCCCAGGCTGGAGTGCAGTGGCACCATCTCAGCTCACTGCAACCCGTCTCCTGGGTTCAAGAAACTCTCCTGTCTCAGCCTCCCGAGTAGCTGAGATTACAGGTGTGTACCACCATGCCTGGCTAATTTTTGTATTGTTAGTAGAGGCGGGGTTTCACCAGGTGGGCCAGGCTGGTCTTGAACTCCTGACCTCAGGTGATCTGCCTGCCTCGGCCTCCCAAAGTGCTGGGATTACAGGTGTGAGCCACCGTACACAGCCAACTTTTTTAAAAACTATAACCTATATTAGGAGAAATATTCTATGTCTCAGCTCAGAATATATATAAAGTTTCATAAAACAATGTTTAGCTTCACTAAATTCCATGCACTTTGATATTTTTATTTATTTATTTTGTATAGATGACGCCTTACTATGTTGGCCAGGTTGGTCTCCAACTTTTGGCCTTGAGCCATCCTCCCACCTCAGCCTCCCAAAGCACTGGAATTATAAGCATGAGCCATTGCATCCAGCCTACTTTGATATTTTCTAGTCTTTCAATACTATGCTCTTTTAGAAAAAAAAAATACTGGTCATGTTTAGCTGGATTCATTTTCCACTACACTAACGGGTCACAGTGGGCAGTTTGAAAGACCTGGACCTTATCCCTTCAATGTTTCCTTGAGGAAACGATGACCAAGAATAGCTACATGGCATGGCCTGAAAGAGTAAAGAAAAGTGTGTCTGAATTACAGTGTGAAGGACTGGTGTTAGAGACGAAAAAAACCTGTATGGCATTGGTTGGTGGATACTTCAGAGGGACTTGCCTTCCGGAGAAATCCTACTCATTTTTCTGGGAAGTAAAGATAACAGTCCTGTAGAGAGGGCAAGATGATAAATTAATAAATGAGGTATCTGGGTCATTTCTAGGCCCACTGGATATATCAGTATTACTGAGTGAGAATTGTCAGTTTAGCTGGGGTTTGGGCCCTCTTAGAACCACCTGGGGCCTTTGTCTAGTACATATATGACTTCCAGCCATTCTGATATGCACCCTCCCTCTTCAAGAGCCTAAGTTTCTGCTGATAACAAGTCTTACTGAGGCTCGAGCTGATGGGGGTATATCCTATCTCTCCAGTATGTTGGGGCAGGCAGGGAAAACAAAGGTGAGAACTGCTGATCTCTTGAGCAACAGTTTCCAACATTTTAGATTTCACAGGTCAGTAAAAATTCAAAAACAGTTTAGGAATCAACATCAGGGTGCCAATATTTCTTTGTCCCAAAAAACGAAATCTACATTTAAAAAGGAAGAAACAAAAAACCAAATACTCCCCAAATCTATGGCCATCTACAACTATCATAGGGTAGGAAGGATCTAATCTTAGACTAAAGATAGTCTTGTGCATGAAATACATTTAACTTTTTATGGATAACAAAGCTACTGCACTGTCCTAATTTTTCTTATTTCACTGTGAGCACCTTATTACAGACTGGTGCTGGTCTGTAGACCAGTGCCTGGAATTACTGCTCCAACAGATATAAACTTCTTCCTGAGGCTATTCATTCTTCCAATGCGGAAATTTGTATTCTTTATGTCTTGACTGACATGGAAGACAATTATTTTAAATCATAAAAATATCCATTAAGTTGTCTGGAAAATTATACACAAGCCATTAGCTAGATTACATTAAATCTAAAAAAAAGACAGTTCTTATTATTTAGTTTCTCAAGGCATCACCATTTCAAATTTGGCCATAGATGGCTATCATTCTAGTATTGAGCACTGAAGGTAACAGGCACTTGCTTCCTTCTTTCCTCTGCATGATGACTGAGTTTGCCAAAGTCCTAGAGAAGCTGGCCTCACTTTCCAAAACTCTCGTTCCTCTCAAGTTCATATGTGTCAAGCTAAGTAAATTTTCTGCATGGTGGGACTTATTTATTTATTTTTAATTGTTCATCCTGTTTGTGAGCTCCAGAAGAAACTTTTTTTTGCCACTGAAATTCATGAGTTATTATCAAATAAACATATATGAACATTTAATTCAGTATAAAAATCCTGCTGTATTAAAATGAAATCCTAATTGTAGCCGTCATTCTCCTTATTAATATTGGTCTAGACAGTATTTTTCACTTTTTCACCCCATCATTAGCAGTTGGGGGAAGTGGTGTTAAGAAACAGAGCAAGATTTATTATTAGTATGCCACCTGTTAAAAACTGTACTGGAGAAACCAGCTACGTGTACCTCTAAACGTACTGAAATGCTATGTTTTACCAGAGAAATTCTAGGTCATTTCTAATGCCTCCCCAGAATGTCAATGAATCACTATTTCAATTGATTACAAACTCTAAAAAGTAAAAACTCATCATTTTCAAAACCTTTGAATTTGCTGTTTGTACAGGTCAGGTCTGGAGTGCCTTCCTAAAAGTTATTTATTTTCCCCTTTTTCGCTTGCTTCACAGAAGCAACTGAATTCTGTCAGTGTTTTTAGCTCTCTCGTATATTTCTGAGAGTCAAAACTGCCTTAGGAGGTTTTTTGTTTTTGTCCTTTCTTTGCTAAGTCTGTATGTTTTTAATGCAGCACATGTTATTTTCTTGTCTGTATGATTTGCTTGAAGGTTTTGATATTTACATATTATGAAAGAAAATGTCCAAAGTGTATAAAAAACACATTCCTTGTAAAATCTGATTATTTCCTAATGTTCAGGTCTGTTTGTTTCGATGTGGAGGTTGTAGAAGTTTTTTGGCATTAGTATTCTAAACAGTTTAGTATTTGTTCATGTGTACATTTTGCCTATGAGAACGATGTGAAAACGTATCTGCATCCAATCATTTGATCAGTCCTGCAAAAGCTTCTTCCATTCCTACTGTTACTGATGCTGTCCAGCCTTCATTATTTTTTTAATTGAGGTAAAATAGACGTAACACAAAATTTACCATTTTAACCAATTTTAAGTGGTTTAGTGGCATTAAGTACATTCATATTGTTGTGCAGCCTCCTCATTCTTTTTCACCTGGGTTACTGCAACAACCTTAAAAATGCAGTCTTGCTTCTAACTGTGCCGCCATTAAGGAAGGAACTAGAAATCGTATCTCTGCTGACTTATTTTCATTGGTGTATAGAAGAAAAATGGAAAGACAGAAGAAGCATTCTCTGTCATTTCTTCTGTACCTTAGACTTCTGAGTTGCTGAAAATGAAATGCAGACAGTGTTCTCAGGGCCTAAAAAGGACAAGTACCTGCTGTACTGGTTCCATCCCCTGCTGCAGATCATTCCTTGCTCAGGACATTTCAGCCCAAGCATTTGTTCTGAGAACATATAGAAAATAAAAAAATTCACTTGGCATTAAAGGGTCTGGCCACTGCAAGCACAAAGAAGCTTTTAGCAGTAAATTCTATAGCTTTAAAATGTGCTGAAATGATCATTTCAAAAATTAAGAGGCAAAACTCTTAGATGGCCAAACTAAGTTTGTAAGTGAAACATAAAGAAGCCTGAACTGCTTTGGCCCCCACCAGGGCAGCTGAAATTGGCTGGTGTGCACTGAGTCTTCAAGCCCTCTTGGGGGGCAGTAGATGCATCAGAATTGAGGAGCCCACTGCTGCAAATAGCTTCAGTTGGAGCCTTTGGCAGTGCAGTTTTGTATCACTAGATGTCAGTGTGGACTTTCCCAACCTCCGCCTTCTTGCCTTTGCAGGAGGTGGACTAGACATCACTTGGGGGCCTTCCTCAAGTCCTGGCAAACATAAGGCTATTTTCAGAACTGTAATTTCACCAAATATTTTGTCCACCTACATATATTGACTTTTAAGAGTTCTAGAAAATACAAACAGAAACTTTGAACCAAAGGTTGTTCTTTTTAATGCTGTGCCCTTCTAATCTCAATGCTTACATTTGGAAGCCTGCTTACAAGGATGTTCCAAGGCCAGCAATGGAAAGTTCCATGCGGTTCTTTTGACAGCAGCATGCTAGCCCAGATACCTGCAGGCCTAGCTTCAAGAAAGCATGGCTCCCTACACTACCAGGGCTCAGGAGTGAGGGCAGGAAGTCAAGAAGAAGTGTATGTGATTAATGCCGGATGTGGTGGCTCAGGCCTGTAATCCCAGCACTACAGGAGGCCGAGGCGGGTGGATCACCTGAGGTCAGGAGTTTGAGACCAGTGTGGCCCACATGGCAAAACCCGGTCTGTATTAAAAATACAAAAATTAGCCGGGCGTGGTGGCACACACCTGTAATCCCAGCTACTCGGGAGGCTGAGGCAGGAGAATTGCTTAAACCCGGGGGGAGGAGGTTGCAGTGAGCTGAGATCGGGCCACTGCATTCCAGCCTGGGGGACAGAGCAAGACGCTATCTCAAAAAAAAAGAAAAGAAAAAAAAAGAAAAGTATATGTGATTAGCCACATAGGGATTTAGTGGCCATATTTATCAGATTTTTTTTCGAAGTAGTTTGTAATCAGCTGCCTTCTGAAACCTTAAAGAATAGTCATTGTATTAGTTTTCCCATTGCTGATGTAACAAATTATCATAAATTCAGTGGCTTAAAACAACACAAATTTATCTTACTGTTCTAGAGGTCAGAAGTCTGAAATGGGACTTAAGTTGACTCACCTAAAATTGAGGTGTCAGGAGGGCTGTGTTCTTCTTGGAGTCTCGGGGAGAATCCATCTCCTTGTCTTTTCCAGCTTCTAGAGGCCACCTGCATCCCTTGGCTGGTGGCCCTCTTCAGGCTTCAAAACCAACAATAGCCTTGAGCGTTTCTTTGAACCACTCTGACCCTGCCTGCCCCTTTTACTTTTAAGGAATCTTGTAAGCACCCTGGGACCACAGAGACCACCCAGGTCTAGCTCCCTATCTCAAGATTCTGAATTTATTGACAACTACAACGTCTCTCTTGCTTCAGTAAGGTAACATATTCAGAGGTTCCAGGGATGAGGACATGGACATTTTTGGGTGGGCAGAGGCAGCACTTTTCTGCCTACTACAGTCATTACTTTTAAAGTAATATATGATGCAATTTTTCAGGTATGAATTTTTTAACAAACTAATTCAGTGTCACAAACAACTGTTTCTACTGGAGACTATGTTGGAAAATAACAAGGGCTGCATTTCCCTCGCTCATGGAGTGATAACAATGAAAATTAATTTGCCACACCCAGCATTCATATTTGGTCACCTTCCAACTGAACTGAGCACTAACTCCACTCCTTTGTTGACCCCTGTGCTCAGGGTGTCCATCCCCAGAACAGCACTGAGCAGGCACAGGGTGAACACATACAGAGAGAGCTGGAGACGTGATTCCCACACCAAGAAACACTGAGCAAAGTGAAATCCGGTGCGCTGAGGGACCAGACTAGGGTAACCTGTGCATACCCCTGTGCAAATTCAACATACAGCTGGAGGCCTAAAGCCAACAGAACCTAACCCCATGCCTTGCCATAACTACAAGGCTGGTTTTGTTCTGCCTACGTAAAGCTGAATTCAGCTCCCTCTCCTCAAATGTGCTCTTTCCCCCATAGTCCTACTTAGTGCTAGGACCAGGGACTATCTGTCCCTGGTCATCTTGACTCTGTCATCCTTGACTCTTCCTTCTTGGTCACGTAGGACATCCAATTGGCCTCCAAGACCTGCGGTGGCTGCTCTCTCAAGAGTTTTAGAATCTGCCCTACCACCACTCTAATTCAGGTTCTCTTCACTTCTTGCCTGGATGACTACGTTAGCCTCTGGACTAGTCTTCCACTTCACTGTGCGTTCCTCCCTCCCATCAATCCATTCTCCAAAATACTGCTGGAGTTGTCTTTCCATACTGTAAATGCGATCCTGCTACTTCCCTGTTTGGGAAAGTGGTTCCCTTTTGCTTTCTGGATGAATTCCAACTTCTTAGCTCAGCACACCAGGCCGGTTACATGCAGCTTTCCAGCCTATTCTCTCACCCTCTCACCTGTTACTCTTCATTCCAGCTATAATTAACTGCTTGAAGTTCTTCAGCTGCTCAAAGCTCTCCCTTGCTTCATGCTCCCTCAGCCTGGAATGCCTATGGGTGCTGAAGCCAGAAGTCTCTCAAGACTCAGCCCAGCGTCCCTTCTCAGACTACATCTTTGTCCTTCACCAATCCCCATCCCTTCAGTCAGCTCCAGTATGCCTTTACCACATGGTACTCTGACCATCTCTTCATTTCTATCTAAGTCCCTTGATTAGAAGCTATAAGGTTTTTGAAGCTATATGGTGTTTAGTTGGTTTAACTTTACATCCCCAGATGCTCAGCTACTCTGTTTAAAGAATGAAAATATCTCCATTGGGGGTCCTAAGTTATTCCGATGTTTCCCTGCACCAGGTATGACCCAGCTCAGGGCTATGTTCCAAAACCTACCCAGTTTAGACTTGTATCCCTAGAGTTCAGCCAGAGCCCAGCTAACTTCTGGGAAACAGAGGGTGGGGTAAATTGACCAGGAGCTCTTGTTGCTCTATCTTCTCATGGTGGAAGAAAGGCAGTTCTGCAACTATGACCTTACCCTTTCCAACCTGGCCTAACTTGGGGGCGTAGATCATTCAATAGCAACTCAAAGGGAATTGGCCCCCTAATGCACAAACTTGCCCTGGCTGAACAGTGTAGAAGGCAGCCAACTTCACACACAAACTTAATGTGGTGACGACAGTCTGTTAAGTTGGTAGTAATTCCGGACATGCATTAATCACTGCTGCCTGTCCTTAGCGAGCCATAGCTGTTACTCAAAGTCTCTTGCATATAGATTGTCCTTGAGCTCTCTATAAGCAGGCACTCTGGAGAGTTAAAAATAAAGCAGAAATAGAGTTCCTGTACTTGGGAGGCTTAAACAATCTAGTCCTAAAATGTAGGGCTTGCCTTTACGGGGGCTTTTGACTAACTTTGAGGGAGGAAGTGGTAAGGGAAAATGTCTTATAATACGTTTTAATCATTCATGTACAACAGTCATTCACGTACAGTATTCATGATTTAAGCAAGTGACAGGAGGCAGTTTGGAGGGTGCATCTGCACTGGAGGAGGGACCACATGCATTATGTAGCAGAGGGCTATTTTTTCTCCAAGCTAGTCTTCACTTCCGTAGGCTGGGAAAATCCCCTTGGTACCGACCCCATGATACATTTTTCCACTAAATTTTATGTCTTTTCAACAGTATGTCCCCAGTAAAGATCTTGGATTCCTTTCAAAACACTATGTATGGAATCTGAGAGTTTCCTTTATAATGGAGTAAAAGCATCATGGGTTGTGGTTGGTTGGTATTAAGGGTTTTTAAATTAGGGCTCTTACAGATAAAAAAAAAAACAACGTTTGAAAGCCCAAGTGAATTAATTGAGAATAGAACACAATATAAATATTTAAGCTCTTAGTAATACTACATACCATTTTGGCAAGCAAAAATTATTTTTATTAGCAGGTGCTGACATTATATCTCAAGCTGTTTTTAGAAAGGAAAATGATTCTGGAATCTATGTTAAACATAGCCATAGGGCTCCAGTCATTGATTAATTAACATGAAATACTTTTGTGACACATTTAAGTCTATTTAGGACCCAAAGACTCTTTAGTCAAAGTGTTAACTACCCTGTGGAATCAAAAGAAAAAAAATGTTTAAGAGTTTAAATATTGGAGATTTCAAATAGGTAGTCTCTGATATCTTAATGATAATTTCCTTTCAAATTTCATCTATCTAGCTATCTATGAGTATATGTACACACACACACACACACACACACACACACACACACATCCATCCATCCCATGGTGGAAAGATATAGATGTGTCATGACATATCATACTATCATCATTATTATAGCAGTGATGTAAATACTTATTAGTAAACTACTACTAACGAATTATTACCAATACATCCTTATGCATCAATAATGTATTAAAATTTCACAAAATGGTAAAATCAATTTCATTGAGTATTAGTATATATTAAACTGTACAATGTCACAACATGCTAGAGATGATATGGAAATTATTACAATCTGCTAGGGATAATAACATTGAGATTAAAATTTGTTTCTCTATTAACACATTTGAAAGTACTCTCAAATAGAGAATGAATCTTTTGAGAATCATAGCCACTCTGTGAGACTGGTATTGCTATATGATCATCCATGTTTTACAGAAGGAACAGGTTTAGCCAGGTTAAGTGGCTTGCCCTAAATCCCACAGCCAGTGTCAGACAAAGCCAGGGCCTAACCCCAGCTTGAGCTCAACCACTTCACGGCATGTACTTTTAATCCTGTCATGATTGGCTCTTGTCTTTTGCTTCTCATTAAAAAACTAATACAAGTACAGGGGAGGGAGGATAAAAATTTGTTAAAGACATTACATAAACTTTTGATGTTTTCTGAACAATTACCCAACAATGTGACTCCTAAATACTACAAACTAAGATTTTGAATTTAAGATGTAAGTTTCTAATCACCACTAAGATCTTGGACAGTGTATGTAGGATGTATTAACACATATGTAGGATGTATTAAGATTCATTTTAATGTTTAGATGGTCCATTTGTTTCTTTAAAAAGCAAAATAATAGGAAAATAGGCCTATTTAAAAATAGGCAATTATACATATAGTCCTATTTTGGTAGAGATGAGGTAGTGTATGAACACTTACTTGAAAAAAAAAAAAAGCAAAGCCATAACCATCTCTTAAATCCTATAACAAGGGGAAAAGTGGGATGGCAAAACCTTAGCAAAATGTGTAGGGCTACTGCTGGCTGCAGGACAGCCCTGTAGAGAGGCTGTGGTCCCCGACCAAGAGGACTAATGGGTGTCACTATGCAAATTTGCTGTCCCACACATCAAAGGTCTGATCCAGCAGAGTTTTAAAAGAGAAACCAAGAGAGGAAAGAGGAATGCAAAGGAGAGTAAGGGAACACAAAGGGAAGAGGCTTGCCCCAACTAAACTTCAAACTAGACAACAACAAACTGATTGGTCAGGCATTTTTATTGAAAGCCCAGAAGTAGCTTACCTGTTCCAGTGTGAGTTTGTGGACAATAATTTTGTCAATGTGAAGTGCTTTAACAATACATTCAGACTAATTTTGCACCCCCAAAGCCTTTGGTCAAAATATCATTGAACTGCATCAGGAGGAATATAGTGTATTTTAAAACCTTCAAATTTGAAAAATTTTAAAGAGCTGGGGCTCTGGTCTCTTGATAAGTGGTGAAGGCATTAAAACAACAGTTCTGATTGTAGAGGAAAGCGTCATTTAGACCAGTGCTTCTCCAAACAAGAGTCCGAAGTCTGATGGCAGCAACATCACTGGGCAGCTTGTTAGGATGCAAATTCTCCAGGCCCAACCCTGAGCTATGGAATGAGAATCATTGAGGGTGGGGCCCAACAGCCTGTTTTAACAAGGTTTTCCTGTAATCCTTGTGTGTGCTAAAGTTTGCAAAGCACTGATTTAGACTACTGTTTATCAAAGTGCAGATTACATCCCCATAGGGGGGTGTAAAATCAATCCAATAAGCAGTGACCAGCATTTTACAAAAGTGAAGTCAAATAGAAAGCAGAGTGCATTTCAGGTAGCATGGGTATTATCTCAAAAACCCGTTGCAGTTCTACATGTGTGTATACCTGTGTGTACTCATTTGGATGAAGCAGCACTTTTAATTTTTGAAGAACTGGTAGGTATACTAAAGACGTGATGGCCAGGCATGGTGGCTCACGCCTGTAATCCCAGCATTTTGGGAAGCCGAGGCGGGTGGATCACAAGTTCTGGAGTTAGAGACCATCCTGGCCAACATGGTGAAACCCTGTCTCTACTAAAAGTACGAAAAAATGAGCTGGGCATGGTGGCACGTGCCTGTAACCCAGCTACTCTGGAGGCTGAGGCAGGAGAATTGCTTGAACCTGGGAGGCAGAGGTTGCAGTGAGCCCAGATCGCACCACTGCACTCCAGCCTGGTGACAGAGCGAGACTCTGTCTCAAATAAATAAATAAATAAATAAGCGACACATTTTCAACGAAGTCAGAACTGTTTGGTTGACAATAACACACATTGACAGCTTCATGCTGGTGACTGGAGAGAGATGAGAGGGGTGAGGAGAGAGGAAAGAAGGCCAAGGAAAGAACATAGAAGGCCAGCATTTTATCTCCAGAACCTTCGTGGGGAAAGAAACAAGGCTCACCAGAGAGGAGGTGGAAGGGGCACCCACCACAAGCGAAATGTCAAGGAGAATAAGAACATGATAAGTTAATGAGTGACATTCAAGAAAGAATCGTTTTAGTACAACTGGTGAGGATACATGTATTCACTCACTCATTCATTCATTCATTCACAAAACATTTATTGCACCATGGCAAGACCAGACACTGTGTTAAACACTGGAGGTACAGACATGAAGTTTATCATGGAGCCAATTGAGTAGTGACAAGCAAGATATCTAATAATAATAATAACATGATCAGAGCTATGAAGGAGGTATTGTACAGCACTGAGTGGGAACACTGAAGTCAGTCTGTGATGCTGGGATGGGGGAGGAGGTGGCAGGAAACATCTATAAGGAGAGGGCACTTAACCAAAATGATGACCATATCTTAACATGATACTGCATATAAAGCACTGGGTACCTTTGTTTTTCCATGTATATATGTGTGTTTGTGTACACAGATACACGTCTTTATATGTATACATATATTCTCCATTTGTTTAAAAACTTGATTCCCATACCCTAAGAGTGATGAAAATCATTACATAAATGACTTATTGCAAATAGTGAAAAGATGACAAAGTATTTCTGTAGTTTTATAAAACACCACTTGCTATTATTATTTTCAAGTAGAGACTAGACATTTTCATAATGGGAGTCTCAGAGCAGGCTGTTCCCTGGGTATCCAGACCCTGCTCTGCCGTGAAGAGACCACACCAACACTGAGGAAGGCACTGAGGAGAATTTTATTACATTTTAGAGAAGTTATAGGATTTTAAAGAGGCAGGTGCCCTAGGATTTAACACAAACAGTTCAGGTAAGAAACCTAAAGTCGGCCTGGTGCGGTACGTCACGCCTGTAATCCCAGCACTTTGGAAGGCCGAGGCAGGTGGATCACTTGAGGACAGGAGTTCAAGACTAGCCTGGCCAACATGGTGAAAGACCGTCTCTACTAAAAATACAAAAATTAGCCAGGCGTGGTGGCACGTGCCTGTAATCCCAGCTACTCTGGAGGATGAGGCAGGAGAATCGCTCGAACTCGGGAGGCGGAGGTTGCAGTGAGCCGAGATCACACCATTGCACTCCAGCCTGGGTGACTGAGCGAGACTCCGTCTCAAAAACAAAAACAAAAATAAACCTAAAGTCCAAAAAAGTAAAATAATTTGCTCACTACAGATAATTTAGTTTGGTGTTGGGCCTAGATTCTAGGTTTTGTGAGTCAGGTGCAGCGTTCCTGGCACCACAGTATTTGCCCTACCACAGAGGGTCAACCTGGATTATCCCGAGTTCTTCCAACTCTGCGCTTCCTCCCAGGTTGGTGTTTCATGAGTAAGTCTGAGATCAAGCTGGCTTTTGAGCTTCTGTTTTTTTTTTTAATCAGTGTGTAACACCAACACCCACCGAAACCAAACGGCTCTGGGCAGAGGACACAGCCATTCACGCCCCCTGCCAGGAAAAGCTGCAGCTGACACAGGCTCCTACAGCGTCGGCGGGCCACGTGCGGGAGGAGGGGCCGCCTTCTGGTTGGCGCCCGGTGTCCGTTCCTCCTATCGGCGTAGGCCCCGCGAGGAAGACAAGGGCGCGCCCTGGCTGGGAGGGCGTGGCCAGAGACCTGTCCATCACCGAGTCCACGAGTGGCAGCACCTACCACACCGCAGTACCTTGGCGAGGCGGAGCAGGGGCAGGCAGGTCGCGGAAGGGGGAGGCGGAGCAAGGCCGGCGGGAGCCAATCGGCCTGGCGGCACGAGGGGGCGGGGGCGGGGTCAACGCGCGCGACCCAAACACACGGGCCGGGCGCACCCTGCAGCCGCGCCGCTCCGCGGCCTTCCGGCGCGGGGCCGGGGAACCTCCTCCCCATCTGCGCACCCCCCGCCTTCGCGGCCCAGATCCTCCCGCCAGCCCGGCCCCTCCTTCGCAGGGGGAGCGAGGCGACGGTTGCCGGGAAGCGCGCGCCACCTCTCCCTCCCATTTTTCGTTCTCCCCTCGCGCGCCACCCGTTTTTCCTCTTTCTCCGTTAATAACAGCTGGGTGGCTGGGGGAGGAGGGAAGGTGGCCCCGGCGGAGTCTGGGCGGGCGCCTCCCACTCAGCCGCCAGCCGCCGTGGGAGCCGGAGGATGGCGGCGGTAGCAGCGGCCGCCCGAGAGGAGGCGGTGCCGAGATCGGGGGCGCCGAGCGCGGCAGCAGAGAGCGGTAGCGGCCCGTCGTGGCGCACCAGAACCGAAACCAGCGGCAGCCGCACGGCCACTTGAGCCGCCCCTTCCTGCTGGAGCCAGCGAGGGGTGCCTGCAGCCGGGACCCCTTCCTCTCCGCGTCTCCTCGTCTCCCGCGCCCGCGTCAGGCCGTCGGCCTCGCCCGCCGCCCCAAGAAGAGCGCGCCGGGCGCCGACTGCCCCTCTGGACGCCGGGCGGCGGCCCTGGACGTGCGGGGGCCTCTCTGGGCCGGCCGCGGCGCCTGGGCCCTGCCCTCTAGCTCCCGCGCTCGCTCCCGCCCTCCCGGCTCTCGGGGCGCAGCGCGCGGGCCCGGCCCGGGGCAGGGCGGACATGGGCGCCAAACAGAGCGGCCCGGCCGCCGCTAACGGCCGCACGCGCGCGTACTCGGGCTCGGATCTACCTTCCAGTAGCAGCGGAGGCGCCAATGGGACCGCGGGCGGCGGCGGGGGCGCTCGGGCCGCCGCCGCGGGGAGGTTCCCGGCTCAGGTGCCCAGCGCGCACCAGCCCAGCGCCTCCGGCGGCGCCGCGGCGGCCGCGGCGGCCCCGGCAGCCCCGGCGGCCCCGCGCAGCCGCTCCCTCGGCGGGGCCGTGGGGAGCGTGGCGTCGGGGGCCCGCGCGGCGCAGTCCCCCTTCAGCATCCCGAACAGCAGCAGCGGCCCGTACGGCTCGCAGGACTCGGTGCACAGCAGCCCTGAGGACGGCGGCGGCGGCCGGGACCGGCCGGTGGGCGGGAGCCCCGGCGGGCCGCGCCTGGTGATCGGCTCCTTACCAGCTCACCTCTCGCCGCACATGTTTGGAGGTACGGACCCCTCTCCGCGCACCCGCGCTCGGTCCTCCCGCGGCTGCACGTGGGCCGTGGCCGCCGGCTATTTTTACCCTTCTCCTTTTCTCCTTCTGCCGGGGCGCCGGGGGCTGCCTCCCGGACCAGCCCGCGTCGGTCTCCATCCTGGAAGAAACCCGGCGCTTAACACCGGCGGTGCCGCTACCGCATAGACGCGTGGTTTTGTTTTTAAACATCCTGAGCACCCTCACCTCAGCGGCTGCCCAGTAGAGAAAGTCTATTTTCCAGTGAGATGACTGGAGCAAATGTTGTTTTACAACAAACCGACGAAACAGCCCTTGTGGTTGTGGTTTTTAGTACCAGGAAGTCAGGAGGAGACCAGTTGCTAAATGTAGTTCTATCTGGGGACTCGAGTGGGGAACAGTTTTTAAAGGCCAAAAGTCAAAGCGTCTCAAATGAACACTGAGTTACCATGTTTGGACCGACTTTTAGTATAAAGCTGTAATCCTGAAATCTGTGTCAGTAGTCCCAGTTACTATGTCATTTTAATTGGATGAATGCGTTAATGAAAAGTTTGTTTTTAAACCTCACTAAACTGCTACTTAAGATCACAGTTAATGTGAGTCCTGCTTAATTTGGAAAGCATTTAAAAAATGGAAAAGTTTCTTAAGGAAGTAAAAATTTTGCACATCTGTCTTCAAGGTACAATAATTGGCTAGGTTCTTTTGAAGAGCAGTGTTGACTAGAGTTAAGGAAAAGTCAGTTGTGAAAAATGGACATTTTTAATAGCAAAGTGATGTACTTTACTACAGAAACAGGAGGAAGTGTGCGTTGTCCTGGGGAAAATGAATCCTACTTCTTCAGTTATGTTTTATGCTGATCTACTTTATTGCAAAACGCTAATAGTAAATGAATCAAGACCACCTCCCCTCTCCCCTTTATGAAAATAAATAGAAGTATAGAAGATAAGCATTCCCATTTCATCGCATTATGTATCTGGTATTAGAAAAATTAGCAACTGAGCACAGATGAGCAGCGAAAACACGATCCCCTACATTTTTGTGCCGCTTTTACTTATATATTTGTAAACGTAGGAACTTTGGAGACTTAGTAAAGTGGAATACGTAGTAATTTATCCGTTCTCATGTTCTGTACTATCAGCACACACGCCAGCATAAATTAAAAACAGGAATGTCATGTTTCATTTTTCCCATTTTTTTAGTAACGCTTTGCAAATTCAATTGGAACGACGCTTGACTTTTAATTAGCTACCTTGTTTTAAAGTAATTTTTGCTTCTTAAAAATATTCATCCCTCTTAAAATTGGGCTATTTTTAAAAGTCATTTGCTTTTGATTTTGAGTAAAAGAACTCTACTGGTGTCCTTAAAGTGATTTGATCACAACTAACCTAACAGTTGAAGTTGCTGTAGTCCGCACTGAAGAATATAAAAGGCAGTTTCTGAGAATTGGTGATTAGTGCGAGAATGAAGGGCAAACTGGTTTTTAATGTTTATCATTATCTTTTTAAAGTGAAAATTTGCATTTAGCAATTATTAGAAGATGAATATTTAAGTTTGCTAAAGAAGGGTGAATAGGAAAAGCCTTGTCAAGTTAATAGTTAATATTTATTTAATATGCTGATTTCTAAAAATTCATTTTCTAAGAGCTGATAATTCCCTTTGAGAAACATTATAGTTCTGTGGGTTTATTTTGTTAAGTAAATGCATTCTATTCAGAGCAAGAGACAGTTGAGCCCCATGCTATTCCTAGTAAGTAAAAATACCTAGTTGCTTAAAGTTGGAGATAAAGCATTTATCTTTTTTCTTATCTAAGTTCTAGATTTGTGCACTCATTATAGTTCTTTTAGTGCTGTTGGGGTTGGGTGACTGGGGCCTAGTAGTACAGTGACACTTTCTGAGGAACTTACAGCAGCCTTTCTCACCCGGCTTTCTGGAGACAATTGTGCCGTAGTGTGCAATGAATTTTAACTTTTAGCTCCAGTGCATTTAGAACGGTTTTAGTTATGTATCATTCTTGGAACAATTGAGAAAAGTCACTGAAATAATTTCCTGTGTTTGGTGATTCAGATGAGGAACCTCAGTTGAGAATTGCTGGAAAGACATCAGAGAAATTACCTGTTCTTATTATATGACAGGATCAGATGAAAGTGCCACATCCTGAAATCTCTGTTGAGGCAGGGAGATGGAATACATTTACGTAAAAACCCATCTTAGTGGCATTGCCTTACTGAGATTTTTACCTATATTTTAGTGGACGGGTTATTAGGAAAACAATAGAAGCATGTTTCTCATCATCTTGAGATTTAGGGAGCTAAATGAAGAATCTTATAATTAAAAAAGACTTGACTAGTTCACATTTACTTAACTTTTTAGTATCTATTATAACATTATTGTGTTTATTCAGTTACAAATTGTATAAATGGTTATATACAAATAACTGCATCTGAAAATTGATAAAAGGATTATTTCAGAATTAGTGGAAAGTTCGTATTGTTTTTTGTAAAACTGTTGTTTTAATTGTTGTTTATATTATTAACGTCTCCTAATAAGAAAATGTGGTACTAATAAGATTCAAAATTATTCTCTTGTGAGCTCTCATGTAATTTATAGAAAATGAAAAACAGTCCCCCCCTTTTATTTTTAACACTTAAGAGTCTAGCAAGTGGAATTGTTAGTAGTTCTCTCATAATGAATTGCCACATTGAACGAGGAAGTTTTCTGTGTTGGTTTTATGTTTTGATGTCATTTGGACATCTGTTTTGGCTATATACACTCTTATTCTCTCTAGAGAACTGGAAGAAAAATGCCTAATCCAGATATTTCAGTGTGTAGAAATTTCCTAGAATTGAGTTGCCAGACATCAGAATGTGATTATATTTATATAGGAGTTTTTAGGTGAAGTAAATCTTGTCCTTATTATTCTTTTCAGACTGAGGAGTGTTAAAGTGAACAGACGCTTTCTTGACTACTGCTAGTGTCGTCCATCACCTTTGTTTTAAAACAGGTCTTAAGGGTATTTCCTAATATTTAAAAATGTTGATGGTATTTTAGGGTTTGTTTGGCTTTAATTTACGTCTACGTTTTTTTTTCCACTGTCAAGTAGCTGTTGTTCATAAGAGCATAATATGAGTGGTCAAATAGCCTTTAATGATGCAGCAAGGATGGGGTAGATGAATTGGGCTATAGAAATATACCAATACATGGAGATTATTTCCAGAGAAATCGTGTGGACTTCTATAATGTATCCTTGAGTCCAGAAGTGAAAATGTAAAATGACTTAATCTAAGACAACCAGTGGTGCTGGGTTGCTTTTGGCCTCCTGATTTTCTTGAGCTTTTTTGGGTGTGGCTTGCTCATGAGTATTTCAGTAGTCTGATTGTAACTCAGGTGCCTTGCTACTTGTGAAACATGTTTTCTTATATTGAAGGAGTGTGGGTTATCTCTTAAAACTGAATATGTTGAATAAGACCTGTATTTCTAGGAAGATTTCTCTTAATTTTTAAGGCAGATGTGAAGTTTTATGGTGTTAGGTTATCTTCATCAATTAACCATTATGGAATCGGTCTCAGTTATCACTTCTTACCAATATCAAGTGCCAAAATGTTTGAATTTGGGATATTGTAATTAATCTATTTCCTATTCCTGAATGTTATTTTGTGCCATTGAAGGCTTTTATGGGGAGTGGCCGAAGAGGAATGTTTGCCTCTTTCTAAGAAAAATGAGCCTTCTAACCACAACCCCTGCCACTCCTGAAGTAATAAGAATTTTGGTGGTTATTGTTCCTCACTTGTAATTTCATACCTTCGTGTTACATGTTTTGCTGTGTGTAAGTGTGGCCTGTGTCATGGAAGTTTCTGCTTTGGGAATTTTTTGGAATTATTCTTGACTGCAAGGTGGGGAGGATTGGTGAGTTGCACAGGGCATCACCTGATCTGAGAGCAGCGTGACCTAAGAACCTGGTATTTTGATGCTTTGCTGGCTGGTGCAGTGCCTGAGGGAGTAAGAGCCCTGTTGTTGTAAGATAGTGTCTTACTCCCTCAGGCACATCTCCAACAAGTCTCTTGCTCTCCTCCAATTTGATCGCTTTGCCTGGTGACCAGTAACTAAGTTCTTCTGATTACCAAATATCATTAATGAGATATCAACTTTTAAACTATTTATTATTATTTGGGTTTTAAGGAGAATTGCCCTAATATTAAACTTATTACATGTAGTATTATGTATAATTGGGTATATTGGCAAATGTGTTAAAAGAGAGTGTAGGAACTGCTTTATGTAGCAAATTACTTCCTAAGTTTTATGTGAATATTCTTAAGAACTGTTATTTGAAATGTTAGTCTGTGTTTTAATTTTGCATGTACATGACATTTATTTGTTAAGAAATTGGACAAAACATAGGCCTTTTTGTGAACAAAGGGTTCAGAAATACCTTAGGTTCTGATTTTATTCGTTTTCTAAGCTGCTTATTCACAAATGACTGCAAATTTAGTGGTTCTAAGCAACACGTTTATTGCCTTGCAATTTCTGTGGGTCAAGAGGCTGGGCACAACTTAGCTGTGTCCTCTTTAAGACTGCAGTCAAAGTGTAGGTCAGGGCAGGGTTGTTATCTAGTGACTCAACTGGGGAAAGGTCTGCCCACAGACTTCCTTGGGTTATTGGCTGAATTTATTTCCTTGTGTCTGTTAGGTTCAGAGCAGCTTGCTTCTTCAAAGTAAGCAAAGGAAAGGTGAACTGGTGCTATGTTCTTACATAATCGTGTACATGTAATCACATACAACCCATTGCCTTTGCTGTATTTCATTCATTAGAAGCAAGTCATAGGTCCAGTTCACGTGCAAGGGGAGGGAATTATACAAAGGTTTAAACACCAGGAAGTGTAGGAATCAAGAATAGTCACATCAGTTCTTTCTGCCACATGGATTATAGATAGATTGACAGCTGAACATGTAACTTCTTTTTTAAACTCATTTTAATTTACTTTTAAAAAGTTGTACTAATGCATATGGTTAAGTATAGCATTAATAAACATGAACTTAACCCCTTTTAGGGGCTGGACATTATAGATACTGAGGGTACAAATATGGAGCTTCTTTATGCACTGCTCAACTCTCCATTGAATTTGAGAGATGGATATATGTGATCATTATACAATGCAACAAATTCTGTAATAGAACTGTTAACAAAACACTTAGTGAAGTATCTTTGTCTAGGCTGGTCAAAAAATGCTTCACAGAGGAGGGTACGTTTGAACTGTAGTTTGAAGGATTTAGAAGTTGTACGGAGAGAGGGCAGTACAGACTAAAGAAAAATCCACAAAAGTGTGGGTTTTGATAGGGCATACTGAAAAGTTAAATATGTCTGGATTGTAGGGTGCATAGAGGAATGATGAGAACCTGAAGCTAGAAAAATAGAAAGTGGAGCCAGTTGAAAGATTTTATAGTGCTGTAGGTTTGTTTTATCTAATGAAGTTTGAAAGCAGGGGGAGTATCATGATTAGGCCATTGGGCACAATTAACACTCGTAGTTTACATGGATGGCAACCTTCTCTAGTGGTGCAGACTTCAGGCTGTATGCAGCAACCCTGATCAGGATTCAGTTCTTAAGGAGGAGAGTGTGATAGCAGGAGAATAAGTTAGGATTCTTTTAAAATATAACTGATAGAAGATGCCTATGTTGAAAACATGGCATTGGTGAGGGAGAAGAAAAGTTAGATTTGATTGAGATTTCTAAGCTAGAACTGATAGAATTGACCTGGGTACATAGTGATGTCTTTAACCAGTATTAAAGATGAAAAGAACAAGTTTTAGGAAATGATAATGAGTTCCTTTCAGGCCTGTTAAATTTGAGTGGCTACAGGATTTTCATCTGGATAGAAGTATACTTTAAGTGGTTGGAAACATGAGTCTCTAATTCAGGATATTACAAAAAACTGAGAAATCAATTTGCAAGTTATAAATGAATCCAGAAAGTGGATAAGATTACTAAGGGATGAATATAGATTGACGAAGGACAAGGATGGAATCCAGAGGAGCAAGTATTTTAAGAGACAGGGAGAGGAAGAGGCCAGCAGTTAGAATTCAACCAGAGGGAAAGGAAGTTTTTTAAAAACCTGGGTTTTTTTTTAATTATAAAAATAATACCTGTTCACTAGAGAAAAACTAACATACGGAAAAGCAGGTATAAAAATCGCAAATTGCTTGTAATTTTACCACCAGAAATAACTGTTAATGTCTTTTATATATGTATTTGTTTTAGACACAAAATTTGGAACATTCATTTTTATATTGTTTTGATTTTAACCTTTCTGATGTTCTAATACAAAGTTTTAAAGCTACACATTTTCCTCCAAGAATTGCTTTACCTGAATCCCACTGATGTTGAAGTGTTCTTGTTAACATTCAGTGAAAAATGTATTTTAATTTCCCATATGATTTCTTCTTGATCCATGGGTTACATATTCTTTGATAACATGCTGTTTCCATTTCCACCAGTTTCTAACATCACATTAAAATTTTTTATAACATGATTTTTAATTATTACCCAGTATTCCAAAAATCACTCAAATATTTAATGAGGACGCGCTTTTCCGGACACTATTCTGGGGGTACAGCAGTGAAGAAATAAGATAAAAATCCCTGCTTTTAGGGGCCTTATTATTCTATTTGGGAGAGATAGTAAACAGACAAGTAAAATACATAGTGTGTTAGGGCATTGAGTGTAATGGAAAAAAAATGGAGTGCAAAGGCTGATAGAGATTCTGGGGTGGAGGCCTATCTATAGTTGCTATTTTAAATCGGGTTTTAAGGATGACCTCACTGACAAGGTGACAATTCAAGCAGAAAGTGAAGGAGCAAGTCATGAGGATCTCTGGGGTAAAAACATATTCAGGCACAGGGAGCAGTAACTATAAAGGCCCTGAGGCATGAGTGTACCTGATATGTAGGTTTACTTACAGCTGGAGTGCAGAGGGCTGTAGAAGATGAGAGCATAGTGGGGTGGCATGAGGTTGGGACAGAATCATAAACTGCCTCATAACCACTGACCTGTGGTTTGCGGCTTTTGTTTTAAAGAGGGATGGGGAGTATTTTTGTGCAGAGGATTGACATAATCTGACTTGGGTTTTAAAGGATTACTCTGGCTATTGTGTGAGGTGGCAAGAGTCAGCAAGGAGGCAAAAATCCAGATGAAAGATAACAGTGGCTTGGACTGGGTGGCAGTGCTGGAGGTGCTAAGCAGTGGCCAGATTCTGCATATCCCGTGTTTTGAAGATAGAGCCACCTGGATTAGATGTGGAGGTATGAGAGAAAATGAAGAGTCAAGGATTTATTTCGTTGTTCCTTATGGTTGAGCATTTTGTTTGTTTGGTACAGATGTAATAAAATACTGTTGCCATGAACACCCTGGTAAGCAAATTTTTACATTTTTTTTTTTTTTTTTTGGGATGGAGTCTTGCTCTGTCACCCAGGCTACAGTGCAGTAGTGCGATCTTGGCTCACTGCAACCTCTGCCTCCCAGGTTCAAGTGATTCTTGTGCCCCAGCCTCCCAAGTAGCTGGGATTACAGGTGTGCACCACCATGCCTCACTAATTTTTGTATTTTTAGTAGAGACTGGGTTTTGCCATGTTGGCCAGGCTAGTCTTGAGCTCTTGGCCTCAAGTGATTCGCCCACCTCAGCCTCCCAAAGTGCTGGGATTACAGGCCTGAGTGCCCGGCCAGTTCTTAGAAATTTATCAGCGACATGGGATTGCCAGAAACAAAGATACACTTTTGTTCAAGGCATTGGATCTTTATTGCCAAATTGCTCATTAGAGATGGAAACAGCTTCTAGCAAGGTATAATCTTTGGGACTACGTAAAATTTTTTAACCCATAAAAACTTGTGAGGTTTTTGATATTTATAAGTGCAGATTGGTGGATATATTTCGAGTAATGTCACCTATCAGAGTCATTATTTCATTCAGGGCTCTTTTTTTAGCGACGAAAATATTAGTGTGTCAGAAAATTATAGATGTATTCAGTCATTTGAATTTCATAAGTTCCGACCATGTGGAATATCCTAATTTTTGCTTGAATTGTGATTAGTCTGTAATAGTTCTTTAATTTACCTATTTATATGTGAGCTGAGGAAAAAAAGAAGAATGAAGCCATGCATACATAATGGGTTATTTATTTTTATTTTTATTGTCTTTTTTTTCTTTCCTTTTTGTGGAGAACAGGGTCTCGCTATATTGCCCAGGCAGGATTATGTGTAATATGTTTCAGAGAGCCAGTGCTCAGTTTGAACAACACATTTTGCTATTTTTGTTGGTTTTTAATTTTTTCTACTGTTACCTCTATTCTGTTCGTTCTCATTTTGTAAAGTTAATTTTGTTCTTTCTCTTAGCTTCTTTTATTTTTTATTTATTATTTTTTAATGATAAAAGCGTTTAAGGCTGTGTTTACTTCTTGTTACATATAGTCACTTCCCAAAGCTTTGGATACTTACCATTTTCATTATCATTGAGTACACATTTTTGTTTCTTTTAAAATCAGTTCTATCGGGGAATAATCATGTTAACTGCATTTCGATATTTTCTTTTACTTGGAAGTTATTTTAAAGTGTGGCTTTATTGTGGTGGTCCTTACTAGTACCCTTTCGTTACTTCTAGTGTTAATTTAGAAATATTGCACCGTGGCTGGGCACTGTGGCTCATGCCTGTAATCCTAGCACTTTGGGAGGCCCAGGTGGGTGGATCATCTGAGGTCAGGAGTTCGAGACCAGCCTGGACAACATGGTGAAACCCCATCTCTACTAAAAATACAAAAATCAGCCGGGCATGGTGGCAGGTGCCCGTAATCCCAGCTTACTAGGGGGTGCTGAGGCAGGAGAATTGCTTGAACCTGGGAGGTGAAGGTTGCAGTGAGCCGAGATCACACCACTGTACTCCAGCCTGGGTGACAGAGCAAGACTCCATCTCAGAAAAAAAAAGTATTGCACCATGGTCAGAGAATCTTAAGCCTTTCAGTTGTAAAGGATAGAAGCATAACTCAAAATAGCATTAAGTGGAAAAACTGTATATTGTTTCAAATTATTGAAAAGGATCCTAGGGTAACTTAGAGAATTGAAGGAACAAAGGCAGGACCCAATGCCCCTGGAGCTGAAATTTAGAGAGAGAGGGAGGGGGACAGAGAGAGAGAGGGAGGGAAGGAGAGAGAGAGAGAGAGAGAGAGAGAGAGAGAGAGAGTGTGTGTGTGTGTGTGTGTGTGTGTGTGTGTGTGTGTGTGTGTGTGTGTGATTGCAGGTGTCAGCCACTGCCCCCAGGCAGTATGGGCCTTCTTTAAGCTGGGGCCTTGAGACTCTCTGTACTTCCAACTACATGCGATCTTTCAGGCCTGAAGGGAGTACCTTTCTCTACCTCCAGCAGAAAGGACTCAGATTAGCTCAGTTTGAGTTCCGCATCTGTCCATAAATTACAAAAGCAGAGATGGGATGCACTTTATGTCCAGGCTGTATTCTGTTATTATGGGGAAGAGTTTAAGTCTTCAAGTCATGTTTCTTGGGCTGACCTTAAGCAAGTTGCTTAGTTCCTCTGTACCTCCGTTTTCTCATCTCTAGAATCAGGCCAGGTACAGTGGCTTGCACCTGTAACCCCCAGAACTCTGGGAGACGGACGGGGGCGATCGCTTGAGCTCGGGAGTTCGAGGCCAGCCTGGGCAACATGGTGAAACCCAGGTTCTACCAAAAATACAAAAATTAGCCAGGTGTGGTGGTGCGTGCCTGTAGTCCCAGCTACTCCAGAGGCTGAAGCAGGAGGATCGCTTGAACCCAGGAGGCTGAAGTTGCAGTGAGCCAGGATTGCACCACTGCACTCCAGCCTGGGTGATGGAATGAGACTCTGTCTCAAAACAAAACAAAAACCTGCTTTTGTAGTATTGTGAGGGTTAAAGTAGTCCACATACTTCATATCTCCGTACTTTTAACTATTGAATGAACCTCTTCAATGAATGAAAAAATTGAAACATCCAAGATTTATGCCGCACTTCCAGTCTCACCCTCCTCAGAAAGACCATGTGCTTTACTCTGATACCGTATTCCTTTCTCTTCCCAACTGCTCAGATTTTGCAAAAACAATCCAGTTTTCATTATTTTTATAATGTGTCTTCCTTATATTTACAAAATTCTCCCCTGAACATTTGAATTGAGTTTTTCAGCACATTTACTATGCCAAACACATGGTAAAAACTTTGTAAATATTGAATGTTTCCCAAAATGTATTTGATAACTACATTATTATGTTTTAAGGTAAGATTATTATCAAAATTATTGTCATGTTTAAATTATATATAGAAATGTATTGCTCTAGAAAGAAGTGGTAGGTTATGTTTTTATTTGTATAATGTAAATATAGGTAAATTAATTTTTGAACCAAATAGGTATAATATAGATTGTACAAATGGAGGCAGTTATAAAATTGCCTTAGAAGTAAAATTATACTGTGCTTATAGCTCTTTTATAATCATTTGAATGTGTTACAAAGTGTTATCAATGTGAGCGTGTTTTGTGGGCGGTTGGAGATGGTTGGAAGGATGGTTGATAAGGTAGGTCAGTGTTTTCATTAAGTGTGTGCTGCTGCTTCAGGGCAGAGGCTGAAAAACTTAGATTATTTTAGTTACATGATTTACTACATCTCAGGCAACCTGGATGACTTGGCATTTACTAAAGCAATTCACTGCTTTGCTGGTGCTTCAACACCCTTCAGTCTGAGAGCCCTGAAGTCTTGATTTGTAATTCTCCAGATTTCCTGTCTATCATAGCACTTCTTCAAAAACAGCATATCTGGTCACCTTGAAATCTCAGTTCCTTAATAACTCCTTTTGTCCACTCTTCCTACCACCTTACCGTACGCAGAGTTCTTTGGAGGATTGCCATTAGTTTCTTTAAAACAAAATAACTAAAATTAAGAATATTTAATATTATTATTGGCCACTTTAAGTGTCTTTATAAATGTTGAACTAATATAGTTACTTTCATATAGTAATGTATGTGTTAGGAAAGTTACTTCATAAGCACTGTCTCTTTTGAGCCTATGTCATAAGAAGTCGGTGGTAGAGTAGATAATTTCTTTAGCTGTTATCTGGAGATGAGACTTAGAAGTTAGATCAACCACTTGTAGTATTTTAAGTGTGAGTTATTCTGTATTTTAGTTGTGAAGTGTACAGAATCTAATTAGCTTTTAATAATTCAGAGTCCTTTTCACACTTGGCTGCTTTTCTTTTCCTGTACAATTTTGTGTTTTCTCTTTTGTCTTTTAAAAATTTGTTAGTTTAAAAATTGTTTAGTTTTACAACCCTCCCTCATTTGTATAAATCTCCTCTCAGATTATTCATATGATGAGTATTGCCTGAATTTCATTTTCTTGTTAAAGTCTCTTTTGAGACCCTCTGACCTACCCTGTTCCGAATTGATTATCCTATGAGATCTGTCTTTTTTCATCATCTTGGAGATTGTATTTGCCTGCCTCTCTCTTATGTTCAGTTTCCTGGTTCCTTGAATTTATGTGTCTTCTTTCTTGATGTTCTCCATTGTTTTTAGCCGATACAATTTCATAGTTCCTACTGAGAAAGAATATGTGTAAGGTAAAATTTTTTTGAGGCTTCCATTCCTGAAAATATTTTATTTCTGCCCTCATTTTTGATTAGTACTTTGACTTGATATAGAATTCTAGGTTGAAGTTATTTTCCCTGAGAATTTAAAATGTGTTGCCTTGTTGCCTTCTGGCTTCTAGTGTTGCTGTTGAGCACATAGATGTCATTATGGTTTTTGATCCTTTGTATGAAAATTTCATTATTACATGTCTTGGGAGGGAACTGTTTTCATTCATTGTGCAGCATATTTGGTAGGCTCTTTGAGTCAGCTGCTTTCTGTGATTTTTTTTTTTTGCCATTTTTTTCTTTGATGACTTAGATGTTGTACACCTAGAGTAATCCTTTGCTTTTTCTTTTTTCTCTTCAATTTTTGTATGTCTTTGGTTTTTGTTCTTTTTTTCTCTTGAGGGATTTATTTATTTATTTAAAGACAAGGTCTCGAGGCTCTGTCACCTAGGTTGGAGTGTAGTCGTGTGATCCTAGCTTACTGCAGCCTTGAACTCCTGGGCTCAAGTGATCCTCCTGCCTCAGCCTCTTGAGTAGTTGGGACCACAGGTGCATGCCACCATAGGGACTTTTAAAAACGTGATCTTATAACTCTTTTGTCAATTTTTATTTGTTTCTGTAATTTTAATTTTTAACTTAATTTTTAATGTTTTTAAAATTTCTGAGGTCTTTAAAAATAGTTTTTTTTCATATATTCCATTTTTGTTTTGTGGGTACAATACCTTTTTCTAAGAATATTACTGATACGAATTTACATGTGCATCTGTTTGTGTATATATGTATGTGTATGTATATATATGTATGTGTATGCTTTGTTCCCTTTCCTGATGACTCGGTTTCTTCCCACTTGCTTTTTCTGTTTGTTTGGCTTCATTCTTTTGTTAGATATTTTCTTTAAATGTTTGGTGATCTTTGGCTAACTCCTGATACTTTTAAAGTGGGGGGCACTAAAAAGCAAATTGGAAGCTCTCTGTGCATGTAGTGTCCTCTGTCTGGGCCATTTTCTTAGGGATATTACTGTCTTTTCTCTTGGGCTGGTCATATTTTCCAGAAATGGCTTTTCTTGCCTGGAATACACAATCGTTTATGCTAGTGATCTAGGAGCAGAGTGAGAAGAAGATTGAGAGTCTTAATACTCAAAATGATACTTTCATTTAATCTCAATATTTAGTATCAATACAGGACCTCTGCCTTCAGCTATTCCTGTTGTCTGCAAGTCTAGAAACTTTTCCCTTTCCTAATAACAAGCTTGTAGTAGAGTGCCAGGGTTGGGGTTGCTTAGCTGCTGCAAGTCAGGGAGGACAACTAGGAGATCTCACAGCTCCTTACGCAGACTGGCGATGAATCTTTCTCTTTTAGGCCTGCCTTCACCCCTGCTTCCAGGGATATCTTGTGCTTGCCAGTTCTTGTGCCTGCTGTAAATCAGTTTGCTTCTCTGCTTTCCTAGTTCTGCAGTGAAAATTATTATTCTTTAATTTTCTTTCCAGAGTCTAAAGGTACTGCTTTTTATTTCATCTTCTTGATTTTTTATAGGTGTATTCCCTTTAAAAATTACATTTTTATCATTTTAGTAGGATGTTTGGACTGAGCAGAAACTAATGAATGTGTACAACTAGTTATCTTTACTTAGTTTTTTTTTAATTGCAGAAGAAATAATAATTCACTCCTATAAAAATTTGGATGATGCCCCTGGGCGTGGTGGCTCACGCCTGTAATCCCAGCACTTTGGGAGTCTGAGGCAGGTGGATCACCTGAGGTCAGGAGTTCGAGACCAGCCGGACTAACATGGTGAAACACTGTCTCTACAAAAATTAGCCGAGCGTAGTGACGCATGCCTGTAATCCCAGCGACTCGGGAGGCTGAGGCAGGAGAATTGCTTGAACCCGGGAGGCGGAGGTTGCAGTGAGTTGAAATCGCGCCATGGCACTCCAGCCTGGGCAACAAGGGCGAAACTATGTCTCAAAAAAAAAAAAAAAATCAGATGATGCAAAAAAAGTGAAAGTCACTTTCAGTCCTCTGGTATGAACATGTTCAATTAGTCCTCTTTAATTGGAAGTTCTCTTTTTTTAATTGCAAAAGAAATAGGAATCAACCCCAAAAAATCAGGTTAGATAAAATGACAGTCACTTCCAGTCTTCCTTTGCTGATCCCATTGTCTTCCCAGATGTAACTGTTATTTTTTATACGTATACTTCTGTTTTAATTCATTTACATACTTTTAAGTACATAGAAAAAAGTAGTTTCATTTTGTATGTGATTTTGTGATGGAGGCTGTTATTGGCAAGAATGTGGTCATACTGTGTTCTTCTAAAACCTGCTTTTTTTTTTTTTTTTTTTGGGAGACAGAGTCTCGCCCTGTTGCCCAGGCTGGAGTGCAGTGGCATGGTCTCGGCTCACTACGAGCTCTGCCTCCCAAGTTCATGCCATTCTCCTGCCTCAGCCTCCCAAGTAGCTGGGACTACAGGCGCCCGCCACCACACCCGGCTAATTTTTTGTGTGTATTTTTAATAGAGACGGGGTTTTCACTGTGTTAGCCAGGATGGTCTTGATCTCCTGACCTCGTGATGTGCCCGCCTTGGCCTCCCAAAGTGCAGGGATTACAGGCGTGAGCCATCCCGGCCGTAAAACCTGCTTTTTCTCCATAACATATATTTAGAGGATTTTTTCATGGGAAAACATGAATACAAGTCTTTTTTTTTTTTTTTTTTTGAGACGGAGTCTTACTCTCTTGTCAGGCTGGAGTGCAGTGGCACAATCTTGGCTCACTGCAACCTCTGTCTCGTGGGTTCAAGCAATTCTTTTGCCTCAGCCTCCCAAGTAGCTGGGATAACAGGTGCACGCCACCACGCCTGGCTAATTTCTGTATGTTTAGTAGAGACAGGGTTTCACCATGTTGGCCAGGATGGTCTTGGTCTCTTGACCTCGTGATCCACCCGCCTCGGCCTCCCAAAGTGCTGGGATTGCAGGCATGAGCCACCACACCCAGCCAGAATACCCCAAATGTTTAATTAATGATAGATAAGTGAGGCCTGAGTATGTGGTTAGCTCTAATAAAAGATAGACTTAATTAGAATCTAACACTTCCTGTTTTATCTATTCTTTAATTTTACATTATCTGATTAGCAGTTTTTGGATGATATTAAGTGTTTTAAATAGGATTCACTACAGCAAAGTGGGATATAGTGGTTGATTCATTTGCAAATTCCAAATCCCCAGGAAAAGGAGAACGTTCAGAGAGCTTTATTTTTAGGATCATTGTTTCCAAATTTGGGAGAAATTTCACTGTCCAAGGAATACAGAGAAATGGTTGAATGAAAATTGTGAGTTGGGAATTTATTATGTTTTGTTATAGGCTGAATCTTTAAATATTAGGTAGACAATGGCTAGATATATGTAGTTTTCTTTCTGCTTATATGTTTCTTTTTTGTTTTCATATTTAAGCCCAGGATGTATAAATGAATCAAACAATTTAACTGTAATCCACAATTACAGCTGGGGCTAAAAAAATTTCAGCCTTGTGCAAGAGGAGCCTGGGGAGTTCTTATAGTTGTTACAACAATCAGACCGTACTGTCTTAAATAAGGACTCTGCATTTATCAAAGATGAGAGCAGTCTGCTGCTCTGCTCTTACAGCCTTTCTTATCAAGTGGCCTGGATTGAGAAAAACAACTGGAATGACAGAACCTCATCCTGGATTCCTTTAGTATCCATGGGAAGAGAGTGTTTTTAAAGCTAGGAAAGGGGCCAGGTGCCGTGGCTCAAGCCTGTAATCCTACCACTTTGGGAGGCAGAGGTGGGCGGATCACTTGAGGTCAGGAGCTCGGGACCAGCCTGGCCAACATGGTGAAACCCCTTCTCTACTAAAATTATAAAAATCAGCTGGGTGTGGTGGCACACACCTGTAATCCCAGCTACTTGGGAGGCTGAGGCAGGAGAATCGCTTAAACCCGGGTGGTGGAGGTTGCAGTGAGCCAAGATCACGCCACTGCACTCCATCCTGGGCAACAGAGTGAGACTGGGTCTCAAAATAGATAAATAAATAAAAGCTAGAAAAGGGACTTAAATTACTAAAAGCAATCTGGGGCATGGTTCGCTGCATTCACTTTTGATACATTAAATATTTTTGGAAGAGGCACTGGGCATGGTACTCTGAGGTCAGTCAAACTAGCTTTAGAACCTTCATCTTTTGCTTTCTTGGGCTTTACTTTCCAAAATGGACTACAGGATAATGAGGCTTTTTTTAAAAAAAAAAAAAAAAAAAAAAACTTATCTTTGTCTTAGATTTGAATATACTAGAGCGGGCAAAAATCCCATTATAACAATCTCCGAAAAGGTAATTAAATGTATAATATAAGAACAGACAATTAGGTCAGTAGCCTGGAGCAGGGTCCTCTTGTAGGCTAGTGCACTGAAAAGAACTGTGATGAGACGTGGACAGGAGCATGCTGCTGCTTGTTCAGGGAAGGAGGCTGCTTCACTGTTGCCACAGGGGTGGTGAACCAGTTCTGTCCGCTTCACTCCCTGGTGTTCGCAAGGCAGTTTTCGGAATCAGAAACTCTAGAGGAATTTGAGAACACTGATACGCTTACTTCACAGAAAACTGAAGTCTGTTGAGGACCAAATTGTCTGGCATGCCTTTGACATTCCTGCTTTTGCTCTGTGTCCATGTACTTAATATTTTAAAGAGCTCTTACTTTTTAAAAATTACTGTATGTAGCAAGGACTAGAGAAAAGTGCTCCTCATTCTATATGTGAATATATGATAGTGGTCTGTAAACCCAAGCTGCACATGGCTTAAATGTTCTTTTGTATTTTCGCTGGCTTAAAATTGAGCATAGAGGAAACTGGAAATGTTCTCTAATATCATGCATAGTCTCTGTATCTTATTTTTCTTTGTTTACTTATTCATTTAGTCAAAAAATAATTCAGCGCATGTTGCAATAGGTTAGGGAGGCTTTCTGGTCATAGGAAGATGACCAGAAGGATGAAGAAAAACCTCCGTCTTTAAGAAATGTATAGTCTCTAGTGTCCATCCATCAGGGCCTTGGAAACAAATGATTATGATATAAATTAAAGTACTATGTTTTTTTTTTTTGGTAATTTTGTTACCAAATTAGTGTATATATGTACATAAAAAAGACAAGGTAATATCCATACACTAAAAATTGGTTATCTCGGACTAGTAGAAATATTGCTGTTGTTTTATTCTTGTATATTGCCATTTATTTTCTATGGTAACACATGTATTTTTTAAACAGAAAAGAACTGGTGGCGGTATCATCATCACTGCTACTCTTTAATTGCTCCTTCTCCCATGCTACCACTACTAATGCTTTCAGAGCTCAAATTCATACTCCAGTCTATCTGACTCCAGGTGTGTGCCGTTAACTGTCAGGGCCCACAGAGCAAAATGCACTCTGGACAGCATCAATGAAAGTTTATCCTGTAGAATACTGGTCTCATAAGATTCTCCTGGAAGGAAGACTTCAGTAACGGAGCAAGTTTGTAACCTATTAAAGTTCTGTAATAAAGAAGTCTAAGGCTGGTTGTGGTGGCTCATGCCTGTAATCCTAACACTTTGGGAAGCTGAGGCGAGTGGATAGCTTGACCCCAGGAGTTCGAAACCAGCCTGGGCAACATGGAAAAACCCCGTCTCTACCAAAAATAGAAAACAATTATCCGGGCGTGGTAGTGCGCACCTGTAGTCCCAGCTAATCAGGAGGCTGAGGTGGGAGGATCACTCAACTTGGCTTCAGCTCACACCACTGCACTCCAGCTTGGGCGATGGAAATGAGATCCTGTCTCAAAAAAAAAAAAAAGAAAAAGAAAAAGAAAACTAGTTAACTCATTTTAATTCAGTATCTCCCGAATTAATTTTATAGTAATTTGACCCCTTTTTAAAATCATTAATTTTTTAGATGTTTTATGGCTCAAACAAACTTTTGGTGGGCCTGAGAATCACCCAGAGGGCTGGGCTCCACTCCAAGTTTCTGATTGAGTAGTTTTGGGGTGAAGAATGAGAATTTGCATTTCTAACAAGTTTCCAGGTGTTGCTGATGTCTACTCACCCTTTGTTTTGTGTCTTCCAAGTCCCATTTTGCCTTGAGGTATAAGCTCATAGACTATGATAAACTGTGATGTTAGTGTTTTCCTACTGGAAAAAGGTATCTTTAAGAGTAGGATATGATTGTGTTGATCACAGAGTATGGGCTGGGTGCTTTATTAACTGAATTACCCACTGTAGCATTATAGTTGGTCCCAGACCAGCAGCATCAGCATCTCCTGGGAACTTGTTACACACATTTTTGGGCCTCCCCCAGACTTACTTAAAACTTGGAGGCAGAAAGGGTACCAGCAATCTGTGTTCTAATAAACCTTCCAGGTGATTCTGATGCCTGCCAAAGTGTGGGAATACAGCTTAGTGGTTTTAAACCACTTAGGAATTATAAATTCAGACTGTAAAAGCAGCAGGAACTCTATTTGTGGTTCCAGATTCTCATTGGTGATTTTTCTGTCCCTTCCCCACCCAGTGTCATTGTTGAATAGATTTTACTTAAAGTTGCCTGGGTAGTGGTGGTAAGGAGAGTAATATTATTTTACTCTCCTTACTAATAATATTAGTTTACCTTCGCAGTGAAGTCATAACCCTTTGAGGGTATCCTAGCTGAAGGCAAAAGCCAACTGCTGCTGTTCACTTTATCTCTCTGGGTTTCCAGTCTCCTCTCCTTTTCTGGCCTAAGCAGCTATAGCTTCTTGCCAGCTCATTCATGTTTTTTAAGATTAAAAAAAATGCTGGATTTTGAGTTGTTTTAATTAGGATGGCAGGTCCAAGTACTTATTCCACTATATTCCAGGACTAGCATTCCCTATTATTACATTTAATGGATTTTGCCAGATTGCTTTCTAGGGAAATGCAAACTGAAGTAGTAATGTGATAGCACTTTATGCCTGTCAGACTGGCAGAAAATAAAGTAGTAACATACTGTTGCAAGTGATATGGCTTGTAAATGATATTAGTGTAAATGCAAATTATTTTGGTCTTTTAGGAAACTTAAAAATGCTTGTGAGGCAAAAACCATTGTGATGTTGAGGGAATAGGTGGAGGAAAGTATATTTGCAGCAGGTGCAACTAGCCATTGCTTCATTTTTCTGTGATAAAACTACCGAAAAGTATGAATGGGTGTTACCAGTCTATTATGTTTAGGGCCATGGGTTGGGTCTTGTTTGAACAGCAAGGATAGGTGGACTTAAGGGATATTCATCATATAGACTTAGGGTAAATCATTGAGAGAGCTGATTGATGAAAATAGCATGACTTGCTTCCTCATTAACCCACCAAAAAGTTATAGGAAAATGAGGGAAATAAAGGACTAGGGTGAGTTAAAAAGGGAGCTCTGTGCCCCTGGTGTGCTGGAACTAGCTCTTCCTGGAGTTGATAAATTATTAGGACTTCGGCAAGCCAGATGTTAAATATAACCATCATTAAAATTAAATTATATAAATTGCATTTAAATTATATTTAAAACAAAGGAAATACTCAAAACTTATGTCCTAGTTTTATTATATTTTACTGTTATCTGTGTTCTTGAGGTTATTGACACCTGTTGTATCTGTGTGGTGGAAATTCTGTCAGTGTGCAGTTGCACATCTCTTTCCTATTCTGTGTTCAATGATACCACTTTGGTGACTTGAAATAGGACAGACTATTTATACCATGGAAATCAGCAACTAGTACAAATCAGGATTTTTTTCCCCTGGAGAACAGTTGTTAAATATCTACCCGAATACCACTGGGTATAAAGTTTTGCTGTTTGAGATACTGATTGTCTTTCATCATTGTAAATGTACTTATTTTCTGAAGCTTCGAGCATTCTAATCTTACGTAAAGTTTTATTGTTCTTAGGAAAATAGGTAACTATACTAGTTTTACTCATGTTTTAAAAGATATCTTAAGCTTCAAGGGAGATATGGCTTATTTTATTTAGCTTTTATTTTCATGTAGATAGTATTTTTGTAAGTTTGTTCTCCTTGTTTTTTAAAACATTGTCATTTAAAAAGTATACTTAAAAAACCTTTATAACAAATAACCACCCAGAATTTATCTTTCTTGTAAGCCATTAGTTTCATTTCTTGAACTCATTTTAGCAAGGAGTACACTTTTTCAGTTTTTAATGTGGACATGTTTTTGTGTGTATGATTTAATTCTTATAGCAGTGTTGTAGATGAGGTTGACCAGTTACCAGCAATAAATATTGTTTCTCTAGTATTTTTAGTTAGGGCTAACATTTGATTTCTTGTAAGATTAAAGTGTCATATTTCCTACTTGTTTGTTTAGTTTATCCTCTGGTACTTTAGTAAATCAGTGAATTGGGAAATTTTTCATAAGACTTGTGATTCTTATTACATTCATCTGTCATACATGTTTCTAGCACTTATGGCAATGAAATTAAGATTGAAACATTGAAAACATTATTCTGGGTATCTTATTTATTACTGTTTGTATAGTGTAGTGGTTTTGATTTTTGGATCTGTAGCTGGGCCTTTGGGGCTTTGGCCCAGTCATCTAAACTCTCTAAGCCGCTCTTTCCTCAATATTAAAGTAATAATAATAATAGTAGCTACTTCATATAGTGGTTTTAAAGATTAGATGAGATAATGTAGCATTTAGCAAAGTGTTTGGCTTAAAGTGCTCTGCAAATGTGAGCTAACACTCTTACTATCAAAATAATAAATTCTCCTATCTGCAAGTTGCCTTAAATGGCGGGTATAAAGCTAGTAGTAAGTAAAGCATTACATAAAATACTTAAAATAATGAAAGCTATTGAAACAAAGTCAGGAAGAATAAAATTCAGTCTTTTATGGCTTATTATCAAAATAATAAATTCTCCTATCTGCAAGTTGCCTTAAATGGTGGGTATGAAAGCTAGAAGTAAGTAAAGCATTACATAAAATACTTAAAATAATAAAAGCTGTTGAAACAAAGTCAGGAAGAATAAAATTCCATCTTTTATGGCAAATGAGCAAGCTACAATAAGCAGCGTCACTGTTCATTTGTTTAGGATAATGGTTAGGTATCAACCATACCAGCAAATGATAAAACCACCTATTCCAGTCACTGAAATACTAAACCACTGCTTTAGTTGTGTACATACATTATGGATAAACATAGATAATTTTCCTAAAACACTGGATAATCCAATTGCTGTGAAATAGAATTTAGGTAATAAAGGGATTCTTGGTTCCTTTAGTAGTTTAAGTTGCACATTGACTTGCCTGTCGACCGTACTTAAAATTACAGACTTTCTTTGCCTTCCCAAGTCCACTTTTTGAAATAGCTGTTAAGTAGCTCAGTGTCCAAATAATAAGTAAAACAGGAATACGAGGCAGAAGGGAGCATTGATCACCCACCTCTCAATACTACTAGAAAGTTGGCTGCCTAATCTCTCATTATTTTGTATTTATTTGCTATTTTATTCTGGGTGCATAGATTTAATATTATGTTGACACTTTTTATCCTTAGTATTGATTGGGTTTTCCCTCTTTTTTCTACTCTGCTACCTCTATCCCTTCTGGAACCAGTAGTTTAATGGTAAGTATTTAAATAAGATTTACAAAGTTTTTGACCTAGTGAGGATTTTTTTACCCTCACCTATCTTGGTGAAAACTTTGTAGACTTCAGACGGTCTCTGTGGTTTCCCAGGTTTTCATTGTTGCCTTGTTTGTGTGTAGACTGATAAAACTTTAGTTCTGAGGTTCTCCTGTCCTTGCATGCTGTGTCAAATGGCATCCATTGTTTGTGTGTTTCATAGTGATGTTTTTCTTGGAGCTTGCATTCTCTTTTTTGTCTTCTTTCTGCTGTTTTTTTTTGTTTTTTTTTTTTTTTTTTTTTTTTGGCTGGGGGTGGAGGGGTATTGGAGTGGGAAGGAGAAAAGTCTTTCTCACATCTGTACTACTTTTATTTTCTATATGGCATTTGGAATCCTCCCAAATTTTGCCAGGTAGATCTCTGTAAGATGTTTGTTCTGTGTACATTAAAAGCATAATAACTAGTATCTTTGGGAAGAATTATAGACTGAGTCCAAGTCCATTGAATGATACTGTTTTTATTGACCCTTAATTCTGCTAAATTTGCTATCAAATTCTGTGTTGTTATTTCTTGTTTCACATTTCAAGATATTTGAGCCTTTCAAGTGTTTTTTAAAGGTATAAATATATTAGGATTTTTCATAGCAATAACCGTTAACCTGTTGCCTCAAGACTTTGTATTTTGATTTAATGAAATTTTTATTTACCACCGAGCATAATGTTTCACTCTTAAACTTAGATTGTGAAATATAATTTAACTGATTAAAAGAATGAGGCCAGATTTAGTGTGTTAAAACTTATAGTAGACTTTGGAAAGCCACTTTCATAAAATTTTACCATCAAAGAAAATGTCTTTAAAATTTTTGTGTGTGAAATATAAATAAGAAAAATGCAGAAAATGGAAGAGTAGAGTTAGAAAATGAATACCAATGCACCTGTCATCCATGTGCAGTAGAACAGTGCCAACACTCCAGAAATCCTCCCCTTTGTTTTCCTGATAATGAAGCCCTTTTTTCCTCTTAGAATAATCATAATCCGTACATTTGTAATCATTTCTTTGCCATTCTTTGTTTTATAATTTATATATACATTTGTAAAGAATATGTTTAATTTTGCCAGCTTGATATAAATGGAATCATACTCTTTTTTGGGTCTTGCTGCTTTTATGTTTGTAAGATTCATTTATACTGTGTGTAGTTCATCATTCTGTAGTTTAAAGTTTATCATTTTTCATTCTGTAAATACACCAGAATTTTTTCAACCATTCCATTGTTGGGTGTTTGTTTCCATTTTGCCATTATGAACATTGCTACTGTGAATTTTTTGTTAATATGTATTCTGGTGCATATGTGCACAGATTTCTTTAGGACAGTATTACTTAAAATATGGTCCTTGAACGAGCACCATTGGTGGTGTCATCTGTGTGAGCTTGGGAGAAATGCAAATCTGTGGGCTCCACCCTCAATCAGAATCTCTGGGGATGGGGTCTAGGAAACCGAAACAAGCTCTCCACATGAATGACTCTTAAGGACATTAAAATTTGAGAACCACTGCTCTGGGATATATACCTAGAAGTGGAATTGCTGAGTCATAGGTTATGTATACCTTCAGCTTAATAGTGTTTTCCACTGTGGTTATGTTGCTTTTTAGTTACACTGTTGTTTGAGAGTTTGTATTTCTTTACATCCTCTGTAACAATTAGTATTGTCAATATTTTATTTTTTTAAATTAGAATTTGAGTATTTTCTGAGTTACTTTTAATTAGAATTGAATTTTGGCTTTTCAGATTTACTGAAAAAATTGACTTAGATTTACTACAGACTTTCTAAAAATATTATTAGAAATCATAGAAGTAGAGGCAAACAGTACAATGAACTAAAAACTTCATATCTTCAGCATCCACATTCAGTGTTCATTATATTTTGCAGTATTGGCTTCATTTATCTCTTTTCTCTGAATTATTTTAAAGACAGGTCCTAAATATGATGTCTTCACTCCTGTATAAATAAATTCATATATAGAATATGTACCATTTTCTTTACATGATGACATTGTCTTTATTACTGAGGGCCTTTTTACTTTAAAAAGTTAGAATAGGCTTCGTATTAAAACATGTAAAAATTCTAAAATAATGGCAAAGCAGAGTATATAAGCTTTTATTTGGATATCATGAGTGGGACTTTGAACATTCTCTGAACTCTTCTAATGTATTTAGTCAAATAGTTATACTGAATATTTTCTGTTTCAACAATCAGAGTCAAATTTAGATTTCTTAAAGGGATTATTTAACCATTATTTAGGATAAGAATGTGTTTAGAGTGCTCAGAAATTTATCACTTCTCTGATAAAACTCAGCATGTATAATGATGATGTCCTAGTTAAAGACTGGAGTAGACAGCTAAAAGACACCCTGACTCTTTACTCTTAGAAGCAACTCTTTGAAAACCCAGACATACAAACTTTCACATCTGTCAACCTTTTGCTGTGGTATTGTGCAGAGTTCACTATCCTGAATCAGCACATGTCCGTCTAAACTTCCAATAGAATTAAGAGCATTGGAAGTCAGTGTTTATAGTGAATTAAGCAGTGAGTATTTTTTGAATGTGTGTACTATGTTTGGTAATTGTTGGATAAGAAGGAAAGTACAGGAAACTAACCTGTTATTAAGCAGTACAGAAAGGTACCCGGTAATTTTTGTTTTGCATTGTTGTGATTCAGTTAAATGCTAAATTTTGCTGATCAGGAAAGTATAGATATGTAGCATGTAATATATTTTAAAATGTTATGTAATTTATTAAAAATTTGTAAAAAGTTTTAGGGTATGGAAGATAAATGAGGCTGGAGTTGGAAGAAAACAAGATACATGGCTTTGTATATGAATAAAAAGTTGGTATTTGTTTATGTGTATTTTAAACCAGGGAGTGATCAGGTCTGGTTGGTGTTTTGAAGATAGCCTGTGACAACAGTTTGGGGAAGGGTGAGGTCAAGAGCAGATGCATAGAGAGGTTACTGCCATAGTCCAGGAAAAAATAACAGTAGCTACGTTGTGAGGGTGGTGTAGATGTCTAAAGAATTGGTTGAATCTGACAGATACTCAGGAGGTAAAATCTACCAGGTGGGTGATGGCTTGAGAATAAACAGGTGTGGCAGCAGGAAAACAGTGGTAACACTGGCCTGACTGGAACATCTTCATTATTCCTTAGCCCTTTGGTTAGACTAAACTTTTTAATGCAACTTACTGGCAGCTTACAGATGAGTTTTTGTCATAACGAAACTTTTTCAGAATGGTTTTCTTTCCTCTTTTGAAACAAATATTTGGATATTTTGAACAGTTCTTAAAGACTTAATCCAGGGGTTGGCAAATGTCTAGTAAAGGGCCAGATAGTAAATATTTCAGGCTTTGCAGATCTTTTGGTCTCTGTTCCCTCTTTTTGTAGTTTGGGTAAGCCATAGAGACAATACATAAATGAATGTGTGTGGCCACGTTCAATAAAAATTGGTTAGTGGGCACTGAAATTTGAATTTCCTATAATTTTCACATGCCATAGCATTTTCTTTTTTAAAAAATTTTTATTCAGCCATTAAAAAATGTAAAAAGTTCTTGACTCAAGGGCTGTACAAAAATTGACAGTAGGCCACAGTTGGCCTGCAGACCTATGTGGGGTAAACGCACCTGATAGCCATTTTCTTAAGCATACCTTGAGGATGACCCTGTGTGGCATACAGGACTGAATGTGAGTTCCAAGCTAGGGAATCTGAGAGTGGCTAATTAGGAGATTCGTTCCTTGTCTAAGGAGAAACATCTGAGCCCCTGTCCTGTCCTGTCCTGTCCTGTCCTGTCTTGTCCTGTCCTGTGGAACATGAGCTGTACAGGGGATCGAGGTCCCAAGTTTGGGGTTGAAAGAAGGTTGACAGGTGGAGGTTGTTAGTGGGAGGATGCTAACTGAAAATGCTTTATAAACTACATGCCTTTTCCAAGCTGTTGTGGTTCTTCTGTCCAGCCTGCCACCCCTTGACTGTGTGTAAGGTGATTCTTCTGACCAGTCTACTGCTGCGGTACTCTCTGCGCTGTATGTAAGCCTCCAGTAAAACCCCGTGTTTTGTTTGCTGGCTCTGGGTCTTGTTTTTGGCCTCTTGAACTTGGTGCCATTCCCCTTGGAGTCAATAGGGGTCCGGCACAAGAACCTGCACTTTACCAACCCCAGAATTTTACCCCGAGTGTAATTTCTTTACGAGTAACTTTTAAGATAGATAGTAAATAGGCTGTAGGATGTTAATTCCTTTCATTCCTAAAGAGTCATAAATGCTTAAGTCTGTAATGCTATATTTGATTCTTCCATATGTGAATTTGGGGGATGTAGAAACGAACTACCAGCAAACCCAATATAGCTAAGGAAGTATATAATGCAGAGTGAATTTCATGAAGAGCAGTATCTTTAAGAAGGTAACTAACACATACCAATGAAAAGTGGTTTCCATAGGTGAGCCCCAATGGGAAAGAAAGTTAATGACTTTTGTCAGACTAACTGCAGATGTGTTAAGAAAGTTGCGCTGGGTTCTAGGGTAGTTGTAGGAAACTTGGCTTAAATACTTAGGAGTTGGCATGCTACCTGCTAAGCTTGAAAATCCTTGTAGAACCAGCCCTTCAGTTCTGAATTAATTTTTGACATAATTCTTAAGGATTATATTATGTATGCGTTGTTTTAGAAAATACTGGTAACACTGAGTCCAATTATTTGAGTGCAAACAGTAGTCGGCAAAATTTTATCTACGTAAACGTTACTGATTACAGTCAGGTGCCCAACTGCTATACTTTAAATTAGATTTTAGTTGTGATAGTAATCTGTTAATGTATATTTAGCCTTCCTTGTTACCTGTTGATTTGCCATGGTGGCTGTAAAAAAAATTAGATTATTGACAATAACAAAAAATACTTTTAGCCAAGTATATTTAAGATTTTAAGGCCCCAGTTGCTAAAAGGTCATTTAAAATAATTCTATCAAATTTTGTTAGGTACATTTTATATTTGCTCAAGCGATCCTCCCACCTTAGCCTCTCGAGTAGCTGGGACTACAGGCACACACCACCATGCCTGGCTAATTTAAAAACTTTTTTTCCGTAGAGACAGGGTCTCATTACATTGCTCAGGGTGGTCTGGAATTCCTGTACTCAAGCAGTCCTCCCTCCTTGGTCTCTCAGAGTGTTGGGATTACAGACGCGAGCTACTATGCCAGCCCTCTGAGGATTTTTAAATAGGTATTTTGTTGCATTTGATACTGGTTACATCCTGATAGTTGACAGCATAGTAAAGTGCTCCTGTTGTGTTTGTGCGTTCATGTGCATATGTATGTGTGTGTGGAAAGTGAGACATAAATGTAGTGAGCCATGCTTTAAAAATGTCTTTTAGCTGTTCAGAGCTGTCTTTGTTCAATTGAGTACTAAGGAGAAAATTGTGAAGACAGAAAAAAACCACTTCATCTTCAAATCTGGGCAAGAAGCAGCATATATTGGAGGGAGGATATATTTGTTCATTCACCCAATAAATATATATGTCACTCTGCGTTGACATAGTTCTATGAAGTAAACAGATATTGTGATGTGAAACATGAGGAAGGTATGTTTTAAAATTATTCCTTATGTTTTTTAGTTCAGTATAATTATTTAAAACATTTTCTGTTTTTATTTGAAAGTCCTAAAGACATTTAAGTGATAGTTTCATTAAGACTGTAACTACACCTGTGGCTCTTGGATTAATTTTAAGTCTAATGAATTTGTTATCTGGTTGCTATACATTAAAAGCAGTAATTTCTCTTTTGTTTATATTTTAAAGAGGTAAGAGTTTCAGTAAAATTCAACTGAAATTTAGTAAATAGCTTTGGGAATAGCTAAAACATGATAAAACAACAAATGTAGGAGAGGAATAATTTATATATCTTATAATATTTTAGGGATTATATGTATACCTTACAGACAGAACCTAAAACGAAACACTTGATAAGTAGAAGCCATGTGAGCTGTACCCAAGTGGCTACTTTGGTTCTGGAGCTTACTATCATTCTTTGGTCTTAAGTTTTCTGCAACTGAAGGGAATTGGAAATGTGTTTGTTTAGAAACATTATTCTGGGACATTGAGCTTAATTGAGAATTTTAGCTGTGGCTGGTACAGGTTTTTCCTAGTGTTTTGCTTTAAGCCAATGCGTATAAACAGTAGCCATAGAGGCTAGAGTTCATTGTTGTAATTATTCTGAAACCCATAGTTGTTTAAACCTTTTTTCTCTTCATTTGACTTCCACAATATAATCTAAGACCCAGGTGAAACTAACATATTGCTCATGTTACATGTGGCCTCATAGGCTAGTGGGCATTATACATGTGAGAAGTTAGTGTCGGGTAAGAAGCTGTGGCTCAGACATGCATTTCTCCCTCTAGTTTGTGAATTCCCAGAGCAAATGCCATTACTCCATCCTTCCTCCCTCCCTGCCTTTCTACTGAGAGAAAATTCCCAGAGCAGAGGCTGTTGTCATATTTATGAAAACAAACAAATAGACTGTAACTACTGTTAAAGCTCATGCTCAGTTCCAAAAGTGCTTTGCATACTTAGTCAGATTTCTAGAATTGCCCCCGAGAATATGGACTAAGTTACCGTTGGCACTGAGGCATCCTCCTATTCTGTAGTGAGCTTGTTTCACATCAGTGAAGAATAAAAAACTACTTAACCTCCCTGTGTCTGTCTTGTGATCATTCTGTACCCTCATTCACTACCTTCCTCCCCCAGTGGTGATGTGTGGCCATTTCGAGGTTCCCTGGTGGCAGAATATGTTCGGTATATTCGATTTTACAAGGTCCATTTGTATTAGGTAAACCACTGATCCCTAGGTCCTTGTTGTGTTATTGGCATACTCTCTCATATTATAAATTAAGGATGCCTTGTTTGTATTGCCACATGGATTTTATTTAGTTTTCCATGAGAGCTGACCTGTCCTGTGCTACCATAGTTTAAGTTGACTTTTCTACCGTTGTGAATAGTGGTTTAGTTCTTTCCCTTCATCAGCTGTTTGATAAGAGCAATCACGTTGTACTCTGTTTGACATTATTCTGTAAAATGGATTAATTTATTAATTCAAACAAATTTAAAAGAGAAATTTTTATTATATTATTTGGTTGTTTTCCCAGGGAAATACCCATGTTGCTCAAGATGACCTTTATTTTCTAATAAAGTTGTAATTTTCTCTGTCAGAATTATTTTCTATACATTTTATGGGGCACACGTAACATTACATTACATAACATAACATTGTACAACATAGCATCACAGTGACAGGAAAATACCCTCTGTCAGTGGTGGCCCACTGTTAAGATATTTATAGTTATTTTAATCTATCAGATTTGTAGGTTATATGTATTTAAAATGATCTAGACAGTAAAGCATGAAGAATAAAGCTAATGGGATATTTTTGGGAGTGAGGTGGAGGAGACAAAAAAGATGGACAGAAAGTTGATTGATGGGCTAGAAGGTAATAAAAGGGTATCAGTAATAAAAGCAAAAAAGGGAAAAAAGGGGGCATCTCTGCAGTGTTATTTTTAAGAGTGTGAATATGCCAAAGACATAAAAATGTGTGCCTGCTTTTCTTGCATTTTATGACTTCAACAATAGCTGTCCAATTTTTTCACTTGTTATGGGGGAATTATTAAATCTCAAGTACTTTATCGCTCTGGGTTTCTGCATAGTTTTCCAAATATGGGAAATATATATATATATATGTATATATGTATGTATGTATTTTTTTTTTTTGGAGACAGTCTCATTCTGTCACCCAGGCTGGAGTGCAGTGACACAAACTTGGCTCACTGCAAGCTCTGCCTCCTGGGTTCACACCATTCTCCTGCCTCAGCCTCCTGAGTAGCTGGGACTACAGTCGCCTGCCACCATGTCTGGCTAATTTTTTGTATTTTTAGTAGAGATGGGGTTTCACCATGTTAGCCAGGATGGTCTCGATCTCCTGACATTGTGATCTGCCCACCTCAGCCTCCCAAAGTGCTGGGATTACAGGTGTGAGCCACCACGCCTGGCCTATGGGAAGTGTATTTGTTAAGATATCCAAGACTTGGTCCCAGTATGGATTTTGATTTGCTCATGGTACCTAAGTGTCTGTTCTTATCTTAGCCATTCATTCCATTGGTGTTTTGTTTTGGTATTTTGGTATTTGTTTGTTTTTTGCCACTATTCACACGAAATAATCCCTTGGAAATCTCAAAATAGACCCCCTATGATTGTTGCATGGTTGTAACATTTTTATGTACAAGATATTGTAAATCGTTTAATTGGTTATAAATGCTATGAGAGAGATCTGGTAGAGAGATGAGTGGACTGCAGAGTGTAGTGAAAAGAGTCCTAGTTCTGGCCCTAGTCCTGACTAGTTTTATGAGTTTTGTCAAGAATTTTTACCTCACTGAGTTTTCTTACCTGTAAAAGGAGATTAGAGTGGATGTTCCCTTAGAGTGCATTTGCATTCTCACAAAGTTGAGTCTACCTGGCTTGGGAGTAATTACAGTGAACATGGAGAAGTGTAACTCTTTTTGGACAACACGGAGGGCATTTGTTAGGTACACAGTGTGAAACTTAAAAATGTCTGATCCCATAATTAAGTTTGTTTTTTGTCCCTAACTAAAGAAAAAGGTGGGGCGGGGGGGGGGGGGTTGGGTATAAAGACGCCTACAGGGCATACTTAAAGAATCCTTGTAAGACATTTAATGAGTCATTACAGCATACTGATATCTAACATAAAAAACTGCTTTGGATAGCTTTTCATTCATTCAAATATTTGAGTGATAGTGTGTGTCATGAGAGGCACACTAATGACTTTGGGGCTACAAAAAATAGATCATAATTTTCACTTAAAATTGCTTCATTCATGTTCTTTCCAAAGAGAATATATGAAAAAAATAAAGTAAAAGAATTGTCAGACTAGGCGCTGTGGCTCACACCTGTAATCCCAGCACTTTGGGAGGCCAAGGCGGGCAGATCACCTGAGGTTGGGAGTTGGAGACCAGCCTGACCAACATGGAGAAACTCCATCTCTACTAAAAATACAAAATTAGCTGGGCTTGGTGGTGCATCCCTGTAATCCCAGCTACTTGGGATGCTGAGGCAGGAGAACTGCTTGAACCTGGGAAGCGGAGGTTGTGGTGAGTCAAGATTGCACCACTGTACTCCAGCCTGGGCAACAAGAGCGAAACTCCATCTCAAAAAAAAAAAAAAAAAAAAAAAAAAAAAAAAGAATTGTCATAAACCAGTAGATAGTAGGAAGTAATGATTTTCCCTAGTGGACTGAATATATGGTCCTGATGTGAACTAAGCTATTCAAGAATGTCTGTTATACAAATTGTTGTATACTGATGTTTTATAGGTTCATCAAGGATTGCTTTGGAGGATTTATCAGAGGATTAATTAGACATTTAGCTATTTAGCCTGGTAAAACGCTTGTTGAACAAGGTTAAAACGTTTCCTGCTAACTTGTTTCAGAATGTATTCTGCTATATTGTGTTATTGGAACATTTGCTGTCCTGCTATTTTAATTTTATTTCAGATATTTTTGTCCTTTATTAAGTCGCTGTCATTTTTAAGTGTATAGATTTTACTTAGGTGTTTCCTCTTTGGCCTCTTGAGCAACTTTTCCTTTATAGCAGAAAGTTTACCTATTAGAAAACCGTGATAATTTAGAGAGAAGTTAGGTCATCTGCAACTGATCCTGCCTGTGGTTATAGAAGTTAGTTAGCTTGCATTTTCTGGGAAATTTTTCATAACAGATAATTCTGTATTTGCCAGACTCAGAACAGATCCTACCAGTAAATGAGATAAGTTCATCTTTTCAGTTTAGACTCCAGGCCTTTTGCTGCGCTTATGTTTTATATAGTCTAAAGTTCTTTGCTTATGGAAGTTGATTTATTTGCCCCCCCTTTTTTTTACTGGCATGTTTAAAACAATTTTACCTTTGAACGGAATTTGAAAAAAAATGCAGTGCATTCCTGCAAGCAGTGCTTATAATTGTGGTTATAATCACCAGTAATTAGAATTTCCTAATCTGCCTTTAATTGTGCCATTCTTGCCTCTAGAACTGAGGCCAACTGTATAGTTCATTTCCGTATTTATTTGGATATTTATTAAGTGTTGACTGTAGGTCTAGCTGGGTGCTTGGACAGAGTGATCAGATGTAACACGCAGAATAATATGCAATTTCTGCCCCACAGGTATCAAATTTGGGAGATAAGATCTACACAGAAGTAGTATTACACATGATATGTCAAATGAGTGTTATCAGTAAAAGGAATTCAGTAGGACAGAGAAGGACATTTTGCTTTTGAGTTCTCTAAAAGATTTCATTGAGATGGTGAGACTTGATCTGGGCTTGAAGGGATGGGAGTAAATTTTTAGTAAAGTAGGATGAAAATATTGGCTTAATCAAGAGCAAAGGCATGGAGATGTAATGGGTATGTTCTATTGGAGGAAAATAATTAAATGGCAACACCAAATTTGTATTAGGCTCATAGTGGGAAATAGTGGGAAAGCCTTGTACAGGGAATGGTGGCATGGGGTTGCTTGCATGCATTCAGTAATGCAAAAGAGGGCCAACAGCCAGGATGCTGTGACAGAAAGCTCAAAGCCTAGGAATCAGAAGAGCTGAGTTCTGGCACTTTTGATGTCTTTCCACTTAGACCTATATTCTCTTTAAGTGAGCAGTTTAAACAGAGAGAGTGTAGGTTCCTTATGGTTAATATTCTTTAGTTCTGTTATCAGAGATGGAATGACAGCTTCTGTTTTGTATTACCTGAAGAGCTTTGTATGGCCTGGTGTAGCAGATGGAGGTTACTTGCTGTAAAAATCTCCTGAACCCATTCCTCTGTCACTGATTCATTCCATTGTTTGTCATATTCATTGCATTTCTACGTAGGGGAGTGTTAAGCCTATTGATTATTGCCTTCTGGAAATAAATTAGTCAGATTACCTAATTGAGATCAGATGGAGTGGAGCTTTGTTTTAGGGACAGTATAAAGGAATGGTTTTGATTTTGGGGAAACTTGGAGTGCCGGCTTTGGATAGAGAACATTTATAGCCAGTGAGGTCGATGACATAGGAGGGAGGTTCATGACATCTGGGGGAGGGGCAGAATATTTGGATTATTATAAAGGTTAAAATAGAAGAGTCCAAACATCTGGCATCTCATCTGTCTCTAATGTAGTCCCTGGTTACCTTTATTTCTCTTTGGATATAGTGATTGAGAGGATCAGTTCTTCTGGGTGATTTTTGCTGGTGTCTTTATTTTGTTTGTGGTTATTGGGAACTCTCATAACTAAGAAAGTTGCATTTAGATGACCTGTTTGCAGTTGTAGAATAATGATTTGGTATGTAAATCTCATAATAGGGCCTTCATCTTCTGTCATGCCTAACAGATCTGACTTGGTGGTTGGAGTAATTTTTCTACCAACAAAAAACCCAAAAATCTCACCTGTATTTTTCCTGCCAATTGGTGTATTCACCAGTCTCAGGTTTAGGATCAGTCCCTTTTTGTTTGTGGTTGGTTTCTAGGAGGAAACAATGTACAAATACTGAGTTAAAAGTAGGGTTGGGCCACTGGAGATACAAAGAAAAATCTTTTTGCCTTAGTCATCAACAATGGAAAAGCATTTGGTAAAGTAACTTTGATGCAGCAGTATGTGTCATTGAGTAGTTACAGAAAGTTTTTCTTAATAGGAATCTGGATTTTATTATTAAAGAATGTCATTATAGAGGCTGGGTGTGTTGGCTCACGCCTGCAATCCCAGCACTTTGGGAGGCTGAGGCGGACGGATCACCTGAGGTCAGGAGTTCAAGACGAACCTGGCCAACATGGCAAAACCCCATCTCTACTAAAAATACAAAAATTAGCTGGGTGTGGTGGTGCGTGCCTGTAATCCCAGCTACTCGGGAGGCTGAGGCAAGAGAATCACTTGAACCCAGGGGGTGGAGGTTGCAGTGAGCCAAGATTGCGCCACTTCACTCCAGCCTGGGTGAAAGAGCGAAACTCCGTCTCAAAAAAAAAAAAAAATGTCGTTTTAGAACTGTACTCTTTATTTTTAGAGACAGAGTCTTACCCTGTTGCCCGGGCTGTAGTGCAGTGGTAGGATCATAGTTCACTGCAGCCTCAAACTCCTGGGCAAGAACTGTACTGTTTTAAGAATTTACAAAGAATAAGAGTTGTCTGAAAAGTGTAGAGGGGAAAATTTCAATAAATGATAGCCACTGTTTACTGAATACTTACTATGTTGCAGGCATTATATATACATTATAATCTTTAATTCTCACCAAATTTCTAATGTGTAAGTAGTAGTATCAGTGTTTACAGGGAAGAAGTCAGGCCTGGAGGGCTGAAGTGCCTTCCCTGGGTCACCTAGTCTGTATGTAATAGAAACAGGATTTTTACCAGGTCTATTGGGCCTCACATTTCTGTATTTTCACCTGACTATTAAGGATAATAAGGAGATTGACATGTAAATAAACACAGGGCCATGTGCTGCATTGAAGTATTGTCCAGGTATGGAAGAAATACAAAGGGAGGGAATGATCAAGTTGACCTTGGGGTAGAGCACTTAGAGAAAGATTCCTGGAGAAAGATGACACCTTAGTAGGATACTGGTGACCATCTAAAAGTTCTTTGGGTAGAAGAGAAGGATTAATGACACTAGTGATTCATTGTCTATATGTTTTCTTCTCTGTTTAACAAGAGCAGAATGATCTGGTTCATCTCTACTGTTGACTCTCTTCATCACAGTCTCTCTTGGCCTTTTATACACCAAGATGATCCTGCTGTTCCCATCCCAGTTTTTGTTAGTTTGATCATTTTCACACTGTTTACATTTGTAATATTTAGTACTGTTTTGTAGAGATAATTCCTATAGTTGTTTACACATATTTTTATTTTTAAATAGAATCGTGCATGTGTGTACTACCTGTGTGTCCGTGAGTTTATATATTTATTTAACCACGAATTCTTTGTTTTGATTCATCTGTTGGTTGAGTCCTGAGTCTGAGTATTTAAAGATAATACACTTCTTGAGTCCCATTTTTTTCCAAGAGCTCTGAAGACCCCTCTGCCATGTGTCCCAAATAATTATCTATATATGTTATATATGTAGATCTCTATACAGATCTTTCTATATATACATAGAGAAATTTCTCTATATAAATAATTTATCGATACATACATTTATAAATAAATCTACTCAGGTATATAGAAAGATAACTATACAGAGAGAGATGAATCAAGGATGAATCAAAACAAAGAATTTAGAAATGGACAGGCTGTGGTTAAGTAAATATGTAAATACATACTAGTAGTACCCACATGCATATCATATATATGTATACAGTTTTAAGAGTGCTTTACATAGATGTTTAACTTAGGATTTTTGACTTTATAATGGTGTGGAGGTGATATGCATTCTGTAGAAACTATACTTTGAATTTCAATATTTTTCAGGGCTAGCAATATTCATAATGAAACTCGGTGGTGCTGAGCCAAATATCTCATGTAATTTATTGAATACGGTATTGAAAGGGTTCTGAGCACATTTAAGGTAGGCTAGCCTAAGCTACGATGTTTGGTAGTTTAGGTGTATGCATTTTCAACTGAAGATATTTTCAATTTACCATCCTAAGTCAAGGAGCATTTGTATATTAAGGATATTGTCCTTTTGTTTTTGATATACATTGCAAATATTTTAAATTCATTATTTGTCTTTGGAATTTGCTTCTGATGTGTTTAACCATGATACATTTTTTTTCTTTTGTTGCATAATGCCTTAGAGCTGCCTTAAAAAACTGATTGGAAGCTTTATGTGCAAAGATAAGGCTTATTAATAGTCAAGGATTTTGATGTATCATTCTGTGAGACCTTTTGATTTAAGAGAAGAATCTACCAATTTCTTAGTAGAGATGGAGGCTATGGAGTGGGGCCTTTTTCAGTTCGGAGATCTTTATTCTTCTATTTTCTTCCCTGCCCGTTGCCGTGCCTGGTATTCTCAATTCCGAATATTCTTTGTTGTTGTTGTTGTTGTTTTCCCCACAGTAAATCTCCATTCTCATGCTCTAGTGGGGGTATGGTATTTGCTTGGCTGTATGTAATGGATTGGGGACCTCGGGATCTGTTTTTTATTCAGTCTTTCAGTCAGTCTAGATTTTAGCCTCATGTATCACTACTGTGTTGGGAAGTCATGGAGCTCCAGATGCCTGAGTCCTTTGGGAATTATTTAGTGAGAATTGGCTTACTTGTGCAGACACTCAGGATCTGTGTTTGCTCCGTGCCGTTGATGCTTTCATCTATTTTTTTTTTCTCATTTGCTGCCGACTTCTCTCAAGTTCTTTAACTCATTTTTATTAAATATTATTTATTTTCATTTTAGTAGGTTTTGGAGGGGAGGAGAGAGAAACATGTGTTTAATTCACTGTATTTAACTAGAAATCCAGGTGGTTCTTTGTACGTACTGTTTTTCCCCTTAGGCTCTACTTTGTAGGCAGTTGGATGGCTCTCAAGTGAGGCTTTTTAGGTTCACAGTATTGCACTTTTGTTTAAGTTTGTTTGCCAGTACCCAGATGATTCTGATGTTTCAAATCAGTTGCCTCTTGCCCTCGTTTATGCTAAGTTTAACTTCAGGGAAGCAAATTTTTTAAGTTTCAAGGCAAGAATTCTTTAGTTGATGCTTAAAATCTGGTTGCAGTTTTAGGATCTCTGCTTTCTCCCCATGGTTGATCAGTTTCACAGTATTCGATGTAGCCTGTGTTTGGCCATTATAGTTTTTTTGTAGTTTCATTTTTAGGGGTGTCTAATCTTTTGGCTTCCTTGGGCCACATTTTTTATAGTTTCATTTTTAGGGGTGTCTAATCTTTTGGCTTCTGTGGGCCACACATAAAATACACTAACAATAGCTGATCAGCTAAAAAAAAAAACTGCAAAAAATCTCATAATGTTTTAAGGAAGTTTATGAATTTGTGTTGGGCCACATTAGGCCATGCGTTGGACAAACTTGTTTTAATCGAATCCTCCTTCCTGTTTTTTTTCTTTCTCTTTTTGGTGGTTTTCAAGAAGTTGAAGTAAACATACCTTTATTCCTTTCTTTTAAAATGCATGTACTACAGTTTGAAAAACATTGTACAAAATCATATATTTCATTTAGGAAATTGAATACCTGGAGGATTAGCTGTGCCAAAATCTTTTTCCCAATCCTTATAAAGTTCGGCATGAGGTATAATTCTAGCCTCACTCATTTGGTTGCAGTGAGTTTCACATCACAGTGAAGGGAGGACAGTTCCTGTGAGAACACATGTGTTGGAACTAGAGAGCTGCCAAAACGTCTCTTTCACCACCCATCTTATTAGTTGTCTCTCACAGTGCTTCTGTTCCTGTCTACACTCTAGCTTCATGTGGCCTTCTTTCTTGTGCTTGCCTATAGTTTCTGTTCTCTCGTAAGTTCAGCTTACACCTGAGCCGTCATGGACACCACTGTCTCTCTTTTACTTACTTTTGACCTTTCTGCTTAAGCTCTTTACTGCTGGCCAATATAGTCTCTCACTGTTTCTTAATCATATTTCCAAAAAAAAAAAAAATTGATTGGCCTATGCCATCTTTTTGTTCCACTTCTGATTTGTGCCTAGCCAAACTATAAGTTGGCTATCTGGGTTCAGGTTTCCAAACAGCTTAGTGGTGTCAGGGGAGGGAGCAGTAGGACAGCAGGGGAACATGGTATATCTGAGGACTGTCTTAGCAGCAAGAAGGCAGGGATGGGACACTTCACCTTGGTAAGTGAGGGGGCAGAACAGAGCTGAATACATCAAATAGTCCCTATTTTATTATGCTAGTTTATTTTTAATGGAGTACTTCAGGCAAATACTTAGTAGTGCAGATTGAATAATGTAGGAAACTAGCTAATTTTTAAGTGTCAAAAATTGACTGCAAAAACCTGTACCCCGATCTGATGCTAGTTTCTGTTTTCATTATGACTTCAGTGCCATGGTGTGGCAGAAAGACCATTAAAGTAGAAGTCAGGAGTCTTAGATTCTAGACCTGTTTTTGCTGTTCTGAAAGGCTTCACGTTCTGCATCAGATAAAATTTTAAGGTTATTGAGGTAGAATAGTGTCTAAGGTGCTGTTTAGCTATAAAACTTGTGACTCACAGTGTACTATACCAAGTTGGTAAAGGTAATTTCCACAAGAGTAGTCAGATTACAAAGCTTGTAATAACATGAAATCATGAGTACAGGTTAATGTAAAAAATTAAAAACGAGAATACCTGGACCAGTACATCAGAGAGAGATACAGGAGTTTGTAGTGGACTGCATCCCTCTCATTTTAACTTGTTTTGTTTGATGAGGAGATCATCTTCATAAACTGATACAAAAGTCAGATATTATAATCACAAAATTTTCCTGACTTGAGTTGCACATAAACAGTGTAATGCAGTAAGTGTAATATTGAAGTTTCAAACGCTTTTTGATTTTCCATGCTTTTTAAAAGCCATAGCTGGATATTCAGAATAGTTAAGTAACTTGAGTTTCTTTTGTTTTTTAGGATTTAAGTGCCCTGTATGCTCAAAATTTGTATCCTCAGATGAAATGGATTTGCATCTTGTAATGTGTTTAACAAAGCCACGAATAACCTATAATGGTAAGTCCAATGGTTTAAAATAATATTTTAAGTTAGAATTAACTTACATTTTATGAATTTCATGTTTCAAGTATAATTTAAAAGGAGGGAAGGACATTGTTTTCTCTATTTTTACTAGTGCATTAATGCAGTGGTTCTCAAATTCTGTGATCTCAAGACTTCTTTACACTTCAAAAAATTACTGAGGACTTCAAAGAGTTTTTCTTTACTTGGGTTATATCTATCCATATTTGTCATAAATTAAAACAGAATTTATAATTTTTAATTTATTTTGTTAAACATAAATATAATTATGTTGACAACTTTTAAATGAAAAGTAAATTTTCTAAGACAAAATATTTAGTGACAAGAGTGGCATTTTCAGGATTTTTACAAACTCTTTAATATCAGGCTTCATGACAAGGAATTCTCACATCTGCTTCTTCATTCAGTTTATTGTGATATGGCACGTCTTGTGTCCTCTGGAAAACTCTGCTGCTATACTGGAGAGAATGGGAATGAAAAAGGCAGATATGGCCAGGCACAGTGGCTCACACCTGTAATCCCAGCACTTTGGGAGGCCGAGGTAGGCAGATCACCTGAGATCCCAAGTTTGAGACCAGCCTGGCCAACATGGTGAAACCCCATCTCTACTAAAAGAAAAAAAAAAAGAAAAAAAAAAATTAGCTGGGTGTGGTGGTGCACACCTGAAATCCTAGCTACTCGGGAGGCTGAGGCAGGAGAATCGCTTGAACCCAGGAGGCGAAAGTTGTAGTGAGCCGAGATTGTGCCACTGCACTCCAGCCTTGGAGACAGAGTGAGACTCTGTCTCAAAAAAAAAAAGAAAAAAAAACAAAAACAAACAAACAAAAAAACAGATACTTAGTGTTACCATGAAAATAGTTTTTACTTTGTTAATCTAAAAGGATTTCAAAGGCTCTTCCACTTCTCCTACTGTACAAGATTCTTTGGACCACAGTTTGAGAACTGCTGCATTGAAATAAAATCTTTTGGGTTAAGCCTAAGTAAAATGTAATGTTCATAATGGCCATTTTCAAAAGTAAGTAAGCATGGTTGAAATTGCAACTTTTTTCTTTTTGTTTAAGAGTATAGAGTAAATGAAGGGAACATATATGAGGAGTAGGGAGAATAAAAGTTTATTCAATAGTAAATAGATGCCTAATGGGAGAAAAAAGTCATTAAGAGAAACCCAAAACTCTACCTATGCAGTGCATATGTGTCTCTGTCTTTCCTCCCATATACAAATTTAGTCTGTGAGCTCTGGAGCGAACTGGTATTTTTTTAGGTCTGGTGTTTTAGACTGTACCATTCTTTCCTGACCAAAATCTCTAGATATTCCAAAACCTAGGAAAGATTTTAAATGTAGCCTTGGCATACTTTGGAATAGACTTGGGGGGGAAAAATCAAGTAGTTCTGTCCTAACCAATGAATAGAATAAAATGAAGGAAAAATGAAAGTTGTTTTCAAAATTTTATAAAGAAACAGACTTCAAAAGCTTAAGAGAAATTTCATTTTTTTTAAATATAAATTTTGGCCTGAAATAAAATGTGTAGAAAGGGTACCAGTAAACACTATAGCCAATTGAAAGATTGGCTAAATTCAACATATATTTTGAGCATCAATTATGTGCGAGGTACTGTGTTAGGAATTAGAGATATAGCAGTGAATGAACAGAAATGGAGCTTACAGCCTACTAATAGTAATAGTCACTGATTTCTTTGAGCTAAGAATTATTGGTTAAATAAAAAGGTTCTATGAAAAACTTAGTAGATATAGCAGCACTTATCTGAGCTTTCTCCTCAGGTAACAAAAATGTTGGGAGGGGTAGAATTTAACATTGAAATGAGCATATTACTTTTGGTAGTGTTTTGCAAGTTGATCTAAGAATCAGTCTCTCAATTCTTCCCTTTCCTTCACTTTTTCTAGTATGGTGGTGCTTCAGCCACCCTATTACAGGGTTGACAATAGAGCACTTTTTGCCATTCATTTGCTGATGAAATGTGAAAGTGGTTTTAAGCAGTTACTTGGCATAATAAATGTATTTGTTGATTATATCCTAACCTTTTTGCATTATGAAATTGAATTGGCTACTTTGCATTATCTACTTCAAGTTTAGTTATTTAAGAAATAGAAAGTGTTCTCATTCAAAATTTGTGACTAAAAGTATATGGGTTTGTTTTTCATACCTGCTCCACTATCTTATATTCTATAATTGTTTATGTTTAATATGAGTGCCTTTAAATATCCATAAATCTTAAAGCTTCTGGCTTTCAATTTGAAAATCACAAATATATTTGACCATATAATAATATATTTACACACAGTCTTAGTATTCTGTATGTTTACTTTTTGTGTAATATATCTAGAATACAGTCTTCTTGTGTATTGTGATATTTAACAATTTTTTTAACTTTTAAGTTGAGGGGTACATGTGCAGGTTTGTTATATAGGTAAACTTGTGTCATGGGGGTTTGTTCTACAGATATTTTGTTACTCAGGTATTAAGCCTAGTACTCATTAGTTATTTTTTCTGATCCTCTCCTTCCTCCTACTCTCCACCCTCTGGTAGGCTCCAATGTGTATTGTTCCCCTCTTTGTGTCCATGTGCTCTCATCATTTAGCTCCCACTTACAAGTGAGAACGTGCGGAATTTGCTTTTCTGTTCCTGTGTGAGTTTGCTGAGGATAATGGCCTCCAGCTCCATCCATGTTTCCACAGAGGACATGATCTTCTTTTTTATGGCTGTGTAGTATTCACACGGTATATATGGACCCACATTTTCTTTATCCAGTCTATCATTTGATGGGCATTTAGGTTGATTCCATGTCTTTGCTCTTGTGAACAGTGCTGCAGTGAACATATGCATGCATGTGTCTTATAACACAAGGATTTATATTCCTTTAGGTGTATACCCAGTAGTGGGATTGATGGGTCAAATGGTATTTCTGTTTTTAGGTCTTTGAGGAATTGCCATACTGTCTTCCACAATGGTTGAACTAATTTACACTCCCACCAACAGTGTGTTAAGTGTTCCTTTTTCTCTGCAGCCTCTCCAACATGTATTTTTTTTTGACTTTTTAATAATACGCATTCTGACGCTTGAAATGGTATCTCCTTGTGGTTTTGATTTGCATTTCTCTAATGATCAGTGATGTTGAGCTTTTTTTCATATGATTCTTGGCCACATTTATGTCTTCTTTTGAAAAGTGTTCATCTCCTTTGCACATTTTTTCATGGGGTTGTTTGCTTTTTTCTTGTAAATTTGTTTAAGTTCCTTATATATGCTGGATATTAAACCTTTGTCAGATGCTTCGTTTGCAAAAATTTTCTCCCATTCTGTAGGTTGTCTGTTCACTTTGTTGATAGTTTCCTTTGCTGTGCAGAAGCTCTTTAGTTTAATTAGATCCCATTTGTCAATTTTTGGTTTTGTTGCAATTGCTTTTGGTGCCTTTGTCATGAAATCTTTGCCTGTTCTTATGTCTATAATGGTATTGCATAAGTTGTCTTCCAGGGTTTTTATAGTTTTGGATTTTACATTTAAGTCTTTAATTCATCTGGACTTAATTTTTGTATGTGGTTTAAGGAGGTTGGCGTGGGGTAGGGGTCCAGTTTCAATCTTCTGCATATGGCTAGCTAGTTATCCCAGCACCATTTATTGAATAGGGAATCCTTTCCCCATTGCTTGTTTTTGGTCAGGTTTGGATATTTGACAGTTCTTAATTTCCTGATTTAACTATGCCTAAGTCATTAAACTGTTCTGCTAGATCACTTGTTTGGTGTCTTAAGAACTAATATATAACCTTCTGCTTGGGGATACTATAACAACCAAATATTTCGAATTTTAAATATTTAACAGTATTTCAATCTAGAAATTAATAAATTTCATGCAATAAGTAAATAAACTTGTAGGCATTCTTAAAGTTGCTGACTGAAAGCTTTAAAAAATAAAAATATATATATTTTTGTTTTTAGAGTCAGGATCTTGCTGTGTTGCCCGGGCTGGAGCTCAGTGGCTATCTATAGGCACAGTCATGGCACACGACAGCCTCAAACTCCTGGGCACAAGTGATCCTCCTACCTCAGCCTCCTAAGTAGCTAGGACTACAGGTGCATGCCACCATGCCTGGCTTTTATTTTTTATTTTGTAGAGATAAAAAATTCAAAGTATGTATTAATTGTATAAACATTCACAGCAAGAAGCAAATACAGCTTCTTAATAAAAACCGTGTATAGTTTTTGAGGTTTTAAAACTAGCTCTTGGACAGTGGCCAGTTATGAGTAAGTGAAGGAGAAAGGAGCTTTGCCTGGACTGATTTGGAGGGTTACAGAGAGGTGGCAGGTTAATAATGTACTTTCCTATCATAGGCAAGGGGAATTCTAATGCCACCTGGTTTTAAAGTCAGACCCCCCCCAAAATGTCTGTCACAGGTGATGAGTCCAAATGGAAATTGGCTCCTTTAATACCTCATAAGCAAACCATCTAGGATTATTATAAAGTAGAACAAGGTAAAGCCAGAGAATCTCTAAAACTGAATCTTTTTAGTCAACTGGATTCCTCACAATTTTATATTTGAATTCCTACATGTTGATTCCATAGAGAGATACATCAGATACATTGGGCCTCTGAATTGTGTTAGTGCTCAAACAAGAACATTTTTTTCAGCATACTGTTCATTTAACTTACACTTTTGCAGCCTTTTCCAAAGTAGCTAGATCTGAAATTTTGAAATTTATTTGTTAAGTGAATGTTAACTGTCTATAAACATTCATAGTTATAACACAAGAATAGTGGGGCTTGTTTTCTTCAGACTGGATATATTTATATAGATAAGCTCCTGAATTGGATGAGTTCCAGAAATTCAAATATAAGTTGATGATTTAGAGTTTCAGACTCTTTGTCACAGAGATGATATTTGAAATATTGGTTTTTCAGACTAGCTCACCAAAACCTTCTTATTTTTTTAAATGCACAATATATCTGAACACCCACATCCTGGTACCTGAAGAAGAAATTGGCTGACTAGGTAGAAACTCTCAGGGATTGGGCAGCTGGCTCGGCAGAGATCCCAATGGGACGCCCAAGGCTGTCAGGGCAGGGAAGGATTTTGAATGATGTGGGTGGTATTATCTATTGCAGATGGTATTTTGGCAGCTTGAAAAAATTAAGAATGCCACAGTGAGTATTCAACAACATAGATTACCTTCATGTGAAGGACTGCCTGTTTCATATACTTTTCCCTCTTTCATGTGCTTCATTGTTGAGTTTATGGACCTAATAATTCCTTGTATAGTCTATGAATCTAATACAAATTTTATGAGTATAGAGGCTCTCTTCATTTCCTTGCTCCTTCTAGGATATTTCAGACAAGCCAACAAATTAAATATTATTAGCAAATTCTTAGTTTTTTTAAAAAATTTTATTATGTGTACATAATAGTACATTTATAGGGGTCCATGTGATATTCAGATACAAATGTACAATGTGTAATGATCAAATCAGGATAATTGGGACATCCATCACTTCAAGCATTTATAATTTCTTTGTATTAGGTACATACCAGTTCTGCTTTTCTAGTTATTTTGAAATACACAATAAATTATTGTTAACTATAGTTGTCCTGTTGTGCTTCCAAGCACTAGGTCTTATTCCTTTTATCTGAAGGTATTTTTGTACCCATTAATCAAACCCTCTTTATATCCCCCTTCCCCAGTACCCTTCCCAGCCTCTGGTAACCATCATTCTTCTCTCTGTCTCCATGAGATCAGTTTTGTTTTGTTTTGTTTTTTAAGCTCCCACATAATGAGTGAAAATATGCTATAGTTGTCTTTCTGTGCCTGGCTTATTTCACTTAACATAATGTCCTCCAGTTCCATCCATGTTGTTGAAAATGACAGATTTCATTCATTTGCATGGCTGAATAATATTCTATTGTTTATAGATACCACGTTTTCTGTATCCATTCATCTGTTGATGGATACTTAGGTTGAATCCATATCTTGGTTATCGTGAATAGTGCTGCAGTAAACATGGGAGTGCAGATATTTCTTCGAAATACTGATTTCATTTCTTTTGGATATATATCCAGTAACAGGATTGCTGGATCATATGGTAGTTCTCTTTTTCGTTTTTTGAGGAACCTCTGTACTGTTCTCCATAATGGCTGTACTAATTTACATTCCCACCAACAGTGTACAAGGGTTCCCCTTTCTCCACAGCCTTGCCAGCATCTGTTATTGCCTGTCTTTTTGATAAAAGCTGTTTTAACAATAAGATCATATCTTATTGTAGCTTTGATGTAGCAAATTCTTAGTCTTGATTGTATTGGTCTTTAAACTATACCTGATTATGGTATACTTTATACCATATAAAGTTCAGTTTTTACTTTAGACTTCTGTGATTCAAGGCAGTAAGATTTATTTATATTTAAGGAATCTTTGTTTTACTTGTGGTTGGTACTATGTTTGTGCATGTGTACTTAGAAGAGGTACAACTTGAAATAAAGTTGTCTTCTGGGAGTTAAATTATAAACTTGTGAATCAAAACAGAGCTATTCAGAATCATCAGAAAGAAGAACAACTCTATGGACAGAGCAAGATGTGACTATTACCCTGTTAAAGTAAACATGTTTGAAGAAAGATTGAGCCAGTTGGAAGGCAATTTGTTCTGTAATAAAAATGATGAAAAAAGCTGCCAATTGCTACACTGTCTGTGGGAGAATCTATTTTGTCAGGCTCACACAAATATTGCAGGTGATTGTATCAGGCTGTCAGCACCTTGATTCCAGTTTGCATATACAGCCTGCTAATCATCTGGGTTCCTGTCTAACATGTTTGCAGGAAAGAGCATATTTTTTCCCACTGTAGATATAATCTGGTCTTCCAGGGAGTTGAGGTACTATTATAAGTTATAAGCCTATCTTCTGCCTTATATACTACATTTTCTTGGTTTTAAGATTCTCCCCTCAAAACACATTTTAATCTTTCTGAATTCAGGATGCTTTCTGAAATTGGCATTTTTTTTTAACTGAAGTTAAAAAAAAAAAGAAAACTTGCCAGCTACTAAGCAGAATTTTAAATAAGAAAGTCTAAGTTATCGCTGCTTGAGCATGTGTGAACTTCGCCTTCTGTGGCAGGTTTCTGTTCTCTGATTTGACGTCTCTGTTCATTTATGTACATTGGTGGTTTCTGTGGTTGAGTTTTAACTTAAATGTGGATCCCTAATTGTAGTCTTAAGTAACTTGATACAGCTTACATTGTAAGGCAGAATTGAAGAGCTATTTTTGATACTACAAACTGACTGTTCTCCATGGAGTGATGTTAAAGGCAATGGGAAATGTCAAATCTCTTCTACTGCCTTACAGAAATCTCAAAGTTGGTGATATCCCAGAAGAGCCTGGCAGAAACAAATCCAAAACTGTTCATAAACCCATACAGGATTCCTGTACTAACATACAGTCTCTATTAACGGTGAACTTGTGATGAAAAATGACAAATAAGGAGTGAGAGTAAGCAGATATGAGAATTATTACCCCTAAGAACTTTTAAAATTAACAGCTTTATTTTCAAATAGTTAAAATTATAAACAGATGAATAGGAAATATGGGAAAAAATAAGACACTGTAAATAAAGAACAGAAAGTTTTGAAAAATATTCAGATTTAACTAGACATTAATCACTGAAATTAGAGTCTGGCTGAATAGATAGGTTAAGTGGCAGATTAGATAGAGCTGCAAGGAGAATTAGTCAAGTATAAGGTAGTTCTGAGGAAATTACACAGAGTGTAACAGAGAGAGAAGCATGGAAAATATGAGAGAGTACCTGGCATGGAGCCTGGAATGAGAGCATACACCATACATATAAAAATCGCAGAAAAAGAGATGGAATTGTGGAGAGGCAGTATTTGAAGGGAAATGCTGGAGAACCTTATAGAATTGCTGAAAGCTAGAAATTCTCAGATTGAAAGAGCGCAGTGATCTTAACTGCCATAAATAAAAATAAATCCATATCTAGAGACACTATAAACCACAAATACCAAACAAAAAGAGAAAAATGTTATTGTAACCCAAAAAATAATATTTTACCGTGTTCCATTTGTGTTAACATTTCTAAAATGCTTCTTGTTTTATGGAGTAATTTGAAATTTAGCAGATGTTTACTTTATAAAGATAATGGATCAGAAATGGTCATATAAGAAATTTGACAGTAGTTACAGTCTCATCCAGTTACCAAAATTGTAAGCCCATTTTATAAGGCACTAAATTCAGTTTTACTTCCCTTCTGTAAATACACATAGCTGCCCAAAAGTAGCACCAATTTGTGTTTAAATTGTTACAAAGTATAGCAGTACTTTGTACACACTTTAAATTCAGCTTGTTGAGTCCAGATTCTAATTCTGTCACTTAATAGGAGTGTAATCTTAGTCTTGGTTTTCTCTCTTGTAAAAAAATGAGACTAGAAATAGTACCTGTCTTCATAGAGTTACTGTGAAAATCAAATGAGAAATCACGCATAGTTCTTCACAGAAGAACTTCACAGGTAATGAGTGCTAAGTTAACAAGACCTGTTGCTATTACTAAGAAATATTACTCTTGACTTTGAGAGGTAAACATGCTGTAGATGCCCTGTTACCTTTTAAAAAAAAATTTCGGTTGAGGAGGTGGGGTACATGTGCAGGTTTATTACATTGATCTATTGTGTAATGCTGGGATTTGGGCTTCTAGTAAACCCATTCCCCAAGTAGCAAACATAGTACCTAATAGGTAGTTTTTCAACCCTTGTCCCCCTCCCTCTCTTCCCACTTTTGGAGTTCCCTGTGTCTGTTGTTTCTATCTTTATGTCTGTGTGTACCCATTGTTTAGCTCACATTTATAAGTGAGAACATGGCTGTATTTGATTTTCTGTTTCTGCGTTAATTTACTTAGTATAATGGCCTCTAGCTGCATCCATATTGCTGCAAATGATATTGTTTCATTCTTTTTTTATGGCTGTGTAGTATTCCATGGTGTATATGTACCACTTTTTCTTTATCCAGTCCACCATTGATGGGCACTTAGGTTGATTCCATGACTTTGCTGTTGTGAATAGTGCTGCAGTAAACATACGAGTGCAGGTGTCTTTTTGGTTGAATGATTTCTTTTCCTTTGGGTAGATACCCAATAGTAGGATTGATTGCTGGGTTGAATGGTAGTACTGGTTTTAGTTTTTTGAGAGATCTTCATACTGCTTTCCACAGGGGCTGAACTAATTTACATTCCCACCAACAGTGTGTAAGTGTTGCCTTTGCTCCATATCCTCACCAACCTCTGTTATATTTTGACTTTTTTTTTTTTTTTTTGAGATGGAGTCTCACTCTGTTGCCCAGGCTGGAGTGCAGTGGCTTGATCTTGGCTCATTGCAACCTCTGCCTCCCAGGTTCAAGCAGTTCTCCTGCCTCAGCCTCCTGAGTAGATGGGATTACAGGCGCCTGCCACCACACTCGGCTAATTTTTGTAGTTTTAGTAGAGATGGAGTTTCGCCATGTTGGCCAGGCTGGTCTCGAACTCCTGACCTCAGGTGATCCGCCCACCATGGCCTCCCAAAAGGCTGGGATTACAGGCATGAGCCACTGCGCCTGGCCATATTTTGACTTTTTTTTTTTTTTTTCCTCCCTGAGACAGAGTTTCATTCTTGTTGCCCAGGCTGGAGTGCAGTGGCGCCATCTCACTTCACTGCAACCTCCGCATCCCAGGTTCAAGCAATTATCCTGCCCCAGCCTTCCAAGTAGCTGGGATTACAGGTGCCCACCACTACGCCTGGCTAATTTTTGTATTTTTAGTAGAGGCAGGGTTTCACCATGTTGGCCAGGCTGGTCTTGAACTCCTGACCTTGTGATCCTTCCGCCTCAGGCTCCCAAAGTGTTGGGATTACAGGCATTAGCCATCGCACCCAGCCCATATTTTGACTTTTTAATAGTAGTCATTCTGACTTGCGTGAGGTGGTATCTCATTGTGGTTTTGATTTGGATTTATCTGATGATTAGTGGTGATAAACATTTTTTCATATGTTTGTTGGCTGCTTGTATGTCATCTTTTGAGAAGTATCTGTTCATGCCTTTGCCCACTTCTTAAGGGGGTTGGTTTTGCTTGTTGATTCAAGTTCCTTATAGATTCAGGATATTAGTCCTTTGTCGATGCACAGCTTGCAAATATTTTCTCCCATTCTGTAGGTGGTCTTTTTACTCTGTTGGAATTCCTTTTGCTGTGAAGAAGCTCTTCAGTTTAATTAAGTCCCAAATGTCAATTTTATTTTTGTTGCGTTTGCCTTTGATGTCTTACTATAAGTTTTTTTTGTCTAGGCCAGTGTCCAGAAGAGTTTTTCCTAGTTTTTTTCCTAGGATTTTTATAGTTTGAAGTCTGACATGGAAGTCTTTAGTTCATCTTGCGTGAATTTTGTTATATAATAAAAGGTAGGGGTTCAGTTTCATTCTTCTGCATATGGCTAGGCAGTTTTTCCAGCACCCTTTATTGAACAGGGTGTCCTTTCCCTGTTGTTTATTTTTGTTGACTTTGTGGAAGATCAGTTGGTTATAAGTATGTGGCTTTATTTCAGAGGTCTCTAGTCTTTTCCATTGGTCTTTGTGTCTATTTTTGTACCAGCACCATGATGTTTCGGTTCCTATAGCCTTGTAGTATAGTTTGAAGTCAGGTAATGTGATGCCTCTGGCATTGTTCTCTTTGCTTAGGTTTGCTTTGGCTATTTCTTTTGGTTCCATATGAATTTGAGAATGGATTTTTTGGATTCTGTGAAAAATGACAGTACTTTGATAGAATTGCATTGAATGTGTAGATTGCTTTGGGAGAGGACTCTATTATCTAACATGCTAACAAATCTAAAATTTTTCTTTCGATATTTTATTTAAAAATCTGATAGTTATTTAATTCCAAGTTAGAAGTCTATAAGTCTTGCATGACAGTATGAATCCTATAATATGTAAGGGTGTAGGGAGTGGGAGGTTAATTAGAAAACTACTGCTATCATATGTGGCAACTTAAAGCTACAGTTTAATGGAAAAATATATAATATTTCTACTTTTTATAAGCAATGTGGTGGCCTACACAGCTGACATACAAAGTTTAGATTTGATAACAGACAGATTGCTTACTAGGATTGTAGCAGAAATTAATCTTTTTAGAAGCATAGAACCTTTTATAGTCTGTATAGAAATAGAAATGCTATAAAAGTACATGGATAAATGTATTTATGTTGAGGTACTTTTTTTTTCTTTATGGGTTATTTTAAAAGAAATGCATAGAAGAGAAAATAAAAATAATTAGTTTGATGAGAAGGAAGTCCTGATCAATCTAGAAAGCCTGAAGTAGGATTGAGGTTCTATTTCTGATTTCATTAATAACGTTTGAGGACTATGACATCTGTTTTCTTTATTTACTGATTCTTAATTTACCTCATCATTTCATAAATCTTTATATTAGCCCTGCCTTTTGGGAGGGTTCTCGTTTTCCTTCTGTCACTTTCATAAGGTTGACTTTTGTATCATTCCAACATTCCAAGAACCCTTTCTTGAGTTTAAAAGGAAAGAAGAGAGAAAACAGTACAAGAGACCAAGTGAAACAGCATAGCTGTCCTCAAACTTTAAAAGCTTTTATTCTCCTGGTCATAGTTTTTATTTTCGTTAAGATGTGGTATTGGTGAAATCTGATTTTAAAGGAATAAAATACTTTCTCAAATTTATCTCATTTTTGTGTTTCCTTTATTAAGGAGCATAGCTATGACTCAGCCCACATCTGTCCGCAGTTTTACCCTTTTACAAAATTATTATATACATATATATATACGTATTCATATGTATACATACAGTAAAAATAAATTAGTTCTTCATTCTTGAAAGGATGAAGAAGATTTGAGAGAAAGGGAGGCCACGTTTAGAGATAACTAGGCAGGGTGTGGTTGGGGGCAAGAGAGAATGCTAAAGGAAAATTGAAGGCAGAAAGATAAATTATAGCTGTGTGATGAAATTCTTTTATGAACTATTTGGAACTTGGAATATTTATCTTATATTAGTATGCAAAAGTATTTGTAAGGAAAAGAATTTGTTTAAAGACTAGTTCGGAGATTGGTTCATTACTTTCCATGTTCAGGGTGTAGGTGATGTGTTGGAAGGGGGGAAAGAGGCAAATGTCAGAGGCATCATAAAGAGTGAGCTGTGTTTAGTGAGTGCTGGAAACGACTTGAAGGTTAGCAGTGGAGTGACTCAATTCAGGGGTAAAGAGATTTTGAGAGTACCTAGCTGCTGTAAACCATATGCCAGAGGTGTTGATCTTGGCAAATGTGAAAATTATAAAATATGATTATGATTTTTCTAAAGAAAGGAGTAAAGATATTACAAAGGATGCTTGAATATTTTGTTGAGTTCAGCAAACATTTTAGAGAAGATTGGTAAAGAAATGGCTTGTGAATATTTTTCCAATGACTACATATTACTTGTATAAAACTTTTAAAAGTGCTCCCCCTCCCACCTTAAGTAAACATTGCCCTGATTATCCGTAGCACTGCCTTGGATTTGCCTCAGAAGTGGCCATAAGTATCTTCTCAGCCACTGAGTAGTTTGGTATCTTCTCAGCCACTGAGTAGTTTGGTATCTTCTCAGCCACTGAGTAGTTTGGTTTCAGGGAGGGCAATATTAACACAGTGGCTCCGTCTTGGGGGGAACTATATTTAATTCTTAATATTTTAAGTATTTTAAGGTAACATGAAAATAATAAAGGAAAATAATGAAAGTATTAATAATGAAAGTATTGTAGGCATAGAGATGTTTTTCTTATAGCTTTAGTTATCTGAGATTTTAATTTTTTTGTTAATTTCTAGGTAGTTTCTCATTTAATTTTTAACTTTTTCTTTGATTCAGAGATTATGTAGAAAAGATACATTATAATGCAGAGAAAATTTAGGGGAGCAGGAAGATGTGTAGTGGGAAGTCATTTTGATCTCGATATTAGAGAAAGCTGTCCATACTTCTCTATATTTTAAAAATGTTTTGATGTTTTCTGTGTGGCCAAGTACATCATTGAGTTCTGGAAATTGTGAATATAAGAGAAGCATATATATTTTCTTCTGTAGAGTGTAAAATCTGCATTTTTCTGACACATACATGGACATGTATGTGTGTATATATGTATGTATTAGAAAACATGCGTGTATGTGGGTGTAATTCCCATAAATTGAATTTGGTTGTATTATTGAAATATTTTGTATCCTTTATTCTGTTTGATCTACATAGTCTGACAAATTTAAAAAGTTTATTAAAGCATCCCTACTGTGGCTGTGGTTTTATCAATTTTTTCTCATTTTTAAAGTCTCTTACTTGTTTTGGTAATATTTGCCTTGCAGCAGTGTTTTCTGGTTTTATGTATTTCATAACTATGTTGTTTGCACAGATATTTATGACTTATGTTCTTTTCGGATTGAATCTTTTTATGTTATAAAGTATTCATCTCTATCCCATGTAAGGCTTTTAGCCTTATATTCACTTTATCTAATTTTTTTTTCTTATGCTTGTTAGTAACTGTGAAGGGTCTGAGATTATAGCCACTTGCCAGCCAGCAAGTTAGCCTGGCTACATTTTTTTGGATTCCTACAGAATATATGAGACTCCTTAATCAAAATCACAGAACTTTATTACTCATAGCAATAGCCAGAATATTAGCATTTTTTTGTATCAGTTCCTTAAGGCCCAAGAGGGCCAGGTGACATCTCCATACTCAGTGAGTTGCATTGTGGAAGAGGGAACCCCTGAGATTTGGGAAACTAGATCTTTTATCTTGGGAAGTAGGCATGTCTGTTCTTTTCTCTGGAGTTGACATTGTCTCTGTTTTCCAGGGCTATTCGTTCGTACAAACATGTTTGAAAATATAGTCTAAAACCTGCAGAAACATGAGACACCCATGGAGAATTGTCTTCCCCAATTTTTTTATTTGCATTTGCTTGCTATCTTTGCTTCTTTATTATAAATAAATTAATAAAATAATTAATTTTCTCTATTTTAAATTAATTTAAATTTTATTTTTGAACAGGTAATATGTTTGCATGGTTCCTATGCAAAGAGATACAAAGTATGCCCAGTGAAAACTCTCCCTCTCACCTGAATCACCTTAACAGAGAGGTAGCCAGTACTACCAGTTTCTTGTGATCTTCCAGAGATATTTAATGTATATGCAAAGATACATATATTCTTCCCACAGTACACTTTACACTGTGATACCCTGCTGTACACAATTCTGAACATTTGTAATATGTGCTAGCGGTTATTCCAGACGACCTTCATCATTCTTTACAATTGCCTTATATTTCATAGGTGGATAAACTGCAATATATTAACCAGTCTTGTGTCCATAGATGGATATTTAAACTGTTCCTGGTATTTTGTGTGTGTATGAGTATGTCTGTGGATTGTAATCCTTGAAGCCTTCCTTATTAATCAGGGATTATGTACATTTCTATTTTTGGTAATTATTTGCCAGATTCCTGTCCAAAGATGCTGTGCCCATTTTTTTTTTTTTTAATTTAAGTTCTGGGATACATGTGCAGAACACACAGGTTTGTTACATAGGTATACATGTGCCATGATGGTTTGCTGCACCCATCAACCCTTCATCTATAGTAGGTGTATCTCCTAATGCTGTCCCTCCCCTAGCCCCCCCCCACCCCCCAACAGGCCCCAGTGTGTGATATTCCCCTCCCTGTGTCCATGTGTTCTCATTGTTCAACTCCCACTTATGAGTGAGAACATGTGGTGTTTGGTTTTCTGTTCCTGTGTTAGTTTGCTGAGAATGATGGTTTCCAGCTTCATCCATGTCCCTGCAAAGGACATGAAGTCATCCTTTTTTATGGCTCCATAGTATTCCATGGGTGTATATGTGCCACATTTTCTTTATCCAGTCTTTCATTGATGGCATTTGGGTTGGTTCCAAGTCTTTGCTATTGTGAACAGTGCTGCAATAAACATACCTGTGAATGTGTCTTTATAGTAGAATGATTTATACTCCTTTGGGTATATACCAAGTAATGGGATTGCTGTGTCAAATGGTATTTCTGGTTCTAGATCCTTGAGGAATCGCCACACTGTCTTCCACAGTGGTTGAACTAATTTACACTCCCACCAACAGTGCAAAAGTGTTCCCATTTCTCCACATCCTCTCCAGTATTGTTTCTTGACATTTTAATGATCGCCATTCTAACTGACATGAGATTGTATTTCACTGTGGTTTTGATTTGCATTTCTCTTATGACCAGTGATGATGAGCTTTCTTTCATATGTTTCTTGGCCACATAAATGTCTTTTTTTGAGAAGTGTCTGTTCATATCCTTTGCCCTCTTTTTGATGGGGTTGCTTGTTTTTTTCTTGTAAATTTAAGTTGTTTATAGATCTGGATATTGGCCCTTTGTCAGATGGATAGACTGCAAAAATTTTCTCCCATTCTATAGGTTGCCTGTTCACTCTGATGATAGTTTCTTTTGCTGTGCAGAAGCTCTTTAGTTTAATTAGATCCCATTTGTCAATTTTGGCTTTTGTTGCCGTTGCTTTTGGTGTTTTAGTCATGAAGTTTTTGCCCATGCCGATGTTCTGAATGGTATTGCCTAGATTTTCTTCTAGGGTTTTTATGGTTTTAGGTCTTACGTTTAAGTCTTTAATCCATCTTGAGTTAATTTTTATATAAGGTGTAAGGAAGGGGTCCAGTTTCACTTTTCTGCATATGGCTAGCCAGTTTTCCCAGCATCATTAAATAGGGAATCCTTTCCCCATTGCTTGTTTTTGTCAGGTTTGTCAAAGATCAGATGGTTGTAGATGTGTGGTGTTATTTCTGAGGCCTTTGTTCTGTTCCATTGCTCTATATATCTGTTTTGGTACCAGTACTATGCTGCTTTGGTTACTGTAGCCTCATAGTACAGTTTGAAGTCAGGTAGTGTGATGCCTCCAGCTTTGTTGTTTTTGCTTACGATTGTCTTGGCTCTATGGGCTCTTTTTTGGTTCCCTATGAAATTTAAAATAGTTTTGTCTAATTCTGTGAAGAAAGTCATTGGTAGCTTAATGGGGATAGCATTGACTCTATAAATTACTTTGGGTAGTATGACCATTTTCACAATATTGATTCTTCCTACCATTGAGCATGGAATGTTTTTCCATTTGTTTGTGTCCTCTCTTATGTCCTTGAGCAGTGTTTGTAGTTCTTGAAGAGGTCCTTCACATCTCTTGTAAGTTGTATTCCTAGGTATTTTATTCTCTTTGTAGCAATTCTGAATGGGAGTTAATTCATGATTTGGCTGTTATTGTTGTATAGGAAAGCTTGTGATTTTTGCACATTGATTTTGTATCCTGAGACTTTGCTGAAGTTGCTTATCAGCTTAAGGAGATTTTGGGCTGAGACGATGGGGTTTCTAAATATACAATCATGTCATCTGCAAGCAGAGACAATTTGACTTCCTCTCTCCCTGTTTGAATACCCTTTATTTCTTTCTCTTGCCTGATTGCCTTGGCCAGAACTTCCAATACTATGTTGAATAGGAGTGGTGAGAGAGAGCATCCTTGTCTTGTGCCGGTTTTCAAAGGGAATGCTTCCAGCTTTTGCCAATTCATTATGATATTAGCTGTGGGTTTGTCATAAATAGTTATTATTTTGAGATACATTTCATCAATACCTAGTTTATTGAGAGTTTTTAGCATGAAGGGGTGTTGAATTTTATCAAAGCCCTTTCTGCATCTGTTGAGATAATCATGTGGTTTTTGTCATTGGTTCTGTTGATGTGTACATTTATTGATTTGTGTATGTTGAACCAGCCTTGCATCCCAGGGATGAAGCCAACTTGATGGTAGTGGATAAGCTTTTTGATGTGCTGCTGGATTCAGTTTTCCAGTATTTTATTGAGGATTTTCGCATCGATGTTCATCAGGGATATTGGCCTGAAATTTTCTTTTTTTTTTGTTGTGTCTCTGCCAGGTTTTGGTATCAGGATGATGCTGGCCTCATAAATTGAGTTAGGGAGGAGTCTCTCTTTTTCTATTGTTTGGAATAGTTTCAGAAGGAATGGTACCAGCTCCTCTTTGTACCTCCGGTAGAGTTTGGCTGTAAATCCTTCTGGTCCTGGGCTTTTTTTGGTTGATAGGCTATTAATTACTGCCTCAATTTCAGAACTTGTTATGGTCTATTCAGGGATTCTGCTTCTTCCTGGTTTAGTTTTGGGAAGGTATCTGTGTCCAGGAATTTATCCATTTCTTCTAGATTTTCTAGTTTATTTGCATAGAAGTTTTTATAGTATTCTCTGATGGTAGTCTGTATTTCTGCGGGATCAGTGGTGATATCCCCTTTGTCATTTTTTATTGTGTCAATTTGATTATTCTCTCTTCTTTGTCTGGCTAGGGGTCTACCTATTTTGTTAATCTTTTCAAAATAACAGCTCTTGGATTCATTGATTTTTTTTGGAAGCGTTTTTTGTGTCTCTTATCTCCTTCAGTTCTGCTCTGAGTTTATTTATTTATTGTCTTCTGCTAGCTTTTGAATTTGTTTGCTCTTGTTTCTCTAGTTCTTTTAATTTTGATGTTAGGGTGTCGATTTTAGATCTTTCCCGCTTTCTCCTGTGGGCATTTTAGTGCTATAAATTTCCCTCTAAACACTGCTTTGGCTGGGTCCCAGAGATTCCAGTACGTTGTGTTTTTGTTCTCATTTATTTCAAAGAACTTATTTATTTCTGCCTTAATTTTGTTATTTACCCAGTAGTCATTGAGGAGCAGGTTGTTCAGTTTCCATGTAGTTGTGCTTAATCCTGAGTTCTAATTTGATTGCCCTGTGGTCTGAGAAACTGTTTGTTATGATTTCCATTCTTTTGCATTTGCTGAGGAGTGTTTTACTTCCAATTATGTGGTCAATTTTAGAATAGATGCGATGTGGTGCTAAGAAGAATATATATTCTGTTGATTTGGGGTGGAGAATTCTGTGGATGTCTCTTACGTCAGCTTGGTCCAGAGCTGAGTTCAAGTCCTGAATATCCTTGTTAATTTTCTATCTCGTTGATCTGTATAATACTGACAGTGGGGTGTTAAAATCTCCCACTATTATTGTGTGGGAGTCTAAGTCTCTGTAGGTCTCTAAGAACTTACTTTATGAAAATCTGGGTGCTCCTGTATTGGGTGCATATATATTTAGGATAGTTAGCTCTTCTTGTTGCATCAATCCGCTTACCATTATGTAATGCGCTTCTTTGTCTTTTTTGATCTTTGTTGGTTTAAAGTCTGTTTTATCAGAGACAAGGATTTCAACCCCTGCTTTTTTTTTTTTTTTGCTTTCCATTTGCTTGGTAAATATTCCTCCATTTCTTTATTTTGAGCCTATGTGTGTCTTTGCATGTGAGATAGATCTCCTGAATACAGTACACTGATGGGTCTTGACTCTTTATCCAATTTGCCAGTCTGTGTCTTTTAATTGGGGCATTTAGCCCATTTACATTTAAAATTAATATTGTTATGCGTGAGTTTGATCCTGTCGTTATGATGCTAGCTGGTTATTTTCCCTGTTAGTTGATGCAATTTCTTCATAGTGTTGATGGTGATTACAGTTTGTTATGTTTTTGTAGTGGCTGGTACTGGTTTTTCCTTTCCATATTTAGTGCTTCCTTCAGGAGCTCTTGTAAGACAGGCGTGGTGATGACAGAATCTCTCAGCATTTGCTTGTCTGTAAAGGATATTATTTCTCCTTCATTTGTGAAGCGTAGCTTGACTGGATACGAAATTCTGGGTTGAAATTCTTTAAGAATGTTGAATATTGGCCCCCACTGTCTTCTGGCTTGTAGGGTTTCTGCAGAGAGATCCATTGTTAGTCTATCATTTTTCTGTTTTCTAATTCATTAATTTAGACTTTTGTTTATATTATTTATTGTGCTTTCCTTAGGTATGCGTTTTCTGAGTTTATTGTGTTGGGGGTATTAATTTTTCTTTCTTGTTTTTCAGCAGAAGTATACAAGCCTATGAATTTTTCTCTGAAGATGTTTTAGCTCTGTTTCAAAGGTTCCGATAAGTAGTGGTTTTTTTTAGATGAGGTACTTTGTATTTTGGGGGTGTCTTTTTTAACTCAAAAGTTATTTGAGAGTATCTTTATCCAAGTGTAGAGGACTTTTTTCCCCCTGGTTTTGCTATTTGTTTCCTAGTTTTGCCGCATTGTGATCAGAGGATGTTGTCTGTACTAGTTTTATATTTTCAAAATTTATTACTGTTTTCTTTGTGGTTTAATGTAAGGTCACTTTTGGCGAATGTTTCCTATTCATGTGTAATTTAAAAGGTCCTTTGGGAGGACAAAGCAGGAGGATCACTTGAGACCCCAGGAGTTCAAGACCCGACCAGCCTGGGCAACATAGTGAGACCGTATCTCTATTTAAAAAATAGGAAAGTCAACCAAGCGTGGTGGTGCATGCCAATAGTCGCAGCTACTGGGGAGGCTGAGGTGGGAGGATCACTTGAGCCCAGGAATTGGAGGCTGCAGTGAGCTATAATCGCACCACTACACCTCAGCCTGGATGACAGAGCAAGACTGTCTCTGAAAAAACAAAAAGACATAGATAAAATTTAATGCTACTGCACTTCATCCTAGATGACAGAGACCCTGTTTCAAAAAAAGGTCTTTAATATTCATCTTTTTTTAAATTCACTTGATCGTCATGGACTAAGGTGAATTAAGGTGTGCTACTACTCATGTTTCTGTTTTTCTCTATATTGCATATTTTTTTTCCTTTACAAATGTTGCTGCTGTTATATGGGTATAAACATAACTATTATAACTTGGGTGCAAATTGCATTTTTTAATATTATAAAAGCTCCTCTGTCTCCTTTAATGTTTATGCCTTATGTTCAACCTTGTCAATAGTAAGATTGTAATTCATTCTTTCTTTTAGTTTGTATTTGCCTGATAAGTTTTTTTTTTCATTTTCATTTCCTGAATATTTTTTGTTTCTTATATGCTTTTTGTATACACAGTACAGGGTTAGATTTTGTTTGCAATCCAATCTAATCTTTGTTTTTTGTTTGTTTGTTTTTGTTGGTTTAGCCCATTTATATTTCTTAATATGGTCAGTGCTAATTCTGTCATTATACTTTCTGGTTTCATGACTTTTTAAAAATGTTTCACTGGGTGGCCAGCTTTTTTTTTTTTTTTTTTTTTTTTAATAGACCGAGTCTTGCTCTGTCACTCAGGCTGGAGTGCAGTGGCGCGATCTCGGCTCACTGCAACCTCTGCCTCCCAGGTTCAAGCGATTCCCCTGCCTCAGCCTCCCGAATAGCTGGGATTACAGGCGCCTGCCATCATACACCCAGCTAATTTTTGTATTTTTAGTAGAGACGGGGTTTCAGCATGTTGGCGAGGCTGGTCTCGAACTCCTGACCTCAGGTGATCTGCCTGCCTTGGCCTCCCAGAGTGCTGGGATTACAGGCGTGAGCCACTGCGCCCGGCCCCAGCTCTTGTTTCTTTTTTTTTTTTTAATTAGAAATAACTGTGTTGTTTCTTTTGATTAGAAATAACTGTGGTGTTTCTAATTGTATTTCTTATAACTGTATTTCTGTGTTTAGTGATTACTTTTATAATTTTATAGAATACCTCTTATTTTTAGATACTGTTTTTTTCTATGAGCAATAATGAAATTAGTGTATTTCCTATTTTTCTCCTTCCTTCCCGTGTTCTAATTTTAGTTGTTACATTACCTAATGTTTGCTTTTATACTATTAAGTTTTTTTTGTACTTCTCTTTGCTTTGTTAGCTTTAAATAATACTTTTTGACACCTAGTTATTTATATCATCTTCCCCCCATCCATCCTCACCTCTTTTAATTTTTGCTAGGTAGATACTTTATACATTATCTAATCAATGTTCCCACTTTTGTTTTAATCTTACCATTACGTAGATTCAGCTGCCACTGCTAATCCTTTTGCTTTAGTTTTTTCAGATGTCTCTTGGCTAGCTGAAGTTCATCCTCATAGAAATCCTTTCACATGGGCTCATGGGAAATAATTACCTAGATTTCTTGCATGTTTAACACAGACTGCTTATCTATGTGTCTTTTTGTTTTTTGAATAACAGTTTAACTGGGTATGAAATCTTTGGGTTATACCTTCTCTACTTGAGGACATTTTAAGCATTCTTCTGGTCTTACAAGTATAATAATGTGTTTCTGTGGAGAAGTCTGAAACCACCTGATTTGTCCTCCTTTTAAAATTGACTTAGTCTTTTTGCCAGAATGCCCAAAGAACTCTTTTTTATGACCGGTATCAACTAGGGTTGAAATTGTGTTGATTTTTTCTGGGTCAGTTTTTAGGACTTGGTGTGCCCTTTCAATATGTAGATCTAGATCTACTTTTATTTCTGTAATGTTTTCTTGAATATTATTTTTGACTACAGATAGGCATTACTGCATTTCCTTTTCTCGTTCTCTGTAGAGAACATTTTTTTCCCTCTAATTCTTAACTCTTCATTTTCTATTTATTTTTCTCATTTCTACCCCTTGATGTTCCTGTGATTTCTTCTAGTGCTTCTTCTAGTTTTACCTTCATTTTTGTAATAGCTTTTTTTTCCCCTTCCCTTCAGGTTTCATCCTCATTTGTGATCTCATCCTTGTATGTGCTTTTGGACAGTTGCTTCCTTATTTTCTTTAGTATTCATGGTAAATATGTTGATTTATTGAGGCTAGATAGTGGATATATAGTGTTCTGTTATACCATTCAGAACCTACACATTTGTATTTTAACTAGTAAATTTGGTGGTGGTCCTTCTCTTTTTTTTTTAAATTATTTATTATTTACTTTGTTCTTCCTAGCCTTTTCTGGATCAAGTTGCTTTCCTTTCCTCCAGATTAATTTAGAACTTCTATTATGCACCTTTTTGTTCTTTTAGTGGTTACCTTACTTTAGTGTATATCATTAAACATGGTTATTTTATTCTGTCAGAATGAGGGATTGTCTCTGAGTTCTTCCCCTGATACACTTGTTCACTTCCCCCACCCTCCACTGCCTCTCTCTTCAAGTCCTAGTTATTAGGAGATAATTTAGACTTCACATTAAGTTTTTACTGGCAGAATATTGCTTTTGTTTCAAAAACCCATAGTTGCGTTACAGTTCCAGATACAGCATTATCTATTTAGATTTAATTTCGCTTATACATGTTTTCTTGCTCTCTGCTGTTGTTTACACTCTTTATTTTTCTGTTACTGAGATCTTCATTCTTACTATAATTTTTGTTTGTTAGGAGCTCTTCCATGAGTAATTTTCGTTGGACAGTCTTAATGGGTAGTATAGTTTCTGAGCTATTAGACGCCCAAAATATTTTTTCATTTGCCTTTACATATGAATGCTATCTTGGGTGTATATAGGATTTTTAATTTCAGTGTTTTTTTTTTTCTGTTAAGTCTGATTTTTTTTTTTTTTTTTTTTTTTTTTTTTTTTTTGTGCGTGTGGTGGCATTTTGCTCTTGTTGCCCAGGCTGCAATGCAGTGGCACGATCTTGGCTCACTGCAACGTCTGCCTCCTAGGTTCAAGCAATTCTCCTGCCTCAGCCTCCTGAGTAGCTAGGATTACAAGTGCCTGCCACCACGCCTGGCTAATTTTTGTATTTTTAGTAGAGACAGCATTTCACCATGTTGGCCAGGCTGTTTTCCAACTCCTCAGGTGATCCGCCTGCCTCGGTCTCCCAAAGTGCTAGGATTATAGGCATGAGCCACTGTGCCTGGCCAAAGTTATTCTACTTTTTAACTTGCAGTATTGTAGATAAGAAGTCTGGCTTTGTCTCACTATTTTTTTTTAATTTTAATAACCTAGTCTTTCCATTTGGAAGCTTACAACATAATTTCTATTTTTGAAAGCCAGAATTTTTTTGTTTTTTCACCGTACTCCCATCTCTAATTAATCCTGCATCTATTTAAGTGTTTTTTCACTCTATTCCTATCTCTAATTCATCCTGCTTGAGACTTCATGAGCCCTTTCAGTCTAAAATCAAGTCTTATTTAGCCTAGGGATTACTTTCTTCTAGTATTTCTTTGATTGTTTTTTGTTTGTTCCTTTTATTCTTCCTGTGACTTCTGTAATTTTAATATTAGAGTTTTTAGATTTGTCTTCTTACAGTTTTATTAATGATTTTTGGTTTCTTTGGAGTTACTTACATGATATTTATTCTAGACTACTAATTTGTTATTTTCAGTGACTTTTTCACTGCCTCTGAAATATTAAATTGAAAAATTACGGGTTTTTTCATTCTAGGAATTTTTACTGGTAAAGTTGTCATCATTGTTGCCTCCTTCCTTCCTGTCTTCCCTCATTTATTCTGTCCCTATAGTAGGTGCCTATTTAAATTTTTTGGTGTGATTCCCCCTCATCCATTCCTGCATATACTTACATAGTTAATGATCTTTCTCAGTTATATAATGTTACGAGTTACAGAATCTCTCATTACCTATGTCGGTCATACTGTTATCTTTTTTCTCAAATAGAAAAAAATAGAATGAAAGTTATTTCTCTTTTGTGAGCCTGTTGGTCAGTAGCCTGTCACACGAAGAATTTTTGTTTGAATTTGGAAATTGTTCCTTGGAGCAGGGAGAGTTTTCATTTTCATCCCAACTCTGGCTTCTTTCTGGTGCTTTCAGTGTCAGTGAGAGCAGCCTTCCTCCCTGCTCTGTTAGATTCACTTAGGTACTGCTGACTGCTTGGGCAGTTTAAGGATTAGAGGACATTGACCAAGTCCAGTGAAAAGAAATAAACCTTTTCCCAAATCAATGTGTTTTTCACCCTTTCCTTAGAACAATTAAAAAGAAAAAAAAATCCATGGTGGTACATGCTTGTAGTCTCATCTACTCTGGAGGCTGAGGCAGGAGAATCGCTTGAGCCCAGGAGGCAGAGGCTGCAGTGAGCTGAGATTGTACCACTGCACTCCAGCCCAAGTAACAGAGCAAGACTCTGTCTCAAAAAAAATAAAATAAAACAAAATAACTTCACACTTGCTGTTTCTTGATTTTCACATGGTTGGTTACATTACCTGAGGTTTCAGATGAATCTAGATTTATATTCTCCAGGATCCAGCAATTAGTCACAGTTATTTTAGTAGTTTAGGAGCAAGGTAAAGGGGATCAAGAAAGATTTCTCAGTTGTTCATGTTGCATAAGTTCTAATTTAGCCAGAGCTGCTGGTTCTTAGATACTTGATTTTTCTAAATATGTTAGAATTTTATGTTTTGCCTTAATATCTCAGGAATGGACATTTTAAATATTTTTCCTGTTCATACATACTTTTAATACTTCACCCACATATACTAATAAACATGCAAGCATTTATTGGTAAACTTGGCACATTTATATATTCAGTACTTTTTGGTTGAGTGGCTGACACGCACTTCCTGTATAAAGAAGTCAATACACTTAAAAATGTTAAAAAAAAAAAAAAAAAAAAGATCTGACTTCAGCTGAGTCACCAAAACCACAAGCAGTCAAAGTGCTCAAGTCAGTGGCAACAACAACCCATTGCTTTGGGGCATTTTCTCTGTTCATTGGCTCTTCACTTGTTGCTTGGTGTTTTCCTTAGTCTTCTGAGATCGGTTGCTTCATTAGTTGTTCAAAAAATATTTATTGAGCACTTAGAATGTGCAAAACACTATGCTGCATGCTGGGATAAGCTAAATCTACAAGGTCCCCTGCCCTCATAGAATTTACCCTGTTTCTTTAATACAGAGGTGGCAAAGGATTGGCCACATCTGACTCACAGCCATGTTTTATTTTGCTTACACAGCATCAGAAATGTTTTTTGAGCATTCACAAATGAGAATATTCATCTGAATACCTATATTTCCACCTGCTTTAATATACATCTGGCCACCCTGGGCCTTTATTTTCCCATGGCATTCTACTCGTAAAAGCAGCTGCCCCTTTTTGATAGGACTACATGTACCGGTTTGCTTCCATTCTCTAAAAATCCCTGAAACCAAGACCAAATTCAACAGGCATTTATTGTTACAATTGTACTATTCTTTTTTCTTATAAAATAGTTAAGATGAGCTGCATCTTTAGGCATCTGAGTTTGTGACCCATGCATACTGATTATAGTCAGCCTGCTAATTATCTCATAGCCTCTAGAAGAAGCAGAAGAGAAAAAGCCTTACTTACATACTTCACTTTCAACAAAAACAGTAGTAGATATGCACATTGTAATACTACTCCTCAAATTCATTCTAACAAAATGATATCGAATCCAGATTTATAAATGTAATGATAGTTCTGATGTAACATTTGATATTTATTGTTGTATGTTGTCATAGCTGTGTGAATTGGCATTTTCCAGCTTATTTCAATATTGCTGTAGTAAAATTTTGTTTACAATCAGCTAACATTTAGTGCCTTTTACACATTTTCACATTCATTAGATTTATTTTTAATCATCCGTATTAAAGACCATGTGAGATGTAGGTATTATCACTTGCAATTTATTTTATGAAAATGAGGCTCAAAGAGGTTTGTGACTTGTCCAAAGCTCAAGCCTGTTCTTTTTCCATGAGACTGCCTTCATTTGCATTATCTCCTAAGATCTTCACAAGGATCCTAAGAGACAGGTCAAGCAGGTTTTATCATTATTACCACTTAAGATTGCAGAAAACAAACTCAGACTCCCTTCTTGCGAATAATCACGTAGCTAGTGTTCAGAACATACCTGCTCTGTTCCAGGTATCTCACTAGGCATTTGAGAGGTATTATTTATTTCTACCACTACCCTGTGAGGTAGGTACTGTTATCCTGTTATATTCCATAATAAATTGGAAGAGTTGGAGTTTGAAACTAAACTGTAAATTAAAAAAAAAAAAATTGCTACGTATTACCCAGATTGCTGGACTCTTTTATTGCCACTATGAGCCTACATACATTAAAATTTAAACATTTGTCTAATTTTAAAAGTATACAGTAATAAGCTTGAAAATCAGATAAAGATATTAGCTTTGTTGTGTTTTCAGGACTGGTGCTTTTCTCTCCTAGTGATTGAATAGAAATGAACCTGAAATTTTACTTCAAAGTATACTTTATTCTATTTTGGTCTGTATTCAATAGTTCCATTTTTTTTCTTGTTCATGTAGACAACTCATTTAGGAAAATATTTGTTTAGGTTTTAACAAATCAGTGTAATTGATTTTAAGTTTTAGTTTATTGTTGATTTGTGACAATGAGAGGGCATAGGAAAATTATCTTAGTTTGATTTCATGGTTGGGAAATAACTTGGTAATCTAATAATTTCCTAGACAACTTGTGTGACTACTTGTGGCTTGTTAGGTAAATACTCAATACTTATAAAATACTTAATCCTGAGTTAGCTTTTTAAGGTAAGTTAGGAGCAAAAAGGCCCAAGAAAGCTATGTCTAGGTGTGGAATTAGTGCTCCTTTTGTATATTGTAGCTTTTAGAGTTTGTGATTTGTGTTCCATTTTATTTTAGTTACATTTTCTTGGCGAATTCACCGAATTTCGATTTCCAGAATATTCCCAAGAGTATAAACTTTTTTTAAAAAGTCATCATCAAAAGAGTAACAAATTTTATTTCCTCCTAAAGAATAGTCTTAATTTTGCATTAAGTTTCTAACAGTGCAGATGAAGAGTAGCTACATGTTTAACGATCAATTCTTAGTTACATTTAAACTAGAGAGGCATTGAAAAAGTAATTTTCAGTGGCATCTAGGCAGAGAAGCCCAGATTAATAAACGTTATTCCCATATTTTTACTGATATATTTATCTTACAGTGAAAATGGCAACTTCCCTTTGTTAAATATCATTTCTAAGCCTATTTATATTTGAGTACAGTAATAGCTCATGGATCTGTAATTGAAAGAATTAGTTAATGTTACGTTCTTTTATACGTATAAGAGATAACTTAATATCTGAAAGTATTTATTATTAAAACTTGTGAGCCCCAACTTTTTGTTCTTTGAGTAATTGCTTTTCACTAATGTTGTAAATTTTTTTAATTCTTGATTTTTCTAGGGATTATTTCACATTTCAGCTGCTTTTGTTTTCTACTGCTATCATTGAGGGTTCAAGAACAAAAAATAAGTCTTCAGGTAAAATGCCTGATCCATAATAGCGCTTGGCGTTGTATTTTGCTGAAAAGATCATATACCTGTTTGGATGCTTGATCTGAAAATAAAGTTGTGATGATTATGAAATTTTCGCATGAAGTTTCCTTGGCTGCCTAACAAATTCAGTCTTATTTGTTGGTTTGGTTTTTTGTTTTTTTTTTTAAAGAATTTTGGCTGTTTGCTTTTTTTTTTTTCCATGTCGTCTTGATCTGCAATAACTATATGGATATGTGCTTGGACCTGCTAAGTATTTTAATTTTGCATATTTGGCTGCTTGAATTTTAAGTAATTTCTTTGGACAATGCAAATTTTAAGAGCTTGAGAAGCTGTAAGTGAAATATCAAGTAACAGAAGTTTGTAACTAGTTTATAAATGTATATTCATTACCTATTATATATTTTAAGGTTTCATATTTTACCAAAATTAAATTAAAAATTCAGTTTCTCAGTTGCACAGGCCACATTTCAAGTGCTGTTTTCAGGCCATATGTGGCTAGTGGTTACCATTGTGGACAGCACAGATAAAAGATGTTTTTTCATCACCGTCCATAGTTCTATTGGACAGAGCTGTTTTAAATTGTGTAAGCAGTTAATTGTAAGGTCGTTTCAGTTATTTTATCCAGAAGATAAAGCGTGTGACCAGTCTTGAGAGTACTTCCTCTAAATATGTAGCTTGAGTATTTAAAACTTAGTTGTTTAAAACAGTCCAGTTGCTTTGGTATTTACGTTGCTTTAAAGTGAAATTGTTTCTTGTAGCAGAATTCATGAAGTAGGAAAAATGCCAAGGACTTAGTCTAAATTTGAATCCTGACCTCAGGACTTAGTAGTTTAGTAACTTCTGGTAAGTTACTTTACTTCTTTGAGCCTCAGTTTCCTTATGTGTAAAATGAAGGTAACAATAGTTACTTCATAGGATTAACATGTGACTTAAATATGTCAAAAGCACATTAAAAAGTACACGTTTTTAATCCTTTTAAAATATAGAATGAAGCCAAAACATAAATTAATTAGACAGTGTCATATGCTTGGAGTTGTTCCCAGCCTGGCAGTTATAATAGGCGCCTAAGTTCCTGGTCTTCATGGAGTTATTTGATGACATTGTTCAGGTTTGAAACAAGTGGAATACCAAGATGGAGAGAAAAAGAAATAGGAAGATGACTGACTTTGTTTTTGGAGAGGTGCATGAAGTACTATCTGATAATAACTAACATTTTGTATAGTGTTTTTTTATAACTTATAAAGTTTTTTCACACAATTCTTTAAAATTTCATCTCTAATATTTTGAGTACTTTTAACAGAAGAATAAAAGGAAACTTGAGGTTGACGAACATTTTTGTTCGTGAGAATGGAAATTCATATTAAGTTTTCAACTTTAAATCTTAGGCTCTTTCTACTTAAACAAGCTATTCTTTGATAGCAGTCGCATTTGTGAGGCAGGCATATATTTCAGAATCTCCAGGGGTGGGACTCAGGTACATATAATTTTTTGGTATATGTTGAAAATGCACCCATTGAAGTGATTCTAGTGCCCACTTCTGGTTAAAAATCGTAATCATTGCTCTTTTCCAGTCTTTTAACTTTTCTTTTCCTGTAATCAGTACATCTAAATTAATGCATAGATTACATGAATAAGACAAGGCATTAAACTGATAAGCAATGCGCTCATTTAACTTTTACTACTCTAGATGTTGAGGTATGAGCAATAACACTTTTTAAAAAGCAACATGTTTAGTTCCCTGTTGACAATCTCTTGTGTCTCCATTGATCATAGCTTGTGGAGGAGGAATCCAGACTAGCCAACTATGGTAGTTAAATCTGTGAGTGTTCCCTTCTCTGCTTCTTTAATGAGTTTTGGCTAGTTAGTAGTCTACCCCAAGATATTCCAGTTCTGAAGTGTTGACTCCTTAATCCCTGTGGGTGTTATCTTCATAAATGTTTTCAACTGATCTTTAGATTTTTAATCTTTTCCCAACTGTCTTGAAGATGCTTTAGTATCCTGGGTTTAGTGGTATTTCCAGGTCCTGTTTTTAAGTATGAATGTATCACATTACTAACAAGTCTTTCACAATTGTGAAATGTAGTTACCTATGTGAAGGCAAAAGCTCAAAACTTTCCTCTGAATGAAAGTGTCATTATAGGGGTGAGAGAGGGGACTACTCTAGCAAACCCCCAGGTAGGCAAAAATTAATCACATTCCACAGTGAATTTTCAAAACTGAAAATATTTTTAAACATACAAAGACACATTCTAGTGGAAACAAGACTTTAAAATGTGAAAATTAAGCATTTGCTATGTGAAGCTGTAATCATGAGGTTTTGAAGTCAGAGTGAACTATCTTCTAACTCAGAGTTGCTTATCAAAATGCAACTGATCAGTGGCTACAATATGTTAACATTAGCTTTTAATTTTCTGAGCAGAGATTATGTCACTAGAAGCTATTTTTAGTGGATATTAGGCTGTTTCTGCACTGAAATCAGTGTGTTCGGGATGTTTTTGTATACAGGTATACTTTTCTTGAACAGAAAATACAATTCTGAAGTACAGTTCTGATTATTTTTTATTGCTAGGGTTTAAGGGAGCTTATTTTTTAAATGACTTTAACCCAGCATTCTGAATTACACTAAAAAGATTGTTTAAACTTAGTACCTGCAAAGCATCTGAGGGATAAGTCTCGCCCCTGTCAATTTTAAAATAGCATTGTGTTCTTAAAATATGTATCATTCTGTTAATTATAGGCAGGTTGGATTTGTCTTTGTTGTACTATAAATTTTCTTATAAATAGGATAAAATGTAGACCTTTTAAAATATTCTCATCTCAAAGACTTTGAAGAGCTCTGAAAATGAGATGCGTCTAAAATCGATGTTGCATCATAGTTTGGTGGAAGCATTTTTTTTTTACTTGGTGGTATATAAAGCTAATGGTGCATATTATGACCATTGATGTTTTAGGTTTGATAAAAAGTGGTGGTTAACTTTTTGAAGGTGGTTGTGAAACTTACACTCACATAATTCTTTGATAAGAATGGTATACCTTTGTGATGAAAAAATACGTAAGTGGTGAGAATATACCATATTACTTGGAATTATAGACCTTTACCAGGTTTTTTTAGTGTCTCCTTTAGATCCTTTTTCTTTTTGTTCTCACTGCTATCAGTTAGATGCTTCACGTTAAACTTGTTCCCTATCTGAATCTCCTATTGAAAGATACTAGAACAATAAGAGAAAAATGGAGATCAAGAGAATGAGAAAAGGCATGGGGTGCAGGATGGGGTAGGAGTAGTGGGTAGGATCTCTAGGGCCAAGAGAAAAAAAAATGGGGAAAGGGAGGGCACTTCAGGGAAGTGGTAATAACATTTTCCGTTTATCCAGCTTTGCTTGTCCAGAAATCTTTACCTGCTTAAGTTTCTGACTGTAATATATTAGCTTGTGAGCTGCCCAGTAGTTAGCTCAAATCACTCCTAACGTATTCAGTCCATTCAGCTGATATAAACCCTTCTTGCTGAGGCCTTTGCTTATTCTGCAGAAGGTGCCCTGTTACCTCCTCCAGCATTCTGAGTAAATCATCTCCTGGTATCTTCTCTTATGTAGACCAAATAGAGTCTGTGTTCCTTCTTAATGTGCAGTCTCAAATGAATAATTAAAGGGAAGAACCACTTCTTATAGAATGAATTTTTCTGCAGGGTACTCTTACAGATAATGTACACAATCAAATTTGTTGGTTGGTTTTTATAGGAGGAATGGGCATATCAAACAAATACTTAACTTTAGAAAATGTCCCTGCCTTTCTGTTTCTTTCAGAATTTACGTAGAGATTGATGCAGTCTTTACCGTTTAGCATATTTGATTTTTTATTTTGAAAAGCAGTAATTTGTTTATTTATAATATAAATTCATATTGCATGTTCCTGCTTTAGCTTTCCATTCTGTAAACGAAGAACATATACTCTGGAGCAGTTTGTCCATGTTCTTCAGTAATGGCATGTTTTATTCTGCATTTAAAAAACAGTCACAAAGTAAATCTGGCTTACATACTCTATTTTAAGCAAACTGCTTTTAAAAATTAAAATTTAGCATTAGAATATAATTTAAATTTTCAGTATAAAACATGGATTGAGAGAACCTTAACATTTTTTCAAAAGGAACATTTGCATTATAAAGAGATTTACCCTTGAAGATTTTAAGCACACCATAGAGTTTTTTGTTTGTTTGTTTTTAAATACCCTGCAGATCCTTTTGGAAGCCACTCTAATTAATGCCTGGAGTAGGCTTGCCATTGTCATGGAAAAAGATTATGAAGAATTGCTGCATCCAGTTCTGAAATCCTCAGATTTCCAAAAGTCTCTTTCAGAATCTATACAAAAGTTTTGATATTCCTTTGCATTTTCTTGAGTTAAGCAACTTTTTAAAAGTCCCACATTTGGGGTGATTTCTTGAACTTACCCAATTTTATTATTTTATAATTTTTAAAATTATAATTTTATTTTCATGTCTTTTTAGCCACATTACACTGTAAAATTCTTTGAACTATCTTGGTCACACTAAAGGAAAATAAATTCATGGTACAAATAACTAGCTTATTGATAAAGTTATAGAGCAAAATCTGCCCAATTTGGGTGATTCTGTACTGTTTTTGCTTACTGTAATGCTTCAATAAAATAGAAATGAAAACGTGAGACAATGGAAGTAAAGGTAAACATTATTCAGTCATTTATGAATAGTATTTCAAATACACGTGCTGAGTTTTATGTATTTCTGGCGAAAAGATATGCCAAGTAAGGTGGAATCACAACTTTTTATCAGTTAGCATTCACGTAATTCTTTTTTCAATTTGATGGATAATTTTATTGTCCTGAATTCATTTTCTCTTTCTTCAGAGGATGTACTGAGTAAAGATGCTGGGGAATGTGCAATATGCCTTGAAGAATTGCAGCAGGGAGATACTATAGCACGACTGCCTTGTCTATGCATATATCATAAAGGGTAAGTTCACCAAGTTGGTATTAGAGTAAAAGATTGTTCTCACAGTTTCAGACATTGTAATTAGGGCTGAAAAGGAATCTTCGTTGAAACCACCCCCTCCCTGTCTCACACACACTTCTTAAAACTTAATGATCTTTTTTCTCTATTTGAACTAAGACTTGAACCCACATCTGTTTGTATCCAAAAGGCTACTATTTTTAAAGCATTTGCTATGACCCAGCTGTTGTCCATAGCTTCTTGAATAAATTATCTCATGTAAGCCTTGTAACCATTGCATTTTACAATTGAGAAAATAAGCTAAGGGACAGTATGGAATTGCCCCAAGGTTACAAGGCTAGTAAATGGCAGAGTTGAGATTCCAGTAGATTTGGAATCTGCTTGACTCCAAAACCTGTCTGCTTTCTCATATGGTCTTCTTGCTTTTAGAGTGATACAGGAAAAATTTGGGGTTAAAAAAAAAAAAGTTTAAGGTAACCACAAAAAGAAAACTATAACTTTCAACCTGATGAAAATACAGTACTTAAGTTAAGATGAGGTGGGGGAAAACTTAGAGAAAACAGAGGAAATAAAACAAAATATGGATACAAAAATATATCCAAATATATCAGTTATAATAAATACACATAGAACAAACCCACTGGTTGAAAAACAGATTGAAAGGTTGGGATAGGTAGTTGATAAACAACACATTTGAACATAAGTATACATAACATTTGAAAGTAAAAGGATAGAAAACTATATCCAGGCAAATATTAACTAAAAGAAACTACAAAGCTAAACTAGTATTAGACAAAGCAAACTTTACAGCAAAAAGCATTATTAGGGATAGAATTCCTATAGAATGACAAAAAGTATATAACATTGTATTTTTTTTTTTTTTTTTTTTTTTTGAGACGGAGTCTCGCTCTGTTGCCCAGGCTGGAGGGCAGTGACGTGATCTCGGCTCACTGCAAGCTCCGCCTCCTGGGTTCACGCCATTCTCCTGCCTCAGCCTCCCGAGTAGCTGGGACTACAGGCGCCTGCCACCATGCCCGGCTAATTTTTTATATTTTTAGTAGAAACGGGGTTTCACCGTGTTAGCCAGGATGGTCTTGATCTCCTGACCGCATGATGTGCCCGCCTTGGCCTCCCAAAGTGCTGGGAATAACATTCTATTTTTATGTATCTAATAACATCTCAAAATATTTATAAAACCCTCAGACGAAACTGACAAATTTATCATCATAATGGAACATTTCACTACGCCTTTCATTGAGTCAAGCCACATACACAAAAAATGAATCAAGACCTAGAAAAATAGAGCAATGCAGTTAAGTTTGATCTAACTGATGTGTATATGTATTTGTATCTGTGCCCATCAATTGATTAGAGAATACATATTTTTCAACCACACATGAAGTATTATAGAAATTGATCATGTCCTAGAACATAAAGCAAATCGCAGCAAAGTACAAAGAATTGGTACCATATAGGATGCTGTACACTGACTACTATTAGATGTCACTAATAAAAAGATAAATAACCCTCATACATACTTTTGAGTAACTTGTGGATCAAAGAAAAAATCATCATGGAATGAAGGAAATACTCAGAACTGAATAACAGTGATGTTTTTGGCAAGTACCTAGAGTGATCCTCACAAGGTTCATGTTACAGTAGAAAGAAAGGCTGAAAACCCAATAAGCCAAGTTTCTTACTTAAGAAATCAGAAAAGTAACAGGAGAATAAACACAAAGAAAATAGAAAAAAATAGTGAAGATCAGAGAAGAAAATAAATTTTAAAATGACACACTAGAGACCCACAGACCACCAGTTGGTTCAGAACAGGATTGTTCTGAAAAAATGAGGAATGTGAATTCAGACACAGAAGAAATTAAAAATAATGAGAAAAAACAGGCCTATAGAGACAATGTAACAATGAGTTCTACCAGATATCCAAAGAACACCATGCTAACAACCTTAGATTCTTCCAAGAAGTAGAAAAAGATGGAAGGTTCTCCCATTTATTTTATGAGAAAAGTATAAACTTGATACAAACTCAGATAAGGACAGTACAGGAAAGAAAATTAGAAAACAGTCTCATGAACATAGATATAACAGTCCAAAAACATATCAACAAACCCAACTCAACAATAAGTATCTAACAATATATATCTAAAATAATGCCTCATGACCAAGTTGCATTTATGCTAGGGAATGCAAAGAAACTGTAAGACAGAAAATGTATAGATGTAATTTACTACATTAACAAAGGAAAGAAACATTAACTCAATAAATGTGAGAAAGCTTTCAGTAAAATTCTATCCTTGCATATTAATGATTTAAAAATAAAAGCTAACAATAAATATTGGATAAATTATTAAAATTTGTGAGAGTTCAGCAGGGTTGCCAGATATGAGATCAACCTATGGAAATAAGTTGCATTCATATTGCAACAAGAAAAAAGGAAATATCTCTTAAACTATAACATTAATGTCAACAGAGACTAAAAGGACTATAAGGCTTATAAGGATTAAATTTTATAAAAGATATGTAAGACTTTAGATAAAATTTGAAAACTTTATTGAAAGATATAGGTAATCTGAAATTAATCTGGACATCTACCATATTGTGGATAGAAAGACTCAGTGTCATAATGATGTCATTTTACCTCAGATTGATCTATATAGTTAATACTACCTTAGTCAAATCTCAACTGGTTAGTTCATGTAACTTGACAAGTTGCTGCCAAAACTGCATGGGAACCAATGAGTGAAGGGCCAAGAACAGTTAAGACACTCATGAAGAAGAACACCATGTTGGTGGGACTTGTCCTGTACAGATTTATTATAAGACCATATTAATTAAGACAGTATGGAAATGGCACAGGTGAGCCAGTGGAACGGAATGGAGTCCATAAACACTTGTGCCTATCTGGAGAGACAGCATAGCATGAGAGTTAAGAGCATGGACTTTGAAGTCAAGACACTCAGCATTTGAATCCCAGCTCCTCCACTGATTCTCTGTGTGATCTTGGTCAAGTTGTTTTTTTCTCTCAAGTTAGTTTTTTTCTCTCTCGATTCATAAGATGAAGACAATAGAAACAACTTCATAGAGTATAAGGGTATAAACAAGTGCTGGCACATACATAATAGATGCTATATAAATGTTGAATAAATGAAAAAAATTGATTTGCCAGAGACGAAATTACAGTATAGGAGAGAAAGAATGAACTATTCAATAAATGGTGCTGGGATCAATTGGTTATTGATATGGAAAAACAGTTGAGTCCTTATCTTGCATTTGAAATAAAAGTCAATTCCAGGTTGACTAAATACCTGCCTCTGGAACCAAAATCTAAAGTGGTGAGGAAAGAAAATCGTGGAAATGTTTTTGACTTCTTGGTAGAGAATTATTTTTTGTCTGGGATACACTTCTCCCCAAAAAATAATTTCAAGATTGATAAATTTGGCTATATTAAAATTTAAAACTTATTTGTATCATGACCCAGCAAAAAAGTAAAAAACTAGACTTTATACTAGGATTGTTTTTCAACACACATAATAAAAGAGGTTTGGTATTGGAAATAGCGTTCTCCCTCTATGACTTTCTGTAATGCAGTGAACTCATTGCATTTGGTAAATGGGAGAGTGAAGACAATATAATAACAGGATCTTACTGGTTCTACATAAGATTTTCCAGCACATTAATGTTCTGCTTCATCAGATAACAGCAGATGAAAGTATATGCTAACAACGAGCTATATAAGAATACAGTATACCCATCTCCCCATGTTCTTACTCTTAGTTTAATTAGACCATGGGCTTTGCTGTGGAGTCCTAATATTTCACAGTTCTCACAATTTGTGCATTAGCTTTTTTCTTCATAACTCAGCAGTCTCAATCCTACCTTAATCCTCTTTCTGTAAGGCTAACTTCACCATTTTAAAAAAACGTATTTACAGTCGTGTTCTATTTATTAGGAATGAGCATGTCTTTGTTCTGGTGATAAAACTGTGTTATTTGAGTAGTCTGCCTTTAACCTGACTTTTCCCACAAGCCCTGTTACTTTAGCTTAAAGTTTTGTGGAAAGCAGTGTTTATCAAAAGCCTGTATATTATAACTGAAATACCTGGATAATAGTTTCCTAGAAAACTATCAGTTAATTCAGAAAAAAGGACCCTCAATTGGCCAATAAATAATACAAATAGGCATATTTGGTAGATAACCCTGTAATAGCTGTGTGGAGTACATATTCTACAACTCAGTAATTCCACCTCTACATATATGCCCTAGAGAAACTCTTGATCTTTTGCTCTAAGACAGTGCTACTATTCAAAGTACAAGTCCAGAAGGCAATAAAGAGTTTCTGCCAGTTAAATCAACACTATGCTTCTTTCATTGAGAAAGCCTTGCTGTGATTTTTTAAAGTCATTTGAAACAGTGTGATTAGTGAGGAAATTAACTTGTATTTGGGCGCAAACTCCTTATCTCAAAGAATGTTCATAGCATCATTGAAAATGTCCATCAGTGAAAGAATGTATATGTAAATTGTTTATATTTATATAATGGAATGTTGTACACAATGAAAATGTAAAAACAGGCCAGGCGCAGTGGCTGACACCTATAATCCCAACACTTTGGGAGGCTGAGGTGGGTGGATCACCTGAGTTCAAGACCAGCCTGACCAACATGGTGAAACCTTGTCTCTACTGGAAAAAAAAAAAAATTAGCTGGGTTTGTGGCAGGTGGCGCCTGTAATCCCAGCTACCCAGGAGGCTGAGGCAGGAGAATTGCTTGAACCCGGGAGGCGGCAGAGTTTGCAGTGAATTGAGATGTTGCCACTGCACTTCAGGCTGGGCGACAGAGCAAGACTCCGTCTCAAAAAACAAAAAGCGAAAATGTAAAAGCAAGAGACTTACTAACAATTGCAAATCTCAAATTGAGCAAAAAAAGCAAGTTACAAAAAGCATAATGCTGTTTTATGGTAGCATTTATATAAAATTTTAAACATGGAAGCAGTACTATATGTTGTTTTAGAATATACACATATATAGTTATATAGAGTAAGAAGATGCCTAGAAATGAAAAATACCAAATTGAGAATAGTGCTTTCCTGCTAGGTCTGAGAGAAGGGAATATAATCATGTAAATAACAAATGAATATAGCCTAGAATGGAACATATGTAGATTGACAGACGTTTATGTGAAGAGGACCTGGAGTTTTAAATGATTACTTTCTCATGATGAGCCAGAGTTACCTGGTTGTAAAATAAGGAGTACTCATGTTAGCTCGCAAATAGATACTATTCAGATATATTATGAATTAACACATCTGGAGTATTTTATTTGATGCTCAGAATTTTGTTTTAAGAGGTTTTCTGGTAGACACAGTGGAACTTCCAGGGCCAAGTGGTAGAGAGCAGGCTGAAAACAATGTCTTAAGCCAAACTGGCTATATATTTCGAGAACAAAAGTCTTAATGGCAGCTGAAATTCAGATATTTGAAAGAACCTGTTGATGTGGTACTCTACCTTTTTTCTTTTTAGTTTCATCTTATCACTTTTACCTACCAAACCAACCTATCTGGACATGAGGATGATAAATGTTAATTTTGCCCTTCAGTATATTAACCAAGTCTTGTAGCTTTGCGGCATATGCAAATTTGAAATATGTCACCAATGAAAATGTTGAACAGGTTGAATCCTGCTTGGATAACTTGCTAGCTGTTAGGCAAGTAATAGCTAGTTAGTAGACCTTGATTTTTTCACCTATCATGGTACTGTGAAATAGAACTTTCTACCATAATGGAAATGTTCTATATCTATGCTGTCCCCTAGAGTAGTCGTGAGCCATGTTGCTGTTGAGTGCTTGAAATGTGGCTAGTGTGACTGAGGAACTGGATTTTTTTATTTTATTTCAATAAATCTTAAATAACCAGTGTGTGGCTCTTGTCTACTCTGTTGGACAGTGCAGATCCACAATGACGATGATCATATGCACCCTAATATTTAGCTTCTAATAAAATAAGATCATAAAATACTTCCTAAATACAAATGATTAATGTATATTTATTTGTGTATGTATATGTATTACATGGTGGGATAGGATTTAAATATTCAATAATCACATATAAATATAGCTTTAAAAATGAAATATTGGCAAGGATTAAAATTTAAAAGCCGTTTTTTAATACATTTATAGGTGACATGAACAGGTTGATAATGTGCATAAATGAATAACTGTTTTGAAAAGAAAAATTATGCAAATTTGTTATTCAGTTTTGAATATTGGTAAAGTGGTAGTTCAGATTATCTTTTGGAAGTAGTTCTGTTTGAACTTTAAAGTACTTTATAGCATAATTTTGCAAAGGTTTTTTTCTTAATCGCTTAGAATCAAAATATAATAAACATTCTTATCTGTTGCTTATGTATGCCAAATATAATTTAAAATGCTCATTTTTTTCTGTAAAAAATATATTAAAGTCAAGTATTTTTACTGTGGCTCTCATTATATAAATAATTAGTATAAGTATCTCAATTTTTCTGGTTTTGTTCCTTTCTAGCTGCATAGATGAATGGTTTGAAGTAAATAGATCTTGCCCTGAGCACCCTTCAGATTAAGCGTCAGCTTCCTGTTTTATAGGTAATTTTTTTTGTAATTACTTTTTAAAGCGTTAGCCCAAATTATACATTCTAAACTATAATTTTTATTTATTCATTTACTCATTGAGGTGCATGAGTGTGTATGTGTATGTTTCAGACACTTAGGCTACTGCATAGAAAACTTACATTAAAAATATTGTATAATTCTAATTGTTGGCTGGGTATGCTGGCTCGCGCCTGTAATCCCAGCACTTTGGGAGGCCTCAGGCAGGTGGATCACTTGAGGCCAAAAGTTCAAGACCAGCCTGGCCAACATGGTGAAACTCTGTCTCTACTAAAAATACAAAAATTAGCCAGGCTTGGTGGTGCACACCTGTAATCCGAGCTACTCGGGAGGCTGAGGTACAAGAATCACTTGAGGCTGGGCATGGTGGCTCACACCTGTAATCCCAGCACTTTGGGAAGCCGAGGCGGGCGGGTCACGAGGTCAGGAGATTGAGACCATCCCTGGCTAACACGGTGAAACCCCGTCTCTACTGAAAATACAAAAAAAAATTAGCCAGGCCTGGTGGCGGGTGCCTGTAGTCCCAGCTGCTTGGGAGGCTGAGGCAGGAGAATGGTGTGAACCCAGGAGGTGGAGTTGGCGGTGAGCTGAGATCGTGCCACTGCACTCTAGCCTGGGCGACAGAGCGAGTCTCCTTCTCAAAAAAAACAAAAAACAAAAGAGAATCACTTGAACCCAGGAAGTGGAGGTTGCAGTGAGCCGAGATCATGCCACTGCACTCCAGCCTGGGTGACAGAGCAAGACTGTCTCAAAAACAACCAAACCAAAAAATAATAATTCTAATCATTTAGTATTATCATGTGCCAGGTGTTGTTGTAAGCATTTTACATCTATTAGTAACTTGTCTAATTGTTACAATAACCGTTTTGAGCTCAGTACCATTACTGTTCCTATTACGCAGATGAAGAAATTAAGTATAGAGAGGTTAAGAAACTTGACTTTTCAAGTTCAGATAACTAGTTTGTTGGTGGGGATGAAATTTGAACCCAGGTATTCTGGTTCCAAAGACTGTTCTTAGCAATTTTGCTCTTTTTAGGTAGGAACATTTTCTTCAAACAGTCGCATCATAAATTTATTCATTCAATTTAATCATTCACTTTTATATCTTTAGCATGTAATACAGTGCCTGTCTATATAGTAGGCAAAAAATAAAGTTGCATTTTACGACTGAAAAAAAAACTAGTTTTGTTCTACTGATTTAAGTTTTTCATGGTTCTGCATTATCTGAAAATGTTTAGTGAATTGAATGCTGACCTCAATTGGGTATTTTCATAGGGCTTTTTTTTTTCACATTTCACAAGTGCATTAAATTGACATCATTTAGCTTTGAAAAAATAAAGGTTAACTTAATTGCTATCTTCAAATATATGAAAAGCTTTTATGAAAAGACTTGGAGAGATGATATAAAGCATTGGATTGTTATATCAAGGCAGAGCATTTTAGCTAATCCTAGAATTGTTTCAGGAGTGAGAGTCTCTTTGTTCAGGGACTCAAGACAGTAACAGCCGGCTTTTCTAGGAGGCTGAGACTGATGGCAAGGAACTAGACCAGATGACGTCCAGAGGTCTAGTCCTGTGTGGTACCATTTCCTTTTATTTCAATAACTTCTCTTAAATTTGAGAATAAAAGTGTTGAGGTAATAAACACCCTCAAGGAATTCTGTTGCTGTATTGGTGGAAGATGATTTAAGAGTAGCAGATTAGAATATTGACAGAGAAGATTTGAGATAATAGCAGCAATAGCACCTGAAATGAGAACTGCAGTTGAGTGTCATAAGACTACGCATGTGCATGTGAAATGTGGAAGCCTTGGTAGACTGCAGAGTACTAAAAGACTGCCAATTTTAACCTTTCCTGTGAACTTACTTAGATCATGCCTTGACACATTTAAAATATGAATTGAGGCTGAACACTAATTGCTTGAGATAAGGAGTTTGAGGCTGCAGTGAGCTATGAACACACCAGTGCACTCCTGCCTGGGTGACTTAGCAAGTCCCTGTCTAAATAAATAAATAAATAAAATGTGAATGGAAGTAAGAATGCTAGGTAAGAGAAGTATAGTGGTGGAGTGGTATTTTGAATATATGTGCACATATGTTTTTATTTCACCATAGAAAAGGTTTGGAATGCCTTCATTGTCACCTTATGTTTGAGACAAAACGAAACTGTGGCTAAAATTATAGAAGCATTTTAAGGGAAGTACTGAAACTGATGCTAACAAAATGAAATTTTTGTCTTAGTATTTTACATGCCAAAGTAATACATCTAAATCCTTCATCTATAGATAAAATTTGTCTTTTTAGTCTTTCTTAGTGCATTTTGGGCTGCTATAACAAAATACCTTAGATGAGTAATTTATACATGACAGAAATTTAGTGCTCACAGTTCTGGAAGCTGGGAAGTCTAAGATCAAGGTTCCAGCCAGTAGATCTGGTGTCTGATGAGGGCTCATTGCTCATTTATGGCACCTTCTGTGTGTCCTCACGTGGTGGGATAACAGACTCCCTCAAGCTTCTATAAGGATACTAACTGCATTCATGTGGTCAGAGCCCTCATCACCTAATCATGTCCCAAAGGCCCCACCTCTTAATACTATAGCACTGCAGATTAGGTTTTAACATAGCAATTTTGGGAGTACACAAACATTTAGACCATAGAGCTGATAAGCTTTTTTTTTTTTTTTTTTTTTTTTTGGTGAGGTGGAATTATATTGTATAAATTTTTTTTCTTTCATCAGCTAAATTTTTCCTTTAGTGTCACAGTGAGCTTATGGGATATGTGGAGCATACATCTCATCTCATAGCTGAAATGCATATGTCTGTTGGTCTTCAACAACATTTCCATTTTCTTATGTTACATATGAGTGTTATATTTGCTTATTTGTTTGTTTTCGAATATAGAACCTGAATTTGAAACTAGCCTACTACATGGGCAGGGTGAACTCTGTTAATCAGGTGTCTACAGAAATCTGAACCAATGGAGTCTGCTTCTGTGGGTCTTGAAGAGTCATTTTTAAGAGTTTATAGACATGGAATATCTTGACTTGTACATTTTTGCTTCTGTCCTGACTGTTCTTATTTATCAAGTGATAAATTCTTGTATACCTTTTAATAGTCCTAGATTAAAGGTATATGGGTTTGAGGAGGATTCAGTGTTGTTAAAACATTTTGTAAGGCACTGTGTAGCCATAAAGCTCAACGTTTCTGATATCCTTCAGCATAAGAATTTAATAATCAACCCAAAATAGAGAGACATGAATATTTGTGGTCTTGATTAGTTAGAAAATTGCTGTACTTATTTTGGGGTTTTTAGTTATTTGGGAGAAATATTTTAAATCTCCGTGTGTGTGCATTCTTTACTTGCGTGTAGTCCTTATTGTGAAAGGGGGATGACTTTGTTATGTATTTTTTGTGACTAAACTTTAATTGATCCTTCTGTTTCTTAATCTGTTCTTCTCCAGATCACTGATTTTATGAGTTTTCAGAATAGTAAGTAAGGGTATGAAGACTTACAGTAACTAAAGCAATGTTCATGGGGAAATCTATTTTTACACAGGTTTTCTTGTCTTGACAAGATGCTTGAAAAACCAAGAGGATATGAAAATCTGTCTCTGGAGAAACAAAGACGCAGGCATACTCAGCCAGAAATCTGAGTTTTGTGAGACTTGGTAATACAGAGATGGACAATCGTACTGGGGTAAAAAAACCCTGCTGAAGAGAGGACAGTGACCACAGAACTCAGTGTACCAAACATGCATACAAAGGACACACAGGGATTTTGAAAATGCTGCACATCCCTTAATAGTCATCTACATAGGTAATACTGATAAACATTTTGTATTCAGACGCCAAAGTTAACTGATTTAAAAGTTGATTTACTTTTTATTAAGTTCTCCAGAGCTGCACAACTAGTTATGTTTTGATTTGTTTTGTTTTTTAATTTGGGGTCTCTTTGTTTTCCCCAACATAATGTTCATAATGTTTCTGCATTCATCTGTTCTTAAATTGAAAAACATATAATTTACTTCTTATAAATTGAAGTCTTAAATGTGAAACCAAGAAATGTAATCAAGCAGTAAAAACATCTGAATGTAGACCATGATCTCAAGTTCTTCCATTTTCTCCCCCACGAGTGGAAAATAGACTTCTACATAGGAAAGCTAAAATATGTTAATATTTTTAAATTAAAGGTTTAATATCAGAATGCAGTCCAAAGAGCAAATCATATTACATAATTACATTTTAATTAAATATAGAATATTCTACTGAATTGCAATTTATTAAATATTCTTATCCTCTTAAATAAAACTGCTCAACAGTTAATCAGCAGTGAATCATCTTGCAGCTATGCAATTTAAAAAAAATACAGATTACCAATTTCAAGTGCTGCCAGCTAAAATAACTGTTTTAACGGGTATCTTTTGTTTGTTCTTTTCACTTAATTATTTTATTGTGCTTTGCATCTCCAGGCAGTTCTCTCACATTTGGGTAAAATGTTTAGCAGGCTGTAAACTTAAGAAAAGGGTAAAATAAAATTTTCTGGAGAGGAACTTGGAATTTGAGGGAGATTTTATATACCTTTAAAAACTGTAATTTAATTGGGATGCCAGGTTTATAGCAATTTGCAACTTTAATTTTCCAGATAATCTGGAGGTTAGCATTTGATAAATGATTTTTTAAAGTAGATATGAAGATTTTGTTAATTTATAATTTATTCATGTGTTATTACTGTAATTGAAAATGTTATAGACACTTTTAAATTCAGTTTGTGTAGAAAGAAATGTGTTAAACAAAATTATGTTAATAAATATTCCCACATAATACATCTGAATGGTTAAAAATACTGGAAGAGTTGTCAGGGCTACAATAGTGAATGTCCTTTTTTTTAATATCAAAAATATCGATAAGTAGGTTTTGTGTTTTCAACGTAGGGAAAATGTTATCAGTGAATAGGTGGTGTACTTTACTTGGTATAATTTAAAGTTGCACAGTAAGTACTGTTTCCTTATTTTAATCTTTCTTTACTCATAATGTATTTAAGAATTTGCTGTTTTATTTAACGCTGCTACTCTTAATCTTCTCTAAATTTTTCCCCCTACTTTCTTGCTTCTGTTTCACATTTTTTAAAAGGGCAAGTACAGGAGCAACTGCTGCTACCCAGAAAAATGTGTGTATTATAAATAATTAAAGAGTTTTTAATTGCTTTCTGTATGATTCCAGCTCAGATAACATTTTCCCTGAAGTTATGCTGTGAAATGCCTTTTGTTATGCTGCAATTGCTAAAGGAATCCAAAACCTCCATTGTGACAGCTGAAGGCACAGTTTAATAGGTGCTTTTTTACTAGTTATGAAAAATATTCGTCCCTTAAGGAAACGATTCTTTTTCTGTTTTTTTCTGTTACCATGAAGTCTTAATTTGATTTCATTTTATTTCACATTTTTGATTTTGTAAGCTTTCATACCCTCCTGCTCAACCCCCTCAAGTAAAACCTCTTAGAATGTGAATAATTGGTTCATTTTCTATTGCTGGTATACTCTTGTGATGAGAATTATTTTGTTGTCTTCCATTCTTAAAGGAAGAGATTTATTACAGCTGTGGGGATTAACTGTATTCTCCTGGAAGTTGATTTTCTGATAGGTTAATGCAAAAGTCATTGCAAAAACTGCTATTACTTTTGCGCCAATTTAATAGTTCACTTGTTTACTTTTTAACCTATATTGGCTTAAATTCACTTTTTAGCCCCTCTTTGTCATAAGGTTCTGTGCTGCATTTGCTACAATAGAAGCTCCTATGGTTTTAAAGAAAGTTCAGTGTTTTGTCAGTGTCAAGTGCTACTTGATGATTATATTTGTCTGGAACAGTATTCACTTAAGTCTGTTTATAGCAATCCCTTTTTTGACAAAATTTACAAAGTTGGCATTTTTACTTTAAATTCCATCTCTATCAGTGACTTCCTAAAAAGAGCAACTTAGAAATTGGGGGAAAAATGTTTTTAAAGCCCAAATGCTCCAGTTTTTATTCAAAGTCAAAGTCGTTATTCTGGAAAATACAAGTAATGTTCTATATAATGTCACTTAAAATATTCGTAAATCTATTTTGCAAACACTGAATAGTATAAGTAAGATATAAAATCACAATAGATATTTAAATACTAAGCTGAAACTTCTGACAACTAATTATTATGGGGGACACAATAAAGATTGAAAGCCTAGGTTACCAAGTTGGTTTTAGCTTTCTAGAATCTTTGTAAATACTCACGTTCAAATAAGATCACACGTGCATATATAGAAAGCAATATGTTCTGAAATTTCACTTTAGTGCCACTGTTTGTCCATAATGGATTTATTGCCAATTTTGAATCCTCATCTTACTTTGATCTGGCTTTTTTTTCCCCCCCTTGCCAGAATGTTTAGGAGAAAGTAAAATTATTCCGTTTTACTTTGGCTTTTTGCCAGAGATACAAACTAAGAATAGTCTGAATATGTGTTTTTCAGATCTGGTTACAAGACGGATTATAGATTGTGTTTTAGAGCAATGTTGTGATTGAAATATAAATAATGGTATAACTTTTTTTGTGTTAGCAAAAACAACATTAAAAAGGTTATGTTACATAATATGTAGGTTTTGGTTTCTTAGTGCAAGACTTATATTTCTCTTAAATGTTGTATAATTATTTCAGTTTTCACTCACTAGCTACTTTACTAAAATGTAGCCCCAAAATGACGGGCCAGCCTCAGCGTATCTGCCATATGTATTTCAAAGATTACAGTCAGAATGAGTTAATGAAAATGGCAGGTTCCTTTTCAAAGTTTATTTGACTCACAGCCATATTGCTAAGTTTGGGTATAGTGAAGTTAACAACAATCACTTAAATTAATATCTTACAGCAAGATATACTGATACTGTTTTAAATGAAAAAGACTGTAAATTCAATGTAAATATTACCTAACTTTATGTACCAAGTTAGGAGAGTGGAAGAGGGGAATTTTTCAAAAAATAAGCTGTATTTGAACAAAGCATGAAACTTGTTGTTTTAAAATTTAAGAATAATTGAATTTACCATCTAATTGGCATCCGTACTGTGCATTGATAGTAATATCCAAATCATCTTATTCTTCCATAGAGGAAGCGCTCATATAAATCACATTGCTGAGAACTATATAAAACTACATAGAGGTAAATGGTGCTTATTAAATATGAGTATAGTTTGTTACTTGCTGGAAGTCTTCTAGTTCATTTGGACCATTTTCTTACCCTGAGGTGAACTCAATATCTGTTGGCAATGGGTGGTTAAATGTGAAGTGCCCTTGTTCAGTGTCCCTTGTTCTTGTACAGGTATTTTCTTAGTTTAAAAAAAAAATTCTAGCATGCCAACATTTGTCTTTGGCCTATTCCTTTTTTTCTGAAGTGTGTAACTTCTGATTTTTTCTTTGCTATGTTGTAAATAACAGTAGCTAAATTCTCTGTTTTACTATCTACTTTTCTTTTCTTCCCAGATCATTTCATTCTAAAATTAAATTGCTTGGTTTTCTTTAGAGGAAATTGCTACATGGTATACTTGTAGTAGTGATTCATATTAAAAAAATAGCTGGTAAATCTTTCTAGGTAGTAACTTATCCAAACAATACTTTGAGTATCATATTTTGTGAATGACTTGCTTAAACTGGGAAACTGAATATTCTTTTTAAATCATATAATTCCTGTATTAAATGTGAAACACACAGTCTCCAAAGTCACCTGATTCTCTGTGGAAAATGAAAGGCATTGAAGGAAACCAGATACATTAATACTTAGTTTTGGTTGAAAGTGCAACATTACTGTACTTAGAAGGGGCTTGGTTTATTTTTAGATATTTAAGCTATCATTAATTTTAGACCAATGGCTAATAATAAGAGAGATTTTTGGTTGCTCATTTATGGAGAGACAAAGAACAGCATGGCATAAACAAACATCCCAGAAATAAATGAAAAGTTTTAAGTGATAAAATTGTGTTTTCTATGAACCAGTGTTGTACATGAACCAACATTGTGTTTCTTAGCTCTGACCTGTACAGTGAGGTACCTGTCAGGACCCCTAGTCTTGGCACTGGAAATGACAAAGTTCTCCTATTACTAAATTCTCATGCCTTCCTTTTCTGACTTAGTAGATTGAAATTGGTAGGTACTAATGATTTATGTTTGATAAACTTAAGTTCTGCTGATATCCTGTTACTGGTAATTCTGGTACCAAAATTTCAAACGGTTTGATTATTAGTAGCATTTTGAGTACCTAGGTGCATATAATACAGTTAGCAGACCCTTACAGAGTCAAAAGAGATTTTGGAATCTGGTGATACTGTTGTTTATTACACTAGCCTATTACATTTTCTTTCTTTATAATAACTGTTTATGTGAGTTTCATTGAAAATCGTGGCTCTATTGCTTTATTCATGGTTTCCACAACTCTTTTTGTAACACCTTAATTTTCTCTCTTAGGTATTTTCCTGTTAAATAAGATATCAAAAGCATCAATCACAAGACAGAGAAAACGTATTAGGAAAAACTTGTATTAGTATATTCTAAACTGAAATGGAAAAACTCATTATTCATATTTTAATAAATAAAACTCCCAAATGATCTTGCTAAATTATCCCACTATTTAGAAGTAGAAAATAAGAGAAGAGTGCTTTCAAGGAAATTTGTCATATTCTCCCTTCTATCTAGAAGTTGACAATGAATTGCAATAAAACTAAGAAATAACTGAATGCTGAAAAATACCATGAATTAATGTTATGGCTTCTTTATTTTTGTATATCCATTCCCACAAAATTGAATTTAAGATTATTAATGAAAATTCTATATTAAGTAATAATGCTTGTATTAGTAATGGGTAAAGAAGTCTTTCTTTGTTACATTAACCGTTAGTAAAAGATGTACTTTGACATTTCTGATGTAAAACCTATATGTAAATATTGTAATTTAAATATGATTGGACAGCTGTTAAGTTTTGGGGAGGGAAGCAGATGCCAGCGTTCTCTGCTGAAAAGACAAGATGGCGCTTGACGGACCACAGCAGATGGAGCTGGAGGAGGAAAAGGCAGGCAGTGGACTCTGCCAGTATTATCTGTCCAAGATTGAAGAACTCCAGGGTCAACTGCAATATAAATTGGATGGGGGAAAGCCACAAGGAACAGTTCTGAACTCCAGGTGCATTTGCAGCTGATTTTGAATGATAAGACCCAAAACCTCTGGAGGCGGCAGGTGCACGGGAATGAACTAAATGTTAAAGTGTGCCTATTACAGGAGGAGCTACAGCTGCTGCAGGAATAGGACTCCTGTGTCAGGGAAGTAGTCCAGGCCATGGGTAAGAAGAAAGTGTTGGTCAAGGTGCATCTCAAGGACAAGTTTGTCATAGATGTGGACAAAAATATCAGCATCAGTGATGTGACACCCAGTTCCTTGGTGGTTCTAAGAAATGACAGCTACACTTTGCACAAGATCCTACCCAACAAGGTGGACTCATTGGTGTCACTGATGATGGTGAAGAAAGTACCAGATTCAGCTTATGAAATGATTGGTAGACTGGATAGGCAGATCAAGAAGATCAAAGAAGTGATCGACCTGCCTGCTAAGCATCCCGAGCTCTTCAAAGCACTGGGCATTGCACAGCCCAAGGGAATGCTGCTTGGAAGAGACTGTTGGCCTGGGCTCTGGCTCATCATAGGGACTGTGTACCTTTATTCATGTCTCTGGCTCTGAATTGGTACAGAAATTCATTGGGGAATTTCTGTGATGGCAGAGAAAATGCTCATCTGTCATCTTCATGGATGAAATTGACTCTTTTGGCTCCTCAGAGCTGGAGGGGGATGCTGGAGGGAACAGTGAAGTGCAGCAGATGATGCTTCGAGGGTGGCTTTGAGGCCACCAAGAGTATCACGGTTTATCACGGCTGCTAATACGATTGATATCCTGGACTCGGCACTGCTTTGCCCAGGGCACATTGACAGAAAAATTGAATTCCCAACCTGCAATGAGTAGGCCTGGCTGGTCACTTTGAAGATTCATTCTCAGAAATGAACCTGACCCAGGGGATCAACCTGAGAAAAATTGCTGAGCTTATGCCAGGAGCATCAGGCTGAAGTGAAGGGCATGTGCACAGAAACCGGCATGTATGCCCTGAGTAGCGAGTCCATGTCACTCAGAAGGACTTTGAGGTAGTCCAAAGTCCTATCTCATGCCAAAGGACAGTGAGGAAAAACATGTCCATCAAGAAACTATGGAATTGAGGGCACATCCTTTGTGTGTATCCCTACAATAAAACTCAGTGGGACAAGCAAAAAAAAAAAAAAAAAAAAGTTTTGGGGAGGGATGATCTGCTAGTGTATAATCAATAACTTTTAACATTTAGCTTGTATTTAGTAACATTTCATTGTGTTTTGAAAAAAAGTAAAAAATCTTTTGAAGCACAATTTTCATGATGTAAAAGGTATTGAGTTTCCTAGTGTAAGAACATGAATTCTGGAAACAGTCTTAGGGACACTGGGCAAGATAGAGGCCTCCACCCCTCCCCCCCCCACCAACTTTGTTTGTAAAAGGAGATAATACTGCCTACATCAGGGTTGGTGTGAGGATTAATTAGAAGAGTACATGTATGTAAGCACCAGACACATAGTAAGCACTTAATAATGTTAGTGGCTAGTATAAACAGTAAACATATTTGTGCCCATTTATGAATAATTTTAGTATTCGCTCCAGTCATGAGGTGTAGTAGTAATATCTAAGACCTTAACTGAAATGTTTAAAGAAACCTAGGTATAACAGAGAACATTATGGGTGCTGATTTCCACTCTCACTAAAAGCCAGTGACTTTACTATATCAGCAAGTATAAAGCACTACTTGACTCTGTAGATTGTATGGACCAAGAATGTAGATATGAGACAGCTGATCTCTACGAACTGAATTTTTAGTGAGTAAAGCAAGCAAGCATGTAATAGAGAACAATAAAAGCTCTGATAGACATATGTACAAGGTGTTGTAGAGGTACAAAGGAAAGTTATTCAGACTAGGCAAGAGAGTGATTAAACTTAAGTATTGAAGAACAAATAGATCATAGCTCTAGGGGATGTGGAACATACAAAGTGGAAAGTTTGGGAAGAGTATTCCCAAGGCAAAAAGCTTAGCACATACAAACATAGGAGGAAAGCGAGACACTCTTAAAGAGTTGCTATGCTTTGGGAGGTGGAGGCGGGCGGATCACGAGATCAAGAGATTGAGACCATCCTGGCCGACACAGTGAAACCCTGTCTCTACTAAAAATACAAAAATTAGCTGGGCGTGGTGCGCGCCTGTAGTTCCAGCTACTCAGGAGGCCGAGGCAGGAGAATTGCTTGAACCCAGGAGGCAGAGGTTGCAGTGAACTGAGATTGTGCCACTGTACTCCAACCTGGCAACAGAGCGAGACTCTTGTCTCAAAAAAAAAAAAAAAAAAAAAAAAAAAAAAAAAAAAGTTGGCCAGGCACGGTGGCTCACGCCTGTAATCCTAGCACTTTGGGAGACCGAGGCAGGGTGGATCACCACCTGAGGCCAGGAGTTTGAGACCAGCCTGGCCAACATGATGAAACCCCATCTCTACTAAAAATAGAAAAATTAGCTGGGCATGGTAGTGTGCGCCTGTAGTCCCAGGTACTTGGAAGGCTGAGGCATGAGCACAGGAGGCGGAGGTTGCAGTGAGCTGAGATTGTGCCACTGCACTCTAACCTGGGCAATAGAATGAGACTCTGTCTCCAAAAAAAAAAAGTTGCTATGTCTGAAGAGGTAAACAGGTGATAAATCATGAAGAGATTTGTGTCTGAAACTGTAATTGAAGGATTTCAAACAGGAAAAAGATAATCACATTTATACTTAAGATTAGAGAGGTATGATACTGGAGGCAGAGAGACCTGTTAGAAAATTTATACTAATTCAGGCAAGATGATGAAGGGCAGAACTAAAGCAATGAAAATAGGGAAAGCAAGTACAGAAGAACAAAACTTAAAGATTTAGAGAGCAGCACTGACCCAGCTGGGACAAGTTCTAGTTGTCCATTCTATTGCCAGTGCTGCAGAGTCCAGAGGCAGCACAGTGCATCATTTGGTGAGGGAGTTCACAAGGGAGAACCAAACTAGCTTTTATAACAGACCCATTTGTGGTAACTAACCCAGTCCCTTGATAATAACCATTAATCCATGCATAGATTAATCCATTTATGGGGACATAGATAGCCTTCATGACCCAATCACCACTTAAAGGCCCTACCTCTTCGTACTGATACATTGGGGATCAAGTTTAGCACAAGTTTCAGTGGGGGCAAACATTCAAATCATAGCAGTGTCTATTAGGCTGCAGGAGGTGTCTCTACCCAAATGTCGGTAAGTATGTGATAAGTGGGATAGTTGAGCTAGTTTAACGATGTCTAGGTTGGTTGGGTTGGACTTTTCCTCGTGTCACCTCCCTGCTTAGCTCTAGCTGCTTATTGGAATGCAGCCGTGCTTTCCTGGGTTTACTTAGGAAATGCTGAGATGCACTCTGAAGCATTCTTGAGGTTTTCCCTTTGGTTCATTTGTCCCATACTCTCTCCGTTATACCAGTCTTCTCAGATCTTCACAACACAAGTAAATCTGTTGGAAGCAAGGTCTTGTAGATGTAGACATATGGGAAAGATAGAGCCTGCTCTCCTGATGGATGCTGTTGTTGAGATAGGTTGGGTTGGCCTAGGTAAGAGGAGGACCAGAAGAGATTTATGATTTCTTGGAAGGCTATGAGTTGCTGCTGGCCCCATCATAATCTTTTTTGTTTAGCAGAAGTCAGGAAACGAATACTGGTACACTTACATTTCTTGGAAGAGCAGCAGAAACCTTGGGATATCCTTGTGGGTCAAGGAGGCAACTCTCCTCACGGATTCCCTGATTTGATAACAACATACTCATGGAAACACCAATCCAAGTTTTCACAAGTTTCTCTTAAAGTTAACTTAAGACTTCCTAGACCAAGAATTCCTACCACGCAAGGCCTGTGAAAATATTGTAAACTTAATATCCGACAGGGAGATATTCAAAGATGCCAAAGTACCTGTTTTTATAAATATTACCACATGGTTTAAGATTTGACTTCTCACATAAAATGAGTAAAAATAACAATGATTTTTCTGCAGTACCTTAATGATGCTGTAATTATGAAGCAGGGTTTTAAAATTCTGCCATGTAGTGCCTTATTTTTATAGTAATGTTTTCTATGAACCTTCTAATTTAATGTGTATTAAGAGATTTAAAGAGTATGTAATTAAAAAATATCTTTCCAACAAAGTCACCTTGAGATTTAATGCTTTCTAATTGGCTTGATCATTTGATGGCAAGATAACTAGTTGGGTAACTGAACATAGACTCTACAGTGTTAGCAAATATGAATTTATATTTCAGAAAAATATCAAATAACTAATATCAGAGCCTGTGTGCCTGCCTTTCAAGGTAGTACATTAACACTTGGAATATTAAATCTGTAAATACTAAGGATATTATCCAAATAGATGATATTCATCAAATGGTATATAAAGTTCATCCGTTGTTGGAATTCAAATGTTGCAAAGGCCAAAGGTATTTAATATCCAAACTATTGTTTTAGCATATATTTATTCTTTGAAATCTGGTGTGTATTTTACACTTACAGCCCATCTCTATTCAGGACTATAGCCACATTTTAAGTTATCAAGAGTCATATGTGACCAGTGGCCACTGTGCTGGCAGCACAGGTCTAGATGACTCTGGGAGACACTTCTACTCCTATCTCTCCTTACCTGAATATTTCTGAAGGCCTTCTAATTCCAACTTTGTGAAGACTCTTGGGTCTCTTTCAAAGTTTATTTAACTGCTGCACTTGAGCAGAACTTGTCCTAAATTATTACTAAAATTGAGGCAGTTTCCTCATATTTATTTATTTATTTATTTTTTAGAGACAGAGTCTCGCTCTGTCGCCCAGGCTGGAGTGCAGTGGCGCGATGTCGGCTCACTGCAAGCTACGCCTCCCGGATTCACGCCATTCTCCTGCCTCAGCCTCCCGAGTAGCTGGGACTACAGGCGCCTGCCACCTCGCCTGGCTAATTTTTTTTTTTTTTTTTTTTTTTTTTTTTTTTGTATTTTCAGTAGAGACGGGGTTTCACTGTGTTAGCCAGGATGGTCTCAATCTCCTGACCTCGTGATCCACCCGCCTCGGCCTCCCAAAGTGCTAGGATTACAGGCGTGGGCCACCGTGCCTGTCCCAGTTTCCTCATTTTTAAATGAAAGAGCTGGAAATACCTTTAAAAGGTTGAGGGTCTAATGAATCATCTTCATGTACATTCATAGATAGCATTGGCTTTCATTGTGATTATGGTTTTTGGTGAGGGCACATGGGCTTTTAATACCTGGTCAGTGATATAGTTAGGAATTGCAGTTTGTGACACTTTGGCCAAATAATCATCAGGAATTGTGAGTGATGCTGGTGAATAATAGCTGTAGTCAGATTTGTCCCTTGTGTTGAGTTCTATGGCGGCATTTTCATGGGTTTCAGACCTTCCAGCTAATAGTTGGCTTCCTGCCCACGTCAGTGCTTAAACTGTCAAACTTGTCCACCAAACCCTCAATTCATAAAGCTGAGTCTTCAAAATCCCGCATAAGAGGCACCAGTAGTCAAGTCTAAACTGTCTTCAGTAAGATGTTCCCTAGTTTGCCTAGAGATTCTGTGCTCAAATGCCATCTTGAATGGAGTCAGCAGGCAAGGGTTGGCAGGGAGGTTGTCTATAAGTTTGGCATACACCATGGGAAGATAGACATTACATTCGTCTTCTTTGGGATCCCTGTAAGCCAGTGGTTCTCAATACTTGGCTTAACATTAGGTCAACTCAGGAGGTAGGAAGGACGTATAGAGGCATCTCTTTAAATATATTAAGGTCTTGACCTCACCCCAGATATTCTGAGTTAATCTAGTGTGATTCTGTTGTATAGCCAGTGTACAACCTATCAAAGGTTTTCTCATACACCTCAAAAATAGGGGTTAAAGGGTGCCAAGAATGTCTCAGACCTCTGTAACTCAGCTGTAGCTATATTCCTTTCAATTTTCTTTCCTGCTTGATCAAACTCTTGACTCTTTTTGGATGAGAAAACTGCTCTGGCATCATTATGCATTCTCCCCAAATCTGGTTTATAGGACAATGCCTAATTCAGCCAGGCTCCGATCCTTAATTTTCACAAAAGAATTTGTAGATTCCCAAAAGCTCTTTTTACCTCCAGAATGGCTCTGACAAATCAAAAGCATTTGGCTTCCAGACACTTCTCTTCCTTTGGATTTAAAGAACTTGACTTTGACATTCAAAATAATATCTGATTTGTCCTCATTTTCTCTCCCTTCCGAAGCAGTGACCATCAATGAGTCATTGAATAAAATGCCATAAGCAACTAGGAACACAAACTAGGAATGAAAAATGTTCAAAAATAGTCTTCTGCTACACTCATATCAATCACTAGAAAGCTACTGAAGCCTAAATATATAACTAGTCTGATTTTCATTCTTACAGTTACCTGGTAATCTTCAGAAGTCTTATCTCCCTGAAGAAGAATGTGTATAGGAGTTACTTGAACTAGAATGCAGTCACTATCATTCATTCATTTAGCATTCATTCATTTAGCACATGTGGTTGGTTGTGTTGGTTCATTCATTTAGCACGTATTGAACGTTTGATAGATGAAAGACACTGTGTGAGACACTACATATACATTGATGGGGAAAATGAATAGTGCCTGCCCTAATGGGGCTTAATTATTTAGAGTATCACAAATCTATAAATAACAGGCTGTTTGAAACCTAGTTCTTGAATAAGTATTTGTGTCAGTTCTTATAAGGTATGAGGTTATTAAGGTCATTGGAAAACCCTTTATTTGACTCTACATCCGGTAAGACTTTTATACCTTGTACCAGACCTTCCTGTGTGTCAGTGCTACTGAAACAAAGGAGAAAGTAGGTGAAAGTACTTCAAACACTAGGATTGAGGTAGAGCCAGCCAGACACAGATTTCCTAACTTGTTTACATTTTTAGAGGGCTATTTCTTCAGTAAGAACAGTATTATGTTCCTAATCAGCTTTCTCTTCATTGCTTTGTAAAGGCAACTTTTTTTTTTAAATTAATTAATTAATATTTTTTTGAGACAGAGTCTCGCTCTGTTGCCTGGGTTGGAGTGCAGTGGCGAGATCTTAGCTCACTGCAACCTCCGTAAAGGCAACTTTATTAAGTTACAATTTACGTGCAACAAAAACATTATGCATGTACAGTCTGATTAATTTGGACAAGACATATGCACCTGTGTGACTATCACCACAACCAAAATGAGAATATTTTCATCACCCCTCAAAAGTTATTCAAGTCTCTTAATACTGGGTTCCCACCCATCAACCCACAGCCCTAGGCAGTCATTGATCTGCTCTTCATTGATCTGCTCTGTGTCACTGTGGATTAGATAAAATCATTCAGTATGTACTTTATTTGTGTAAATTTGTTTTGCTCAGCATAGTGTCTGAGAAACATCACAGATGCAATGATGTTGCCTGAATCATCGCAAGACATCGCTTGAATCAGTAGTAGTGTTCCATTAAATGAATATGCTACGGTTTGTTATTCTCCTATTGGTGGGTACCTGGGCTCTTTCTGGTTTGGGGCTACCCCTATGAATAAAGTGACTATGAACGTTTGAATATAAATCTTTGTGTGAACATGTGATTTCATTTCTCTTCAATAAATTCCTAGGGATGAAACTGCCGAGTCATGTGGTAAGTATTTGTTTAACTTTGTAAGATACTGCCAAACTGTTTTCCAAAGTAGCCGTGCCATGTTACATTTCCACCAGCAATGTATGAGGGTTGCAATTTTACCACATTATTGCCAACACATGTTGGTGTCCATCTTTTTAATTTTGGCCATTATAGTGGGTATGTAGTGGTATCTCGTGGTTTTAGTTGCAATCTACTTAACCACTAATGACATTAATCATCTTTTTATATACTCATTTGCCATTCCTGTAGCTTCTTTGGTGAAAGGTCTGTTCAGTTCTTTATACCATTATTTTTAACAGGTTTATTGAGGTTTAATTTACATACCATAAAAATCTACCTACTAAAAGTATACAATTAAATGGTTTTTCATATATTTTTGGAGTTGTACGGTCCTTAGCATAATCAGTTTTGGAATATTTATATCACCCTAAAGATACCTTATACTCATTAGCAATCACCCTCAATTTTCCCCTCCTCTAGACCTAGGCAACCACTAATCAGCTTTCTGTCTCCATTGACTAGATATTGTATATAAATGGTATGATACAAAATAGAGTCATTTGCATTTGGCTTCACCTAACATAATTATTTCTGAAGATCACCCATGTTTAGCATGTATAATTCTTCCTTTATTTTTTGCTGAATAGCAAAAATAATTTTTAAAAACTCATTCTATTGTATAGCTATACCACGTTTGTTTCTCCACTTGCCAGTTGATGGATTGTATCGTCTCCACTTTGGGGGCTTTTATGAATAATGCCTGTATGAACGTTTGCCTTCAGTTTTTTGTTTGGACATATGTTTTCATTTGTTTTGGGTAAGTATTTAGAAGTACAATTGCTGGGTCGTATGTGTGCAGCTTTACACACCATGCTCACTGTTATCTCATTCCCTAGGTCTGTTAAATTCCTGGCTGTTTTGCCCATCTGTGGCTTGCCCCAGCCATTATCTCAATCTAGGTATAATGTTGGCCTTCCCTGTTTGCTGTCCAGTTAGGTATTGTTTTCGACAACACTCCTGCATGTGTATTTTTCCCAGATTCTGCTCCATATCAGTTTAGCCTCCTCCAGCAGGGAGGCTGCAGACCTTGACAGCCTGCCCACCCTGGTAGAACTATAGTGCCACAGAACTTGAAGGACTGGGGGAGAGTGAGACGGGGGCAGCCTCAGACTATAATGCCACAGACTCTCACTGTTCTAACCAAGGTTCAGTAGGTTTTCTTGAGTAAATGTTTCTCAGCTTGTTGCATGCATTAGTGAGTTCTCAGAATTCTGAAATGAGTATTTTCACAGTTTTGTCAAGTTTTATCATTGCTTTTTTGGGAGAAAATTTGCCAAACTCATTACTTAGACATTCCTGAAATCTCATTGGGATGCTTTTTTTTTTTTTTTTTTTTTTTTTTTTTAATTATGCTTTAAGTTCTGGGATACATGTGGAGAACATGCAGGTTTGTTACATAGTTATACACGTGCCATGATGGTTTGCTGCACCCATCAACCCGTCATCTACATTAGGTATTTTTCCTAATGCTATGTCTCCCCTAGCCCCCCACCCCCCGACAGGCCCCAGTGTGTGATGTTCCCCTCCCTGTGTCCATGTGTTCTCATTGTTCAGCTCCCACTTATGAATGAGAACATGTGGTGTTTGGTTTTCTGTTTCTATGTTAGTTTGCTGAGAATGATGGTTTCCAGTTTCATCCATGTCCCTGCAAAGGACACGAACTTATCCTTTTTTATGGCTGCATAGTATTCCATGGTGTGTATGTGCCACATTTTCTTTATCCAGTCTATCACTGATGGGCGTTTGGGTTGGTTCCAAGTCTTTGCTGTTGTGAATGGTGCTACACGTGTGCATGTGCCTTTATAGCAGAATGATTTAATAATACTTTGGGTATATACCCAATAATGGGATTGCTGGGTCAAATGGTATTTCTAGTTCTAGATCCTTGAGGAATCGCCACACTGTCTTCCACAATAGTTGAACTAATTTACAGTCCCACCAACAGTGTAAAATTGTTCCTATTTCTCCACATCCTCTCCAGCATCCGTTGTTTCCTGACTTTTTAATGATCGCCATTCTAACTGGCATGAGAATGGTATAACATTGTGGTTTTGATTTGCATTTCTCTAATGACCAGCGATGATGAGTTTTTTCCCCATAAGTTTGCTGGCCACATAAATGTCTTCTTTTGAGAAGTGTCTGTTCATATTCTTTGCCCACTTTTTGATGGGGCTGCTTGTTTTTTTCTTGTAAATTTGTTTAGGTTCCTTGTAGATTCTCGATATTAGCCCTTTTCAGATGGATAGATTGCAAAAATTTTCTCCCATTCTGTAGGTGCCTGTTCACTGTGATGATAGTTTCTTTTGCTATGTAGAAGCCCTTTAGTTTAATTAGATCCATTTGTCAATTTTGGCTTTTGTTGCCATTGCTTTTGGTGTTTTAGTCATGAAGTCTTTGCCCATGCCTATGTCCTGAATGGTATTGCCTAGGTTTTCTTCTAGGGTTTTATGGTTTTAGGTCTTATGTTTAATTCTTTAATCTGTCTTGAGTTAATTTTTGTATAAGGTATAAGGAAGGGGACCAGTTTCAGTTTTCTGCATATGGCTAGCCAGTTTTCCCAACACCATTTATTAAATAGGGAATCCCTTCCCCATTGCTTGTTTTTGTCAGGTTTGTCAAAGATCAGTTGGTTGCAGATGTGTGGGATTATTTCCGAGGCCTCCATTCTGTTCCATTGGTCTGTATATCTGTTTCGTACCAGTACCATGCTGTTTTGGTTACCATAGCCTTGTAGTATAGTTTAAAGTCAGGTAGCGTGATGCTTCCAGCTTTGTTCTTTTTGCTTAGGATTGTCTTGGCTATACGGGCTCTTTTTTGGTTCTGTATGAAATTTAAAGTAGTTTTTTCCAATTCTGTGAAGAAAATCAGTGGTAGCTTGTTGAGATTAGCATTGAATCTATAAATTACTTTGGGCTCTATGGCCATTTTCACAATATTGATTCCTCCTATCCATGAGCATGGAATGTTTTTCCATTTGTTTGTGCCCTCTCTTATTTTGAAGAGGTCCTTCATATCCCTTGTGAGTTGTATTCCTAGGCGTTTTATTCTCTTTGTAGCAATTGTGAAGGGGAGTTCACTCATGATGTGGCTCTCTATTATTGGTGTATAGGAATGCTTGTGAATTTTGCACATTGATTTTGTATCCTGAGACTTTGCTGAAGTTGCAGTTGTATATCTTATTAATGAGTTGTAAGAGTTCTTTGTTTTTTATACAAGTCTTAGATACGTAATTTGCGAATGCATTCTCAATCTGTGCTTGCCTTTCCATTTTCTTAATAGTGCCTTTGAAAGAGCAAAAGTTTTAAATTTTGATGTCAAATGTATTAGTTTATTCTTTCCTGTTTTCTTGCCTTTTTTGTCCTAAGAAATTGTTGCCTAATACAAAGTCACAAAAGATTTTCTCTATGGCTCTTAGATTCAGATCTGTGGTAGAATTTGAGTTAATTATTGTCTATTGTGAGGATAAGGGCTGAGGTTCATGCTTAACCATATCACTCTCCGGTTTGTTCCAGGTCATTTGGTAAAATGAATACCTTTTCCCTATTGAATAAACTTTCCATCTTTGTTGCAAATCAGATAACCTTCTATGTGTAGACCTGTTGCTGAGCTCTATTCTATTCCATTAATTTATATGTCTATGTTAATATAACACTACCTTGATTACTGTAGAATTACAGTAAATCCTGAAATAATCACCTTCAGTTTTGAAAGAAATTTTTGTTAGGCCTAGAATTCTAGATTGTCTTTTGTTTTTGCTGTGTTTTCTTTCAGCACTTTAAAGTTGTGCTACTCTTTTGTCTTAAGTATAGCTTCAGACAAGAAGTTTGCCATTATCCTTTTTTTGACATGTTTAATATATTTATATGCCATAAAATTCACCATTTTGAAGTGTACAATTCAGTGTTTTTTTAGCATATTCACAAGATTGTACCACCATCACCATGGATTCCAGAACATTTACATCACTTTAAAAAGAAATCCTATGCTCATTAGTGGTCGCTCTCCATTTCCCCCTTCCCTCTTTGCCCCAAAATAACTAACCTACTTTCTGTCTCTATGGATCTGTCAATTCTGGACATTTTATTAAAGGGAATCATATAACAGATGGCCTTTTGTGTCGATTTCTTTCATTCAGCATAATGTTTTCAAGGTTCCCTCATGTTGTAACCCATGTTCGTACTTTTTTTTTTTTTCATGGTTGAATCATATTCCATTGTATATACCACATTTTGTTTATGGAAATTGGGACTGTTTTCACTCTTTGGCTGTTATGAATAATGCTACCATGAGCATTAGTGTATAGGTCTTGGTGTGAATGTGTTTTCAATTCCCTTGGGCATATACCTAGGAGTAGATTTGCTGGGTCATGGTAACTCTGTGTTTAACTTCCTGACAACTGCCAAACTTTTGACTCCACCATTTTACATTCCCAACAGCAATGTCATTATCAGGGTTCCAGTTTCTCCACATCTTTGCCAACACTTGTTATTGTCCATCTTTTTTATTATAGCCATCCTATAATAAAACAGCTATCAGGTTGCATCTCATGGCTTTAATTTACATATTCTAGTGACTATGTTGAGCATATTTTCATGCTTATTGGCCATTTATATATCTCTTTGGAGAAATGTCTATTCAAATTTGCTCATCTAAAAATTCTACTGTAGCATTTTAAGAGTTCTTTATATGTTCTAGAGTCACCGGGGGTGTCCAAGGGAGAGAATACAGTCGTGTTGTTAGTTTCTGTGTCTGGTTGGGTCAGTAAAGCCCCTTCCTCATCCCTCTTTTCTGCTTATCACTAGAGACAGAAACTAAAAACCATGGCTTCAGGCTGCTAAACTCTAAAAACAAAACAAAACAGAACAATAACAACAAAATAAGGTGGACTAGACAAAGTTGTATCTAGACCCTTATCATATATGTGATTTGCAAATATTTTGATTGTGTGGGTTGTCTTTTTACTTTTTTAATAGCGACCTTTGCAGCACAAATTCTCATTTTGATGAAGTCAAATGTATCTAACTTTCATTTGGCTGCTTATGCTTTCAGTGTCATCTAGGAACCATAGCCTAATCGAAGGTCATTAGGATTTGCACCTTTGTTTTCTTCTAATGATTTTATAACATTGGCTCTTATTTAGGTCTCTGATACATCTGCTGTGAATTTTTATGTATGGTACGAAGTGGGACGGGGGAGGGGTGTCCCACTTTAATCTTTTGCACATGGATGTCCAGTTGTTCCAGCACCATTTGTTGAAAAAACTATTCTTTCCTCATGAACTGTCGTCTTGCCTCTGTTGTTGAAAATCAGTTGACTGTAAATGTATGGATTTACTTCAGAACTGTTAATTTTATTCCATTGAGCTATATCTATTATGCTAGTACCATACAGTCTTGATGACTGCATCTTTGTAATATGTTTTGAGATTGGAAAGTGTTCTTGGGCTGAGAAATGTAAGAATTTTCCATGGTGTTTGACCTTGAGATTAGATCATTCCAGTTCATAAGTATTTGTATATGTCTTAGTCAGTTTTGTATTGCAATAAAGGAATACCTGAGGCTGGGTAGTTTATTTAAAAAAAAAAAAATAAAGCCAGGCCGCGGTGGCTGATGCCTGTAATCCCAGCACTTTGGGAGGCCGAGATGGGCGGATCACGAGGTCAGGAGATCGAGACCATCCTGGCTAACACGGTGAAACCCTGTCTCTACTAAAAATACATAAACTTAGCCGGGTGTGCTGGCACGTGCCTGTAGTTCCAGCTACTTGGGAGGCAGAGGCAGGAGAATCGCTTGAACCCAGGAGGTGGAGGTTGCAGTGAGCCGAGATCGCGCCACTGCACTCCAGCCTGGGCGACAGAGCAAGACTCCATCTCAAAAAAAAAAAAAAAAGAAGGGGGAGAAAGAGAGCAAGGTTAATTTGGCTCATGTTTCTACAGGCTGTACAAGAAGCATGGCGCACCAGCCTCTGCAACTAGTGAGGTCTCAAGCGGCTTCCGCTCGTGGTGGAAGGTGAAGGGTAGCCTATGTGTGCAGGTATCACAGGGTGAGAGAGGAAGCAAGGAGAGGGTGTGTGTCAGGCTCTTTTAAACAGCCAGCTCTTACAGCACCTAATAATACAGGAAGAACTCACCCCTGAAGGAAGGTATTGATCTATTTATGAGGGATCCACCTTCATGACCCAAACCCACCTCCCATTAGGCCCCCACCTACAACATTGGGGGATCATATTTTAATATCAGGTTTGGGGAGACAAACCAAACCGTAGCAATGCAGCTTTATATTTTTACATATAGTAAATGATGGTGATAATATCAATGACAGGAAAGACCTCAGTTGGGCATTCTTTAATAGGAGTTGATCACCATCTTGGCTTTAAAGAATTTTCATTAACTATACTGTGCTTTCCCTTGACTGACCAACTGAGAACTCAAACCGTGTTGATTTTTGCTGGTAAGTATTTGAATTGTTAGTTGACAGTCAAGCCAGTAGCTGTTTGAAAAACCTTTCTTTGGGACAACTACAAAAGCAAAAATATAAGTACCTACAAATGCAAAGAAAAATACTACTACCTGAAATCCTACTGTATATGGATAACCACTGTTAATATTTGATGAATGTGCTTTCACTTAGTGGTCTATGCAAATGCAATTTTACGTAAATGCTGTCATACCATACGTGCTGTCTTTCAACCTGCGCCCTCAAGAGAACATCATTAATATATTTGTCATTAAATGTGGGTCTACTTCATTATTTTGATGACAGCATTAAACCACTATTGAACTATACTATTTCATATAATTTCATTAATAGTTTTTTACTATTGAAATTTTAAGTTGTTTCTAGTTTATACTCTCACCAACAGAACGTGAATTAAAGTTTCCTCATACTTGAGGCAAAACAGAGTTTTGTCACCCTTTTACCATCTTTGCTATACTATAAGCAAAAAATAAGTTTCTGTTGCATTTCTTTTATGATGACTGTAGTTGAATGTCTTTCATTAGTGTCCTGGCCATGTGTATTTCCTAGTGAATTACTTGCTTATGACTATTGCCTGTTCTTTTTTTCCTTAGTGATTTATTTTTATATATTTTTAGTGTTAGACTGTTAATATATGTTGCAAATGTGTTTCTCAGTTTGCCATTTATCTTGGAATCTTCATGGCAGTGTATTTTCTTGTGGTGTTTTTGGGTATTTTGTTGCTGTCCAATATTTTTGCCTTCTTATAAAAGTAATCACACTTTTCAATCTTTGCTGTATGTTTTTGAACTTTGTGGTCATGCTTAGAAGGATTTTACCCATCTCAAGTTTACATAAACTTTCACTTGTATTTTCTCCTGGTACTTTTATATGTGGTTCATATTTAAAAACATTTAATCCATCCATTATAACAGCAGCTTTTTAAAACTGCAGAACTTTTTATTCTGCCCAATATGTTTGAGAGATTTGTGTCTTAGCAAGTGGATTTTTGCTTTAAAGTCCCATTGAACTAGTGCTGGAATAAGAACTAATAGTGAGATACAGTTTTTTGTATTATAATATTTATGCTCTTCCTCCACATCTTCATTTGGCTGGCTCTTTCTTTGTTCAGACCTCTGCATAAATCTCACACCTCAGAAAGGCCGCCTGTGGCCACCCCATCTTTATAAAATAGCCTCTCTCTGATCATTCTGTCTAAAGAAGAAGACCACCCCCATTGTTCTGCATCCTGTTCCCTGTTAAACTTCTTAGCACTTAGCACTGCCTACCTCATCATGTTTGTTTCCTTGTTTATCTTATCTCCCTTCTCCCACTAGAATGAGGACTCGATGAAAGCGAGATTTTTTTCTGTCTTGTTCATTGCAGTATCCCAGAACCCAGAAAAGATTCTGACACAAAATAGTCATCTATAAATATTTAAGTCAATGACTGAATATTTAGAAAATTATTGTGGTATTTTTTCAGAGTGTTAACTTCTTTTGAAGTGTTGTGTGAAAGACATCCATTAGTATCTCTGAAATTATGAATTAAAAAGAAGGCAATAGGCTGGGCGCAGTGGCTCATGCCTGTAATCTCAGTACTTTGGGAGGTAGGAGGATCACTTGAGCCCAGGAGTGCAAAAGCAGCCTGAGCAACATAGTGAGACCCCATCCCTATAAAAAATTTAAAAATTAGCCAGGCATTGGTGGGGCATGCCTGTAGTCCCAGCTATTCTGGAGGCTGAGATGGGAGGATCACTTGAACCCAGGAGGTTGAGGCTGCAGTGAGTCATGATTGCGCCACTGCACTCCAGCCTGGGCAGCAGAGGAAGATCTTGTCTCGAAAAAAAGGCAGTAGGCGAATATAATTCAATATAAAATAAAACTTTGTGGAGTCATCTAATGCCAGGGACATAGGTGGACCGCACCTAATGATGATGAAAATAAGACTATTAATGAAGCAGTTCACATCAGCCTTTTGATACTATGCTTTTATCAAGTTTGTGTAAATGAGATTATGCAAATAATAGTGATGGCTCTCACTTTGGAGCACTTATCTGAGGTCAGGAGTTCGAGACCAGCCTGGCCAGCATGGCAAAACCCCGTCTCTACTAAAAATACAAAAATTAGCTGGGTGTGGTGGTGCACACCTGTAATCCCAGCTACTCAGGAGGCTGGGGCAGCAGAATCGCTTGAACCTGGGAGGCAGAGTTTGCAGTGAGCGGAGATGATGCCACTGTACTGCAACCTGGGACAGAGTGAGACTCCATCTGCAAAAAAAAAAAAAAAAAAAAAAAAAAAAAAAAAAAAAAAAGAAGCAAAATCTGAATTTCACTCATCTTGAGTATGAACTGGCCCTAGTAACTTGTTTCTAACTAACAGAATGCAACAGAAGTGATGCTGTATGACTTCCAGGGCTTAGTTAGAATAGGTAATACAGCTTCTAACTGGCTTTCTCTCAGGAAGGTTCTCCGTGGAACCAAGGTTCTATGCTGTGTGAGAAAGCCCTGGCCACGTCAACCACCAAACATGTGAGTGAGGAAGCCTTCTAGATGATTCCACCCTAACCACCATCTGGCTAGAGCTGGATGAGAGACCTGAGGGAGAGCTGCCTAGCTGAGTCCAGTCAATCCCCAGAATTGTGAGAGAAGATGATATATGATTGTTGTTTCATCTCACTAAGTTTGGGATGGTTTGTTACACAGCGGTTGATAACTAGACCAGAGACCTTTCCTAGAAACGCTGGAGAACACGTGCCAGGATGGTCCTGGACATCTCCATTGTTTGCTGCTTGCTTCTCTACTGTGCCCATTGCCTGTGCTTTCACCAAACCCCCTATTAACCAGACATTGTCAGCTACCAGAAGTTTCCTGTCTTAGGATCTTGACACTTTTGAGACTCTTTGAAGTTACGAGACATGATGGACTTACTATCAAAAACTTGGCAAGCACAGTTACATCAGCAAGTGTTACTTTGTTCAAGTAAGAGGGGAAATAGTGCAGCATGGCAGTTAACCCTGTGCTCTCTAAGCTTTTACTGAATTTCAGTGGGTCATTCTAGAGACTTGGTAGCCACATGCGTGTCAGTTTGTTGATATTCAGTATTGATTATTCTCATAGGAGCTGTATATAATTGTTTTGAGCTTAAAACAAAGAAAATGATTAGTTTATGGTTCTAATCTTTTGGATTTTTTTTTTTTTTTTTAGACGGTGTTTCACTTTTGTCGCCCAGGCTGGAATGCAGTGGCGCGATCTCGGCTTACTGCAACCTCCACCTCCCGGGTTCAAGCGATTCTCCATCCTCAGCCTCCTGAGTAGCTGGGATTACAGGCGCCCGCCACCACACCAGGCTAATTTTTGTATTTTTAGAAGAGACAGGGTTTCACCACATTGGCCAGGCTGGTTTTGAACTCCTGACCTCAGGTGATCCACCCCCCTCGGCCTCCCAAAGTGCTGGGATTACAGGCGTGAGCCACCACGCCTGGCCTTGGATGTTTTAAAGTAAAATTTTCCCCACTGCAAAATAATAGATATGTGTTGTAGGAACTTTTGGAAACACAAGGCACAAAGGAAAAAATACCTTCATATTTCTCCTTTTCCCATCTCCCCAGAGACTTTTTTCTCCTTATTTGTTGGCATATGTCTTTCCATACTCTTCAATGCATATATATTCACAGGATAACATTATATGTGGTATTTTAGAACCACATTTCTAACATTCCATTTATCATGTTTTGTATTTGCATAGTATTCCATTTCGTAGTTGTACCATAATATCTTTAGACAATGCTTGTGGTCAAATAATTTCCCCCAATATTTTACTGTTACAAAAAATGTTTCGATGAACATTTTGGTCTAAAGTTGATGGATCAAGGAATATAGGGGTCATTATAAGTTAACAAATACAGCGTCAGATCATGGTACTACTCTGCTGAAAATCCCCCTTGGCTCCCATCTTACTCAGAGCCAAAGCTAAGGTCTTTACCATGACCTAAAATACCCTCAGCCATCCGGAGTGTGCATGTATGCATACACACAGACATGTACATGCCACTCACTCCTGCCTCTCTAGCTCATCTTCTCCTGCTCACCCCTGACTTGTTCCCCTGAAGCTATTCCTGGAATACACCAGGCAAGCAAGCCCCTGTGTCAGGGCCTTGGCACTTCTTCCTTCTGCCTATAACAATTCCTCCAAGTATCCACAGGCTTCCTCTTTCACTTCCTTTGTTGCGTTGGCTCAGATATCGCCTTATCTGAGTGCCCTTCCTTAACTATACAATACAAAATAAGTTCATGAATCTGCCCTCACCCCTACATTCCCTGTTTCCTTTACCTTGTTCTATTTTTCTATAACATTTACCTGACAAATCTTATGTTTGTTTATTGTCACTCTTCTTCCAGAATGTAAGCACTGTGAAGTCAAGGACTTTGTTAGTTTTGATCACTATTGTATCCATGGGTTCTAAAGCACTGCCTGGCACATAGTTGGCACTCAGTAAGCTAAGAAATAATAAGACTAACATATTGGGATTGTGGCAAGGAGGTAAGTATACTCCACTTTTTCAAGGGGATTATAAAGGGCATCATTTTTAGGTGGGAGATATTGGACATAGGAGTTTGTGAACCAAGAGACAGAGAAAGATGTTACTTGGAGATATGGAGGTTATAAGTATCAGAAGATTAGAAGTTCCGGGGATGTTTTAAAGTAAAATTTTTCCCATTGCAAAATAATAGATATCTGTTGTAGGAACGTTTAGAAATACAACTAAAGCACTTTTTGCTTTACTTGGAGTGGGTGGGACTGGAATTGGGAGGAGGGGCCATGGAGAGGCTGCTTTTTTTCATTGTGCATCTTTCTGTAAGACGTGAATTTATACCATGTACACCAATTACTTAAATAATAAGAGCATGTTTGGACTTCCAGTTTCTGGTGATGGCTGGTTATGAAAACTTGAAGAAACAAAATAATGGCTTTTTTTAAGTGAAGAACTAAAAAAACATTGAACTTCCAGGCCAGTTTTTGGATAAAAGTCTATAACCAGGGAGGGAAATGGAATACTGGAACAAAAAGCTGCCTGTGCTGAGACAGCAGTTGCTGATACCACAAACACTTGTCTGCTGTTTCTGTGGCCTGGCTGAGCCAAGAAAACATGTTAAAGCACAGAGCCCACGCAAGACAGTGTGCTTGCAGGAGACCCTACCAACAGGAATCGGATAACAAGGAGCTAAAGGTAAGGAGGAGTCAGAGCTGAACCCAGTGCCCTCTTCCCAGCAGTTGTAATGAACTGTGGCTACCTTGGTGCTCTTGGAGCAGGGAGGAAAAGAAATAGAAAATACAATTTCCCTGGAAGGCCTGTGCATATCTGCTTCCCTGAAGATTAGCTTCTCAAATATACATAGCTGGTTGGGCCAAGGATTCTCAAAATCTGAATTCGGCAGAAGCACAGCAAGATCTCTCTGGAAGAGGGCTCATCTCAAGCGTCAGGAGACTCCCGTTAAATACTTATTCAAGAATAATGTGTGGCAAGCGATAAAGATTACAAGTTACCCAAGCAACTTGAATATGAATGAGAATAGAAAATCACAGAAGCCCAGCTTCTTCCACTTAGCATAATCATTTGAGTCATCCATGTTGTCATGTGTATTCAGCAGCTTGGTCCTTTTAATTGCTGAGTGGCAATCCATAGTTTACTCATCCATTTACTAGTGGAAGATTTGTGTTGGTTCCAGTTTTTAGTGACAGTGGTTAAGCTGCTGTTAACATTCACCTAGAAGTTTTTTTGTTTTGTTTTGTTTTGTTTTTGAGACAGAGTCTCGCTCTGTCGCCAGGCTGGAGTGCAGTGGTCCGATCTTGGCTCACTGCAACCTCCGCCTCCCAGGTTCAAGTGATTCTCCTGCCTCAGCCTCCCTAGTAGCTGGGATTACAGGCACATGCCACCACGCCCAGCTAATTTTTGCATTTTTAGTAGAGACTGGGTTTCACCATGTTGGCCAGGATGGTCTTGATCTCTTGACCTCATGATCCGCCTGCCTCTGTCCCGCAAAGTGCTGGGATTACAGGCGTCAGCCACTGCGCCCGGCCTCACCTAGAAGTTTTTATGTGAATCAAAGATTTTGTTTCTCTTGAGTACATTCCTAGGAGTGGGATAGCTAGTTATATGATAAATATGTATATATACTTAGTAGGAAATTGCCAAACAGGTTTGCAAACTGGTGGTGCCACTTTGCATTCCCACCAAAAATGTATGAAAATTCCAGGTGATTGGCATCCTCACCAGAATTTGATATTGTCTGCAGTTTTGATGTTTTTGCTATTTTTTTGTTTTGACTTGGGTATACGGTGCATTTCATTGTGTTTTTCATTTTCATTCTCCCAATGCAAATGATGTTGTGTATTTTTTCATATTCTTCTTTGCTACAGGTATATTTTCTTTAGTGAAGTGTCTATTCAACCCTTTGGCACATTTTTGAAAAACTGGATTGTATGTTTTCTTACTGAATCTTGAGAATTCTTTGTATATTCTTGATACAAATCCTTTATCAAAAATATGGTTTTGGCCAGGTGTGGTGGCTCACGCTTGTAATCCCAGCACTTTGGGAGGCCAAGGTGGGCAAATTGCTTGAGCCCAGGAGTTCGAGACAAGCCTGGGCAGCATGGTGAAACCCCATCTCTACAAAAAAAAAAAAAAGTACAAAAAATACAAAAAATTAGCCAGGCATGGTGGTGGCACACGCCTTTTGTCCCAGCTACCTGGGCGGTTGTGGCTGTAGTGAGCCATGATTGTGCTGCTGCACTTCAGCCTGGGAGACAGAGTGACACCCTGTCTTTAAAAAAAAAAAAATTATATATATATATATATATATGTCAAATATATATATATATATGTCAAATATATATATATGTCAAATATATATATGTCAAATATATATGTCAAATATATACATATATATGTCATATATACATATATATGTATATATATACATATATATGTCATATATATAACATATATATGTCATATATATACATATATATGTCATATATATATACATATATATGTCATATACACATATATATGTCATATATATACATATATATGTCACATATATATACATATATATGACATATATACATATATGGCATATATACATATATATGGCATATATATACATATATATGGCATATATATACATATATGTCATATATACATATATATGTCATATATATACACATATATGTCATATATATACATATATATGTCATATATATACATATATATGTCATATATACATATATATGTCATATATACATATATATGTCATATATATACACATATATATATGTCATATATATATACGACATATATATATGTCATATATATATACATATATATATATGTCATATATATATACATATATATATGACTTGCAAGTATTTTCTATTTTCTCCCAGTCTGGCTTGTTCTTTTGTTTTCTTAGCAATGTCTTTTGAAGAGCAGACATTTAAAATTTTGATGGAAGTTCAATTTATTGGGTCTTTTTCTTTTTTGAATTGTGCTTTTGGTGTCAAATCTAAGAAATGTTTGGTAAACCCAAAGTTACAAAGATCTGTCTTCTAGAAAAGAGGTGAGCAAACTTTTTCTGTAAAGGGCCAAATAGAAAATATTTTAGGCTTTACAGGTCATAGTCACTGTTGTAGCATGTAAGCAGCCATAAAATACATAAATGAATAGGTGTTCAGTAAAACTGTTTTTACAAAAACAGATAAAGATTTGGCCCATGAGCCTTAGTTTGCTAACTCTTGTTGTAGAAGATTTAGGTATTGCAGTTAAGGTATGATCCATTTCTAGTTACTTTTTTTATGTGGTGCAAGCAATGGGTGGAGAGTTTTGTTTTTGTTTTTGTGTATGTATATACACTTATTCTAGCATTATTTGTTAAAAAGACTGTTCTTTATCCACTGTATTATCTTTACACCTTGTTTAAAATCAGTTATTCATGGGTGTGGATTTATTTCTGAATTTTCTTTTCTGCATCTGTGTCTGCCCCTTCTTTATGACTATACTGTCTTAATTACTGTGGCTTTGTAGTAAGTTTTGAAATTGGGTAGTGTGAGTCCTCCAGCTTTATTTTTTTTTTCCTCAAATGTTTTAGTTTTTATAGCTCCTTTGCCCCTCCATATAAATTTTGGAATCAGCCTATTAATTACTACCAGACTTCCTACTGGGATTTTGATTGGGATTGCATTGAACCTATAGATCAATTTTGACATCTTAACAATATTGAGTCCTGTTACCAGTGAATGTAATATATCTCACCATTTATTTCAGTTTTTTGTTTGTTTGTTTTTGTTTTTTTTGAGACAGAGTCTCTCTCTGTCACCCAGGCTGGAGTGCAGTGGTGCAATCTTGGCTCACTGCAACCTCCACTTCCTGGGTTCAAGTGATTCTCCTGCCTCAGCCTCCTGAGTAGCTGGGATTACAGGCACGTGCTACCACGCCCGGATAATTTTTGTATTTTTAGTCGAGATGGGGTTTCACCATGTTGGTTGGGCTGGTCTCAAACTCCTGACCTCGTGATCTGCCAGCCTCAGCTTCCCAAAGTGCTGGGATTACAGTCGTGAGCCACCACACCCAGCCTATTTCAGTATTTTAAAGTGTCTTTCATCAGCGTTTTATGGTTTTCAATATACAAATCTTTTACATAATTTGATAGGTTTATACTTGAGTATTCATGATTTTTAGTGCTATTGTAAATTGTAAATAATACTGTTTTAAAGTTTTTAATATTCAGTTCATTGCTGTTATATGAAACTGACTGATTTTTCTATATTTCCTTTTGTATCCTGTGATCTTCCTAAACTCACTTACTTGTTCTAGTAGCTTTTTTTTTTTTTTTTGTAGATTCTCTGGAATTTTCTGCATAGACAATTATGTTGTCCACAGATCGAAACCATTTATTCCTTTCTAATCTGTACGCCTTTTCTTTTCTTTTTTTCTCTTTTTATTGTTTGCTCCTCCTTCCCTTCATGTGTCACTTTCCACCTCTGTCCCTTCTCTCCCCTTCCCTCTCTCACTCCTCCCTTATTACATTGGCTAATATGAATAGATCTCACTACTAACAGCCGAGAGCCTTGCGTGTTCTTGAACTTAAAGGGAAAGCATTCAGTCTTTTGCTAAGAGGATTTATTATGACTGGATATTGAATTTTGGCAATTTTTTTCCCCATCAAATGAAATCATATGATTTTTCTAATCAGCTGATAGGATGACTTCCTTGATTAATTTTTGAATGTTGACCCAACTTTTTATGTATTTATGGATTCAATTTGCTAAAATGTGGTTGAAGACTTTTTATATGTATGTCTGTGAAGGACATGGTCTGTTGTTTTCTTGCAGTATCTTTGGTTTTGGTGTCAGGGTAATGGAGGGCTCATTAAGAAAGTTGAGAAGTGTTCTCTCCCCTTTCATTTTCTGAAAGAGTTTGTATAGAATGCTATAATTTCCTCTGCAATCTGTTGTACTGCTTTAGCTGCATCTCTCAAATTTTGATTTGTTGGTTGAAAAGAAGCCATGTAGGAATGTGGGGTCATCTGTATTGGGAGTGCAAATGATATGGTTTGGGTCTGTGTTCCCACCCAAATCTCACCTTGAATTGTAATAATCCCCACGTGTCGTGAGAGGGACCCAGTAGGAGGTAATTCATTCATGGGGGCGAGTCTTTCCCGTGCTATTCTTGTGATAGTGAAGAAGTCTCATGAGATCTGATGGTTTTATAAAGTGGAGTTCTGTACACGCTGTCTTGCCTGCCACCATGTAAGAGGTGACTTTGCTCCTTCTTGCCTTCTGCCATTGATTGTGAGGCCTCCCCAGCCATTTGGAACTGTGAGTCCATTAAGCCTCTTTCATTTGTAAATTACCCACGCTTGGGTATGTCTTTATTAGCAGTACGAGAACAGATTAATACAGTAACATACATCACAGTAGGTATGAGCCAACTACTTGTGCCTTGAGGTGGGCAGATTTCCTGAGTGAATGTAAACAGTTCTCGCAAATCAGTCTGGAGAATCTGAAGAGAACCAACTGACCATGGCCACAAGGCTAGCCCCAGTATTTGTTTCCACTCCTAGTAAGCTGTGCTAAAATCATTTCAGCAGAAGTATTTTGTTGACTTAAGGTTAGATTCCAAGTTTTAAAAGTTCTGAAGGTTGGGGCTAACAAATGTGAGGAAGCTTCGAATATGGGAAGGGACCTGTAGAAGAAAATCAGCCATCTAAGTTATTTAAAGTAACAGCTGTTAATTTTTATCAGTGAGGTCAGTTTAGAGATAAAAACAATCCAACACCTGTAATCCCAGCACTTTGGGAGGCAGAGGCAGGCGGATCACCTTAGGTCAGAGTTTGAGACCAGCCTGGGCAACATGGCGAAACCCCATCTCTACTAAAAATACAAAAATTAGCTGGGCGTGGTGGCGGGCACCTGTAATACCAGCTACTCGGGAGGCTGAGGCAGGAGAATCACTTGAACCCAGGAGGCAAAGGTTGCAGCGAGCCGAGATTGTGCTAATGCACTCCAGCCTGGGTGACAGAGCAAGACTCTGTCTTAAAACAAACAAACAAACAATCAAAAAATCCAGCAACAATTGATTTAGATTTGTAGAGCAGGAGCTATAGACTGAGAAGAACAAACGAGAATTTGCCTTTTTTACATGGCGTAGAAGGATCATGGGAGAATCAAATTATAACAGTGAGAACATGTAAACACAATCTGCGAGGCCTTTCGGTGCTTGCTAGGGGGCACCACAGTACAATAACATAAAGATCAGCAATAAGGTGGGAAAAATAAAGAAAAGCAGAGCTATCAGAAAAGTAATCTTGTTCTTCCGTGTTGGGTAGACGCCAACTACTTTGTGTCACCATCTCTTCAATCTGAGGGTCTTGGGTTATAGCGGCCTTCATCTATCTGATCATCTCCTCCCAGAGATTTTTAAGACTCAAGAGCTTCAGATCTCCTGAAAAGGTCCATTTCATCAAGACTCAAAGGGGTTTTTATTTTCTGATATTAAATGATTGTTTAAAATTTCTCATGTGATTTCTCAGATTTTATTATTCTATGTTTAGACAACTAAAAAGACTTTTTTCATAAGTTTTAAGGTAATTAAAATTTGGAAATGCCAAAAAAAAACCTAATTATTTCGTAGCTTCCTCCCCACCCCACACCCCCCCACCCTCTGTATAAAAAATGGCTTCTGGTATGTTTGTTTATTTTCACAGAAAAGTCTGAGAAGTGTGTTATGATTATTTAAAAAAAAAAAGTCTTAGAAAAGTTGAGGTTAGCTAAATAGAGTAGTAATAATTGAAGACTGTTTTCATATATGCCATCACACCCAAGGCTATCAAGAGGCAAATCTCAGGGTTGCCTTGTGGCCATTCTAGGATACCTGAAGAACATTTAGTTGTAAACCACACATTGGCAATTTTATTATTCTCAAGTTGGAAAAGGCAAAATAAGAGTTAACAAGCAGACAAAATATGAACATAAGTAAGAAGTACTAACTGCAGAAAATTTTTACAATATCATGAACACATAGCAACAGTAAGAATGATGGTGATAAGAAATTTAATTTTTTCAAAAAAACTTTATGTTAAAATGATTGAAGAGTGTGCTAGAGATTTCACACTTTTATTTTTGAAAAGAAACTCTTTGGGGATAGAATGAGATTGGTCATTTTACAGGAAGAGTATACTAATTTGAATTTGACTGTTTTGTTCTATCATCCAAATAATGATTTGCTCTGAAGGATTTTTCTTCCATGAATGTACCTTCCTAAATATTTGTTTAATGTAATATTTAAATATGTAATAAATTTGAAGTCTTAATTCAGGTTTAAAATACAATTACCTTTATGAACATATTAAGTAAAACAATATATATTACTGAATTTACCATCTTAATCAAATTGTTTCTCTAATAAACAGATAAGCCACGTTTGTTATCTCATGAGATACATATCTCATGTATTATTTTATAACTATGTTATTATCTTAACTGTTTTGTCAGTTACTACCTCAATGAAAATAACTCATTTCCTCTAAACACAGAGAACTGGAATACATACACCAAAAACTAGTTTTTTTCTCCATTAGTATACATTTTACATCTTATAAATCTTAAGATAGTAAAAATAAATTAATATTATCCAAAGGCAATTGCACTTGGTTTCTCTTTACTCATCCTTTAAAATAAAGGGGACAAGTATAAAACCAGGTTTCCTGACCAGTTTTGTATATTTTTCTTACTTAGAAATTGTCAAAGTATCTAAACATTGTTTATTAACTCTATTTAATATTAGTCTAAACTTGTAAAGTTAACTGTGGATCTGGAAACTAAAGCTCATATTAAGTCTTTATGGTTTGCAGCATTAATAAGAATTTCACATGATTAAATCTATTTGACCCATAAACCAGTGCAAGAATTTTAGAGATTTTAAATCCTAAAAACATTAAATCCAATTCTCATACAAACTAGCACTTTGTACTAACATTTTTACATGATGATAAAGTCAATAAGACAATATAGAGCTGTTTTTTAAACTAAAATCATTTCAATTTGTCCAAAGGGATATGATCATAAATGTTACATGAACTCTTTTAATAGAATTCATTCTAATTTTGATACATGATGAAACTATGTATTCATAAACCAAAATTTTAAATCATGTCAAAAGGTTTTAAGTTTCCTGCTTTTTGTATCTTCCAACCTAGTAACCAAGACCATTATTCAAACTAACAGTTAACTTTTTTCTCCTATATTAGTTTTAGGAAGAAAAATTTAAAGAACCAGTGCCAGTAAAACTTGACAATTTTTAAAAACTCGTTTGAATTTTATCTGGACTGTATGAGTATGTAAATAACATCATAATACTTTTTTATTAATTCACATGTTTTTCTAAGAGCAGGAGACAGAGAAGTAGAAGGCAGAAAATGAGAGCCAGCTATGGGAAGGTCAGACAGGGCAAAAGCTAACCTACCACCTGAAAATGTTACAGTTCTGAAAAATTGAATCTTTTAAATACAATTGTGGGATTTATAGTATTACCCATGTCAATTTGAAGAGTTTGTTTCTGTCCTACTATTAAAGATACTTATCTTCTTGGGCTAAGTGGATCGTTGGAATTTGGATGCTACAGTACCCGTTTGGTGACCCCTTTTATAATCACTCAGAGGCTTCTGGTTCTTTCTCTTCTTGACTAGAATGGAACCATTTTCCAGTGACTTTTTAAATTCACAATATGAAGTTTTTGTATCCTAGACCCACAAAAAGATGAGCTGCTTGACAGAGGTCAAGAAGGTTGTGGAGTGGGTGGGCTGGGACAGGATTCGGGAATCCTTAGCAGTGGCACAAAGTTCTGAATACAGCCTGCGTTAGACATGGACATATTGGGAAGTATTTGGGTCTTCTTCGTATGGAGACTGCCATTTTAAGGGACTTTGAGTTAGACTGTATATTTCAGAGGCTGGAGGAGGAGGAGGGAAGACGAGAGATACAAACAGAAAAGTGTGGAACAGTATTTGGGTGGATCAGCAAGTGAGGCAGATTTTAAGTATTTCTTATTTTATTGGCCTAAATGCAGTCTTCTAGGGAAGGGTAAAAGTCTGGATTATATTTAGAAGCCTCTTCATACCAATTTTTTAAGCTGTATTTTAAAATAAATTTTATACTCATGAAGAATTGCAAAAGCCAATACCACCAATTCCTGTGTGTCTTCACCCAGGATTCCCCAGATGCCCCAATGACAAGATCTTAGGTAACCTTGATACATTATCAGTACTAAGTAATGGGCATTGATTAATGCTGTTAACTACACTGCAGACTTTATTCGAATTTTGTTACATGTCTTTTTCCAGTGTATATTTATATGAAATTTAGTTATGTTATAGATGCATGGTAACTACTGCCATAATCAGTATACAGAATATCCTATCACCACAAAGTCTCTTATGCTACAGTTTTATAATCATACCTTCACAGATGTGACCCCCAGCAACCACTGATGTGTTCTCCGTCACTATCATTTGGCCATTTCAATAGTGTTAGGTAAATGGCATCATGCAGTACATAGCCTTTTAAAATTGGCTTTTTTTTTTTTGTACTCAGCAAGTATCCTTGAGAGTCCTTCAGCTTGTCACATGCATCAGTAGTTTCTTCTTTTTTATTGCTGAGTAGTATTCCATTGTGTGGACGAACCACTGCTTATCCATTCACTTATTGTAGGACATTGTGGTTATTTCTAGCTTTCAGCTATTATAAATAAAGTTGCTATAACCATTTGTGTAGATTTTTGTATGGAAATGTGTTTTTATTTCTGTAGGATAAATACCCAGCAGACTTATGGCAAGTCTGTGTTTAACTTTATAAGAAACTGCCAAAATCTTTTTCAGAGTAGCGTTTTATATTCCCACCATCAGGATATGAGAGTTCTAGTTGTTCTACATCCTCACTAACAGCATTGTGGAGTTTTGGGCATTATTTATACATATTATTCTAATAGGTGTATAGTGGTATATCACCATGACTTTAATTTGCATTTTTTAGTAGCTACAATGTTAAACATCTGTGTTTAACATTGAATACCACATGCCATTTGAATATCCTCTTTAGTAAAGTGTCTGGTTTTGTACATTTTCTAATTGGATTTTTTGTTTTCTTACTGTTGTATTTAGAGTTATTTATATATTCTGGATATAAGGTCCTTGTCCGAACTGCGAATTGGAAATATTTTCTCCCAGTCTATACCTTGTATTTTCATCCTCTTAACGTGGCCCTTCTCAGAGCAAAAGGATTTGGTTTTGATAAAGTCTACTTTATTGATGTTTTTCTTTTATGGTCATGATTTTAGCATCATGTCTAAGAACTCCACCTAATCCTAGCCTATTAAAAGATTTATGGTTTCACTCTTCACATTTGGATCTGTGATCCATCTTGAGTTAATGTTCGTATTAGGTGTGAGGTTTAGGTTTAGGTTTGTTTTTATGACCAAGAATGTGCAGTTACTCTAACACCATTTGTTGAAAAAATCTTTTCTCCTTTGAATTGGATTTGCCCTTTTGTTAAAATCAGTTGGCCACAGTTGCATGGGTCTATTTCTGGACACACTATTCTGTTCCTTTGATCTGCATATCTGTCCCTCCACCAGGACTTCATTGCCTTAACTGCTATCACTGTATAGTATTAGAAGACTGAATATTGTGATTCCACCAGCTTTACTTTCTTTTGTGTTTTTTATGCTTTCATGTAAATTTGAAAATTTTCTCATATCTACAAAAACTCCTTCTGAGGTTTTGATGAAAGTGGTATTAAGCCTCTGGATCAACTTGAGGGGAATTGACATCTTCAATATGTTGAATCATCTTTCAATCCATAAGCACAGTTTGTTTCTGTATTGACTTAGGTCTTTTTAAGATTTTCTTCATGAGAGTTGTGTAATTTTCTCCGTACAAATCCTATGCATAGTTTGTTCAATTTAGATTGAAGTTATTTTTTTGGAGCAGCTGTATAAAGGGTTTTGTGTTTCTAATTTCAGTTTCAATACATTTGTTGCTAGTGTATAGAAATAAGTTCCATTTGTGTGTATGTGTGTGTGTGAACTTTGTATCCTGCAACCCTGCTAACTCACTTATTAGTTGTTCCCTTCCCTGTTTCCCAGAAGAGATGGTATAAAGTTACTGTTACTTATTCTTTTAATGTTTGTTACAGTTCAGCAGTGATACCATCTGGGCCTGGAGATTTCTTTATCAAAAGGTTTTAAACTGTTAATTCAATTTTTTTAGTAGTTATGAGACTATTCAAGTTATCTGTTATCTTGGGTGTTTTTATAGTTTGGAATTGGTCCATATCATCTAAATTGTCAAATTTATGTGCATAGAGTTGTTTGTTGTATTCCTTTATTATCCTGTAATGTCTGCTGGGTCTGTAATAGTATTCCTTCTTTCATTACCAATATTGATCATTTATGTCTTTCTTGCACTTTCCCCCTTCTTAACTTCCTGTCTCCCCTCCTCTCCTCTCCTCTCTCCTTCCCTCTTCTCTTCTTCTCCCCACCTTTTGTCAGCCTTGCTTGAGGTTGATCAATGTTATTGATCTTTTCAAAGAATAAACTTTTGCTTTCATTTTTCTCTATTGTTTTTCTGTTTTCAATTTCATTGACTTTTTACTCTTACGTTTATTCCTTCCTCCTACTTGCTTTGGGTTTATTTTGCTCTTCCGCTTGTAGTTTCTTGAGGTGGAAGCTTTGTTTTGGATCTGAGACCATCTTCCAATATAAGCATTTAGTGTTAAATTTATAAATTTCTCTAAAAGTGAAACTGCTTTAACTGCATCCCAAAGATTTTTATATGTTGTATTTTCATTCCCTTCAGTGTATTTTTACATTTCCTTTGAGACTTTCTCTTTGACCATTGGAGTATTTAAAAGTGGGTTGTTTAATTTCTAATTGTTTTGTGATTTTCCTGGTATCTTTCTGTTATTATTGATTTCTAGTTAGATTCATTATGAACAGATAATATATTTTTTATGATTTCAGTCCTTTTAAATTTGTGAAGGTTTGTTTTACATGACCCAGGATAGGATGTGGTCCATCTTGGTATCTATTTATTAGTTGCCAAGGCCATTTTTTCCTTGCTGAGGGGCTTGGCTTAGAGATAACTTACATCTCTTTTGCCCACATTCCAATAGTTAGAGCTAAATCATATGGCCACACCTAACTGCACAGAAGGCTGGGAAATAGATTTTAGCTGTGTGACTTAGAAGGAAATGGGAATCAAGTCTGGAAATTACATAACACTCTCTTGTTTTTGACTTTTTTAAAATTTTCTCCCTTTATTCCCATTCCCAATCCTATAGTTATTTAACTACATACCCTAGTGTATTTAATATATGTCCTTCTGATCTACCTTCTGTACATTGAATTAGATTTTTATGAATCTTTCAAAAATACCTAAGATTTCTTTTAGTTTTTTTTTACATGTTTATAAATGGTTATTGTCTGATATAGTTTGGATGTTGTATCCTCTAAACCTCATGTTGAATTGTAATTCCCTTTGTTGGAGGTAGAGCCTAATGGGAGGTGACTGGATCATGGGAGCAGAGTTCTCTTGGATGGTTTAGCATTATCCCCTTGGCGCTGTCTTTGCGGTACTTCTAGCAAGATCTGGCTGTTTAAAGGTGTGAGGCATCTTTCCCCTCGCCCTCTGTTGCTCCTGTTTTCACCATGTGACATGCCTGCTCCTGCTTTGCCTGCTGCCATGAGTAAAAGTTCCCTGACGCCTCTCCAGAAGCTAAGCAGATGCCAGCACCATGCTTCCTGTACAACCTGCAGAACTGTGAGCCAATTAAACCTCTTCTCAGGTTTTTTTTTTTTTTCTCAGTCTCAGGTATTTTTTTATAGCAGTGCAAAATCGGCCTAATATATTGTCTGTATAGCATTCTGATGATTAGTTCTTCACTGTGTATTAAGATTGACTTATGTTGCTGCATGTATGGCTAATTCATCCCTCTGACTGCTTCAGAAATATTCCACTTTATTCATATTTATTCAACATTTTACTTATCTATTCCCCCGTGTACTAAAAGTCAAAAGCATTACTAATTTAATAATGTCATATTTGTTCTTCTAATTATTTTTTGCTGCATAACAAAGCACTCCTAACTTAGTGGCTTACAATGATAACAGTCATTTATTTTATTCAAAAATCTGCAATTTGGGCTACAATTGGCAGAACAGCTCATCTTTGCTCCTTACAGTATTGGCTGGAGTTGGCGATGACTCAGCAGATCAAGGCTGGAAGACTCATTCTCGTCAGGTGGTTGACGTTGGCTGTCAGTTGGAACCTCACCTGGGGCTGTTTGCCAGAACACCTACACATGGCATGTCCATGGAGCTATTTGACTTCCTCACTGCAATGGCTGGGTTCCAAGAGCAGTTATCCCAAGAGAACAAGGCAGAAGTGCATGACTTTTAGAATCTTGTCTCACAAGTCACACAGAGTCACTTCCACCATCCCCTGTTGGTCAAGGAGGACATGAAGGTCTTCCTAGGAGCACGGGGAGAAGACAGACTTCTACCACCTGTTGGAAGGAGTGTCAGTGTTACATAGCAAGAGAAGCACATGGAATGGGATGTATTGTGATGCCCATCTTTGGAACAGACAATTTGGCATATCTGTGAAAATTAAAAGTCTGATTTGGATATAACAAATGAGACTGATTAGCAAAGATGTCTAATTATAAAAGTTAAAGTTAAATTCCAAATATACTTTTTTTTTTTGCCAAAGACCAAAGACTAGGTTATAGCCAAGGAATTCTGGCTCCCTATATCCCTAGGCTTTTTTTATTTTTATTTTTATTTCTTTTCTGAGATGGAGTCTCGCTGTGTCACCCAGGTGCAGTGGCACTGTCTCGGCTCACTGCAACCTTCACCTCCTAGGTTCATGCGATTCTCCTGTCTCAGCCTCCTGAGTAGCTGGGATTACAAGCGCACACCACCACACCTGGCTAATTTTTTGTATTTTTAGTAGAGATGGGGTTTCACTATGTTGCCCAGACTGGTCTTGAACTTCTGACCTCATGATCTGCCTGCCTTGGCCTCCCAAAGTGCTGGGATTACAGGCGTGAGACACCGTACCCAGCCCCTAGGCTTTATTTCTAAGGTTATCAATACCTTCTTCCCCTTGATCCTTATTTTTTATGTGATCAACATAATACATGAGATCAACCAGTTCAAGCAACACGATTACAAAACCTATGCACACCTTGAGTGTAATAAAGAGAAACAGAGCTTTTTTCTCTTTAGAAAATATATCACATGAGAAAACAATAGTAACTAGTTCTCAACCTCTTTATCCTTTTCTTTTGCGCCGCTGGCCAGAAGATCTCTGATGTATTGGGCATTCTGACTAGATACCTTCAGTATACACATGACTATTCTGAAAGCTTATTATCTACATCACTAGAAAATAGATCCATAACTTTTGCAGTCCTTGTGCCTTTTTCTCTGAACTTGTCTCTCCTGAGACTCTATTAAATACAATGGTGCTTGAGGAAAACACTGCCAGAATAGCTCTGCCTCTCATAAGGTGATGTAAGAAAAATGGGAAAAGTGTTCTAGCAAAGTGGTCATGAAAAGATTGTAGTGAGTTCAACCCTGTCAAGTCCTGATTTATGTATATCATTTTACCCATTTCTCTTAAAGTCCAGAAAGTTCATACCCAAATGGATGAAAATGCTGATCACTCTTCCTTTTAACTACATAAAGCTTTCACCAAGGCAGAAAATCACAGCTAAAAAATTAACATAAGATGGACCAACCCGATTTGTTTCTTTTCTTGAATTGCTAAGCCAAGACGAGATGAGTGTTGGGCCTTTGTTTTTATTTTTTAATGGGTAATTTCAAATATATATGAAAGTAGAGAGGATGGTTCAGTCATTCCTCAGTATCTGTGAGGGATTGGTCTGAGGACCCCCTGTGAATACCAAAGCCTGCCGACACTTAAGTCCCTGCTATAAAATGGCACAGTATTTGCATATAACCCATGCACATCCTCCCACATACTTTAAATCATCTCTAGATTACTTGTAGTACCTAATACAATGTAAATGCTATGTAAATAGTTGTCATACTGTGTTGTTTAAGGAATAATGACAAGAAAAAAAAATCTGTACATGCTCAGTACAGACACAACCATCATAGACCTAACTACACTTTTGATCTGATTTGAATCCGCAGATGCAGAACCCTACAGAGGGCTATGTAGTGAAATGCCCCACCCATCCCCTAACTTCAGCAATGACCAACCCATGGCCAATCTTGTCATCTGCACTCATCCCCAAATTTAATATATTTGGGGATGTCATCTGCATCCCCAAATATATTAAAATGTATTTAAAGCAAAACCTTGATATCATTTCATCCATAACTGCTTCAATGTGTATTTCAAGAAAGGGACTCTTTAAAAACATAACTACAATACCATTATCGCACATTTTAAAATTAGCAGTTGTGGAGGCAAAAGGTGTGTCTATAACTGGGGAGAATGAAGCAAAGAATATAAGTGGACATAGAACACGAAAAACAAAACAAAAGACTGAGTCTCTGAAGTCCTGAAAGGGGTTCCAGTCCACAGGTCTCCCTTTGATGTTGAGAGTCACCTCATCTCTTTGTATCATTCTAATCCCTTCTTTTTGTATTACACTGAGTTGGACTTCAGTAATTTTTTTTGAGACAGTCTTGCTCTGTCGCCCAGGCTGGAGTGCAGTGGCACGATCTCGGCTCACTGCAAGCTCTGCCTCCTGGGTTCATGCCATTCTCCTGCCTCAGCCTCCCAAGTAGCTGGGACTATAGGTGCCCGCCACCAAGCCTGGCTAATTGGACTTCAGTAATTTTAATTTGGAAGCATCATGGCTAATACTACTGCTATCTGGACAGCTTAGTGTTACTCTTCCCTCCATATTTTTTGATTTGTTTATCATACCATTCAATTTAGTTAATGCCAGTAGCTACCGTTTATCGAACACCGATCATGTACCCGGCACTCTACCACGTGTAGAGATTAAACTACACCAATTTCACAACAACCCAATGAAAAAAGTATTTCCCTATCTTGTAGATAAAGAAATGAAGGTCTAACTGGATTAGGTAATATTCCCAGGTTAAACACTTAACAAGTGTGGAACCAAAATCTCACGCAGATCTTTCTGGCCCTCAGCCTGTTCCCACTATGCCATGCTGCATCTGACAAACGTGATTTTTATTTTCTAAAAAAGCCAGTACAATTCTGTGGTGCCTGCTGTTCATCATATTGTTTCCTCATCTTCCTAGGCGCGCAACTACTCCTTCATGGCACTTAGCCTTGGTCCCGTGATTGGGTTCTAGCCTATGGAATATGAGTAGGAGACATGTCATGTTTCTTGGCTGGGCCCAATAAAACTTCCCATTTGCTGTCCTTTTTGCTCTCTCTGCTTTTGCCGTCTGGCTGATGATGCCCAAGGTGACCTTGGGAACCACACATTGGCGATGACAGACGGACATCCTGAGTCTCTGAGTGACTGTATGGGACAGAGCCGCCTGCCACCAATCTGAAACCTCTTTGGACTGTTCACATGAGCAAGAGATAAACTTCTATTGTATTTAAGCCGTTGTATATTTAGCATTCTATTTATTATTACAGCAGTTAGCCTTCCTTAACTTTTATGTACTGTTTCAATTATCTTTTACTGGGTAACAAACTACCCCCAACATTTAGCGACTTAAAACCACAGTCTTAAATTAACTCATGATTCTGTGAGTCAGAAATTTGGGCTCTTGCCCCTACTTGTTCATGCGGCTACAGTGAGCAGGTGGGAAGCTGGGGGCTAGTTGGTCCAGCATTGCCTCACTCACATGTCTGGAAATAGGTGCTGGCTGGACTGTGTGTCTCCAGCAGGCCTGCCTGAGATTTTTCACATGTTGGTGGAAGTGTTCCCAGCAGCAAGAGAGGGCAAGCCCCAATCTGCAAGTATGTCTCAAGCTCCTGCTTGCATCGTGTTTGCCGATGTGCCATTATTTAGTGAGTCACCTGCGTAGAGGGGAGTATGATTTATTGGGGACTATTTACTGCAAAAATCTGCCATATGTACAAGAGTTAGGCAAATCATTTACGTATATACAACATATTAGTCACATATTTAATACCAGAGTCCCACTCTGAGACTGTTTTCATAATCCCTGAATCAAGTTCTATTTAATAATGTAATCGTTTATTTTTTACTTTTCAGGTCTATATATGAGAATAAAATAATTACCAATACATCATACATTTAGGTTAGTAGAATTGGGAATTAAAGAAATGAACCCAGTTTCATCTTTGCCATTAACATTGAGCTCCCTTTGTTTTAAGTCAGATGCAGTTGCAGTAACCCTCCCTAGACTCCATAACCCTCTTGAGCTACTGTCATATCCTGTCCCTTCCATATCATATTTCTTTCTTTCCTTTTTTTTTTTTTTTTTTTTTGAGATGGAGTCTTGCTCTGTCACCCAGGCTGGAGTGCAATAGCGTGATCTTGGTCACTGCAACCTCTGCCTCCCAGGTTCAAGCGATTCTCCTGCCTCAGCCTCCTGAGTAGCTGGGATTACAGGCATCCACAACCACACCTGGCCAATTTTTATATTTTTAGTAGAGACGGGGTTTCACTGTGTTGGTCTTGCTGGTGTCAAGCTCCTGACCTCAGGTGATCCACGGGCCTCAGCCCCGCAAAGTGCCAGGATTACAGACATAAGCCACTGTGCCCCAGCCCACATTGTATTTCTTGAAGGATATCCTCATCTTCCAGTTATTTCTCAATCCTTTTCAGTCTGGCTTCCTTGCATTAATTTATGAAAACAGCTCTTATGAGGGTGACCCATGACCTTCCTGTCACTAAATCCATGAGCATGAAACTTTCTTACTGGTGGTTGACTTCTTCTCAACACCACGCCACCATCCGTCTGCTTTTCCTTCAACCTTTCTGGCCTTGTCTTAGTTTCCTTTGAAGACTCATCCTCCTTTACCTTGTCTTTAAGTGACAGAATTCCTCAAGACTTCGTGCTTGGTCTTTTCTCACTCTACTCTTGCCCTAGGTTGGCCTCATCTTTGACCATGTCTTCAATACTATCTATATCCTGTTGAGTCCCAAACTTGTTTCTCTACCTCAGGCCTCTGTTATGCCCCAGCCCTGTGTATCTCCAGTTGTTTATCTCACATGCACCTCAAACTCAATTTATGTCCACACCGGCCCTGTGCTTCCTCCTCATTCACCCTTCCCTCCAAACAAAATCCAGTTCTTTTCTAGTAGTTTCAAAATGACCCCACAATCCAAAAGCCCGTGAATCATTCTTGACTCCCTGTACCATCAGTGCCCCCTGTGCCATCCTTCACCCATTCCGGTGGTGCCCCTTTCTATTCTGGGAAAATCTCCCACTGTGAGTCATCTGGGTGGGTGACTGCCCCAGCTCCCACTATGAAAGACAAAGGGGCTAACATCCTCCCTCTCTCTGTCTCCTGTCAGCTAAGGCATTGCCTGTGACCTGACCTTGGTTGATTGGCTGTGTCTGCCAAGAACTTTGAATATTAAGAGTAAAACCAAGACGGTACTATTAGAAGTCATTCATGAATGTATCAGTGGAGTACTGGTGGTGTTGATCCTGCTTCCTGTATTTCTTAGCCTTCCAGAACTATCTTGGTTCCTGCCCCCCCCACCACATTTTCCATGCTGGTGTGCTAGCCCCCAGTGGATTTATCCTATAAATGCCCCCATTTGCTTAAGATACCCAGAGAAGGATGTTGTTATTTGCCACCAGAGAAGCTGTGACCAATATAGGCACTGATGTTCCAGGTAGATTCAGATGCCATCACAAAATTTTCTCCACTAATCGGCGACCTAGCCACAGAATGCACAAAACAGCTCTCAAGATCTCTGCATGCAATATCAGTGCCTATGGGTCCCTGTGGCTATTTCTTAGTGCTGCCCATGAGCCACCATCATCTCTGCCTCAACTTCTGCGAGAGCCTCCCAGCTGGTTGTCTCATAAGGTCCTCAACTTCATACTGCAGCCAAAGCCATCTTTTCGGAATGTAAACCTGTTGGTGCCACTCCTCTCTGATGAAATCTTTCAGGGGCTTCAGATTTCTGTGAAAGACCAAAATTCTTAAACTTTTTTGACCTTTACTCGCAATAAAGACAGTTTATATTGAAACTCAGTACACTTGATGTATATTTTATAAAAGTGTCACAAGACAATACTTACCCTTTATTTGATTAACAAATACTTGCATGGCAGTTACTGATTGCCAGACACTGTTCTTGCTGTGCTGTGAATAGTAACTCATCTAGTCCCTGTAAGAACCCATGCGATGCACATGTTCTTATGACCACTTTAAAGCTGAAGCCACTTGGGCACAGAGAGGTTCAGTTGCTTGTCTGAGGTTGTACAGTTAATGAGTGGCAGTCTGGGTCCAGACCCGTGCTTTTCACTGCTTCTTGGTGCTACTCTGTGGTGGACTCTGATATTCTATTCTGTTTCATTTTTTAAAAACAGAGGTTGGGCGTACACCCCATTGCTTTCACAACCTCCTAGCAGGTCACAGTATACAGTTTAAGAAACACTGGCCTGTCTTGGGGTGGGCCCTTACCTTGTATTTCCCAGCTCCACCTGTGCTGTGCTCCTCCTTGAGTTCTATGATCCAGTTTTCATGGCCAGGCTCCTCGGAGCCATGGGGCCTTGGCCCATGCTGTTCATTTACTGAACCTCACTGTCCTCCCTGCAGATTGTGTCCTTGATTTCAAGGGAGAACGGTACGCCTATGATAGGCCCTGAAAGCCCTTGCACCTTTCCTTGGGCACTCATCATGGTTGCAGTTTGGCAGTTACCCACTTGGTGGTTTGAATAAATATATCCATCTTCCCCACTAGACCGTATGTGCTGCGAGTGTAGGCTCTCTGCGTGTTTTTAGTTCACTGTTGAGAGAGGTGATCTGCCCTGAGTCCTGAGCATCCAGCACATTCTTGCTGGGTAAGCACACAAGGCGAGGCCCTGACCACTCTACTCAGACTGCTTCTCAGCAGACATTATGTTCGCAGCAGACAACCTTGAGGATAAAGTAGTAGCTCCCTCCAGTTCGGAGAGCAGACTTGCTACTGCTTGCTATAAAATGGCAGGCTCCTCAAGCTCAGTGTTCTTCAGCTGCCATGCAAAGCCACTGTATGTGTAGCATCCACCTGTGCCCCAGCACACTGTCTTCGTGGGCTACGGGGCACAGGGGCTGATGCAGACATGCTCGTGCTCATGTTGTCTACTGTTCTGTCGATCATAAAGTCCTGTGCTTCTGACCCAGGAGGCTTGCGTCCTGTGCCAGCATCCACAAAACAGTAACAGTCTAACTTACTAACTTGCAAGTAGGGTAAAAAGTCCAGACATGACACTAACCATTTCCTATCAGCCAGCACAGTACCTGGCCTAAAGCAGATGTTCAGTATTTATTTGTGAAACAAATGGATGGTTGGATAGATAGAAAGTAGATGGACTTTGAGCTCTGCTTAAGGTGTTGCAGGGATCAAACCCTTTCAGAAATGCCAACCATACCCTGGAATGATTCTGGAACTGTGGGGAAGACAATTGAGGAGAAATGAAGATTATCTTGACCTGAAGTTTCTCATCCTTTGTGTTTCTAAGTAGAGTTTTTGGATCAGCCAGCTCCTCTTCTGATATTAAACTATCTGACATGGGTAGTCCTGTGAGACAGTTGCGTTTTATTCTGAATTGCCTGAATGAGTCTGATGTCCCCAACACCTAGCGAAGCTCAGCAATGATGCATGGGGTGGGCTGATGTGGGAAGTAGGCAGCCCGGAGTGGCAGAGGCCTGGGTTCTATTTTAAAAGGGAATTCTGGGTATCACTGGGTCTCTTAGAGGGGGAGTTAGGGAGGGGGAACTGGAAAGTGAGAAAGGGAAGTTTGCACAGCAGCAAAGCCAAAGTTAGCCTCAAGTTCTCCCCAAAGGCCAGGTGGCAGTAATTCGGGACATGTTGCAGAAATTCATCTCTGAAGCAACTGGGACCAGAAGGCTTCAGGCAACAACTGTCCCTGCTAGGAGGGCCTGTTCCCCTTTCACAAACAGCACTGCTTTTCCTAATATAAGCACAGTTCTTGCACATAGATAAAACTGTCTTTAGGATAGAGTGAAAAGAGAATAAGAATGTTAAATTTATAACTATTAAGATGTATTGAAAGTTGAATAATGTGCAGAAAGCAAATCGCTCTACACAGAAAGAGAGGGTGATAGAAGGGTTCTTGGAGACAACAAGCATGAGAAGACTTATCTAGGGTTTGATGAGATTTTCAGTAAGAGCTTTATCATCCCCACAGGGGCAAAATTAATTCTTGGGAGACAAAAAGGAACTTAGTTATTCGATGGTTTGTGGCCTTCAGAGGGTTGCAGTTGTACATAAACAGAAACACAGTATATCAGTGGTATTAAAATTTCAAGATGGGAGAGAGATTGGGGAAAATATCTAAAATGTCTCCTTACAGGGGTGATAATGAGAAGCAATGGACTAGAGGATTCAAGTGGAAGAGTCTTCATCACCCGTGAGTTCTCCTGGGAAAGTGAATTGGAAACAAGCTAAGTGCATTTTCTCAGCAGAAGGAAGATCTTACACATCACCTAGTGAATATCCAGTTGGGAATCTGAAAGCAGCAGTGGGCAGGTGAGCTGTCCCCACAGCTGTTCAGCAGGTGATGAGCTTACTGGCTCCAGGAAACGTCAGTGTGCTTAGGATGCAGCTGATGGCCTTAGGCACCAGGCCAGTCCTCCCTGGACACATCAATAGGATGGTGGCAATAGAGGGTGGAAGTTAAGATTCCAGGAATTAGCCCACCCACGTCCTTCCTTGCTGTTCTATTCTGTTCTCATCTCCTTCCTTCCTACTCTCCTCTCCGGCTCACTCATTCATTTTTGCTGCAGGCAGGGGAATCAGGAGCAATGTTCATCAGTGAATGAAAGGAGTGCTGGAAAGAGAACCAAATGCTGACATCAAAGAACCTTCAATCATATGATTTTAGTGTGGAAAGCCAGATGATACACTCTAACATCTGTGAAATCAAATCAAAATGCAAATTGGTTTTTGGCTTTCCTGATCTATGTTTCTGGATATGTGTTCACTGGGACATGTGGCTTCTTGACAGAATAAGACTGAAGACAATTTCAAGTATAGACAATAGTTAGTTCCAATCCCACAGGTATTCAGCCTTGGAAATGGGTTCCAGTCTCTGGGCTTAAAAGACTGGACTTTGCTATCAGTTTGAAAATGGCAGTGTCGTAGAGGGGCTCTTAATGTTAGGAAGGATGGCCTGGCAGAGTCTCTTTTCTTCTCTTGCCCTATCCCTGATGCTCATTAAGGCAGTGCTAGAGGAAAAAGTTCTCATTAGGTAACAGGAGTTGCTACTGGGTACCGTTTAAAGTGCTTTACACCTATTAATTCATTTACTCACAACCAGACAATTCTGCAAGGGGAGCACTGTTTTATAAAACTCTTATGGATGGGGAGCTCAGGTACAGAAATGCTAAGTCATTTGTCCAAGCTCACACAGCTTCTGGTAGTACCGGGATTTGAACCCAGATCCTCAGTCTCCAGAGAACTTGCCACAATAGTGTTCTTTTAAGGTGCCCTCAGCCAACTCTTGCACTTATTGATATCTTTGAACTCATGGATGAATGGGCTTAAAATTGTTTTTAACACAATGTACTTTGGTTTGAGCCTTATTTAAATAGAACAATGTGCCAGTCACCAGACCCCATGCACGGTTGAATCCTTTGGCCACTTACATAATGGATTAATTACTGGACACATGCTGCCCTCTTGTGATGAAAGTCACTCAATTGCAACCTTCTCCACTTCTCTGGAATGTACCCAGTTACTTCCTTTGTTCCAGTCTCATGGTTGGGGGATGGAGGATCTGTAGCCAGTGACGAAGCTGTTGGCTCTGTAGAGCCAAGATGTCACCTGCCATTCTGTGTGGTGCTCCCGGGCTGTTGGCTCTGTAGAGTCAAGATGTCACTTGCCATTCTGCAGGGTGCTCCCAGCCTGTGACTCCAGCCATGAGACATGACCCCAGAGTCCTGCAACTTGTAGCAACTGAATATAGGAGAAAAGACCAGGCTTCCTGAAGAAATCCTAGGAACATTAAAGAGACCCCATCTGTGTCCTTGGGGAAAGAGCTCTATTTTGCATAACTTGCCCTAGCAGATTGGAACCAGTGATAGTGACAGAAGGCAGCCAAATGCCTAGGTAAATGGGACAGGTCCCAGGTGAAACCCCACCTTAAAGCCAAAAAACAGCCTGAGGGGTGAAAGGCCGGATTGCTGGTCCCTGATGAAACCCGCGACCTAGAGTGAGAACTTCTGTTTCTGTTTGCCCGCCCTTTCCTGATTGATTCTTTCTGAATAATGCCTTTTAACCAATCGAATGTTGCCTTTTCCAATACTACCTATGACCTGCCCCTTTCCCATTCTCAGCCCATAAAAGCCCCAGACTCAGCCACAGTGGGGGGACTTTCCCACCTTCAGGTAGGGGGACCACCCCTGTATCCCCTCTCCGCTGAAAGCTGTTTCATCACTCAGACTCCTTGCCTTGCTCACTCTTCGATTGTCAACATATCCTCATTCTTCTTGGGTGCGGGACAAGCACCCGGGAACCAGTGCACAAGCCAGACTTGTCCCGGGCAGGCTGTCTCCTGCAGCAGGGTAGCATGGCTGAGCAAGGCCCAGGTGGGGCGTCGCTGGCCAGAGGTCCCTGGCTTACAAAGTGGCCAAGAAAAAAATCCTGTGTCACCAGGTGATAGACTTGGCAGAAAGATGGTCAGTTGCAGAGTGAACTGAAGGTCACAAACCCTATCAGAACAGAGGGAAAATAAAACCAGACAGAAGCCCTGTTCTTGTTCTACCAGTAGTTAAAGTGACCTTGAGTGAGTATCTTTTGCTCTCTGACACCAGTTTCCTCACTGGGAGAATGAGGAGATTGAAATCTTAGATACTGCCAGGAAAAACATTCTGCATTTGCCTAGATCCCTTCCCTGAATAGATTTGATAGTTTTGTTTTGCTTTATTTTATTTTATTTTATTTTTTATACTTTAAGTTTTAGGGTACATGTGCACATTGTGCAGGTTAGTTACATATGTATACATGTGCCATGCTGGTGCGCTGCACCCACTAACTCGTCATCTAGCATTAGGTATATCTCCCAATGCTATCCCTCCCCCCTGCCCCCACCCCACCACAGTCCCCAGAGTGTGATATTCCCCTTCCTGTGTCCATGTGATCTCATTGTTCAGTTCCCACCTATGAGTGAGAATATGCGGTGTTTGGTTTTTTGTTCTTGCGATAGTTTACTGAGAATGATGATTTCCAGTTTCATCCATGTCCCTACAAAGGAGATGAACTCATCATTTTTTATGGCTGCATAGTATTCCATGGTGTATATGTGCCACATTTTCTTAATCCAGTCTATCATTGTTGGACATTTGGGTTGGTGCCAAGTCTTTGCTATTGTGAATAATGCCGCAGTAAACATACGTGTGCATGTGTCTTCATAGCAGCATGATTTATAGTCCTTTGGGTATATAGCCAGTAATGGGATGGCTGGGTCAAATGGTATTTCTAGTTCTAGATCCCTGAGGAATCGCCACACTGACTTCCACAATGGTTGAACTAGTTTACAGTCCCACCAACAGTGTAAAAGTGTTCCTATTTCTCCACATCCTCTCCAGCACCTGTTGTTTCCTGACTTTTTCATGATTGCCATTCTAACTGGTGTGAGATGGTATCTCATTGTGGTTTTGATTTGCATTTCTCTGATGGCCAGTGATGATGAGCATTTTTTCACGTGTTTTTTGGCTGCATAAATGTCTTCTTTTGAGAAGTGTCTGTTCATGTCCTTCACCCACTTTTTGATGGGGTTGTTTGTTTTTTTCTTGTAAATTTGTTGGAGTTCATTGTAGATTCTGGATATTAGCCCTTTGTCAGATGAGTAGGTTGCGAAAATTTTCTACCATTTTGTAGGTTGCCTGTTCACTCAGATGGTAGTTTCTTTTGCTGTGCAGAAGCTCTTTAGTTTAATTAGATCCCATTTGTCAATTTTGTCTTTTGTTGCCATTGCTTTTGGTGTTTTGGACATGAAGTCCTTGCCCATGCCTATGTCCTGAATGGTAATGCCTAGGTTTTCTTCTAGGGTTTTTATGGTTTTAGGTCTAACGTTTAAGTCTTTAATCCATCTTGAATTGATTTTTGTATAAGGTGTAAGGAAGGGATCCAGTTTCAGCTTTCTACGTATGGCTAGCCAGTTTTCCCAGCACCATTTATTAAATAGGGAATCCTTTCCCCATTGCTTGTTTTTCTCAGGTTTGTCAAAGATCAGATAGTTGTAGATATGTGGCGTTATTTCTGAGGGCTCTGTTCTGTTCCATTGATCTATATCTCTGTTTTGGTACCAGTACCATGCTGTTTTGGTTACTGTAGCCTTGTAGTATAGTTTGAAGTCAGGTAGTGTGATGCCTCCAGCTTTGTTCTTTTGGCTTAGGATCGCCTTGGCGATGCAGGCTCTTTTTTGGTTCCATATGAACTTTAAAGTAGTTTTTTCCAATTCTGTGAAGAAAGTCATTGGTAGCTTGATGGGGATGGCATTGAATCTGTAAATTACCTTGGGCAGTATGGCCATTTTCACGATATTGATTCTTCCTACCCGTGAGCATGGAATGTTCTTCCATTTGTTTGTATCCTTTTATTTCCTTGAGCAGTGGTTTGTAGTTCTCCTTGAAGAGGTCCTTCACATCCCTTGTAAGTTAGATTCCTAGGTATTTTATTCTCTTTGAAGCAATTGTGAATGGGAGTTCACTCATGATTTGGCTCTCTGTTTGTCTGTTGTTGGTGTATAAGAATGCTTGTGATTTTTGTACATTGATTTTGTATCCTGAGACTTTGCTGAAGTTGCTTATCAGCTTAAGGAGATTTTGGGCTGAGACAACGGGGTTTTCTAGATATACAATCATGTCGTCTGCAAACAGGGACAATTTGACTTCCTCTTTTCCTAATTGAATACCCTTTATTTCCTTCTCCTGCCTAATTGCCCTGGCCAAAACTTCCAACACTATGTTGAATAGGAGTGGTGAGAGAGGGCATCCCTGTCTTGTGCCAGTTTTCAAAGGGAATGCTTCCAGTTTTTGCCCATTCAGTATGATATTGGCTGTGGGTTTGTCATAGATAGCTCTTATTATTTTGAAATACGTCCCATCAATACCTAATTTATTGAGAGTTTTTAGCATGAAGGGTTGTTGAATTTTGTCAAAGGCTTTTTCTGCATCTATTGAGATAATCATGTGGTTTTTGTCTTTGGCTCTGTTTATATGCTGGATTACATTTATTGATTTGTGTATATTGAACCAGCCTTGCATCCCAGGGATGAAGCCCACTTGATCATGGTGGATAAGCTTTTTGATGTGCTGCTGGATTCGTTTTGCCAGTATTTTATTGAGGATTTTTGCATCAATGTTCATCAAGGACATTGGTCTAAAATTCTCTTTTTTGGTTGTGTCTCTGCCCGGCTTTGGTATCAGAATGATGCTGGCCTCATAAAATGAGTTAGGGAGGATTCCCTCTTTTTCTATTGATTGGAATAGTTTCAGAAGGAATGGTACCAGTTCCTCCTTGTACCTCTGGTAGAATTCGGCTGTGAATCCATCTGGTCCTGGACTCTTTTTGGTTGGTAAACTATTGATTATTGCCACAATTTCAGCTCCTGTTATTGGTCTCTTCAGAGATTCAACTTCTTCCTGGTTTAGTCTTGGGAGAGTGTATGTGTCCAGGAATTTATCCATTTCTTCTAGATTTTCTAGTTTATTTGCGTAGAGGTGTTTGTACTATTCTCTGATGGTAGTTTGTATTTCTGTGGGATCGGTGGTAATATCCCCTTTATCATTTTTTATTGTGTCTATTTGATTCTTCTCTCTTTTTTTCTTTATTAGTCTTGCTAGTGATCTATCAGTTTTGTTGATCCTTTCAAAAAACCAGCTCCTGGATTCATTAATTTTTTGAAGGGTTTTTTGTGTCTCTATTTCCTTCAGTTCTGCTCTGATTTTAGTTATTTCTTGCCTTCTGCTAGCTTTTGAATGTGTTTGCTCTTGCTTTTCTAGTTCTTTTAATTGTGATGTTAGGGTGTCAATTTTGCATCTTTCCTGCTTTCTCTTGTGGGCATTTAGTGCTATAAATTTCCCTCTACACACTGCTTTGAATGCATCCCAGAGATTCTGGTATGTTGTGTCTTTGTTCTCGTTGGTTTCAAAGAACATCTTTATTTCTGCCTTCATTTCGTTGTGTATCCAGTAGTCATTCAGGAGCAGGTTGTTCAGTTTCCATGTAGTTGAGCGGTTTTGAGTGAGATTCTTAATCCTGAGTTCTAGTTTGATTGCACTGTGGTCTGAGAGATAGTTTGTTATAATCTCTGTTCTTTTACATTTGCTGAGGAGAGCTTTACTTCCAAGTATGTGGTCAATTTTGGAATAGGTGTGGTGTGGTGTGCTGAAAAAAATGTATATTCTGTTGATTTGGGGTGGAGAGTTCTGTAGATGTCTATTAGGTCTGCTTGGTGCAGAGCTGAGTTCAATTCCTGGGTATCCTTTTTGACTTTCTGTCTCGTTGATCTGTCTAATGTTGATAGTGGGGTGTTAAAGTCTCCCATTATTAATGTGTGGGAGTCTGAGTCTCTGTGTAGGTCACTCAGGACTTGCTTTATGAATCTGGGTGCTCCTGTATTGGGTGCATATATATTTAGGATAGTTAGCTCTTCTTGTTGAATTGATCCCTTTACCATTATGTAATGGCCTTCTTTGTCTCTTTTGATCTTTGTTGGTTTAAAGTCTGTTTTATCAGAGACTAGGATTGCAAACCCTGCCTTTTTTTGTTTTCCATTTGCTTGGTAGATCTTCCTCCATCCTTTTATTTTGAGCCTATGTGTGTCTCTGTATGTGAGATGGGTTTCCTGACTACAGCACACTGATGGGTCTTGACTCTTTATCCAATTTGCCAGTCTGTGTCTTTTAATTGGAGCATTTAGTCCATTTACATTTAAAGTTAATATTGTTATGTGTGAATTTGATCCTGTCATTATGATGTTAGCTGGTGATTTTGCTCATTAGTTGATGCAGTTTCTTCCTAGTCTCGATGGTCTTTACATTTTGGCATGATTTTGCAGCAGCTGGTACCGGTTGTTCCTTTCCATGTTTAGCGCTTCCTTCAGGAGCTCTTTTAGGGCAGGCCTGGTGGTGATGAAATCTCTCAGCATTTGCTTGTCTGTAAAGTATTTTATTTATCCTTCACTTATGAAGCTTAGCTTGGCTGGATATGAAATTCTGGGTTGAAAATTCTTTTCTTTAAGAATGTTGAATATTGGCCCCCACTCTCTTCTGGCTTGTGGGGTTTCTGCTGAGAGATCCGCTGTTAGTCCGATGGGCTTCCCTTTGTGGGTAGCCTGACCTTTCTCTCTGGCTGCCCTTAACATTTTTTCCTTCATTTCAACTTTGGTGAATCTGACAATTATGTGTCTTGGAGTTGCTCTTCTCGAGGAGTATCTTTGTGGCATTCTCTGTATTTCCTGAATCTGAACGTTGGCCTGCCTTGCTAGATTGGGGAAGTTCTCCTGGATAATATCCTGCAGAGTGTTTTCCAGCTTGGTTCCATTCTCCCCATCACTTTCAGGTACACCAATCAGACGTAGATTTGGTCTTTTCACATAGTCCCATATTTCTTGGAGGCTTTGCTCGTTTCTTTTTATTCTTTTTTCTCTAAACTTCCCTTCTCGCTTCATTTCATTCATTTCATCTTCCATTGCTGATACCCTTTCTTCCAGTTGATCGCATCGGCTCCTGAGGCTTCTGCATTCTTCACGTAGTTCTCGAGCCTTGGTTTTCAGCTCTATCAGCTCCTTTAAGCACTTCTCTGTATTGGTTATTCTAGTTATACATTCTTCTAAGTTGTTTTCAAAGTTTTCAACTTCTTTGCCTTTGGTTTGAATGTCCTCCCGTAGCTCAGAGTAATTTGATCATCTAAAGCCTTCTTCTCTCAGCTTGTCAAAGTCATTCTCCATCCAGCTTTGTTCTGTTGCTGGTGAGGAACTGCGTTCCTTTGGAGGAGGAGAGGCGCTCTGCGTTTTAGAGTTTCCAGTTTTTCTGTTCTGTTTTTTCCCACCTTTGTGGTTTTATCTACTTTGGGTCTTTGATGATGATGATGTACAGATGGGTTTTTGGTGTGGATGTCCTTTCTGTTTGTTAGTTTTCCTTCTAACAGACAGGACCCTCACCTGCAGGTCTGTTGGAGTACCCTGCCGTGTGAGGTGTCAGTGTGCCCCTGCTGGGGGGTGCCTCCCAGTTAGGCTGCTCGGGGGTCAGGGGTCAGGGACCCACTTGAGGAGGCAGTCTGCCCGTTCTCAGATCTCCAGCTGCGTGCTGGGAGAACCACTGCTCTCTTCAAAGCTGTCAGACAGGGACATTTAAGTCTGCAGAGGTTACTGCTGTCTTTTTGTTTGTCTGTGCCCTGCCCCCAGAGGTGGAGCCTACAGAGGCAGGCAGGCCTCCTTGACCTGTGGTGGGCTCCACCCAGTTCGAGCTTCCCAGCTGCTTTGTTTACCTAATCAAGCCTGGGCAATGGCGGGCGCCCCTCCCCCAGCCTCGCTGCCGCCTTGCAGTTTGATCTCAGACTGCTGTGCTAGCAATCAGCGAGACTCCGTGGGCGTAGGACCCTCCGAGCCAGGTGCAGGATATAATCTCGTGGTGCGCCGTTTTTTAAGCCGGTCCAAAAAGCGCAATATTTGGGTGGGAGTGACCCGATTTTCCAGGTGCGTCCGTCACCCCTTTCTTTGACTCGGAAAGGGAACTCCCTGACCCCTTGCGCTTCCCAAGTGAGGCAATGCCTTGCCCTGCTTTGGCTGGCGCACGGTGCGCGCACCCACTGACCTGCGCCCACTGTCTGGCCCTCCCTAGTGAGATGAACCCGGTACCTCAGATGGAAATGCAGAAATCACCCGTCTTCTGCATCGCTCACGCTGGGAGCTGTAGACCGGAGCTGTTCCTATTCGGCCATCTTGGCTCCTCCGCTTTTTTTTAATTTTTATACAAATCCTGATTAGTAAGATACATATTCATATTATTAGTCCTCAGTTTCCTCATTCAGGAAATAATTCTACTTCACAGGGTCATTGGGAGGAAGTTTTTATTTGGCCTGATGTTCATGGGTTTAGCCAGGCTGGGTTTGTTTAGGCAAAGGAAGGACACATACACATATTTATAAATAAAAAGGTTTTACATGAAGGAAAACTGATTTTAAAGATTGTGACACTTGCCCACTAGTAAGTGGTTATCTTCAACAGTGCCACTTTAAAACAGATGCTGATGTGTTCATTTATTCTTCCCTGCAGCCAGTCATTGGCATAGCACACGTATGTGTATGGGCGGTGCCTGAACACTGGTCTGGTGTGAAGGTTAGGGCAGGGAGTTTTATTCTATTCAAAAGAGACACTGCTGGCTTCACATTACATTGGTCTCTAATTTTCACTTGCTTCCAAACTTACTACACCCTTGACATAGGTTAAAAAATAATATTTCATAGCAACGGTCTGGGTTTTTTTGTTTGTTTTTGGTTTTGTTTTTGTTTTGAGATAGGGTCTCACTGTGTCACCCAGGCTCACTTACAGGCTAGACCTCCTGGGCTCAAGCGGTCCTCCCACCTCAGCCTCTGGAGTAGCTGGGACCACAGTTATACATCACTATACCTGGCTAATTAATAGCAAGAATCTTTGCCTTGATAATCTCATTCCAAAGAAATAACTATAAAGAATTTTTTAATTCCATAGAAATATTGTCTATAGTGACCACCACCACAGTCAATCTGGAAACTTGAAGGTCTAACCTGAACGTCTGGAATATTATTAAGCAAATTCTCAAACTGGTAGAATATATTAATAAATAATAGAGACTAACAGTGTGGGAAAATGACAAAAAGAACTGCTAATGTACTCTGTGATTATAATTATGTAAAAAGATGTCTCAAAGTAGGCAGAGCATGGAAGATTACATACAAAAATTAAAATAGCTGTGTTAGTGTTGTGTTACTATAAACATTAAATTTTTCCCTTTATGACATTACTGACAAGGCTAATCCCCCCTAAAATGGAGTATTTTCCTATTTGGTGCCACAAAGCCAATACACAAAATTGAAAGTGTGCATCTAGCAGTGCAGGCTTTATTTGATGCCCATAGAACTGAGATGTGGGAGCCTGGCTCACAAATCAACTTCTCAGCCCATGAGGGATAGGGCATCCCCCTATGACAGCCAAGAAATCACAAATATAGGACATTCCCCATGAGAGCCAGGAAGTCACAGATATGGAGCATCTTTAATGAAGGGGTTGGGGAATTAAAAGCAAGGGGAAAAGTATTCATGTCTTTTCTGGGAATTAGGTAGATAACTTCTCAGAACCAGAGTTTTTGTCCCCCTTTTTTGTCCTTTTATGGTTTCTTCTGGTCGTTGTCATGGTGATTGTCAGCTGTCTTGGCACTGGGGGGAGGGTCATTTAGCATGGAAATTAGATTATAATGAAGTTAGAGGTTCTTCAGAGGTCAAGTGAGCTGCCATCTTGGTTCCCACCACTCTTAGCTGGTTTGGTGTCATGATGGGGAGCTTTTGACCACAGACATCCCGTTTCCTAAAGATAACCAGAGTTAAGGTGGGGAAGAAATTTACTTAGGTCACACAGACGTTACACTGGGTAACAACATTACTTTGACAACAAAAATAAATGCACTTTATAACAGAAAAAAGTCCAGGAAAAAATTGAGACACTTTAATATTTGTTATTGGTCTGAAAAAACACCCAAGTAGTCATGGGAAAGATTAGAAACTTGTTTAACATCTTTGCACTTACTTTATAATTTAGTATTTAAATATTTTCATTATAGATCCAGAGGGGCCTATAACCTTTTCAGTACTTAATGTCTCTAAGAGTCTTAAGCTGGTCTTGGGTGCAGTTCATTCCATTTTAAGGTTGAGAGAGTAGTGTTGGGATGTCCTCTGGTAAAATGAGTCTCAGCCTCCTCATAATGCCATTCTACTTTCATTAAAATTCTTCTTCATGATCCTGGGTTAATGGTCATGGTTTTGCCTTTCAGCTCTAGAGCAAGGTTTTTTTCTTGTAAGTAAGCAGTTGGTTACTGGAAACAGACCTGTGGTCCACCTGGAAGTGAACCAAAATATGGATGAGCAGAAAGCGCTTTCCCGCTTGGCAAAGGCTCATGGGCCTGGCTCCATAGGGTGGTGCCAGCTCCTGCCCTGTTCTTTTGTGCTGTGAAGACACAGGTGCCCCCTATGTTCAGTGACTTGACACTTAAATGGCAGTATGGTCTTTGGTAATAATAATGAAAACTAACAGCTATGCTTTTCACTGACAAAGGTAGGATATTGCAGGAAGCTTGATGTTGAATACTTTGGGGTTTTACTTTGAGAACTCCTAGTCCTGTATTGGACCTTGTTGGAAAGTTCCCTGAGCCTATGAGTGAGAAGGGGACAACTTGGGAGTCCCACGGTGAGCGGAAATGAGACCCGCTGGCTTGATAGTAACTAACTGCCATACGTTGAGCAGGACTCTGTGCCAGGCTTTGTGCCAGCTACTTTCCATGACTCATTTAATCCTCTCAACAACCTTTTGAGTCAGATTCTCTCAGTTTTTCCAAGGAGGAAATCAAGATTCTGGCCGTCTTAAGAGTGCTCCAAAGCCACACAGCTAGGGCGCTCCAGAGAGCTAATACCACATGGCCACACAGTGGCTCCACATGGCTTTTTAAAGAAGTTCCATGTCAGCATGGACATGACACAAGTGCAGGTGTGAAATATGGGAGCTGTAGCTTCTTTCCCAAAATCAATCAAGATGTCCTGTGGAAAGAAAGAGATATAGCCCTCGTTTACAGAATTTTTTTTTTCAATTGTCTTTTTCTTGATTAGGAAAAGTCTCCATGTTTCTGCTCAGAAGCTCACCTGTTTCTAATAAGAGAACCTTTCCATCAAATTAGGAGCCTGGTCTCAGTTTTACAGGAGGAATAGAAAATCTACCACTTGCCATCTGGAAGATCAAAGTATTTCCAAATAGAATTTAAGTCAATACCACACAAATTCTAATTCCCTAGAAGCAGCAGTTTTAATTTTGATAGTCTCTAAAAGCAATAACATTTGGTAGTTTCTGAGTAAATTTTAGACTCTCAAGGGTTTAGTTTTAGCAGTTTAATAAAATGTGAATTTTGTCTGCTGAGAAGTGAACTTTGTGGTAAGACTTGGCGAGTCTGAGGTCTGTGGTACTCCCCCTTTGGCCTTCAGTGGGCCATGCTCATTCCCTTCTTTCTTCTTTCTGGGCATATTTGCTGCCCAGATTCTGCAGTAAGGAGAGAGTGGCTGCCTTGGGGTGATTATTAGGTGAATACTCAGGTCTGGGGTTGGGAGGGACCTCGTAGGAACCACCAAAATCGAGCCTTTAAGGAACTGCCGCCTTGTAGTTGCTTAACTGTACAGGATTTCCCCCGCAACGGTCCCCTTCCTAACAGGCTGCTCTACAAAGCCAGGCTTGGACTCATAAGAACTCAGAGGTGGACCGTTGGAGGCCCTGCATGCCTTCCTCTGTCACGTGCTGCCCCTGGCAGCTCGGTGCTTCTTGCCATGGGCCTACCTGGATCCGCCACTCAGCAGTGAACAGCCGAGGAAGGTAGTGGACGTCGAACCTGGCCCGTGGGCTCTACCATGGCATGGTGATGAAGGCATGAACTTTGGCCCACTTGGCCTGTCCTGGCACCAGCCACCCCCTACTCACAAGTTATTTCCTCTGAGAAGCCACCTGAAGAGATTCAGAGGCCAGATGGAGAGACCTCAGAGGCTGCCACAGCCGCTTCCTGTCCCTTGGTAGGCAGAGAGGCCTGTGAAGGATCAAACTGGTGACACCCCTGGCCTTCATCAGGCTCTCCTCATAGCACATCACCCCAGAGCCCCTTCCCCACTGTGGAGTGAATCAGGATGGGGCTCAGGAGTCAATGAGTGCTTACCAAGCCAAGTCCCTTCAAAAACTCCAGACTCAACCCGTAAGAGTGTTTTCAGTATTTTATTAACAAATGAGCTGGCAAGAGGACAAGTGATCTAGTAGTATCACCCCCACCCTCATGGAGCAGCCACCACAAGCCCACCATGGTGGGGGGTGTCCAACATGCTCTGCTGGCCCAGTTCCCAGCCGATCCCCTGAGTCTTGGCGCCCGTTTAGTCACCCTTCAGCTGCTTGGGAGGCAGGAAGAGACTTCCCCTCTTCACGAGGTAAGGGAGACAAAAGCAGCCATTTGGATGCCAGGGCCACAGGGGCAAGCCATGCCCTATTTCTTTGGAGGGACAGAATCACTTCTTCCCAAGGCCAGACACTGTAGCCCATGGTACTCAGCCTTCTAGAGGAGGGTAGCCTAGCAGAGGAGAAGCCCTGAGTGGAAGCAGCATTTTGAAGGCATCGTCATTCTTAGACCAGCTAAGAGCTGAGGGCATTCTCTATCTTTGCCAGCAGACAGTGAGACTCCAGGATTAAAATTAAAAGCCCGTGGTGCATCCTTTCCTTGACATTAACTTTCCACAAAACCTTGGAGGAGTCAAATCCCACACTGCACATACTCCGGTGTCTCCAGCTGTGAAGTGGGACCAGTATCAATACATGGGAAAGTGCTGAGAAGGAAGAAAATATTTCAGGTATAATACTAATCCATCAAACACGTTTTATTCAAGAAGCTTGGCACCAACTTTGTGCCACATCCTCAACTCTTCAATGAAAAGAGCGGTGACCAACTCGCTCCCGTTGGTCCCTATGGCAGGTGTTGGAATGAGGTGAGGCTGGCCTCCTCTGTTTGCTCACAGCTTTATTCCTCTAGCTTCAGATAAAAATAATTATAATAGGCAATAAAGTCTCTTCACAGTGTATTTACTGTAACTACAACAGCTCGCAAGACACATTCTTTTTCTGCAGAATTGTAGCGGGTACTTAGGGAGTTTGCCGACCAGACCTTCTGCACAGGAAGCTGGCTTGCATCATGGAGGCAGTGGACTCCTGATAGTCCCGCCTGCGCAGGCCCCTTTAAGACACTGACACAAAAGACTGCCCAGAGTGGCATTTGCTGCTGAGGCTCCAGGGCAAAAACCCCATGAACAGGAAAGCATCCTCTCAGAAACAGATAATCCGCTTCTCATCTTCATAGACTTTGGCCTCCTCTGGTTTTATCAGGTTTCCATTTAGGCTGTTGAAAAGGAGGAAGACAAAAGTACACAGGTAAAATGTTAAGGATCCTCGCACACTCCTTCCCAAGGTGTGTTCATAGCACACACTCGTGTATCACACAATACACATGTATCCCTGAAATTAAGGAACATACCCTTTGCAGATAGTTCCTTCATATTAGCATGGATCCTCTCCAGCTGCCATCCCTCTGTTCACTGGGTCTCACTAAGGTCACCTGTAGCCTCCATAAGCCTGAATTTAATGACATTTTCCAGGTCTTGTCTTTCTTGGCCCTCAGGATTTTGGCTGTCCTGACCTCTCCTCTCCCTCCTTCTTGAGGCACTCCCTCCCCTTGGCTTGGTTATATGCGCTGATTTTTCTCCTGCATCTGAGCACTCTACTTCAATTTCCTTTCCTATATTCTCCTCCATGTGACCTCTACATCTGAGATTTCCTCCAGGTTTGGGGCTAAGCCCTTTTCCCCACCCGATCTCATCAATGCCACGGCCTTGTTTGTATGTCCGTGGAGGCAGTTACCTGCTTGGCATCCTCACTTGGACCTCTCCCCCACACCTCAAAGTAGCCACACCTCCTAGGGTCCCCTGGCTTAGTGAATGGACCACTCTCATCCTGCTGAGCAGGTTAGTAACCTGGGGGTCAACCTGGACACCTTCCTTCTCATCCCCATGTTCCTTGTATCACAAAGTTCTCCCCTAATTCCTAAGAATCTAGAATGCCTCCCTGGAACCTCTATGTCTTTGGCCGGCCATCTTGGTCTGAGCACCCATCATCTCTTCCCTGCATCAGTACAATGTCCTACTGACAGGTCATTTCCACGTACTCTGGCCTTCTCCAATTCAGTTTCCTAGAAGAGCCAAGAATTGGTCTTTTTGCATTGCAGATCTGATCACATGCCTCTCCTGCTTCAAACTGTTCACTGACTTTCCATCACTTTTAGGATAAAGACCAAAATGCACATCATGACCCACAGATCTTTTATGGTCCAGTCCCTGCCTATCTCCTCAGCCTCCTGTAGTCCCCTCTTCCACACTGTCTGAACCCTGGGGCACAGCAGCTTCTGGCAGTTCTTCCAGGACACCACACTCCCTCCTGCCCCAGACCCTTTGCACATGCTGTTCCCTACGCAGAATACTCACCTCAGCTGACTAGCTCCTATTCATCCTTCATGGCTTAGTGTAAGTGCTGCTTCCTCAGAGAGGCCTTCCCTGCAACCTCATCTAAATCAGGTTCCCTCTTGGCCTTCCCCTTTGTGATAGTACCCATCACAGTTGTAATTAAATAATTACGCAAATGATTTTTTCTTTAATGTGCTTCTCCCTTTCTAGACAGTGAACCCATGAAGCCATGTTGTTCACCACTGGATTTTTGGTGCTAGCACAGTCCCTGATGCTCAAGCGTTTCGTTATTCAAGGAATAAATGAAGACACAGCACTAGTCCCTAGGACCTTGACTCAGGCCCCACCCTCCCAGAGCCACAGTCTGGAGGAGATAGCCTCACAGAAAGCTGTTATACTGGAGTGGGATACATTTCTGTAATTTACAGTGTTCATTGTTCACCTCTAATTTCTGTTCTTAAAGACAGAACTCATCAAGGGACTTCAGACTTCCAAGTTATTTTCAGAAAGGAATGAGGTAGAAATAAGTGTCAGTACAGTTAACAAGTCCAAGGAGAAGGCTTACTCTGTAAGTGTTGGCTCCAAGCAGAGCTGCTCCCTGAACGTGGCTCCCCGGCCAGCTCAACCACAACCCTGTGGCCTGGTGTGGCAGTCCCTGGCAGGGCCAACAAAGCCACAGCCTTCTCAGAGCCCAGTCCCATGAAGTCACACACAGAGGAGCATGCTCTGGAGGCTCCCAGAACAAGCCAGGGACCTAAGTGAAGACACTCCCAAGACCAGCACCCATGCCGCCTGTCCTGCCCTCTCTGAATTGGTGGCCAGTTCCCCTCTCCACCCTGACACAAGTGCAGGCCTTGAAGCTGAAGTCTCCTGGCCCTACTAAAATGGTTCCTTGTGTAGGAATGGTGACCCTCAAGAGGGAAGCAATGCAGATTTTGAAACTTGACAGAATTAAAGCAACTGTAGGTCTTTACTACCCGCCTGACCAGCTACAGAGAAAAGTGGAAGCCAACTGTGCTCTGCAAACTGTTCTGTAGTCTGGCAGTCTCCTTCCTCTCCCCCTCTGCCTGCTGTCCTCAAAACTTAAGAATCAGCAGAAACGGAGTGGCCTGAGGGCAAACACCCATGCAAACAGTTCCAGTGCCCTCCAGTGCTTCCCAGGCTGCTGGGCAGGCTGGGCTTCGCAGGCACACAGGCCACAGGTGTCTGTTTAGATCTGGGCTCTATTCTCTATGATGGTGTTTTTCTTTTTTTCTTTTTTGTTTTTTGAGACAGGGTCTCTGGCACCCAGGCTGGATTGCAGTGGCATGATCCTGGCTCACTGCAGCCTTGATCTCCCATGCATCCATCCTCCCACATCAGCTTCCTGAGTAGCTGGGACTACAGGCACATAGCACCATGTCGGGCTAATTTTTGTAGTGACGGGGTTTCGCATGTTGCCCAGGCTGGTCTCAAACTCCTGTGCTCAAGAGATCTGCCCATCTTGGCCTCCCAAAGTGCTGGTATTACAGGCATGAGCCACCATGCCTAGCCAACAGTGTTTTTTTTAAAAAAAAACCTTTTGTCTACAACCCTAAATAAGAATTACATTTTATGTTGTGAACCAACACTTATGCAAACACACACCCACTCACATGCAAGCATGAACTAAGATGAATGAAATGATACTTTCATACCATGCACATTGCATCCTGATATTTTGTTCTGTTCTGTTTTCTTTTTAAATATTGTTGGTTGCAATTCACCAAACTGATCGATTTTATGACAAGTTCCAAACAAGTTCTAAAGCAAAGTTTAAAAAACACTGTATGAGGAGCCTGTGTTGGCCAAGGAGCTGTTTTTTGTTTTTTTTTAATTGGCTATGAAATTCTCCCCAGTCATGAAAGGAGGACATAGTTAATAAGGCCCCTCTCCCAGCATCCACCCAGTCCCACGTCACCCAGGCAATTAAGTTGTTAAGGGAGCTGCTGAGTGGGGAGTGTCTGTGCCTTATGGGAGGCAAGAAAGAAGTGGCATGGCGCTCAATGTCACAGTAAAGCAAACTTTTTTTCTTCTATTAGCATAAGGAAGTTCTCAAAGCAGAAAAAAGAAGTAGACAAAGAGCACAGGTCAGTTCAAGTCAGCCTGGAAATGTCTTACGGAACCCAGAAAAGGGGAAGAATGAGCTCCAAACTCCTGGCCAACACAGTCATCTCTCAATTGCTGAGTCCCAGGGGGATTTACTTCCACTAGGAAATCATTTCACTGGCCACTTCCCCCATCCCACCCAATGAAGGTAGATGAGGGCGGGGGCCCAGGGCAGGAGAGCACAGAATATGGAATCAGGCATTCTGGGCTGAATTCTAGCTTCTCTCGTAGTGACCTTGGGCAACCTTATTTCACTGGTCTGGGCCTCTGTCTACCTCTGTAAAACAGAGGTAATACCATTACTGTGCAGGGTTGCTGGAGGAATAAACAGAAACCACCCTGCGTTGTGCCTTGCACAGTCAGTGGTGGTGAGTAAACAGTCACTGGTGTTATTACTGTGACAAACGCTGGGATCTTACCAAATCTCTGTTATGCCAGTGTTGCTCTGTAACGCATCTGCCAGCTGGGCAGTCCCCTTAGCTGTGATCTGATTCTGGATAAGCCTGAAAGAAGAACATAACTTGTATAAAATCCATAATACTGGATCAAATTTGACCCCTTCGTAAGGGAGTTGCAAGGGTGTTTTGGGATAAGAGACAAGTTGGTCAGGGGAAGAACTGAGTCCATGTGACTTTGTATCTGGCTAAAAGTGTCCAGGTAAGATCCACTAGAGTAAAGGATAGCTTGATATTTTTTAAATTTTCTGTTTGTTTTTATAGTGAACATAATGTAATACATGAACTGATGTGTGTGTTTGCATTTTTCACTGCAGAGGTGCATAATCAAAATATTTGGGGCCGGGTGCAGTGGCTCACACCTGTAATCCCAGCACTTTGGGAGGCCGAGGTGGGTGGATCACGAGCTCAGGAGATCGATACCATCCTGGCCAACCTGTCTCTATTAAAAATACAAAAAAATTAGCTGGGCATGGTGGTGTGCACCTGTACTCCCAGCTACTCGGGAGACTGAGGTAGGAGAATTGCTTGAACTGGGAGGTGGAGGTTGCAGTGAGCCAAGATCGTGCCACTGCACTCCAGCCTGGGTGACAGAGTGAGACTCCATTTATATTTTTATATATATTTGGGAGACCACCAATCTGAACAACAAATTGTAAGAAACACACCATGGGACAGGAAGTCTGACGTCTCCTTCCAGGTAGCTAGGGAAAGGCAAGGCAGGTTTTAAAGTTAAGAGGCTACCAACATGCAAGAGGGAGGGAGGAGAAACAGTTATGCTGCCATGAAATAGTTCTCATGAATAGTTCTCATGGGGCTCAGTGGAAAAGCTTTAATAATGGGGACTCTGAGAATGCACCCCATTGTTCTGGGTAGCAGTGATTCAAATGAAACAAAGTTTTCAGCTATCGCTAGGAAGCCAGGCCTCTCCTGAAATGCTCCCTTGGGCAGCTACGCTTCTAACCCAACCAGGAAATAAATGCATCAAGAGGCTGTAGTGTCTCCGCTTCATCACAGAGTCATTCCCTGCTCCTGGCTGTTTGTAGAATAGGCTCCTGCTAAACATGACCCTTAGAAATCCTGGCACTGACCCAAGAAGGAAGCCCTTACCAGGAAGACGAGGGCCCTATGCTGTCATGAATGAAGAGGACTCCCTCGTGAGAGGCAGTATTGCAGAGCGGGTGCAGCTCCTCTTAAACCCTCCCTCCCCACTGTTCAGCTACAGAACCTTGAAGAAATAAACGCATCTGTCTGTGCCTCAGTTGTGTCATCTGTAAACTGAGAATAACTATAAGAGTGCCCCCCATCCACTGGGTGTGTGAGATTTCAAGAGGAGGGTATTAGGCACAGTGTCCAGGGGGAAGGGAGCTCTTGTCACTGTTACTGCCCAAGCACACAGGACCACTGGTGGCTGGGCTGCAGCCAGGATCTGGTGCTCCCAGCCATACCCCACAAGGGCTAGGGCCCCTGGGTTCAATGGCAGAGGTAATGACCTTCCCTTTCAAAAGGGACAAAAATAGAACCAGGAAGTGGGCACCAAGTTCTGTATTCAGTTACACTCTGCTGTTTTCTAGTCACCACTTAGGCTTTTTTGAAGGCAGGGAAGGCAGCCTCCAACCAAGATGTGGCAGGAGGCCAGGAAGGAGAGCACCTAATGCCCCTAAAAAGCCTGCAGTGTCCAGGCACATCCACCCACTCGGGCTGCCTTCACTAGGGCCAGTGCAGGTTGGGAATGCACAAAGCAGCCAAGACTCTCTTTCTGACCCTGTCCTAGCTCTGCTCTCCCTGGAGAGGCTGGCCTGCACTTAGGGAATGGGATCAAATAATTCTGCAGGCTAAAAAGGAAAGAAAAAACAATATGTAGCAGAGTCTAGTCTTTTTGCAGAAATTGACAAGGTGAGTCTGAATTCATAAGAAATGCAAAGAACCCAGAATGGTCTAAACAATCTTGAGAAAGAAGAACAAAGTAGAACTCACACCTCCTGATTTCAAAATGTACTACACAAAGCTACAGCAATGGTCCTGGCATAGGAGAGACATATAAATCAATGGACCAGAACAGAGAATTCAGAAATAAACCCATACATTTATGGTCAATTGATTTTTGACAAGGGTGTCAAGGCCATTCAATAGGAAAAGATAATCTGTTCAACACGTGGTGCTGCCGGGACAGCTGGATATCCACGTGCAAGAGAATGAGGTTAACCCTCACTTTACACTATACAAAAATTAACTCAAAATGGATTGCAGACCTATATGTGAGGGGAAACAACTATAACGCTTAACAGAAAACTTAGGTGGAGTTCTTTGTGATCTTGGATTAGGCAATCATTTCTTAGATAAGACACTGAAAGCACAAGCAACCAAAGAAAAAAATAGATAAATTGGACTTCATCAAAATTAAAAACTATTGGCCAGGTGCAGTGGCTTTTCGCCTGTAATCCCAGCACTTTGGGAGGCTGAGGCAGGTGGATCACCTGAGGTCAGGAGTTCAAGACCAGCCTGGGCCTAAATGGTGAAACCCCATCTCTATTAAAAATACAAAATGAGACAGGCATGGTGGCTGATGCCTGTAATCCCAACTACTCAGGAGGCTGAGGCAGAAGAATCGCTTGAACCCAGGAGGTGGAGGTTGCAGAGAGCTGAGATCATGCCACTGCACTCCTGTCTGGGTGACAAGAGCAAGACTCCATCTCAAAAAAAACAAAAATTAAAAACTGTTGTCCTTTAAAGGTCACTATCAAGAAAGAGGAAAAACTCCACAGAAAGAAAGAAAATACTTGCAAAACCTGTATCTAGTAAAGGTCTAGCACCCAGAATATATAGAGAACCCCTATAACTCAGCATTAGAAGACAAACCCAATTTTAAAATGGGCAAAGGATATGGAGACATTTCTCCAAAGAAGCTATACAGACTCCCAGTAGGCACATAAAAAGACATTCAACATTGTTGTCATCAGGGAAATGCAAATCAAAACCACAATATTACTTCACATCCACTAGTATAACTAGATTTTAAAAGATGGACAATAATAAGTGTTGGTGAGGATGTGGAGAAATTGGAATCCACATACATTGCTGGCGAGAATGTAAAATAGTACATCCACTTTAGAAAACAGTTTGGTGGCTCCTCAAAAAGTTACAGAATTGCCATATGACCCAGAAATTCTATTCCCAGGTATATTCCCAAAAGAGATGAAAACATATGTTCACCCAAAAGCATGAACAGGAGTGTTCACAGTAGCATTACGCATAATAGTCAAAAAGTAGAAACAACCCAAATGTCCCATCAACTGATTAATAAACTGCAAAATTTCCTTAGAGTGAATTATCATTTAGCCATAAAAAGGAATGAAACATGCTAGAACACAGAGACAAAAGGTCACATATTGCTTGATTCCATTTATATGAAATGCCCAGAGTAGGCAAATCCATAGAGACAGAAAGCGGATTAGTGGTTGCCAGGGTCTGGGGAGGAGGACAGGGAGTGACTGCTTAATGGATACCAGGGCTTTTTGGAGTGGGGAGGAGGAGTGAAAATGTTCTAGAATTAGGTGGTGATGGTTGCACTAAAAACCTCTGAATTGTATACTTTAAGAGAGTGAATTTTACAGTATGTAAATTTTATCTCAAAAAATACTTTTGAAAAGTAGCACAGTCTGAAATTGTAAGGCTCTCTGAGTTACCATAAATGCTTTAACGTCTGGTTGACTTTCAACATTTCTGCCAAACTCTCTGCCACTTCATCGTTGAGTTCATTTTGGGTCAGCCTAAGGAAAAAAAAGGAAGTATTTACTCAAGAGAGCCTACTTGGCAGACATTGTTTTAGAGTTCACAGGAGCGGGAGCTCAGCCCAAGGCTCTCCAGCTATGCAGATGATCACTTGCTGAGAACCCAGAAAACAGCCAGGCTCCAAGCCCAGCCTGTCAGCCCCACAGAAGGTCAATGGGACTCATTTTTAATGCAAATCCTGTACCTGGGCTCCTATTTCTTAGCCCAGCTACCTGTAGAGGAGCCCACCCTCCCTCCCCACCTTTGCTGAGCCCTCAGATTTCATGGAAGATGGGGGCCCACGGAAAACAAAGGGCCAATGCCTGCTTCTCAGTTCTCCTCTAGTCCCAGGGTCCCTTGAACACCACTGACAGTGTGTTATCCAAGTTAGTTTGAAGACCTGAAACAGTCACTGACTGCACATTAAAATGTGTTCAGTACTTTGCTCTCAGTTAACTTGTGAGGGACCCAAGTTAAGTGACTGAAAGTTCAGGAAGTCTCTCAATGGTCCTTAGAACCAGAAGTGGTCTGGATAAAGCACCAAAGCTCCTTGGTGTAAACAGGGTAGGACCCACTTGTGCCAGTGGACGAAAGAATCATTAGGAAGAAGAATAGAACAGAAAGAACATTTAAAAAAAAAAATTCCTTGAAGGGCAGTTTGGATGTGCCTGCCCAAATTTTTAATGTGCTTCATTTTAAGACAATCAGACTTCTAGAAATTTACCCTACAGTGTGCAAGGATATACACACAAAGCTTTATACATTGCAGCATGCATTGTGGTATTATCCTAATGTAAAATCTGAACAAATTTAGATCAGAAACAACTGATGAAATATATTGTGATATCTATTCGAGATGTTGTGCAGCTTGTAGGGAGAATGAGGTAGAATGAGGAGGGAGAAGAACACAGCATTGACATCTACTCCGGACTCAGCCTGGGCAGGTTTGTATCACCCACCAGCAGGGTGACCTCGGGCAACAGGCTTAAGTTCTTTGGGTCTGAGTTTTCTCACTGGTGAACGTTAACAGTAGAGATCGTATAGAGTGGTTGTGAGGCTGAGTGAGTTAACACAGGGAAAAAGTGTAGAATAACACATGGCATGCAGTCAGCACTTGAGGGCTTCTAGGTGTTGACATTACTACTATCCATGTGATTTCACTCTCCATGGGGCACCTGGCCATGTCCGGAGGCATTTTTGATCCTCACCACTGGGAGGTACAGGGCAGAGATGCGGCTAAACCGTCTATGATGCACAGGACAGCCCTACCATAATAAAGAATCACTTGGACCAAAATGTCAACAGCATCAAGATGGAGAAACCCTAAAGGAGACATGTAAAGTATGTGATTACAATATTTTTAGAGCCACTGCTTGAATGCTATTCTGTTTTGCATATCTTTGAACATACATAGAACAAAAGGCTAGAAAGGAAAGGTTATTTTGGAAAACACAAAGGGAGGTACTTTCACTTCCTCCTTTTAGCAGGAACTTTAGGAGGTACTTTCATGTCCTCCTTTAGTGTCTTACATTTTTTCCAAAAAACATAAACTACTTTTCAAAATGTTAAATGATTTGTTGAGGGGAAAGAATTTAAAATGCACTTACTGGACAGCAGGCCTAATGTCAAAACTCTCTCATGAAGAGGATATTGTCATTATTCTCAGTAACTAATTTAGCAAGATCAAATGAGCACTGGGCTCTGAGTAGATGATAGGGAGGGTTGTAATACAACTCCCTCACTTAACCTGTAAGGAATGTTTTTTTTTTTTGTAGATAGAGGGTCTCGCTATATTGCCCAGGCTAGTCTCGAACTCTTGGCCTCAAGCGATCCTCCCACCTCAGCCTTCCAAAGTACTGGGATTACAGATGTGAGTCACTGCTCCCAGCCACCTGTATGGAATTTATGATACAGAGATGTAAATACAAATAAAGCAAAATAAAACATTAAGTGGCCATAAAAAAGGGAACACCAACAAAAAACACTCTCAGGAGGCCACATCCACTTAGTAAGTGCCCTAGAGTGCAGAGAGGGAGCGAGGACTGTGGGCTTCAGGTGACAAGTGACAGATGAGCTGGATGGAGCATAAAGGCCAAACCCTGATGTGAAGACCTGGGGAAGGAGGAGGCTGCCTGGGGGAAGGCAGATGAAGAGGAGGAAGGGAGAAAATTTTGAGCCAAGTGTGTGGAAGTTGGCCTCTGCTAAGCACATCTGAAGGTATCCAAGGATACCTGGATAGCTTGCATGGCCAGCGTTCTAGTTCTCCTGGGGCCTAGAAGGCCAAGGCCTCAGATCCAGGCTCCCGGAGCCCACTTCCTCCTCCTGTACCTGTTTATGCTTGTAGAAGTGGCTATTCTCTTCTCTAGGAGGAAATTATCAACTTAACTGAAAGGCCTAGAGCCTTTCCAATTGGGAGACACCTTTTCTGTTAAGATTCCAGGCCATGTGCAGCCCCTGGGATAATTCCTGGGACCTAAACCCTCCAAAATGACTCTGTGCCAGGTGCAGTGGCTCACACCTGCAATCCCAGGGCTTTGAGAAGCCAGGGCAGGAGAACTGCTTGAGCCCAGGAGTTCAAGACCAGCCTGGGTAACATAGCAAAACCCCATCTCTACAAAAAATTTTAAAATTAACTGGGTGTGGTGGTGCATGCCTATAGTCTCAGGACTCGGAAGGCCAAGGCGGGAGGTTCGAATGAGCCTGGGAGGTGGAGGCTGCAGTGAGCTGAGATCACACCAATGCACTCAAGCCTGGACGACAAAGCAAGACCCTATCACAGAAAAACAAACAAACAAATGAAATGACTCGAGCTATTACCACAGTATTTCTAGAGACGTGTTCTGCTGCAGGGCCCTCGCAAGGCTCTTTCCTCCTTCTGTGGAGATGCCGTTGGACGCAAGACTAGGAAGGAACACACTTGGGGTGAATTATTAAAGACACATCTACATTCAATCTTAGCTTCAACATCAGAACAGCTGGGAAGCCTCTGCCTGGCTGTGGCCCCAGCCCAGGCTCACTCGGGGCAGGATGCAGAAGTGTTCAGCTGCAGCAGTAGTGCCCAGGCGCTGCTGCCCCAGAGCCCACACACAGAGCACAAGGGCAGGCTGGACGGGAAATGGGTCATCAGCACAGCCTGCTCACACAACAGTGGGCTGGGGTCGGCACCTCAGGTTTCTGCACATGGGCAGGAGGCTGGCGAGGCCTGGCAAGCTGTCCTTCTAAAGGCTGGCCCCATCAAGGTACCCCATCTGCAAGACCTGGCAAAGTCTCTTCTGCTACTGTCCCCACCTTCTTGGACTCTTTTTCAGTGGTAGGAAGAACAGCAGCAGAGCCGTGGACATACCAAGGTCCCAAGATTTGGCCAGCAGCCTAAGCGGGGGCTGGGTAGGTGCATCCCCATTTATAGAGAGGAAGAGTCCCTCTTTTCCAGCATCATCCTGAGGACAAGGAAGGGGCAGGAATCTGCTGGCCAGCATCTTATTAAGTTTCATCTGCACTTAGGAAACCCTCCCTCTACCAGCAAGGGACATGCAGGGATGGCTGAGGGGCTGGAAATGTCCTCTGTCTTGATGGGGGTGGTGGTTGGCTGGTGTGGGACACATGCAGAATTCACTGAGCTGAATAAACACTTAAGGTGATTCCTCAGGGATCTAGAACCAGAAATACCATTTGACCCAGCAATCCCATTACTGGGTATTTACCCAAAGGATTATAAATCATTCTGCTATAAAGACACAAGCACATGTATGTTTATTGTAGCACTATTTACAATAGCAAAGACTTGGAACCAACCCAAATGCCCATCAGTGATAGACTGGATAAAGAAAATGTGGCACATACACACTATGGAATACTATGCAACCATAAAAAAAAATGAGATCATGTCCTTTGCTGGCACATGGATGAAGCTGGAAACCATCATTCTCAGCAAACTAACACAGGAACAAAAAACCAAACACTGCATGTTCTCACTCGTAAGTGGGAGTTGAACAATGAGAACACATGGACACATGGAGGGGAACAACACACACCAGGGCCTGTTGGGGGTGGGGGGCAAGGGGAGGGCAAGCATTAGGACAAATACCTAATGCATGCAGGGCTTAAAACCTAGATGACAGGTTGATAGGTGCAGCAAATCACCATGGCATGCATTTGCCTATGTAACAAACCTGCACATCTTCTACATGTATCCCAGAACTTAAAGTTAAAAAAAGAGAAGAATGTGCTTTACTAGATGGCCTCTTATGCATCAAAGAAAGGTTTGACAAGAGTAAGGAAAATCACACATGCAAATTCCTCTTCTATTAGGAGCACGAATCACCCTTCCCCAGCAAACCTAGAGCAGCTGGGAGGGACCAGGTTGGCCCCTGGAGACAGCAGGGCCACAGTTACCTCAGGGTGGTCAAGCTGGGGTGGTTCCGCAGAGCCTCTGCGAAGGCTTTTGCTCCTTCATCCCCAACTTGATTGCCCCACATCCTGAGGGAGGAGACAAGATAGTGAATGTTAGCTCCCCAAGAAACAGCCATGCTCACCCCTCCTTTTTTGCCAATGGCCACAGCTCAGTTCCTACTCAACAGGCAGATGTTTGTGCCCAGTCCCTGGATCTGTGGCCTGGACACTAATTCCTCACACTGGTCTCTGAGTGGGCTGCTCTGGATTTCAAATTCAAGGGGTGATGCAAGATCGAAGAGCAGGGGAAGCCTTGTGAACAGAGGCCATCGGCAAGTGGCACAGTTAGAGACCGAGCCTCACCACGAGCTTCGGAGAGCTGTCAGCCCAGGAGCCTGAGCTCATGAGAGAAAGCACCTGCATGTCTCCTGTGGAGCACAGAGGTGCGCAGAGTCCTGGAGGGAAGGCCGTGTGCAGGTGCTGGGTTCCCAGCATCCGTTCAACTCTGGGCAGGGTCAGAGACATTCCTGAAGACACAGTCTTCCAGGAGACAAAGAGCAGGAAGTACCTTCAGAAACCCCATCAGCAACGTTCCTGTCACATAAAGAGGACGTTACCCAACCAAGCTCTGTGGCTACGGCCATCTTGGTGGACAGGTGCGGCGATAAAGCTGTATTCTGTCCCCTACAGCAGATCCGGAGAGTCTCTGGCTAAAACAGTCTGCGTGGTAAGATGGTGGACTCCTGACCCGGCTCTGCCATCTGCTACCTGTGTGAACTTCGGGAAATTATGTAGTCTCTTGGACCTCAGTTGCCCCATCTATAAAATGGGGATAATTAGAGCATTCCGTCATGGAGTTGTGAGGATTCACTGAGTTAACAGAAGCAAAGCACTTAGAACCGTGTGTGGCTCACACAAAGCGTTGGCTGTTCCTAATAGGATCAGCACACACTGTCTACACACAACAGAACAAGTTCGTGTGGCCCACTCACAACACAATGGCAGCTGCCTCAACAACACGTTCACACCAAGCAAACTACCTGCTTACACCATTCCAGGTATGGCTTGCTGGAACCCAGAATAAGAGTTTTCAGTGTTTTGCTTACATATATGTATTTACTATACAATTGAATGGCATCACATTTTTAATAAAGTGGAAAGCTACTCAAGGCATGAGATTAAGTGAAAAAGGAAGGATACATATAGTCTCACCCCTACTATAGTATAGATACATATAGTCTCACCCCTACTATATTTTTTAAAAGTTGTACAAAGAGAGAGAAGGGAGAGAAAGTGAGAGAGCTTAACTGAGCTTAAATGTTAACAAGAATCATTTTCTGAGAAGATAATTTTTATTATTTTTCATAGTTTCCAAATAAAATTACCTGTGTTCCTTTTGTAATCCAATAAAAATTATAATGAAACAAAAAGCTTTAAAAAGCCTCAAGAATCAAAACCACAATGAGACAGGACCTCACACTCATTAGGATGGGTACTGTCAAAAAGAGAAAATAGCAAGTGTTGGCAAGGATGTGGAGAAACTAGAATGAACTGTTGGTGGGAACATAAAATGGTGCTGCTGCCGTGGAAAACAGTATGATGATTCTTCAAAAAATTAAAAATTACCATGTGATCCAGCAATCCCACTGCTGGATATATACCCAAAAGAATTGGAGGGAGGAGCCAAGATGGCCGAATAGGAACAGCTCCGGTCTACAGCTCCCAGCGTGAGCGACGCAGAAGACGGGTGATTTCTGCATTTCCATCTGAGGTACCGGGTTCATCTCACTAGGGAGCGCCAGACAGTGGGCGCAGGCCAGTGTGTGCGCGCACCGTGCGCGAGCCGAAGCAGGGCGAGGCATTGCCTCACCTGGGAAGCGCAAGGGATCAGGGAGTTCCCTTTCCGAGTCAAAGAAAGGGGTGACGGACGCACCTGGAAAATCGGGTCACTCCCACCCGAATATTGCGCTTTTCAGACCGGCTTAAGAAACGGCGCACCACGAGACTATATCCCACACCTGGCTCAGAGGGTCCTACGCCCACGGAATCTCGCTGATTGCTAGCACAGCAGTCTGAGATCAAACTGCAAGGCGGCAACGAGGCTGGGGGAGGGGCGCCCGCCATAGCCCAGGCTTGCTTAGGTAAACAAAGCAGCCGGGAAGCTCGAACTGGGTGGAGCCCACCACAGCTCAAGGAGGCCTGCCTGCCTCTGTAGGCTCCACCTCTGGGGGCAGGGCACAGACAAACAAAAAGACAGCAGTAACCTCTGCAGACTTAAGTGTCCCTGTCTGACAGCTTTGAAGAGAGCAGTGGTTCTCCCAGCACGCAGCTGGAGATCTGAGAACGGGCAGACTGCCTCCTCAAGTGGGTCCCTGACCCCTGACCCCCGAGCAGCCTAACTGGGAGGCACCCCCCAGCAGAGGCACACTGACACCTCACACGGCAGGGTATTCCAACAGACCTGCAGCTGAGGGTCCTGTCTGTTAGAAGGAAAACTAACAACCAGAAAGGACATCTACACTGAAAACCCATCTGTACATCACCATCATCAAAGACCAAAAGTAGATAAAACCACAAAGATGGGGAAAAAACAGAACAGAAAAACTGGAAACTCTAAAACGCAGAGCGCCTCTCCTCCTCCAAAGGAACGCAGTTCCTCACCAGCAACAGAACAAAGCTGGATGGAGAATGATTTTGACGAGCTGAGAGAAGAAGGCTTCAGACGATCAAATTACTCTGAGCTACGGGAGGACATTCAAACCAAAGGCAAAGAAGTTGAAAACTTTGAAAAAAATTTAGAAGAATGTATAACTAGAATAACCAATACAGAGAAGTGCTTAAAGGAGCTGATGGAGCTGAAAACCAAGGCTCGAGAACTACGTGAAGAATGCAGAAGCCTCAGGAGCCGATGCGATCAACTGGAAGAAAGGGTATCAGCAATGGAAGATGAAATGAATGAAATGAAGCGAGAAGGGAAGTTTAGAGAAAAAAGAATAAAAAGAAATGAGCAAAGCCTCCAAGAAATATGGGACTATGTGAAAAGACCAAATCTACGTCTGATTGGTGTACCTGAAAGTGATGTGGAGAATGGAACCAAGTTGGAAAACACTCTGCAGGATATTATCCAGGAGAACTTCCCCAATCTAGCAAGGCAGGCCAACGTTCAGATTCAGGAAATACAGAGAACGCCACAAAGATACTCCTCGAGAAGAGCAACTCCAAGACACATAATTGTCAGATTCACCAAAGTTGAAATGAAGGAAAAAATGTTAAGGGCAGCCAGAGAGAAAGTTCGGGTTACCCTCAAAGGAAAGCCCATCAGACTAACAGCGGATCTCTCGGCAGAAACCCTACAAGCCAGAAGAGAGTGGGGGCCAATATTCAACATTCTTAAAGAAAAGAATTTTCAACCCAGAATTTCATATCCAGCCAAACTAAGCTTCATAAGTGAAGGAGAAATAAAATACTTTATAGACAAGCAAATGCTGAGAGATTTTGTCACCACCAGGCCTGCCCTAAAAGAGCTCCTGAAGGAAGCGGTAAACATGGAAAGGAACAACCGGTACCAGCCGCTGCAAAATCATGCCAAAATGTAAAGACCATCGAGACTAGGAAGAAACTGCATCAACTAATGAGCAAAATCGCCAGCTAACATCATAATGACAGGATCAAATTCACACATAACAATATTAACTTTAAATATAAATGGACTAAATTCTGCAATTAAAAGACACAGACTGGCAAGTTGGATAAAGAGTCAAGACCCATCAGTGTGCTGTATTCAGGAAACCCATCTCACGTGCAGAGACACACATAGGCTCAAAATAAAAGGATGGAGGAAGATCTACCAAGCCAATGGAAAACAAAAAAAGGCAGGGGTTGCAATCCTAGTCTCTGATAAAACAGACTTTAAACCAACAAAGATCAAAAGAGACAAAGAAGGCCATTACATAATGGTAAAGGGATCAATTCAACAAGAGGAGCTAACTATCCTAAATATTTATGCACCCAATACAGGAGCACCCAGATTCATAAAGCAAGTCCTCAGTGACCTACAAAGAGACTTAGACTCCCACACATTAATAATGGGAGACTTTAACACCCCACTGTCAACATTAGACAGATCAATGAGACAGAAAGTCAACAAGGATACCCAGGAATTGAACTCAGCTCTGCACCAAGCAGACCTAATAGACATCTACAGAACTCTCCACCCCAAATCAACAGAATATACATTTTTTTCAGCACCACACCACACCTATTCCAAAATTGACCACATAGTTGGAAGTAAAGCTCTCCTCAGCAAATGTAAAAGAACAGAAATTATAACAAACTATCTCTCAGACCACAGTGCAATCAAACTAGAACTCAGGATTAAGAATCTCACTCAAAGCCGCTCAACTACATGGAAACTGAACAACCTGCTCCTGAATGACTACTGGGTACATAACGAAATGAAGGCAGAAATAAAGATGTTCTTTGAAACCAACGAGAACAAAGACACCACATACCAGAATCTCTGGGACGCATTCAAAGCAGTGTGTAGAGGGAAATTTATAGCACTAAATGCCTACAAGAGAAAGCAGGAAAGATCCAAAATTGACACCCTAACATCACAATTAAAAGAACTAGAAAAGCAAGAGCAAACACATTCAAAAGCTAGCAGAAGGCAAGAAATAACTAAAATCAGAGCAGAACTGAAGGAAATAGAGACACAAAAAACCCTTCAAAAAATCAATGAATCCAGGAGCTGGTTTTTCGAAAGGATCAACAAAATTGATAGACCGCTAGCAAGACTAATAAAGAAAAAAAGAGAGAAGAATCAAATAGACACAATAAAAAATGATAAAGGGGATATCACCACCGATCCCACAGAAATACAAACTACCATCAGAGAATACTACAAACACCTCTACGCAAATAAACTAGAAAATCTAGAAGAAATGGATACATTCCTCGACACATACACTCTCCCAAGACTAAACCAGGAAGAAGTTGAATCTCTGAATAGACCAATAACAGGCTCTGAAATTGTGGCAATAATCAATAGTTTACCAACCAAAAAGAGTCCAGGACCAGATGGATTCACAGCCGAATTCTACCAGAGGTACAAGGAGGAACTGGTACCATTCCTTCTGAAACTATTCCAATCAATAGAAAAAGAGGGAATCCTCCCTAACTCATTTTATGAGGCCAGCATCATTCTGATACCAAAGCCGGGCAGAGACACAACCAAAAAAGAGAATTTTAGACCAATATCCTTGATGAACATTGATGCAAAAATCCTCAATAAAATACTGGCAAACCGAATCCAGCAGCACATCAAAAAGCTTATCCACCATGATCAAGTGGGCTTCATCCCTGGGATGCAAGGCTGGTTCAATATACGCAAATCAATAAATGTAATCCAGCATATAAACAGAGCCAAAGACAAAAACCACATGATTATCTCAATAGATGCAGAAAAAGCCTTTGACAAAATTCAACAACCCTTCATGCTAAAAACTCTCAATAAATTAGGTATTGATGGGACGTATTTCAAAATAATAAGAGCTATCTATGACAAACCCACAGCCAATATCATACTGAATGGGCAAAAACTGGAAGCATTCCCTTTGAAAACTGGCACAAGACAGGGATGCCCTCTCTCACCGCTCCTATTCAACATAGTGTTGGAAGTTCTGGCCAGGGCAATCAGGCAGGAGAAGGAAATAAAGGGTATTCAATTAGGAAAAGAGGAAGTCAAATTGTCCCTGTTTGCAGACGACATGATTGTTTATCTAGAAAACCCCATCGTCTCAGCCCAAAATCTCCTTAAGCTGATAAGCAACTTCAGCAAAGTCTCAGGATACAAAATCAATGTACAAAAATCACAAGCATTCTTATACACCAACAACAGACAAACAGAGAGCCAAATCATGGGTGAACTCCCATTCACAATTGCTTCAAAGAGAATAAAATACCTAGGAATCCAACTTACAAGGGATGTGAAGGACCTCTTCAAGGAGAACTACAAACCACTGCTCAAGGAAATAAAAGAGGACACAAACAAATGGAAGAACATTCCATGCTCATGGGTAGGAAGAATCAATATCGTGAAAATGGCCATACTGCCCAAGGTAATTTACAGATTCAATGCCATCCCCATCAAGCTACCAATGACTTTCTTCACAGAATTGGAAAAAACTACTTTAAAGTTCATATGGAACCAAAAAAGAGCCCGCATCGCCAAGTCAATCCTAAGCCAAAAGAACAAAGCTGGAGGCATCACACTACCTGACTTCAAACTATACTACAAGGCTACAGTAACCAAAACAGCATGGTACTGGTACCAAAACAGAGATATAGATCAATGGAACAGAACAGAGCCCTCAGAAATAATGCCGCATATCTACAACTATCTGATCTTTGACAAACCTGAGAAAAACAAGCAATGGGGAAAGGATTCCCTATTTAATAAATGGTGCTGGGAAAACTGGCTAGCCATATGTAGAAAGCTGAAACTGGATCCCTTCCTTACACCTTATACAAAAATCAATTCAAGATGGATTAAAGATTTAAACGTTAAACCTAAAACCATAAAAACCCTAGAAGAAAACCTAGGCATTACCATTCAGGACATAGGCGTGGGCAAGGACTTCATGTCCAAAACACCAAAAGCAATGGCAACAAAAGACAAAATTGACAAATGGGATCTAATTAAACTAAAGAGCTTCTGCACAGCAAAAGAAACTACCATCAGAGTGAACAGGCAACCTACAACATGGGAGAAAATTTTCGCAACCTACTCATCTGACAAAGGGCTAATATCCAGAATCTACAATGAACTCAAACAAATTTACAAGAAAAAAACAAACAACCCCATCAAAAAGTGGGCGAAGGACATGAACAGACACTTCTCAAAAGAAGACATTTATGCAGCCAAAAAACACATGAAGAAATGCTCATCATCACTGGCCATCAGAGAAATGCAAATCAAAACCACTATGAGATATCATCTCACACCAGTTAGAATGGCAATCATTAAAAAGTCAGGAAACAGCAGGTGCTGGAGAGGATGCGGAGAAATAGGAACACTTTTACACTGTTGGTGGGACTGTAAACTAGTTCAACCATTGTGGAAGTCAGTGTGGCGATTCCTCAGGGATCTAGAACTAGAAATACCATTTGACCCAGCCATCCCATTACTGGGTATATACCCAAATGAGTATAAATCATGCTGCTATAAAGACACATGCACACGTATGTTTATTGTGGCACTATTCACAATAGCAAAGACTTGGAACCAACCCAAATGTCCAACAATGATAGACTGGATTAAGAAAATGTGGCACATATACACCATGGAATACTATGCAGCCATAAAAAATGATGAGTTCATATCCTTTGTAGGGACATGGATGAAATTGGAAACCATCATTCTCAGTAAACTATCGCAAGAACAAAAAACCAAACACCGCATATTCTCACTCATAGGTGGGAATTGAACAATGAGATCACATGGACACAGGAAGGGGAATATCACACTCTGGGGACTGTGGTGGGGTCGGGGGAGGGGGGAGGGATAGCATTGGGAGATATACCTAATGCTAGATGACACATTAGTGGGTGCAGCGCACCAGCATGGCACATGTATACATATGTAACTAACCTGCACAATGTGCACATGTACCCTAAAACTTAGAGTATAATAAAAAAAAAAAGAATCTAAAAAAAAAAAAAAAAAAAAAAAAGAATTGAAGGCAGTCCTTGAAGAGACATTTGTATGCCCATGTGCACAGCAGCATTATTCACAACAGCCAAAGCATAGAAGCAAGCCAGTGTCTGTTCTTGGATGAATGAGTAAACAAAATGTGGCATAGCCATGCAATGGAGTATTACTCAGCCTTAAAAAAGAAGGAAATCCTGGCGGGGCACGGTGGCTCACGCCTATAATCCTGACACTTTGGGAGACCGAGGTGGGTGGATCATTTGAGGTCAGGAGTTTGAGACCAGCCTGGCCAACATGGTGAAACCCCGCCTCTACTAAAAATACAAAAATTAGCTGGGATTGGTGGCGGGTGCCTATAATCCCAGCTACTCGTGTGGCTGAGGCGAGAGAATCGCTTGAACCCAGAAGGCAGAGGTTGCAGTGAGCCGAGATCATGCCACTGCACTCCAGCCTGGGCAACAGAGCGAGACTCTGTCAAAAAAAAAAAAAAAAAAAAAAAAAAAGGAAATCCTGTCCCATGCTTCCATGTGGACGAATCTTGAGGACATGATGCTAGTGAAATCAGCCATCCCCAAAAGGCAAATACTGTATGATTCCACTTACATGAGGTAGAGTAGTCAAAACCATAGAGAGAGTAAGTAGCAGGGTGGCTGCAAGAGGCAGGGGGGAGGGGGACCGGGGAGTTATTGCTTAATGGGCACGGTTTCAGTTTCGCAGCATGGTGAAAGCTCTCCACTATCTCTCCCCGACAGCGAGCCCCAGTGGTCCTTCTGGTGTACTGATGTATGAAAAGAACAGCAAGGCCCGCCCCCCACACACACAGCAGGTTGTACCACATACATCCATCCCCTTCTACTCACCCAACCTCAGAGATTGATTTGCTGTTCTTCACAGCCAGGGCGAGATACTTCCCTCCTTCACTTGTTATTTTGTTTTTTCCCAGTCTGCAGAGAGAGTCACACACAGTCAGCCTCCAGCTATGCAGGGGCTCCAATGTGGGTCACCCTCCTCCCCAGCACAGAGCCCCTTCCAGCCCCATCTTGGGAACCGTACACTTTCTTCTGGGATCCACAAGAGCCATGGCCTGGGCCTCCTGTCAGGGAGGGAACTGAAGCCCTGAGGACAGTCAGTCAGGGTTCCTCTCCAGGAGATGGTCCACAGTCTCTGCAGAAGCTCAGGGACCTGAGCCCTCCCTGGGGTCCTCTAATTGACCTCAGCAGCATCACTGACTTCCCTCGGGAGACCTGGGAGGTCCCACTTTGACTGCCAAGGGTCAAGGTATGTGGCCACTGTCAGGGCAGGACCAGAGGCTCCAAGCCTGGCGCACTGTCACCCCCTGCGCAGGGCACACCTACAGCAGGGCAAGGGCCCAAGCTCTTCCTTGCAACCCGACAGGAAACTCCCTTGGGGCAAAAAGACCACCAGAAAGGGTGAGAGTTAGTCCTTTCTTCGGCCTAGTAGTTAATGAAATCAAAATGCCAACCTTTCCCCCTACCAATAACGGGAGGCCCTTCCAGAATCCAAGCCTCACAGATCACACAGAGGTATCTTTACTTGACCAACATGGCCCTGGGACAAGTGGAAGGCTTTAGGATGAAAGCTCTTTACTGTGACATTTAATCTTTGAACAACAGAAGGGGGTGATCAAGAGAATATACTAAGGAACCTGGTGCCTACCCCACTTACTTAAGATGCGTGAGGCCTTTGCATTCATCCAGGATTTTGGTGACGTACCTGGCTCCGACATCGGTGATCTGGTTGTTGTATAAACTTCAAGAGAAAGCACAGCCATGAGACTTTCTGGCTCCTGATGTCATTTTAATAGCCCCTGTTTTTTGAAGCATATGGTGTCTACTGATTTCCAAAGTCTGGGTTGAAAGGGGAACACACAGGCACCAGAGTTTAGGGCTCTGAGGTCTCACAGCTCAGGTTCAAAACCAGCTCCACTACTTTCCCCAGCTTTATGGCCTGAGACAAGTCACGTTACCTCTCTGTGCCTCAGTTTCTCCATCTGTAATACAGAGGTAATGATGATAGTCCCCTTGCAGGGTGGTTATGAGGATCTTAGGACATAACGCAAAGCCCTGGTGCATGAGTGCTCGGTGACTGGCAGGTGATGGGTATTTACAACTAAGATTACATTCAGCGTCTTGAGAAGAAAAGATTCTGAATATTAAAACTTCTCGATGTCTACCTTTCAGCCATCTCACCGCTCAATGCCAATTCAATAGTACAGCAGATGGAAGTTGAAAGGCAGCTAAGCTCAGGCTTCCAGGGTTCCACAGCCACACAGAGCCCTGGAGCCGAGTGTGGCCCGGGGTCGTTTGCGTCCATGTCCTCATTAACATCGAAGGCCACTGAGGCCCCAAGAAACTGAACAACTGCTCCAGCTTGCAGAGCCACCAGTTGTGTGGGGCTGGCCCGCAATCCCTTCTCTCAGACTCCAAAACCTCAAAGGCTCTGAATGCCCAAAGTTTCTCACAATTCTTTTGGCAACTGATGTGGAGCTACTTATAGTCTTTCTTACCACACTTGGTTTGACTGTTTCATACATTCTGCGGGAGAAATATGAAAGTGTTTGAAAATGGGGCACTGCCTTAGACCCCTGCGGCCACGTCATGCCATAGCATGCACTCAGAATCCCCATTCGGGTCTTGCCCCAAAGGCTCTGGATGAGGGATTATGGACCCAAAATAGTCCAGACTAATATGTAAACAGGATTCTAGCATTTATTAAATATATCCCCTTATATTCTCGTTGCATCCCCCAATAACCAGTTGTAAGCCTACTTGCCTATACTGGGATCCCAGTTTTACAGGTGAGGAGGCTGAGGCTCAGCAAGACTTCATGACTGGCCGAGCCACAAAGAGAACCCAGGACTCTCAACTCCTGGGCCAGCGCTCTTCCCAGCCCTGGGCCATCCGTGCCGATCATCCAGGGACCTATGGGAATGTGAATTCCCTGCAGCTCTGTATTATTACTAGGTAGTTGGCCCAGTGTTCTGGAGAAAGACATACCCCAAATAGGTCACAATTTTGTATTTGGTCAGCTCTTCGCTTAGCACCTTTACCCCACCGTCAGTGATCTGGTTTACGCTGAGTCTGAAATAAAACAGCAAAAAAATTACGAGTCAGGGCAGGCACTCATTATGAAGGACCATTAATCTTACAAAGATCCAGAAGCCTTCAGGCCCTGGAGTTTTCTCAGGTATAGACGCCCCTGGAGAATGGCCACAGCAATCAGCCAAATAGCCCCTTACAAAGCCTGGCCAACGTGGGGCCGCCAGACCCATCCTGCACCAGCCCATGAGCGAGGCTGCAGCACAGCCCCTGGCTCCTCACACGACCGTGAAGGACACAGGGAGGACGTGTGAGGCCAGCCACCTCTGACATCCACCCTTTGCGTGTGACCTATGTGTCAGCCAGACCCTGTACCTGGTTCTCGTATGGTGGAGGGCATGGGTTTGGAAATGTCAGGGGCTGCTTTTAGTGGTTGTGACTGGAGGAGGGAGTGCCCTGTCATCTTGCAGGCAGGGCCAATGATGTTAGGTGTCCTGCAAAATGCTGGACAGGTCTCACAAGAACTGTTATACCCAAAATGCCAACAGCTTCCCCCCATCCAGAAACACATGGGCTAACCCTGATTTGTCACTGGAAAAGGCTGTGAGTCCCACTGTCAAAGGAGACTGCTCATGTCATTCTGTAAAGTGTCAGACAGCAAATATTTTAGGCTCTGTGGGCCATGTGGTCTCTGTCACAGCTACTCAACTGTGTAGTGTGAAGCAGCCAGTAAGTAAATAAATGGGTATGGCTGCGTTCCAATAAAACTTTACTTAGAAACACAAGCCTTGGGCCCAATTAGACCCACAAGCTGACCTTGATAACAAGTAAAAGGCTGAACAATTAAAAGCTTGATTTTTAGGCCACATCAAAATGATCAAGTCAGACACTCTGGACCCTTTCCCTCAGAGTCCCCAGCTTGGTGCTGGGAAATAGTGTGTATGTACATGGCATGGCCAGCCCAAGACAGCACAGGCTGCTAGACATTCCCAATATCTATACTTTCTTAGCAATAGATTCCCCCATCTTTTAGCTGGGCCCATCTCATTAAATTCTGCCCATACCATTAAGTTCTGAAATCTAAGCAGCAATATAATTAGTAATAGCCAAGAAGTGTTCTTAAAAGATTGAGGCATGCTCTCAATCTTTGCCCTTCCTTCTTACTGATAGCTAGAGTGTCGACTAGATGGCTGGAGTTTGAGCAGCCCTCTTGGGCCAAGATGGGAAAGCCGGGTAGTGAGGATGGCAGAACAGGAAGGCAGAAGAGAGCCTGGGCTCCGGAGGGTCATGGAGACTCCATACCAGTCCTGAACTACCTACCTCTAGACTTTTACATGAGAGAAATAAGCTTGTAACTCACCAACATTTGGGGTTTTCGCTCTCAGCTAAAACTAATCCTAACTGATGCAGCCAGAGAACTGAGTGTGCTTCCCGTGGTTACCCATATCCTCTGCTTTCCTACAAGCTGTTTTTTCTTGCACTGGTGTGAAGGAAAGCTTCACCTGGGGACAGCAGGAAGGGCAGGGCCACCACACTGGTGTGGAGTTTCCCATTGAAAAGATGGACAGAGGGGTCGGGTGCGGCGGCTCATGCCTGTAACCCCAACATTTTGGAAGGCCGAGGCGGGCGGATCACCTGAGGTCAGGATTTCAAGACCAGCCTGGCCAACATGGGGAAACCCCGTCCTACTAAAAATACAAAAAACTTAGCCGGACATGGTGGCGTGTGCCTGTAATCCCAGCTACTCAGGAGGCTGGGGCAAGAGAATCGCTTGAACCCAGGAGGCGGAGGTTGCAGTGAGCTGAGATCACGCCACTGCACTCCAGCCTGGGCAACAGAGCGGGACTCCATTTGGGGGAGAAAAAAAAAAGATGGACAGAGGGTGGCACTGAGTGTGAGACTGCCTGGGGCTACAGAGGGAGAGTCACTGGCTGAGAGTACAGAGAACAGACTCCAGGTTTTCCAATTCCCAGGCTAGGGCAGCCTTCGACCCCCTGCACCCCATGTCCCCATGCAATTATTTACACTCTGACACTGGTGTGACAGGCACTGGGAGTCAGTTCCAAATCCCTACTGCTTTTTAGAAATGCATGAGTCAAGTAATGGCAAATTTAACCCCCTGTAGAGATTTACAAGGTTTATTTTACATAGGAAATGCTAATAGAAGAAAACAGACTGGGCTCTGTTTCCCGTAAACTATGGAACAGGAAAACAACCACGAGTCAGCATTTTAACTGAGGTCTCTAGCAGTGTGAAGGGCTGCTAGCGTTGATCACAGAAAGTCACCAGTGCCAACTGGCACAAGGTCTGCTTTCTCTGCAGTAATAAAAGCTCCCATATTCCAGAAACTTTTTGAGGGCTATCTCGGAGCCTTACATTAATCTTAAAAGGAAGGTTCTTTATGCATTCTGGCACTGCTATGTCTGAGCTGTGTGACCTAAAGCAAGCTATTAACTTCTCTGTGCCTCTACTTCCTTATCTGCCAAAATAGAGACAATAACAGTACCTAAGTTACAGGGTTGTAAAGAGCATTCCATTAGGTAATATTTGTAATGCACTTCACCCATTCTCAACTAACATTGGTCCCTGTGGCCATAATTGATAGGATTATGAGCATCTTCTTTTTCCAGATGAGGGCGTGGAGGCTCTGAGAGTTAAGCACTTTGTTCAAGGGCACCCAGCTGTGGCTGATCCAGGTCCACCTGCCTCGAAGCTTTGCACCTTGACCTCTGCCCTGCTAAGAAAGAAAAGGTCTGGACATTCCAAGGGCCATGGTCATGAGTCCTGGGGGATCCTGGTCCATGATGCCATTCCCGATGCCCTCCGAGCCTGGCCCGCCCGGCCCACCTGTTGCTCCCCTTGCCTGGCAGCCTCACCTGAGAACAGTGAGGCGGCTGAAGCAGGGCTGCAGCTCCCGCACGCCGTAGTCGTTGAGATTGTTGTTGTCTAGGTCTAGGGCCAGCCGCTTGGGGAAGTGATGCAGGACGAAGGAGAGGGCGCTGCAGTCGGCCGAGCAGGCGTTGCAGTAGGTCAGCTTGAGGTAGTTGGCGCAGATGCCCCTGGCCGCCAGCTGCCCCACCTTCTGGCTCTGTGTCTCGTAGATGCAGCGCAGCATCCAGATGAACGTGGGCATGGCCTGCACCTGGTTGAAGCTTTCGACCTGAACGCGGGGCAGGCTCTTCAGGTAGCCCCGCAGGCTGGAAAACAGGTGTGCCCACAGGGCCTTGCGCTTTCTCCTCAGGGCTGCCGCGGGCACCAGATGCCGCAGGAGTTTCTGTTTGGCTTTGGACAACAGCCCGCACAGGAAGAGGTTGGTGAACTGGAAGTGATCCTTGTTCTTGAAGAGGTCTTCCCGCGCCGGACCACTGCCCTGCAGGCACTGGAACGGGAGGAAGGGAGGATAGCAGGACGTGGTCGCTGCCCCCGCAGGGGGCATCCACTCCTGGAAGAACCTGAGCAGCTCCTGAGTGCCCACCCTGTCGTCCAGCACGAGGAAGAAGGCTGTAAAGAAGGCCTGGAGGGTGAGGTGGAAAAACTCATAGGACTGCTGGTCACCCCCGGGGCCCAGCTCCGGCAAAGCCCGCAGGAAGCCCAGCTGCATGTCTCTCTCCTGCAGCCCGGAGGCCTGCACCTCCTCCTGGGTGAAGACAAAGAGGCTCTTCTCCATGCCCCGGTGGGCCACCTGCCCCAGCGAGCACAGAGTGTCCCGGCCGGCGTGGAGGGTCTCCACTGGGCTGCGTGTGTTCCGCTGCACCAGGCTGCTGGGCTGCATCCTGTTCAGATGGACCTCAGTGACCAGGAGGAAGACATCTGTCAGGGTCATCGTGCAGTCGGGCAGCTGTGGTGAGCCTTCAAAGGCAGCACGGAAGTGCTGGAAGCACCGGAAGATGATCCAGCAGAAGAGGGGCACAGAGCACAGGCTGCAGAGGTTGGGGTTGGCCTCCAGCTGGCTCAGCAGGCGGTCCTGCAGGGCCCGCTCGGGGAACATCCTCCTGGCATAGGCGCGCAGGTGGCTGGGGGAGAAGCCCCGGAGAAGCACCTTCTTCCGCAGGAACTGGCGCGGGACCTCGATGCCTGTGCGGGCTGTGAGCAGCTTGCTAGCCCCCTTGAGCAGCTTCCCACTGAGCAGGTTGGCCAGCAAGACCAGGGGGTGGGCAGGCTCCCAGGGGCAGGAGCTGTCAGGCACGCGGCTCAGGTCCAAGTCCGAGTGCAGCTCGTCCAGGCCATCGAAGGTGAAGAGGGCCACGTGGGGGAAGCGCAGCAGGAAGGCAAACACCTCCTCGGGGTCCCGCTCTGGGTAGCAGTAGTGCTTGAAGAGCAGGTCCTGCAGACACAGCCTGTCACTTTCCTTGAAGCAGCTGAACATGCGGCAGCGAAAGTGGAAGAAGAATTTGACCCCTGCGTCTAGCCGGCCCGTGGCCCAGAGGCTCTGCAGCCGCTGTAGCAGCATGGACTTGCCCACCCCAGCATCACCCAGGATGAAGATGGTCTCACCCTGCTCATTGAGGATGCCGGTGGTGTGGTCCAGGAGGCAGGCCAGGCTGTTCAGGCTGCCCAGGCTCTCATTGCTGAAGCCAACCAGCTCCATGATGGTGTCCATGTAGATCTCCTCCAGCAGCAGCTCCTCCTTCTGGGCATAGCACAGCACGAACTTGGAGTCACGGCCCAGATGGTGTCGCAGCTGCTGGGTATACCTGCTCACTGGAGGGAGGGGGTGGCAGGGCACAGCAGCAGGGTGAGGAGAGAGGCAGAAACAGCATCAAACAGGGAGGTCTCAAAGAGGAGAGGCGAGTGCATAAACAAAATTCACAACCTGGGCCCTGAGGCCAGCGCAGCCACTCCTCAGATGCAGGACCTGGGGAGCGTCACAGAGCCAGCATTCCTGACCCTGAGGGCCCCAGGCTTTGATCTCTCTGCTTGACCTCAGATTTGCCAGAAAGAAGGTGACAAACTTCAGCTGGGATCAGTGTCTGAGACAGGCCACCCTTATTCCTCCGCACAGTGTCATCACTGAACTGCAGCTAAACACTGAAGCCCCTCGCACTCGAGGGCCAGGCCAGATGGCCACGCTGGCCCTCCTCCACCAACACTGCTTTTTTGTTGTTAGAGATAGGGTCCTGCTCTGTCACTCAGGCTAGGGTGCAGTGACCCAATCATGCAGTCTCAAACTCCCAGGCTCAAGCAATCCTCCCACCTCAGCCTCCCAAGTAGCTGGGACACAGGCATATGCCACCAAGCCCAACTAATTTTTGTGTTTTTTTGTAGAGACGGGGTCTCGCCATGTTGCCCAGGCTGGTCTCAAATTCCTGGGTTCAAGCGATCTGCCCACCTCGGCCTCCCAAAGTGTTAGGGAGTGTTATATATTTGTCAGTAATTTTTAGTAAGTTTACAAAGTTGTGCAAACCTCACCACAGTCCAGGTCTAGAACATCTCTACCATCTTCCCAGAGTTTTCTGGAGCCTATTTGTAGCCAATCCCTGGGCCGTAGGCAACTACTGATTTGCTTTGTCTATAGATTTACCTTTTCTGGACATTTCATATAAACAGAATCATACAATATGTAGTCTTTTGTGTGAGACTGCTTGTAGAGTGAATTACACTGTAAAAGCTAGTAAAGTAGCTGGCTAACGGAACCAACAGAGAAGTCTTTCGAAAGAATGATTCCTCATGGGAATACTTTCTTTTTTTTTCATGGGGGAAGGAAACAAGGGGAGACAGGAAGGAGCAGACAGAGTCAGAAGCTAGCAGTGGCTGGCAGGCACCTGCAGGGGCTGTGGAAGCTGGAGCCTAGCACTGACACTCTGCCGGCTGGCCTTGTTTCCCCTAAGCACACACCTGTCTTGTGCTTCTGTTTCCAACAACATATTGGATTCTTTAAAAGGCAGGACTTAGGTCCTTGGTGCTGGTATGTTACCAACAGCTGTCTCAAAGTGGAGAGTTCAAAAGCAGGGAAAGAAGACTCCTGCCCCAGAGCAGATCCTGGCCCTAATGATATGTTCTCACATGCCTTGGACTGCCGCTGTCCTGACACATTTTTGAGATTGCTGACTGGTGGTCTCTTCCAGCTGACTTGAAGCTCCCTGAGGGCAGGAACCCTGTCTGTGTCTGCTCACCACTGTCTCCCTGACATCCAGCACAGTGTAGGGTCTTGGCATGTGGTGGATACAGCAAAAAATACTTATTGAACTAATCAGTTAACTGATGGGGTCTTCCATTAGTTTGGAAATAAGGACTGGCACTCAACGGTGACAGAATACTTTGCCTAGAATCAAACCTGGCAAGGCTTTTTAATTTTTTTCTTTCCTTTTTTAGAGACAGGGTCTCACTCTGTCACCCAGGCTGGAGTGTAGGGGCACAATCATAGCTCGCTGCAGCCTTAGACTCTGGGGCTCAAGCAGTCCTCTTGCCTCAGCCTCCTGAGTAGCTGGAACTACAGGTGTGTGCTACCATGTCCAGCTAAAGATTTTTTTAAAAGAAAAAAAAATACAACCTTGAATTTGTGCAACCATTAAAATGTCTACATATGTCAGAATAGGAAGAAAGCAAGGGGTCAGAACACAGGCCATTCCCATACTTCCAAAGGCCCCTCTATAAACCAGACCATCGAGGTGTGGGCAGTTCAATCGCAGCCACCTGGGCTGCACTTGGGAGACAGGATTCAGCTGTTCCTTTCTAAAATCAAAATAGCACCTGGGCCTGCTTCCTGAGGTGGCACTCAGGGCTGGCCCAGCCATTACCAAACCCCCCAGGGCCCTGCTTGCACTGGTGCCTGCGGTCTTGCTGGGGCTGACTCCTACCTGGGTCAGTGTTGACCACGACTTTGCTCTGAGTGAGCAGGGAAGGGGAGAAGCCGATCTCCAGCAGCCAAGGCCTGAGGTCCACGTAGGCATCTGCGAGTTGCTGGAGCAAGTAGAGGAAGAACTCGGACACCTCCTCGCCCTTGCTCTGTACCAGGTCCAGAATTTTGCGGACCTGGAGGTGACACAAGCATGAGGGCACGGGCTGGCATGAGGGGCATCCTCCTACCATAAGGACCCTCAGGCAGGCTCAGGGCAGGGCTCTGAGTTCTTAGTACAGCCGGTAGCTATGCCATCCCCCCAGCTGCTGTGACAGTCAACATATTGGAGCCCGAAAATCTGTGAAATGACCTCCTGAGCAAGAAATAAAACCACTCAGCTCTAAGAAACCAGGAGGCTTCCATGAGCCTAAAAATAAAAAGGACAGACAAATAGCCATGGACTTCTCTACCTCTTTTTTTTTTTTTTCTTTTTTGAGACAGAGTCTTGCTCTGTCACCCAGGCTGGAGGGCTGGAGTGCAATGGCACAATCTTGGCTCACTGCAACCTCCACCTCCCAGGTTCAAGGAATTCTCTTTCCTCAGCCTCCCAAGTGGCTGGGATTACAGGCACCCACCACCATGCCCGACTAATTTTTGTGTTTTTATTAGAGACGGGTTTTCCCCATGTTGGCCAGGCTGGTCTCAAACTCCTGACCTTAGGTGATCTGCCTGCCTCGGCCTCCCAAAGTGCTGGGATTACAGGCGTGAGCCACGGTGCCCAGCCTTCTCCTTGTCCCTCTTAACCTGACACAACTGCTGTGCAGGAATGAGAGTGGAGAGGTGAGAACCACCCCTTGGGCATAATGAGGTAGGCACCTGGGCCACACAGTAGGAGGGCGATAGGCCATATATTAAAAACGGCTTTTTTTCTTGTTAAAAATGTGGGAAAACAAATCAAGAGAAGAGAACAAAGCACACGAGTGTGCTACTGCTTCCCCCAGAAACCGTCCTGGTCTCTTCTGAGTCCCAGCGGGGTCATGTCATAAATGAGTTGTGTCATTCCTCTAACCAAGAAGGAATTTGTGGTCTCCATTTTATTTTTCAGGAGATAACGCAAAGCGTAAGTGGAAGTAAGGGCTGTTAAGGCGTCCCACAGTGGAGCGGGGAAGATTCTTCACTGTGGACCCACCGTGGGATGTCATCATTCCTGACCCTGAGTCGGTTCCCCTCCGAGTCTCACCCAGCAACAAGCAGCCCTCCAGCCTTCAGAGGCACTGAATGAACATCGCTGCTGGGGATGCTCTTATGCTTATGTTCTTTTTCCCTCCTAATTTAAAGGGGATCTAAAAATGAAGTGTCTGGGAACCAATACACACAGCAATGAGAACTGAGATGTCAGGGTTTGCTCCAGACACAAACACAGAAGTAAAATACCTGACTGTGCAACCTGCTAACCCAGGCATTTGTGTGCTATTAGTACCCCAAAATGCAGCCCTGCCCGCTGGACTAAACTCCCACGCTCTTCACTCAGATCAGCAGGGAGAGGCCTCTTCTAGCTCCCGGGGTCCACACAATGCCATGCCCGTCCCTGTCCCCGGGGCACCTTGTCAGGCTGGGTGGGGCAGGCACACACAATCTCCGCATCTTCGGCCGAGAAGTAGTCATTCTTCAGCAAGTTGTCCACCAGACACTGAGTATTGCGGATGTGAGTGACCAGAAGTTCCCGATTGCTTTTCAGTAATTGAATGTGGGGGTGAGACTCTGATGGGATTATTTCCATCTCACTGTGGCCCTGCTCTTCCATAGTTAAAGTAGCAAGCGGCTACTTTTCCCAAATTCATCTTCAGCTGCGTGTGTCCTCTCAGCAGAAGGGCAATCAGGATTCAGGCCGCGCCCTCCAGGGCCCCTGCTACTCTGCGCAGCCCCTGAAGAGATCAATGACATCATCAGCAAAGCAAAAGCTACAGAAAGAGCTCACCCCACCTCCCACTGGTTGTGGGGTTTCTCTACCTAGAGCAGGAAGGAACCATGCTTAAGACCTTTATCTGGCCAGGCAAGTTGGCTCATGACTGTAATCCCAGCGCTTTGGGAGGCTGAGATGGGTAGATAGCTTGAAGTAAGGCCAGTAGTTTGAGACCAACCTGTGCAACATAGTGAGACACCCATCTCTACAAAAATAAAAAAAATTAGCCAGGCATGGTGGCGCACCTGTAGTCCCAGCTATTGGGGAGGCTAAGGCAGGAGGATCACATGAGCACAAGAGTTCAAGGCTGCAGTGAACGATGATCACACCACTGCACTCCAGCCTGGGTGACAGAGCAAGGCCCTGTCTCTAAAAAAACTTTTATCTTAGATGCATTAAAGAAAAAAAATCATAATTTAATTGTTTGCACTTGAGGGTTACATCTCTAGGGTAGGTGACCAGAGATAGCCAACTCTTTTTTATTTTTAAATCAAAACATCTTTATTATTACTATAAAGCAAAAGTGTGCTTTGATCCTATACTGGGATAGAGATGGAAAGGTGTTTATTTTACATAATAAGGTTAACAGGGCTTGGAGGTTTCTGCATTCCCCAAGCAGGGAACAGGCCCAGAACTGAGAAAGAAAGACCTGTGGGGTTTGGTGGGAGACGGTCTCAGCACAAAATAGCCTGAGAAGAGAGACAGCAGCATGAAGTCTCCTGTGGTAGCCAGAGGCAAGGAACCTGCGGACGGTGATGTCTCAGTCACTGTTGCCCATTTTGGGTTGTGCTATAACCTCTTCCCCCGTGTCCTTGACCTTCAGCAAAGTCTGTTATACACAAGCACCCTGGGAAAGGAGGGAAAAGCAATAGCCCATGTGGCATGAAGTGGGACAGAGGGAGGGCAGAGGGGCAGGAGGAAGAGGGAGAGCCGGCACAGAGTTCCTGGGATTAGATTCCCAAGAGAGGTATCTCTCTGGAAACCCTTGAAAACCTGGTACAAGTGCTGAGTTTCTTGTCTGGGTAGGAACAGGGACCCAGGCTATTTTATTTGGGCATTAAAAAACATTTGGGTTCATCTGAGTTATCCCAAAATTGCACTCACTACCTTCCTTGTAACAATAACAGCAAAAAATAATAATTTTTTAAAAAAATCCCACAGAAGATCCTTCAGCCTCTTCTTGTCCAGGAATACTTGCGTGTGTAAAATGATCTTGGAAGTGGAAAGGCCTGGAATTGGCCACTTTGTCGTTTGTCTAGGCAGGAAAACTCATGCATTTCAGAGAGAGAGTAAAAAAAAGGTTTTTTTGTAGTTCAAAAAAAAGCTCATAGATCTTTTAACACTATCCACATCATTAATATGTTTCACAAGCCACATCTGTTAACATTCAGGTCCAGTGGTTCTCAATTTTTTTTCCACCAAGTGGCACATGAGTCTCCTGCTCTTTGACATGCTTCTATGTTTTCTTTTTTTAACCTATCAAATGCCAGACCCCACACAATAGCTTTCTTTTTAGAATCCAAATGATAGAGCAGGAAAGAGTAAAATTTAAAATTATCAGCAACAGAAGGGCAAGAGATCCTCACCAAAAAAATTTAAAGGTATGAAAATATTAGTTATTGTTCCAATAAAAGTTATTAAATACTAATCCAGCCTTTTCTTTTTTTTTTTTTTTTGACAGAGTCCCACTGTGTGGCTCAGGCTGGAGTGCAGTGGCACAATCTCGGCTCACTGCAACATCTGCCTCCTGAGCTCAAGCAATTCTCCTGCATCAGCCACCCGAGTAGCTAGAACTACAGGCGGGTGCCACCATGCCCAGCTAATTTTTGTATTTTTAGTAGAGACAGGGTTTCACCACGTTGGCCAAGCTGGTCTTGAACTCCTGACCTCAAGTGATCTGCCCACCTCGGCCTCCCAAAGTGCTTGGATTACAGGTGTGAGCCACCACACCCGGCTATTTTCCATGGCAGTCAATTCTATGACCCACTTTAGGATCCTTAGCTTTAGAAAATCGGTTCATTTAAAGCATACCAGCTGACAATATTAAATTTAAATTAGCAGTTAATAATACCTTTTTAAGTTTCTGGCATCATTCTTTGAAGTTAGAATATTTTAAAACAACATTGTTTAAATCTTCAATTTCCAATTTATTTCTGGAATCTGCAAAATCAAAGAAAGACTTAAAAAAATTATTGTGGCACATGGTGAATGAATGAATAAAATTGGCAAGAGAATAATTTTAAAATCTAGTACTCCCAGGTATCAGACTACTCTCTGTACCTTCTTCTTTTAGGACAGTGTTTTCTAAATGTTCAACGTCCCCACCATAGTCACTTTTTTGTTGTTCTTGCCATAATTGAGTCACACCTGTCCTTTATTTGCTTAACCTTTTGCTTTCAATTGAGTTTTGAAAACTCTAATAATTTTAAAGGAATGTAATGTCACCATTAGAAACAGAAAAAAAATATCCTTTGCAATACATAGAAAGTAACACAAAAATTAATTCACCAGAAATACCACAATGTTACTGTATTCCAGCTAGTCCTGCTGCCTGGAAAGGCTCCAGGGTTGGGGCCTGTTTTCTCTCGGAAGCATTTGAGAGATGTTAAAGACACAGTAGCACAGAATTGAGACTTTCTCTTTAAGATCATCACAAGGCTGAGAGAAAACTGGAAAGAAGTCACTTCTCACTTTGTGATTCAGCATTTTGCAATGCCATGCTCCATTCTTTAGAAAGCTGGGAAGGGGTGTTGCACAGCTTCCTTCATCCCTCCTTTCCCGACCTTTGCCCGCCTACCACGAGGGGCCCGTTTTACTCACTGCTTCTGTCTCTTCCAAGCCTGCGATTCCCATAAAAACAGCAACTTGTCTTCCCAGATGTTTTCTGTAATCGCCGCCACAATCTCCACCTCTTGCCATCAAAGGCAGAAACCGAAGGAAAGTCTCCTGACTTACAATCACCTAAATAAAGCAATATATTATATGACAGCCATCTGGCAAGGAGGCTGCTTTATAATGTCCAGAGCCCTGGCTGAAGATTTAATCAGGTGTGCAGAGTTAGCTCAATTCAGCAAGAACTTAACAAGGTATGGATGTTGGAAGGGAAAGCAGAGAAACTGAACTCTGCCTTGGTAAACAGAATCTAAGGGTAGACCAAAACCATACCATGGGAGACTGGAGATCAATTCGAAGTTCATGGGCACTTATTACCAGAAACACCAGACAGCCAGAGATCTGCTGGCCCTGGGGGGCAATCCTTTCCTTTCTTTGCTTGGTAAAGGGTGGGTCCAGTTGATGAAGACGGTCTGGTCCTCTCTTCCAGGCAAAGAGAGGACGGAGATTGGGCTGGGGCCAGGTATCTGGGAGCTGGGTCTGCTCTCCTGGGTGGAGCTTTCCCAGGCCAGTGGTGCAGACCAATGGGGACTGAAGTTGGAGATCCTGGTAAGACAGCTCCAGGGATACCCAAAGGAAAAAACCAAGCTAATGGAGGCAGCCAGAAAACAGGACACACCGCAGAACAAAAGATGGATCACCAAGTGGAAAAATGAAGCAGAGGAGATCGGAGGAGGGTGAGTCCACCACCAAAAGCCATCTCCTGAGGCAAAGGCAGGTGGGGGTAGAGCCTGTGGGCAGTGAGGGAGCCCCGAAGGGAGCTGGGGGTTGCACAGGCATTTCCTCTCAACCGCTCTTCTTTCTAGCTTTCTGCCCTCAGAGAGGGTTAGTTTCCAGGGTAAGGGAATCCCAGGGGCAATTCACCACTCCGGGCTCCTCACAGAAACCAGTGCCCAAGTCCCCTCCTGCAATGTGATCTTCCAAACTAAAGAAAAGGTCTGCAGAGCCTCCAGGAGAAGATTCAGGGAAGCTGCTCTGGTGAAAAGGAAGCAGGGATTGCAGGATGGCGGATCTTCAAAGGGAAAAAGGAGACCATAGAGCAGCTCTGTTGAATTGAAATATGACACAGCTTTCCTAGTAATTTAAAACTTTCTAATAGCCACACTAATAAAAGTAAAAATGGACAGGTGAAATTAATTTCAATGATATATTTTAATTCTAATACACTCAAAATATTTCAGTATGTCATCCATACAAAATTTATTTATTATTATTTTTTGAGATGAAGTCTCACTCACTCTGTCGCCCAGGCTGGAGTGCGGTGGCGCAATCTCGGCTCACTGCAGCCTCCGCCTCCCAGGTTCAAGCAATTCTCCTGCCTCCGCCTCCTAAGTAGCTGGGATTACAGGTGCACACCCCCATGCCTGGCTACTTTTTGTATTTTTAGTAGAGACAGGGTTTCATCATATTGCCCAGGCTGGTCTTGAACTCCTGGCCTCAAGTGATCCTCCCACCTCAGCCTCCCAAAGTGCTGGGATTACAGGTGTGAGCCACTGCACCCAGCCCATCAACAAAAAATTTATTAATGAGATAGTTTACATTCTTTTTCTTCATACTATGGCTTGGAAACCTGGCATGTGTTTTAATCGCACATCTCAGTTTGGATCAACCACATTTCCAGTGCTCAAGAGCCACATGCGGCCAGGGGCTACTCAAGTGGACAGTGCCACTCCAGGGCAATCACTAAAAGCTAGGGTGTTGAGACATCAGAGTTCCTGCCTGCTGCCCTTCCATTTGAAATACTGATGCCAGGAATGATCTTTGTTGTTGTTGTTGTTGTTGTTGAGACGGAGTCTCGCTCTGTCACCCAGGCGGGAGTGCAGTGGCACAATCTTGGCCCACTGCAAGCTCCGCCTCCCGGGTTCACGCCATTCTCCTGCCTCAGCCTCCCAAGTAGCTGGGACTACAGGCACCTGCCACCATGCCCAGCTAATTTTTTGTATTTTTAGTAGGGACGCGGTTTCACCGTGTTAGCCAGGATGGTCTTGATCTCCTGACCTCGTGATCCACCCACCTCGGCCTCCCAAAGTGCTGGGATTACAGGTGTGAGCCACCGTGCCTGGCCAGGAATGATCTTAATTGGCTTTTCAGATCAGTTTCATCGGCAACTCAGTGAGACAGAGGTTAAAGACGTGAGGTCACTGAAAATTCTGCAAACTCAGGAAGAAAATACACACTGGACCTACTGGTTTATACTCAATGTAAAATTCTCTTCACTGCTGCATACAATTTTGCAGCTTTGCATCCTTGCAAAGATAGAGAGTAAGATACAAAAATGCTGTTGATGTTTGGTGAGTCAGGACTCTCCTATACCACTGGTGGAAATGTAAATCTGTGGAAGTCTCTGGAAAGTCCTTTGACACAATATGTGTCAACAGACTCTGAAAACTTTCTATTTAGTAACTTCCCCTTCTAGAAACCCGCCTTTTGAAAAGAATCAGGGGTTCTGATGGGTTTTTTTTTTTTTTTTGCTGTTTTTTCTTTTTAAACAAGGGACTTCCAGTCCTGGCTATAATAGAATAACTTGTAGCTCACACAGAGGACAACTGCTGGTGAATGGATTGACAAAGTATAGCATATTCATACAGTAGAACACAATTCAACAATAAATGCCAATGAAACAAGAATCCATCATGAATGAGTGTCACAGATACTACACTGAGTGAGAGAAGCCAGACTCAAAAGAGTACTTAGGGCTGGGTGCAGTGGCTCACGCTTGTAATCCTAGCACTTTGGGAGGCCAAGGCAGGTGGATCACTTGAGGCCAGGAGTTCGAGACCAGCCTGGCCAACATTGTGAAACCCTGTCTCCACGAAAAATACAAAAATTAGCAGGGCATCGTGGTGCACACCTGTAATCCCAGCTACTAGGGAGGCTGAGGCAGGAGAATTGGTTGAATCCGGGAGGCGGAGGTTGCAGCGAGCCAAGATCGTACCATTGCACTCCAGCCTGGGTGACAGAGTGAGACTCCATCTCAAAAAAAAAAAAAAAAAGATTTCATGCATATGATTCTGAAAATCTGATCTAGAAATCAGATCAATGGTTTCCTGAGGCAGGGGGCAGATGGGAGTGGGGGAGAAATTGACTGCAAAGAGGAATAAGGAAAATTTCTGGGGAGATAGAAATGTTCTGTGTCTTGATTGCATGCTTGCTCTCTCCCTTGTATACAGTCACATATGTGTGTGTATGTATATATATGAATATACATATAGATACATACGACTTGTCAAAAGTCAGCAACCCATATGCTTGAAATCTGTGAATGTTATTGTATGAAATTACACTTCCATGAAATTGATTTTCTTTTAAGGAAAGGCAAAATAAAGTTTTTCCAGACAAAAACTGAGACTTTGTTGCTACCGTATCTGCACTAAAATGAACACTAAATAGAGTTTTTCAGGTAGAAAAAAAATGATCCCAAGACAAAAACAAAAATGATGAGCAACAGGAAGTGTTCATAAGCTGGGAAACAGAAATGGGTACTAACCGAACTATATTATATTAATATCTCGTGAGGTCACCAGGACCCCTCAGGAAATGATTGACCTAGAAAGGAGTCTCACCTCCTGGAGAGCAACCAGGACTCTGTCCCTGAATCCTGGGGTGGCCCCAGAGAAACCACAGATACACACTCACTCAGTGTCACTTTCACCGCAGGCTTCTTTCTTTCCTTGCACTGTCCCAGGGGACCTTGAGCGGAGATGTGCATTTCTTATAACTGAGATGCTAAGATTAAAAAAAAAAAAACATTTTATAAAGATGTTCTCCACATGTACCTTTCTATGTTTTAATAACTTTTTCTGTAAGTATAAAACAATACCTGCTCACTGTAGAAAACTTGGGAAATGCAAAAAAAAAAATTAGAGGAATAAATTAAGTTCCCTATTATCCACATGCAATAACCACTATTCTCATTTTGGAGCACTTCCTTTCAGCTTTTCTCTGCATGCATTTGCGCCCACACTGACTTTTTGCATGTTTGGCATTACACCATGTTTTTGTTGTTCTCTTACCGTTATCTTGTGTTTCTTTGTAACTGCTAAGGCCCTCTTTGGAGCTGCAGAAGCTGGCTTCTGGATGACTTGGCTTCTAGAAAGCAGAATGTTTTGCTTTCCCTGGTTTTTCTCTTATAAAGAAGGGTAAGAACTCACCTGCCACTCTGCTGCTTTAAAGCTCTGCATCTGAGAAATTCCACGTGCCAAAGGGAGGCTCAAAGATAATGGCAAATGGTCTCCCTTTCCTCGGCCCGGCCATGCCTGCCTGAACTGCTAAAGCAAACCTGGACACCTTGCCCAGCAGCCTCTGCCAGCTGCGAGGCACATGACAGTGCTCTACCATCAGCGTGACCCGTGGGATAGCTGCAAGGGGGTGGGCAGGGGCAGAGAGTGGTGGGACAACTCCATGAGGTTGCAGCTGTTCATTCCTTCTACAGAGATCCACTGAGCACTTCCTCATGTCCGGCCCTGCAACGTGCAAGGGCCCCAGCAGGGCCTAGTCTGATAATAGCTAACACCAAGTGTTGTACTAGGGCATCAGCATGGATGTTAAGGCTTTATACACATGGTGAGAGGCAGGACAACATAAGGGTGAAATCTGTGGTGTCTGGGATCTCTAGAGACAGCAGTGTTCAAATTCTGACTCATGAGCAAATTAGAGGGAAGTTCCTGCTAAATGGACCATGTTTGCTGGTGATTTTAGGCTGTGGGGAACAGGGGCACTCTCAGTTTATGTCTGTTCATGGGACTTTATTATAAGATCACTGATTATAAGGACCATCACTTGTTAGCAAGTTAGCCAGCCTTTCTGTGCCGTGATTGCCTCAAGGTAAGAGTTCCACCTCAAAATGTTGCTGTAAGGATTAAGTGAGTTAATATGCACAAAATGCCTAGGCCAGGGCTGGCACTCAGTAATGAGCGAATCATTTACTAATTTCTGTTATCTCAATCCTTGCAACAACCCTAGGTGCCAGGGGTCATTGTTACCGCCAATTTACACATGAGGAAACTGAGGCACACAGAGGTCAAGTAGCTCCCTGCCCTCACAGAGTTTACAACTGGGCAGGACAGACAGACACAGAACAAGGAATCACAAGTATGGTGAATGTGTGGAAGCAGAAATGAGCAGAGAGAGACAGGGGGGTGCCGTGGCTCTCAAGGGCTTCCTTGGGCTCCAGCCAGCATGATCACAGACGTGTCTGCTCCCCTGCAGCCCTCTGTAATGGCAGGTGACAGGGAGACCCAGTTAGAGCTCCTCTCTCAGGGAGTTTGAATTTGAGACATTTAGAGAGATGCTGAGTCCCAAAAACCCACAGGAGGTGTGGGTTTGGCTGCCCACAGCTGAGGCCACCAGCCACGGCTTCCCTTATTTTGTGTATCTTTATAATAAACCCCCATGAACATAGCCTCAGTGTGCCCCTGTTCTCTGCAGCCTAAAAAACACTAGCAAACATGATCCATTTAGCAGGAGCTTCATGCTGTGCAGAATCACCCAGCAGAGGTTTCCCTGCTCCATTGTGACTATGAGCGCCTTCCTCCCAGCATGAGCAGACAAGACTAGACTCCATCCCAACTGATGGGGCCAGATTGAGAACAGAAACCTCAAGAAAGTCATTTCCCATCATCAACACTGGCCTCATGATTTCACTCTTTCTTCAGGCACCCAATTGTTGGGAATCATTATTCGCTCTTTTTTTTTTTCATGTTTATATTTCAAAATAAATAACACAGCTTTCCATAAATTGGTGTTGCAACAGTAGCAGCTAAGATTCCTAACAGATCTAAGCCCTGTTATAAAACATTCTTTAGCAATGTAGCAGATGCTATCTTAGAGTTACAACCCAGCGTTTTTCAACAGTGAGCTCTGTGTAGTCAGGCCATTCTGTAAGTTTTTCTACTGTGATACTTGCTATATAGGTTGGTAACAAATACAAGCATAAGCAAAACCAAGGCCAGCTTTGCTGGCACCCAGGTCATATGGAACCTGGCCCAGTGCCATGCCATCTGCCTCTGCTCCTGTCCTGACCCTCCCTCCTCAAGCTCTGACCACTTCTTGAAGTGAGTTCCCAAACAGCTCTGCTCTCTGCAACCTTGGCGGCCACAGGAAAAGGCCAGTGATTTTATGAACACAGAAAGGATTGGCTTCTAGGATATAACTTTATGGGTCACAGGAGAGTTTTCAAAGACTTTCCCACCCCTTCCTTGAAAACCAACACAGTGGTAGAAGTATTCAGTTCATCAAACAGTTCAGGTTCTTCTCCTAGACACCTGGTAGGATTACACTTCCCTACCCCTTTGAAGTTACAGGCTTTAACTCATGAAACATGAGCAGAAACAGAATGTGTTGCTTTGGGTAGGAGGCTTTTAGCCATCACTGCTTAATTTATCAATGTGCAATTTTTTTTTTTTTGCTTCTGGCACTATGATTAGCACAAGATGGGGGCAGCTGCATCAGCTCAGGCCCACAAATAACCACAATGAGTAGCTCTTGCCAACTCGCAAAGGACATAAGATATGAGGAAGAAATCAACCTTGATTGTTTGATAGCCAGGCATGGTGGTGCACGCCTACTGTCCTAATGACTCAGGAGGCCGAGGCAGGAGGATCACTTGAGCCCAGGAGTTCAGAGTTCGAGGCTACAGTGAGCTATGATCACACCACTGTACTCCAGCCTGGGTGACAAGTGAGACCCCTGTTTCTTAAAAAATAAACAAAACAAAAAACCTTCGTTGTCTGAGCCCACTACATTAAAGGATCCCTCTTAGCACAGAAAAGTCACTACAACCTTTTTCAGATACTATAACTATTTATGGAATTAAGATTTAAGATAAAATATAACACCATTCCCTGTCTACCTCAGACTCAGCAGTAATCTATATAGGGAGATACTGCTTTACTAGGAAGAAAAATAGGCAGGACATGCACCTTCTTTATTTGTCCTTGGGTTACATCATTCACCTTCTCCCAACTTGTGTTGGGTCCTGCCACCTCACTCCACCCCTCACTTGGCTCCACAGAACCACATCCATCATTTCTGTTAGAATTACTGGGTTGGTATCCCTAAAAGCCAAGCCGACCAGTGATGAAAAAGAACACGGTGGAGCTGCATGTACTGACATAGAAAGAGCCTTAAGACATCCTGTCACTTGAAAAATGTAAGTTGCAGAAAGAAATATAGAGTATAATAACATTTATATGGCTTGCCCACATCCCCTGCCCTCCAAATACACAAAGCACTCCACGTTCTCTATAGGCATACGCCCGTGAATGTAAATGCAAAGAAAACCACCTGTGAGAAGACACACGGTGTGAGAATGAAAATTACTTCTGGAAAGGGAGAGGACACCAGGAGTAGGGTAGGACTTTTATTCGTAATGTTTTTTTTTTTATAAGAAGGCTATACACTTGCATGATTGAAATATTTTAGGGCCTTTTCCTCATTAGGGCATCTCAGGACATCTTGAGGCAGGCCAGCACAACATTCTCAGCGACTGCCTTGTTTTGAGGAACTATGACTTTCAACTCAAAGGGCCCACCTGCCCTAGAGAGAAAATGCTTGGTCTTCATTAAACTAAACGATGGTTCATTAAGACCAAACAAACTCAGATGAGATGTTAAGACTTTCTGTGCACCTGTAAATCAATAAAAAGCTCTTCCTGTTTTGTGAAAGTATCACAATAAATCTGATGGGATTGTGGGTGGGAACAGTTTTTTTTGTTGTTGTTGTTATTTTTGTTTGTTTGTTTGTTTTGAGACAGAGTTTCACTCTTGTCACCCAGGCTGGAGTGCGATGGCGTGATCTTGGCTCACTGCAACCTCCGCCTCATAGGTTCAAGTGATTCTCCTGCCTCAGCCTCCTGAGTAGCTGGGATTACAGGCACCTGCCACCACACCCGGCTAATTTTTGTATTTTTAGTAGAGACGGGGTTTCACCACGTTGGCCAGGCTGGTCTTGAACTCCTGACCTCAGGTGATCCACCTGCCTCGACCTCCCAAAGTGCTAGGATTACAGGAGTGAGCCACCGCACCCGGCCTATATTTTGTTTTAAATTTAGTAGAAGGCCATCAACTTAGGGTATTACCATTAAGCCTAGTTAGAAATAAGGAATATAAAGTGAAAAATAATCAGTCCCCACAAAAATAGTACAGAGCAAAAGTCAACAATACTGGCTTTCAAGTGGATTTTTAAAATCCCAGAGCCACAAGAAATACCATATTGAAGAAATGCTCAATGGTTGCCAAACGTTTCATTTCCTTTGTCTTGTATTTCCTCTTTTTTTCATAAAACACATACCTCTGAACACTTCAAAACATTAGCAGCTCAACTGCCTTCTGGAACATTCTGACACCGAGTGATGTTTTAATTTTGATTTCTCAGCAGCAAATGGATGATGTCAAAGGGGCCTCACATTTTCCTAACCAGTATCAGCTCCCCAACCCAAATGGTTATTATTACCAAGGAAACTAGTTCAGATTCTTTTTCCCTTTCTGTTAAAAACACATCCTATCACCCAAGTTTAACCAGAAAATGCCATCTCTGGTAAAGTCACAACCTGCCATACACAACATGGGCTTCTCAGACATTCTGCCCACCACCATCCTGGACAATAGGAATAGATAACTGATATTCATTTATTGAATGAACTAAGTTAAAGCCATCATTCCCTGCCTACCTCATGTAGGTACCTGCCTACCTCAGAGGTGATATAACCCAGATTGCAAATGTCAATTAGAGTGGGCTCCACCAACCCCCAACATAACTGGCACACATATACCCATGAATGGGGACCACATCTGAATTCTCCTTTAGGAAATGACTTCTCTTGAATATGATTCATTTTGGTGAATTTAATCCACAGGCTCCACAGTTTTACAAGTAAAGAAGATAATTATACTCTAGTTGTTGACATGAACTGCTTGGATGTTCAGGGTTGTGGTGATGACGTGAACAACAGACTTCTTCACTCTGCAAGTTACCCAACAGCAAGCTGGGTGGATGAAGCCATGCCAACAGCATCTGGCAGGAGCCAGCACCAAGCACACCTTACACAGCTTCGACAGAGCTGCACGGAGAACACATATGCTTGGTCAGCTCAAATGGTGTCCTACTTTTCCTGCTGCATGATCCACAACAATCTGTGTTCTGTTGTTGTCTGTTTGTTTTTCTTGCTTGGTTTACAATTTCTTAAGGAACTTAACCTGGAAAACAAGCCCGGTCATGTGGGCCTCTGCCATGCCAGAACACTATAGGCAGCCGACTCTGGAGACAATTTAGCAGATGGATGAAGCTACAATTATTATTGGAAGCTTTTTAACTCCATTGACACTCACTGACTTTAAGTATCTGAAAGCACTTAATCCCTCAGAATTTGAAAGCAGATGGAAGTCAGTCCCTCCCGGAATCACCTCTCTCTCTCCCGGCTTCCTTCCCCTCCCTACTCCCTCTTCCCTCCCTCTAGCTCCCTCTGTCTCTCATACAAAGTACCTTATAGTGTGAGCTCCAGACACACAGACACTGCCATCCTGCCTACAAAGAAAGGAATGCAGACACAGCCAACGTCAGCATTCGGGGTGGGACCACAGTGGAACGCATACATCCTTTCACAGCTGCCAAGGCCTTCTGGGAAGTCCAATGCCTGCCCCCACATCTCTCAGAGCCAAACATCTTCTTCTGGTCAGGAAACCCTGTTCAGAGTGCACAGAGAGCCAGCTCCTCCCTTCTCTGCTGAAATCCTGGGCTCCTGAGGTCAAACAGAATGTTGTCCAAGCCACCTATTTTAGAGATGGGAAAACAGAGGCCCTGGGCAGGGCCCTGGACTTGTCCGGATCAATCAAAACTAGCATCCAAGTCTCCTGGCTGCGAGACAGTTGCTTCTTTTGTCTACTTCTGGCCAGAGTAGCCTCCTCAGTAGCCAAACATTTCCTCCATCCCCCCAGCGGGGATGTCACCTGTCAGAATGGGAAAAGGGTAGGGTTCCCACCTTACTCTGTTTCTCCCCTAAGCCCATCTCTCCCTGCTGGGAAGGCCCATGGTATTCTATCCCCGCCTCTCTCAGAGGGCGTGCAACTTTGTGTCCTAAGTTGATTATTTTCCTTTCACATTGGTTGGTAGTGGCAGTGAAGGACACAGACTCTAAAGCCAGGCTATCTGGTTCCAATCACCAGCTATGTGACTTGGACAAATAATGCTCTCTTCTGTGCTTCTGTTTTCTTCTCTGTAAGTACAGATAATAACTGCACCTACTCCATGTAGGGATCTCTGTGAGCATGCAGTGAGTTAATACACGTACATACGGTATTTAGAACAGCACTGGTCACATAGTAAGCACCGGCCGTGACCTACAAGAGGGCAGCCTAGGCCAGCATTTCCATCTGTCATCTTCAAGGCCAGCACTGATGACAAGGGAGGGCGACCATCTGGTGAGTCACCGTATCTCCAGCACATAGAGGGTGCTCGATAGGAACCGTCGAATGAATGAATCTGGCCGGGTGCACTGCGTATAGCAGGTGCTTCATCATGTCCACTGATACGTGGATTTCCATAATTCACAGGCTCACTTAGGGAATGTCACTTACCAAGTTTATTGGTGAATAAATTCAACTTTCCATCACCAATAGTTTCTGTTGCTCTAAGGCATTTATCTTCGCTGCTGTCTTTAAAAGGTTAACCAGAGCCCAGCTGTCAATGTCAAAAGCATTGCCTGTGCGACCACTTGGTACTTAATCACCTACTGCTTGACATTTTCTTGGTTTTATCCAGGCTTTGAAAAACAAAGTTCCCAAAACACTGCACTTGATATTCATCTCTGAGGGGCCAGTGAATAAAAATATCTTAATGAAGAAAGCCAGCAGAAAACAACAGAGCCTTGAAGTGGAAACCGGTTTCCTGGAACTCCACTCTGCGAGAGGGCTGAAGTGTTTATGCAGAGGAAAGTGCCACAGAAGTGGCCGATCTGGAAGCTGGAGGACATCTGGATATGGCATTTAGGACTGACACAGAAAGTGTCTGGGGCTTATCAAGTGAAAAGCACTCCACAAGAACAAAATATATTAGTCACCACCAAAGTGGGAGTTGAAACCGGGCCCACAGCAAATAAACACTCTGCTGATCGCTGGCCAAAATGCTTAGCTGAAGACGTTTATTAACCCCATTGAACATGTATACAGAGTCAGCAAGCATCTAGGACACAAACCTGTCACAGAGCTAAGTGGGAGAGTACCCAGGGATTTATGTGTGGTGACCCTGAGTGGCATTAAGAGGTTGAGAAGATGATAGAGCCATAACCCCTAAAGCATCTGCCCCAGACACTGCACCCCTTGGGCCAGGACTGCTCTCTTCCCTCACTAAGTGAGGTCCCATGTTAAGCAGAAGGCCTGCCCAACCAGCCGAGATACACCTGGCCTGCAACACATCTGGCACTGCAACCTCATGACCGCTTCACAGCAAGGAAGGAGAAACAGGGTCAGTGCAGATGCCTGGAAGCAGCCAGCATGCAGTGCTAAGGATGTGGGTCCCACACAGTGGAGGCTTTTCCTGTGACCTGAAAACACCCAATAAAGAATTTTGTTTTTACCAAACCCTGGGTCTCTCAAGTGCACACAAATGATGAATTCAGATTTTCAAAGGTGAACAGAGCTGGGAAGGCACCCTCTTTGGGATTTCTGGGCAACAGCTAGGCGGAGCAGAACAGACTAGCGTGAAAAACTGACAGCCCTTCCCATAGCCAGGGGGCCCTGACATTTGGTGCCTACAGATTCTGACCCCCTGACCTGTACATGCCCAACCTCCCTCCACTCTTCGGGGTCTTTTGTTCCTGTTTCTAAAGAGCCAGGAAGGACTGGACTCCACCCTAGTCCATCCACTGAAGCTCCTGATGAAGGATGCCGGGTGCCTAGGAGGCCCATATGCATTTACACTCATCTGTCCCAGAAAACTACAGAGCATGTGCCGTGGGCTGGGCAGGCCTGGTTCCAAATCCTGCCTCTGCCTTCTTTCACTTTGTTTTGAGCCTCAGTTCCCTCATCTGGAGATTGAAAACTAGACACTCCAGAATTGTTTCACACACTAAGACAAGGTTTATATAGCTTAAGAAGTAGAGATTGTTCATTATCTGAATAAATAGAAGTGACTAATGATCTTTTTCTTGTATATTATGAATGACAGGAAAAAGTCAGGAGGGGAAATTCCTCCAAAGCTTCCCTCCGCACTTCAGAATAAAATCCCAAATCCTTACCCAGCCCAGGAGGCCCTACTTGGCCTGAGTGTGTCTCATTATTTAGCTCTGTACCCTCCTGGGCTTGGGCCTTACCACACCAGCCACTCAACACACCCACATCCTTCCCATTCACCTCTGGGTCTTTGAACCCACTGTTCTCTGCATCCAGCATGATTTCACTCTTTTTTTCATCCCAAGTCCTAGTTGAAAAGGCTCATTCCTTGAGAGGCGTCCCCAGACTCTCCTAATTCTAGTTCTGCTCTGATCTCCTGTCTCATGACATGCTGTTGTTTTCACTTAAAGCACTTTCCACAAGTTACAATTATGTATTTACCTGTGTGCTTACTGCCCTAACCTCCTACTTATGGACTGATGTTTATGTCCCTCCAAAGTTCACATGGTGAGGGAGAACCCCCGATTTGATGGTGTTTACAGATAGGGCTGTTGGGAGGTGAATAGGTTTAAATGAGGTCGTGGGGGTGGAGCCCCAATGATGGGATTAGTGCCCTTATAGCAAGAGACATGAGAAACCTCTTTCACAAATCAGGAAGAGGGTCCTCACCAAACTCCCATGCTGGCAACCAGGTCTCACACTTCCAGCCTGCAGAACTGTGAGAGATAAATGTTTGTTGCTTAAGTCCCCCAGTCTGTGATAGTTTTAGCAACCCAAGCTGACTAAGACATCCTCTCCACCCGGCAGCCTCCAAATTCCATATGGCCAGAGGCAGGGTCTGTTTCATTCATTGCTGTAATCCAAGTACTTAGTAGACTCCTGGCACCAGCAAGACTTTCTGATAATATTTGTTGAATTAACATGTTGCAGAATTGAAGCCCCAAAGTGCCAGAAGGAACCAAGAGCTATAAATAGCTTTCTAACAGCCTTCCACACCAGGGTAGGGGGCCAGCAGAGCACTTCACACACACAGAAAGCCAGAAAAGCAATTACTACCTCATTATCAGGAATGCTAAAGAAGCCACACCTCACTCAACTGAGAATTTGCCTTTCTGGGCCCCCAAATTCCACTGACCCAGACCTCAGGGAAGATTGCCAGAACTCAAGAAGAGGCCAAAGCCACTGGGGTAAAGGAGAGGGAGGATGAGTAAGGAATGTCAGAAAAGGTGGTGTACTTAGAACAGACCACTGCACCTTTGATGTAATATTATTTTCAATACTGTTGCTGTCCACCTGAGTCTCAACCTGGGATCTCCTAGGCCTGGTTTCTGTCTTCCAAACACCCCCCACATCTGTCTGGGTGAAGGCATGTTTTATTACACACAGGCTAACAATCTCAGTGCATCGAGATGACATTTATCTCAAAACTAACATTGCAACCCACTCTAATAATGTTAGTCAATATCGGTATCAGATTTTTTTTTCCAGTTGATATTAACCAGCCTAAGCAATGGATGAGGTTTAATGTTATCTGGAAGTGGGAGGAGGCGACAGGAGGAGTGAGCTGCCACTTTCACTTCCTAAGTAAGCTGCTCTTTGGAAGCAGGGGCTCTGTTTCCAGAAATATGGCCCTACACAGAGCATAAGCACATCTGACTGTTAATGGCAGGAGATGGGCATCAGGAGGTAGGTAGAATAAGCAGGGGTGGGGGTACTCACTGAGCAGCTGGGGCAGTGGTTAAGAACAGGGACTCTGCTTCAAGTCCTGGGATAGACTTTGGGCTAGTTATTTAATCTTGTTGAGCCTCAGTTGTCTCCTCTATAAAACAAGGGAAATGATAACCACTGCACAGGGGCGCTGGGAAGATAAAATGAGCTAAAAACAAACAACAAAAACCCTAAACTCTTAGACCAGTGTGGGACACAGGAAGTCTATGTAAATGCTATTCTTATTTAGGGTCTACCAGATCAGGCCTGTCATCATTTCATTTAATCAAATCAAGCCTCAAAGCAATCTTTCCAGATAGGTAGAGTTAGCCCATTTTACAGATTCAAAAGCCAAGGCTCAAGAAGATTAAAAACCTTATCTGAAGTCACACAACTAGGAGAAGGAAAGACCAGCCCTGGAACCAAAGTAATCATCATAATCTTTATCATCATAATCATGACTTACTAGAAGCTGGGTGATGTGCTAAGCACTTTACATAGATTAGCTCATCAAATACTGAAAACTGCCCAGCAAGGAAAGCATTATTGTAACTAGTTTACAAAGGAGGACACAGAGTTGGAGTGGTTAAGTATGTTGGTGAAGGTCACACAGTTAGTTAAGGCAGTGATCCCCAACCTTTTTGGCACGAGGAACTGGTTTCATGGAAGACAATTTTTCCACAGACAGCGGCGAGTAGGGGCACAGGGGAGATCGTTTTAGGATGAAACTGTCTACCTCAGATCATCAGGCATTAAATTCTCATAAGGAATGTGCAGCCTAGATCCCTCGCGTGTGCGGTTCACCATAGGGTTCCCCTCGCATGAGAATCTGATGCCACCGCTGATCTGACAGGAGGCAGAGTTCAGGCGGTAATGCTTGCTCACTGCTGCTCACCTTCTGCTGTGCGGCCCACCTAAGAGGCCACCGACTGGTATTGGTCCATGGCCTAGGGATTGGGGACCCCTGAAGTAAGGAATAAAACAGGAATTGGATCCTGGTTCTGACTCCAAAACCCATTGTTTCTTCCATTTCAGCCCTGCATGTCTGGTATACTTTATAGACCCAACATCTCTATTTGAAATCATCAACACGCCTGTTTTCATATTAAGTATGAAACACTAGCTTTGTTAAATGGAGTCCAGAAATGACCCACTCACTGAAGGGGCCTGTGTTGTAAGGAGTTAGGATATCCCCTGCCAAAAAAGCCTAGCTTTCCCCCAGTTCCTTCCAAGAAGGTTTGGTTTTGAGGTCATAGGCAGCAATCTGGGCATGTGTTACAAGAAGCAGGGGAAGTTCTTACTCATTAGACTTTTAATCTTTTGGGAATTAGAAAACGAATACTCTCCCAAGTAAATCATCATCTGCTCTCAGCTCTGCTATCATGTAAGGCGTTTCCTTAGCAATATGTGACTGCCAGGCCCAGTTGCATGTGGCTCTGAAAATATCTACCAAATGACTACATTCTCCCAATTCTGACCCTAACCTGTATGGTGGCAATGACAGAACAGAAGGCCAAGGGACATCAACTTTCTGAAACAAATGTAATCAAGGTGAATGTTCATGTTTTATTAAAATCTTAATCTGCCAAAATCTGGCACTAATCTGGTGCTCACTTTGAAATTATCTGGGCCCTTACTACAGTGCTCTATAATTTAGAGGAAAAGGACGCTTCAGTAAAACAAATTCTAAAGTGGCAGTTTACTGGAGAGTAACTTTTAATTTCCATGCAGTATAATACAAAATTGCCTTGTTGGCTCTAAGGACGTGCATCCCTCATCAGGGAACTCTGCCCCATTAGAGGACCAAGGTGAGATCCCTTCAGAGTGGCATCATCCCCGGTTGGCTCAATGGCTCCAGAGACAGGGAGGATGGCGAAGAGAAGGGCCGGTGGCATGCCTGCCTTAGCCAACTCTGCACAGGAATCTCTGCCCACAGTTTGGACTGTGGCAGTTCCAGATAAAACACATGTTTAAATAAGAGTTCAAGCCAGGAAGTCTTGCCTGAATGAACTTTCTAGCGTGGGTAAAAAATGTCAGCTAACTGACATGCCAGTGACTACTCACCTCTCACCACAAGAGTCAAGTTTAGAAACAACACTTGCCCTCAACGAGTATTTGATGCGCTAAAGAGTTTTTCCAGAAACCAGGTCAGACCTTTTGGATAAATCAAAGGAGGCCCCTTGTGTGACATGCAACTGACTGTCCCTAGAAGATAAAAGAAAATGGGACTTCTGAAAACTTGCAAAATACCTAGAGCCTCTGCATGACAAAAATTCAGCATAAGTACACATTTTAGCTTTTCTAATTTCTTCTTGCCTAAAAAAAATCCCCCCAATAATAAGAATGATAGAAGAAACTAGTAACTTAAACCTTAAATCCTACGTTCATATCTTAGATTTTGAACAAATATTGAATCCTTTTCTTTGAATAAGAGATAAGACTTTGATAGTCTTGTGTAAGCAAATATCAGTGATCACACATACACTAGAAAAACACTTGATCTTTATGCCTATATTACTTACTGTTTCTATTTCTGATGTCTAATCTAAACAGCACTGCTGTTAGGATCAAAGTGACCATCCATGATGCACAGAGCACGTACCAGGGTAAAGTTCCAGCTGGGACGCAGGCATCAGCAATTGTAGAATTTGGGTTCTCCCTTCCTCAGATCCCTGACTGTCCTTGGTCATTCAAGAAAGATTCACTGTCCCTAGGCCAAGAGTCAGGAGCAAAACAGGAACACCAAGGGTATGGTCTGAGGATGTTGTCAGCAGGGAGCAACGTGCGTGTGTGTGCACATACACTAATTCTGAGACACTGTGCACAGCCCAGCTTTCTTGGAAAGCCATTTAAAAGATATATATGTGGCAACAGAGAGGAGGAAGTCTCAAGATTAAGAACAGCTTTTGAGTGTGTGTGTGTCAAAATATTCATTCCTATCACATGCAGTAAAACTGTATTCCAGAGCCATTAATACGCCCTGGGGGACTGAGGGGATTTGCAGCCTAAGATTTCAGACTTAAAGCCCGCTAAGGCCCTGAGCGGGGCAGCAGGGCAGGAGAAGGAATGGAGCGTTGAAGGGAACATTTTATAGACATTCTCCCTCATAGTGGCTGTACTAAGTAAACAATTAACGGGCACAAACTGCCACTCCAGTGTCTAATAACTACCTCTGCCAGAGCACCTGCCAGCGCCACCACCTTCCAGGTGTGTGATGCACATCATCTCGCTGAACTATGCTAGCCTCAGGAGAGGGTTGCTCTTTATTTTACAGGTGGGAAAACAGGGGCTTGGAGAGGTCAAGGAACTTGCCCAAAGTCACAGCATAGAAGTGACAGAATCCGAGTTTTGACCCAGATTTGATGGGTTCCAAAGCGTGAACTTATTTCTCCACTCCACAAAAATAAAACCTACTCTTCTTACAATATTTGAAAGAGCCCTCTTCTACCACTCTGCTGTTTGTTTTAAACACAGCTTGCTTATCTGTCTGGCATATTCGGTAGAAGTCTGTACTTTGTCAATGCCTGGTTTGCCTGGATTTCAGCTACCTGGCCCCTGGCATCTAAGCCTGGGTGAGAACAGGGAATCCACTCCTCTCTAAGATGCATCGTGGAGTTACTCTTTTACTCTTCCCTGAAAGTGATAGTTCAATCTTCAACAGGGGCTTTGAGGGAGAACAAACTCGACCCTTTGGCAAGCACGACTTCTGGCTTCACCGTTTTTTTGTTTTTTGTTTGTTTGTTTGTTTTTGACGGAGTTTTGCTCTTGTTGCCCAGGCTGGAGCGCAACAGGGCGATCTCGGCTCACTGCAACCTCTGCCTCCCGGGTTCAAGCAATTCTCCTGCTTCAGCCTCCCGAGTAGCTGGGATTACAGGCATGCGCCACCACGCCCGGTTAATTTTTTTTTTTTTTTTTTTTAGTAGAGACGGTTTCACCATGTTGGGCCAGGCTGGTCTCGAACTCTCGACCTCAGGTGATCCGCCTGCCTTGGCCTCCCAAAGTGCTGGGATTACAGGCGTGAGCCACCGCGCCCGGCCCTGGCTTCACCCTTAAAGCAGAAAGGCCAGAAGTCATCAAGGCCATGGGTTTACTAGCTTAGCTTCCCCAGACTTAATTTCAAACACCAACAACCGAAATGTTTCCTAGAATGCAGAGCTAATGAGACATCAACCTCTGTCATTTCCTATGTTTTTCACAATGTGCCAAAACAACTGCACACATTGGAGGCGTTTTTGAATGTGATATTCAGGCGACCTTGCCAAGCATTGTCTCATTTCCTTACTTTGTGGAGCATGAAACCCAAGGGAAGTTCTCACCCTCTCTCCAGGACCAAGCAGGACACTGGGAGCTGCTGTCCCGTCTGCAGGCGGGACTCCATGAAGGCCCCTGTCTGCCCTTCCAGCCTTTGCCACAAACCCTCGAACGCTGGCTGCACACTGGAATCACTTGGGGAGCTTTTAAAAGATACGGAGGCCTGGGTCTGACTCCGTGAGATTCTGATGGAATTGATCTAGGGTGCAGCCTGGATATCTGGATTTTAAAAGCTCCCCAGGTGGTTCTAAGCTGCTGGCACGATTGAGAACCCCTGCGTTCGACCACAGTGGGATAAACGATTCCGCTGACTGTGAAGTTCATCCCTCTCAACTTTCGCTACATGCTTCAAACTCGCGGGTTTCTCCGCTTGGTTCCACCCAGAGCTCCTCCAGAGCCGCGCTGCGTTCCGCCCGCACGCAAATCCCGCCTCCCTGCGCCTCCTCACTCGCAGCGCCCAGGACCTCAGAAAGGGCCTGCCCCGCGCGAATCCCCAGTCGCTGGGACTTACTTGGCCACCAGGTTTACAGACTTCGCAGCCGCTGAGAGCTAGAGAAGAGCCCGGAGAGCGCCATGGTCCGGGGACGCCGGGGCCGGGAAGCGCCGTGGCCCGGGAGGACGCTGCTCCCGCAGTAGCGCGAGGGAGGGGCAGGACCGGGGCGGCTGCCTCGCGGGCCCGGAACGGGAACTGGCTGCGACTACAGCCGCAGCCGCGCCCCTCTGTTGGCGCGCCCAAGAGCCTGCCGGCTGCTGGGAGAGGCCGCCGAAGGGCGGGGGCGGTCAAGGCAGGGTCCCACGGTGCTGCCATTCGCCCGGGTCTGGCGCGGGGGGGCGAGAGAAGCTGCGCGCAGAGGGACGCCCGGTGCGAGAGGGTGAGCCCCTGGCCACCGCGCAGGGCCGAGTGGACAGGCCCAAGTTCGCCCAGAGGTGACACACTTGGGAATTTGTGGTGCCATCGTGCCAGGTCCCTCCTCGTAAAAGTGCCTACCCAGCGCCTGCAACCAGAGCCAAAGCCTGGACATGATAGGGAAACTCTTGTTAAAACGCGACACGTGGTCCTGATGAAATGGAGGTTAACGTAATCAAATTTAAATTACACTGCATACATTTCAATTTATACTTTTTAAAAAATGTAAGCTTTTCTTCCTATCCTTAAATTTGTTCTTGGCAGTGTACATTTTATGTTCTATGCATATGCTCTAATAGGTTGTAAAAGAGTTTTAACATGCTAATAAATGTCCCCAATAAAATAGTTTTAAAACGTTTTGAATGGGGATCGTGTCCATAAGGGATATCATGCTACAGAAAGTTGTCACTTACTCACACTGAAGAAGTACATTCAATCATATAGCCACTGATGCTTGTGAGTATTAAAATTCCCATCAGAGGCTGCCCTCTGAGAAACAGAAAGTATGTTCTTAAATCAAAAGTGAAAGTGCAAACTAAAGTTGATAGGATCAAATGTGCCAACTTGTGTCAGGCCTCTGAGCCCAAGCCTGCATGTATACATCCAGATGGCCTGAAGCAACTGAGGAATCACAAAGGTAGTGAAAATGGCTGGTTCCTGCCTTAACTGATGACATTACCTTGTGAAATTCCTTCTCCTGGCTCAGAAGCTCCCCCACTGAGCACTTTGTAGACCTTCCACCCCCCCGGCCCCCGCCTTGCCCACCAGAGAACAACCCCCTTTGACTGTAATTTTCCACTACCCACACAAATCCTATAAAGCTACCACACCCCTAACTCCCTTTGCTGACTCTTTTTTTCGTACTCGGCCCACCTGCACCCAGGTGAAATAAACAGCTTTATTGCTCACGCAAAGCCTTTTGGTGGTCTCTTCACACGGACACGTGTGACATTTGGTGCCGAAGACCCGGGACAGGAGGACTCCTTCAGGAGACCAGTCCCCTGTCCTCACCCTCACTCTGTGAGGAGATCCACCTATGACCTCGGGTCCTCAGACCAAACAGCCCAAGGAACATCTCACCAATTTCAAATCGGGTAAGCGGTCTTTTCACTGTCTTCTCCAGCCTCTCTCACTACCCTTAAATCTCCCTCTATTTCCAATTCCAGTTCTTTCTCCTCTCTAGTAGAGACAAAGGAGACATATTTTATCCATGGACCCAAAACTCCAGCTCCGGTCACGGACTCAGGAAAACAGTCGTCCCTTGGTGTTTAATCACTGCAGGGACACCTGCCTGATTATTCACGTACATTTCATTGGTGTCTGATCACCGTGGGGATGCCTGCCTTGGTCATTCACCCACATTCCCTTGGTGGCAAGTCAATTGTGGGTCGCCTGCTTTGGCTGCTCAGCCACATTGCAGCCCAGGGCTGCTCACCACCCCCCTTCTCCGGGTCTCTACCTTCTTTTCTCTGGGCTTGCCTCCTTCACTATGGGCAACCTTCCACCCTCCATTCCCCCTTCTTCTCCCTTAGCCTGTGTTCTCAAGAACTTAAAACCTCTTCAACTCACACCTGACCTAAAACCTAAACGCCTTATTTTCTTCTGCAATACCGTTTGACCCCAATACAGACTCAACAATGGTTCCAAATAGCCAGAAAACGGCACTTTCAATTTCTCCATCCTACATGAGCTAGATAATTATTGTCGTAAAATGGGCAAATAGTCTGAGGTGCCTGATGTCCAGGCATTCTTTTACACATTGGTCCCTTCCTAATCTCTGCTCCCAATGTGACTCATCCCAAATCTTCTTTCTCTCCTGTCTGTTCCTTCAGTCTCCACCCCAAGCTCTGAGTCCTGTGAATCCTCCTTTTCTATGGACCCATCTAACCTCTCCCCTCCTCCCCAGGCTGCTCCTCGCCAGGCTGAGCCAGGTCCCAATTCTTCCTCTGCCTCCACTCCCCCACCCTATAATCCTTCTATCACCTCACCTCCTCACACCCGGTCCAGCTTACAGTTTCGTTCCGCAACTAGCCCTCCCCTACCTACCCAACAATTTCCTCAAGGTTAATGCTCCTTTTTCTTTATCCAACCTCTCCCAAATCAATTAGCATTTAGGCTTTTTTTCATCAAATATGAAAACATAGCCCAGTCCATGGCTCTTTTGGCAACAACCCTTAGACACTTTACAGCCCTAGACTCTGAAAGGTCAGAAGGCTGTCTTAGTATGCATTTTAGTACCCAATCCACTCCCGACGTTACATAAAGCTCCAAAAATTAGAATTCGGCCCTCAAACCCCACAAAAGGAATTAATCAACCTCACCTTCAAGGTGTACAATAATAGAAAGGAGGCAGCCAGACAGCAATGCATTTCTGAGTTACAATTACTTGCCTCTGCTGTAAGACAAAACCCAGCCGCACCTCCAGCACACAAGAACATCAGAATGCCTAAGCCGCAGTGGTCAAGCATTCCTACAGGACCTCCTCCATCAGGATCTTGCTTCAAGTGCCAGAAATCTGGCCACTGGGCCAAGGAATGTGTGCAGCCCGGGATTCCTCCCAAGCCATGTCCCATCTGTGCAGGACCCCACTGGAAATCAGACTGTCCAACTCGCCCAGCAGCCACTGCTAGAGCCCCTGGAACTCTGTCTGGCCCAAGGCTCTCTGACTGACTCCTTTACAGATCTTCTCGGACTGACGCTGCCCGATCGCCTCAGAAGCCTCCTGGACCATCACAGATGCTTTGGGTAACTCTTACAGTGGAGGGTAAGTCCATCCCCTTCTTAATTAATACGGAGGCTACCCACTCCACATTACCTTCTTTACAAAGGCCTGTTTCCTTTGCCTCCATAAATGTTGTGGGTATTGATGGCCAGGCTTCTAAACCTCTTAAAACTTCCCAATTCTGGTGCCAACTTGGACAACATTCTTTTATGCACTCCTTTTTAGTTATCCCCACCTGCCCAGTTCCCTTATTAGGTCGAGAAATTTTAACTAAATTATCTGCTTCCCTGACTATTCCTAGGCTACAGCCACACCTCAATGCTGCCCTTTTTCCCAGTTCAAAGCCTCCTTTGCATCCTCCTTTTGTATCCCCCCACCTTAATCCACAAGTGTAGGACACCTCTACTCCCTCCTTGGCAACCGATCACGCAACCCGTACCATCCCATTAAAACCTAATCACCCTTACCCCGCTCAACGCCAATATCCCATCCCACAGCACGCTTTAAAAGGATTAAAGCCTGTTATCACTCACCTGTTAACAGCATGGCCTTTTAAATCCTATAAACTCTCCTTACAATTCCCCCATTTTACCTGTCCAAAAACCGGACAAGCCTTACAGGTTAGTTCAGGATCTGCGCCTTATCAACCAAATTGTCTTGCCTATCCACCCTGTGGTGCCAAACCCATATACTCTCCTATCCTCAATACCTCCCTCCACAACCCCTCCATAGCCCATTATTCTGTTCTGGATCTCAAACATGCTTTCTTTACTATTCCTTTGCACCCTTCATCCCAGCCTCTCTTTGCTCTCACTTAGACTGATCCTGACATCCATCAGCCTCAGCAACTTACTTGGGCTGTACTGCCACAAGGCTTCATGGACAGCCCCCATTGCTTCAGTCAAGCCCAAATTTCTTCCTCATCCATTACCTGTCTTGGCATAATTCTTCATGAAAAAACACATGCTCTCTCTGCTGATCCTGACTGGCTAATCTCCCAAACCCCAGCCACTTCTACAAAACAACAACTCCTTTCCTTCCTAGGCATGGGTAGGTACTTCCGCCTTTGGATACCTAGTTTTACCATCCTGACTAAACCATTATATAAACTCACAAAAGCAAACCTAGCTGACCCCATTAATCCTAAATCCTTTCCCCACTCCTCTTTCCGTTCCTTAAAAAACAGCCCTAAAAGCTGCTCCCACACTAGCTCTCCGTAACTCATCCCAACCCTTTTTTCATTACACACAGCCGAAGTGCAGGGCTGTGCAGTCAGAATTCTTACACAAGAGCTGGGATTGTGCCCTGTAGCCTTTCTGTCCAAATAACTTAACCCTACTGTTTTAGCTAGCCCCCATTATTCCTGATACCACACCTGACCCCCATGACTGTATCTCTCTAAATCCACCTGGCATTCACTCCATTTCCCCATATTTCTTTCTTTCCTGTTCCTCACCTTGATCGCACTTGGTTTATTGTTGGCAGTTCCACCAGGCCTAATTGCCATTCACCAGCAAAGGCAGGCTATGCTATAGTAGTATCTTCCACATCTATCCTTGAGGCTACCACTCTGCCCCGCTCCCCTACCTCTCAGCAAGCCAAACTCATTGCCTTAACTTGAGCCCTCACTCTTGCAAAAGGACTACACGTCAATATTTATACTGTCTCTAAATATGCCTCCCATATCCTGCACCACCATGCTGTTATATAGGCAGAAAAAGGTTCCCTCACTACGCAAAGGTCCTCCATCATTAATGCCTCTTTAATAAAAACTCTTCTCAAGACCACTTTACTTCCAAAGGAAGCTGGAGTCATTCACTGCAAGGGCCATCAAAAGGCATCAGATCCCATCACTCAGGGCAATGCTTATGCTGATAAGGTAGCTAAAGAAGCAGCTAGAGTTCCAACTTCTGTCCCTCATGGCCAGTTTTTATCCTTCTCTTCGGTCACTCCCACCTACTGTCCCACTGAAACTTCCACTTATCAATCTCTTCCCACATAAGGCAAATGGTTCTAGGACCAAGGAAAATATCTCTTTCCAGCCTCACAGGCCCATTCTATTCTGTCATCATTTCATAACCTCTTCCATGTAGGTTACAAGCCGCTAGCCCATCTCTTAAAACCTCTCATTTCCTTTCCATTGTAAAAATCTATCCTCAGAAAATCACTTCTCAGTGTTCCATCTGCTATTCTGTTTCTCCTCAGGGATTTCTCAGGCCCCCTCCCTTCCCTACACATCAAGCTCGAGAATTTACCCCTGCCCAGGACTGGTAAATTGACTTTACTCACATGCCCCGAGTCAGAAAACTAAAATACCTCTTGGTCTGGGTATACGCTTTCACTAGATAGGTAGAGGCCTTTCCCACAGGGTCTGAGAAGGCCACCGCGGTCATTTCTTCCCTTCTGTCAGACATAATTGCTCGGTTTGGCCTTCCCACCTCTATACAGTCCAATAACGGACCAGCCTTTATTAGTCAAATCACCCAAGCAGTTTCTCAGGCTCTTGATATTCAGTAAAACCTTCAATACCCCTTACCATTCTCAATCTTCAGGAATGGTAAAATGGACTAATGGTCTTTTAAAAACACACCTCACCAAGCTCAGCCTCCAACTTAAAAAGAACTGGACAATACTTTTACCACTTGCCCTTCTCAGAATTCGGGCCTGTCCTTGGGTTGCTACAGGGTACAGCCCATTTGAGCTCCTGTATGGACACTCCTTTTTATTAGGCCCCAGTCTCATTCCAGATACCAGCCCAACTTGAACTGCACCCCAAAAACTTGGATAGAACCTAAAAACTTGCCAACCAAGCAAGTAATTATGCTGAACCCCTTTGGTTACTCTCCAATTAGATGTCCTGGGTCCTCCCAATTCTTAGTCCTTTAATACCTGTTTTTCTCCTTCTCTTATTCGGACCTGTGTCTTCCGTTTAGTTTTTCAATTCATACAAAACTGCGTCCAGGCCATCACCAATCGTTCTATATGACAAATGTTCCTTCTAACAGCCTTACCACAAAATCTTCCTTCAGCTTAATATTTCCCACTCTAGGTTCCCACACTGCCCCTAATCCCACTCAAAGCAGCCTTGAGAAACATCGCCCATTATCTCTCCATACCACCCCCCAAAATATTCACTGCCCCAACACTTCAACACTATTTTGTTTTATTTTTCTTATTAATATAAAAAGACAGGAATGCAGGCCTCTGAGCCCAAGCCTGCACGTATACATCCAGATGGCCTGAAGCAACTGAAGAATCACAAAAGAAAGGAAAATGTCTGGTTCCTGCCTAACTGATGACATTACCTTGTGAAATTCCTTCTCCTGGCTCAGAAACTCCCCCACCAAGCACCTTGTGACCCCTGCCCCTGCCCACCAGAGAACAACCCCCTTTGACTGTAATTTTCCACTACCCACCCAAATCCTATAAAACTGTCCCACCCCTAACTCCCTTTGCTGACTCTCTTTTTGGACTCAGCCCACCTCCACCCAGGTGATTAAAAAACTTAGTTGCTCATGCAAAGCCTGTTTGGTGGTCTCTTCACACGGACGTGCGTGACAGTAAGAACCAGAATTATGGCTAGGATATGTGAACCCCCAATATCTGAGGCGGTCTCAGTTAATTTAGAAAGTTTATTTTGCCAAGGTTGAGGGTGCTTACCTGTGACGCAGCCTCGGGAGGTCTTGATGACATGTGCCCAAGGTGGTCAGAGCACAGTTTGGTTTTATATATTTTAGGGACACGTGAGACATCAATCGATATATGTAAGATGAACATTGGTTCGGTCTGGAAAGGCAGGACAACTCAAGCAAGGATGTCTTCCAGGTCACAGGTAGGTGAGAGACAAACGTTGCATCCTTTTGAGTTTCTGATTAGCCTTTCCAAAGGAGCCAATCAGATATGCATTTATCTCAGTGAGCAGAGGGATGACTTTGAATAGAATGGGAGGCAGGTTTGCCCTAACTTGACTTTTCCCTTTAGCTTAGTGATTTTGGGGCCCCAAGATTTATTTTCCTTCACAGATACTAATTCCTCCAGTCTATCCTTATATGAGCCTATGGTAGAAAAATTAGACACTTTTTTTTTCTTTTCCTCTAGGATTCTGAACTTTATCTTCCATGTCGTAACCTCTCATTCTATTTTCCTTATCCTGTTTCTCTGGCTGCATTCTGAGTCACTTCAGTTCTGTCTTTTGACTCAGCAATTATTTTGTAGATGTTTGAATCTGCTTTTTAACCTGTCTATGGCAGGCAGAGTAATCTCCCCCCAGTGATGTCCACATCCTACCCCTGGAACCTGTGAATATGGCAAAGGGACACTAAAGTTGCAGGTGGAATTAAGATTGCTAATCAACTGATCTTGATGGAGGGATTATCCTGGGTTATTGAGGTGGGCCCAATGTAATCACAAGGGAACTAAAAAGTGGAAGAAGGAGGCAGAAGAGGGAGAACCAGAGAGATGGCAGCCTGAGAAGGACTTGCCTGAGAAGGACTCGGCCGACATTGCTGGCTTTGAAGATGGAGAAATGAGACTGAGCCAAGGAATGCAGGTGGCCTCTGGTGCTGCAAAAGACAAGGAAATGGATTCTCCCACAGACCCTCCAGAAGGAATGCAGACCTGCCAACACTATGATTTTAGTCCAGTGAGACCCATTTTGGAATGCTGGCCTCCAGAACCCTAAGACAATAAATTTGTATTGTTTAAGACACTAAATTTATGGTAACTTGTTATAGCAGCAGTAGGAAAGTAATACACCGTCTATTTAAGTTCTTAATTTTAACAATAATATCTTTATTTTCTAGGATTTTTAGATATTTTTTGGTCTTTCTAGCTTTCTTGGTCATTTTTAATAGTCTCCTTTTCTTTGTTGATTTTATATTTTAAAACTATTTTATAGTTGTTTTTGCTTTTAAAATAATTTATTATTGAGACATAATGTTTGTATTTTTATGGGGTACATGTGGTATTTTGTTACATGCATAGATTGTGTGTAATAATCAAGTCAGGGTATTTGGAGTGTCCACCACTTTCTTTCTTTTTTTTCTGTTTTTTTGAGATGGAGTATTTATCCTTTCTTTCTTTCTTTCCTTTCTTTCTTTTCTTTCTTTCTTTCTTTCTTTCTTTCTTTCTTTCTTTCTTTCTTTCTTTCTTTCTTTCCTTCCTTCCTTCCTTCCTTCCTTCCTTCCTTCCTTCCTTCTTTCTTTCTTTCTTTCTTTCTTTCTTTCTTTCTTTCTTTCTTTCTTTCTTGTCTCTCTTTCTTTCTCTCTCTTTCTTTCTTTCTTTTCTTTTCTTTTCTTTTTTTGAGACGGAGTTTCACTCTTGTCACCCAGGCTGGACTGCAGTGAGTGGCATGATCTTGGCTCACTGCAACTTCCGCATCACAGGTTCAAACGATTCTTCTGCCTCAGCCTCCTGAAGTAGCTGGGATTACAGGCACCCACCACCACGCTCAGCTAATTCTTTGTATTTTTAGTTGAGACGGGGTTTCACCATGTTGGCCAGGCTGGTCTTGAACTTCTGACCTCAGGTGATCCACCCACCTCGGCCTCCCAAAGTGCTGGGATTACAGCCTTGAGCCACCACACTCAGCCGTGAGTATTCATTATTTGTGTGTATTGGGAACATTTCAAGTCCTCTCTTCTAGCTCTTATGAAACATAAAATACATTGTCAATAACTATAGTCACTCCACTCTGATATAGAACATTAGAACTTACTCCTTCTCTCTAACTCTATTTTTGTACACATTAACCTATGGCTCTTCATCACCCCACCACCTGCCCTTCCCCGATTCCCAGCCTGTGGTAACTATCATGCTATTCTACCCTCTACCTCCATGAGACTAACTTATTTTTAGCTCCCACATGTAAGTGAGAACATGCAGTATCTGTCTTTCTGTACCTGGCTTATTTCACTTAACATAATGACCTCCAGTTCCATCCATGTTGCTGCAAATGACAGGATCTCATTCTTTTTATGGACAAATAGTATTCTGTCATGTATATATTTGGTTTGTTTTTAAACCTTTTGAGATCACTCTAAATTCACATACAGTTGCAAGAAAGAGAGATCCATGTATCCTAACCCAATTTTCCTCAGTGGTAACATCTTGCAAAGCTATAATACAATATTACGACCAGAAGGTAGACATTAATGCCATCAAGATACAGATCATTTCCATCACCACAAACCTCCTTCATGTTGCTCTTTATACTACCTCCTCCTCTACTTAACACTTGGCAACCACTGTCTGTTATCCATTTCTACAGTTTTGTCATTTCAAGAATCATACATAAATGGAATCATACATTATGTAACATTTTGGAATAGTTGTTTTCAGTCAGCATAATTCTTTGAAGATTCATTCAGGCTGTTGCATGTATCAATAGTTCTTTCCTTTTTATTGTAAGTAGTATTGCTAGGTGTGAATTACCATAGTTTGTTGAAAGGCATCTGGGTTATCTCCAGATTTGGACTATTATGAATAAAGCCACTATAGGCATTCATATACAAGTTTATGTGTGAAAATAAGTTTTCATTTCCCTGGGAAATGTCCAGAAGTGCAACTGCTGAGTTGAGAAACTTATAAAGTTTTCCCCAGAATGACTGTACTATTTTACATTCCACCAGCAATGTATGAGTGGTCCAACTTCATGGCATACTCACCTGCATTTGGTGCTGTCATAATTTTTTGTTTTAGCTATTCTGATATATGTATAGAGCAACTGATACATCATTGTGGTTTTAATCTGCTAATAATGATTTTGAACATCTTTTCATGCACTTATTTGCTGTGTCTTCTCTTGGGTGAAATGTATCTTCGTAGCTTTTCTTCATTTTTTTTTTTTTTTGTTTTTTATTTTTTGAGACTGGGTCTCACTCTGTCACCCAGGCTGGAGTGCAGTGGCACGATCATGGCTTACTGCAGCCTTCACCTCCTAGGCTGAAGTGATCCTCCTGCCTTGGCCTCCTAAAATGCTGGGACTACAGGCATGAACTACCATGCCCAGCCTTTTTGCTTCCTTTTCTGATTGGATTGTTTGCTTTTTTACTGTTGAGTTTTGAGAGTTCTATATTTGGTGTGTAAATGTTTTGTCCCTCTCCTAGCTTGTCTTTTCATTCTCTTAGGGTCTTTCAGAGAGCAAAGGTTTTGTTTGTTTGTTTGTTTTTTTAATGAAGTCTAATTTATCCATTTTTCCCTTTATGAATCATGTTTTTGGTGTCAAATCTAAGAACCGTTTGCCAAGCCCTAGATTGCAAAGATTTTTTACTATGTTTATTTATTTATTTATTTATGTTTACTAGGAGTTTTATAGTTTTATGTCAGACATTTAAGCGCAAGATGGACTTTGAGGTAATTTTTGTATAAGGTGTGAGACTTAGGTCAAGGTTATTTTTGTCTTTTTCTTTTGACTATGGATGTCTAATTGCTGCTCTGACACCATTTGTTGAAAAGACTGTCCCTCCTCCATTAAATTCCCTTTGCACCTTTCCAAAAAACCAGGTGAGTATATTCGTGTTGATCTATTTCTAGATTCTCTGTTCTGTTCCATCGATCTATGTGTTTATCTCTATGCTAATAACATACAATCTTGAAATTGGGTAGAGTGATCCCTCTCAATTTATTCTTCTTTTTAAAAATTGTTTGAGTTCCCTTTGCTTTCCATATAAATTTTAGAAAAATAATTATGCTGGTATTTTGAGAGGAATTTTGTTAAACCTGCATATCAATCTGGGGGAGAATTGACATCTCTACTATGTTGAGTCTTCCAATCCATGAACATGGCATGCCTTTCCATTTATTTAGATCTTCTGTGAGTTCTTTCATTAGTGTTTTATAGTTTTTAGCATACAAGTCCTGCACATGTTTTGTGAGAGTTACACTTATGTATTTCTTTTTTTTTAAATAAAGCAATTGTATATATTGCTGGTAGGAATGTAAAATGGTTCAGCCAATGTGGGAAACATTTTGGGAGTTCCTCAAACAGTTAAACATAGAATTACCATATAGCCCAGTAATTCTACTCCTTGGTATGACTCTATAATTGAAAAAAGGTACTCACACAAACATATGTACATAAATGTTTAGAGCAGCACTATTCACAATGATCAAGGGTGAAAATAATCTAAATGTCCATCGATATATGGATAAGCAATTTATGGTATACCCATAAAGCAGAATATTATTCAACCATAAAAAGGAATGAAATACTGATACATGATACAATGTGGATGGAGCTTGAAGATATTATGCTAAGTGAGAGACACCATACACAAGGTCACATATTGTATGGTTCCATTTATATTAAATACCCAGGATACCTAAATCCATAGAGACAAAAAATAGATTAGAAGTTTCCAGGGTCTGGGGAAAGGAGAAATGGGCAGTAACTACTTAATGGGTATGTGGTTTCCTTTAGGGGTGATGAAAATATTTTTGGAGTAGGTAGAGGTGGTGGTTGCACAACATTGTGAATTTATTAAATGCTACTGTATTGTTTACTTTAAAATTAATTTTGCTATGTTAATTTCATCTTATAAATAAATATGCAATTAAAATGCAATTGTAAATGTTATTGCATTTTAAAATTTGGTGTCCATGTATTTATTTCTAGTATATAGGAATGCAATTGATTTTTTATGTTTATATTGTATCCCATAATGCTGCTGAACTTACTTACTTGTTCTAGGGGATATGTTTTGTAGATTCTTTGGGATTTTCTGCATAGACAATAATGTCATCTGAAAATAGGGATGGTTTCATTTATTCCTTTCTGATTTGTGTGCTTTTTATTTCCCTTTCTTACCTTATTGCACTGGCTAGAACTTCCAGCACTATGTTGAATAAGATGGGTAAGAGCAGGCTGGGTGCAGTGCCTCAAACCTGTAATCCCACTCCTTTGGGAGGCTGAGGCAGGAGGACTGCCTGAGGCCAGAAGATTGAGACCAATGTAGGCAACATAGTGAGACCCATCTCTACAAACATTTTTTCAAAAGTTAGCCAGGTGTGGTGGTGTGCACCTGTAGTCCCAGCTACTAAGGAGGCTGATGCAAGAGGATTGCTGAAGTCCAGGATTTTGAGGCTACAGTGACCTATGATTGTGCCACGGCACTCCAGACTGGGTGACAGAGTGTCTCGAAAAGAAAAAAAAAAAAGACTGGTGAGAGCAAACATCCTTGTCTTGTTCTCAATTTTAGGTAGAAATCATTCAGTCTTTTATTATTATGTATTAATATAATGTTAGATCTAGGTAATTTATAGATGCTCTTAATCAAATTGTTGAAATTCCCCTCTATTCCTATTTTTCTGAGAACTTTTATCATGCATCGGTGTTGAATTATGCCAGATGCTTTTTCTGCACCAGTTGATATGATCATATAGCCTTTCTTCTTTAGCCTGTTAAAAAAAAGTGGCATATTTTGATTGATTTTCAAGTATTGAACCAGCATTGCATCTCTGGAATAAACCCCACTTGGTTATGATGTATAATTGTTTTTATGTACTCCTGAATTGTTTGCTTATATATTGATAACGATTTTTGCATCTATAGAGATATTGATCCGTTGGCTTATTTTTGTTTACTTGTGTTTATATTGTCTCTGATTTTGGTATCAGAACAATGCAAGTTTCATTAAATGAATTGTTGGGGGTTACCATATACCCTTCCCTGTCTCTGGTAATTTTCTTTGCTCTACAGTTTACTTTATCTGATATTAATATAGCCACTTGTTTTTTCCTTTGGTTAATGTTTGCATTGTATATCTTTTTCCATCATTTTTACTTCCAAATTGCCTATATTGTTATAGTTGAAGTAAGTTTCTTGTGGACAGCATAAATTTGGGTAATGATTTTTAGTCCACTCTGCCAATGTCTGTCTTTTACCTTGTGTATTTAAACCATTTATATTTAATGTAATCATTAATATATTAGGGTTTAAGCCTGCCATTTCATGTTTTATGTTCTGTTTGTTCTGTTTTTAATTTCTCTCTTTTCTTATCCCTGCCTTCCTGTGGGTTACTTGAACATTGTTTTGGAATTTGATTTTGATTTATTTTTGTGTTTTTGAGTATATCTCTTTGTATACTTTTTTAGTGGTTCTAGGTACTATATATGTATAATTTTTCAGTCTACTGGTATCATCGTTTTACCAGTTCAAATAAAATGCAGAAAACTTATTTCCCTTAGCTCTCCCCATTTATAATCATTTAAAATATTACCTCTACATATATTTAGAACCATTAGTGTTATAATTTCTGCTTCAACAAACATTTAAAGAAACTCAAGAGAAGTAAAGTGTATTGTATTTACCCATATTTTTGCTCACAGTGATCATTTTTTCCTTTCTGATGTTCCAGTGTTCCTATATTTATTATTTTCTCTCTGTTTAGAGAACTCCCTTCAGCCATTCTTTTTAGGGAAAGTTTCTGGCAACAAATTTTATTAGTTTTCCCTCATCTGAGAATGTCTTGATTTCTCCATTCTCAAAGGCTGTTTTCACTGGATTCTGAGTTGATGGTTCTTTTCTTTCAGCACTTGAAAAATGTGCCCTTTCCTTTGGACTACCATGGTTTGTGATGAGAAATCTGGTGTCATTCGAATAGCTTTTTCCCTATAGATAAGGTGTCATTTCTTGCTGTTCTTAAGAATTTTTCTGTCTTTAGTTTTCAGAAGTTTAACTATGATGTGACTTGGTGTGAATTTCTTCATGTTAGGGGTTCACTCCACTTCCTGAATCTGTAGGTTTATGTCTTTTGCCAAACTTGAGAGACATTTTAGTCATTTATTTGGGTACTTTCTCAGCCTGCTCTTTCTCGTCTGCTGAGGCTCCCATGATACAAGCATTAGATCTTCTAGTATAGTCCCACAAGTCCCTGAGGCTCTCATAGTTTTATTTTCCCTCAAGTATATTTTATGTCTATTGTTCAAATTGGATAATTTCTGTTGTTCTATCTTTCCAGTTCCCTGATTCTTCCCTCTGCCCCCACCATTTTGTTGTTGAGCCCATCTGTTGAGTCTGTAGTTTCAGTTATTATATTTTTTCAGTTCTAAAATTTCCATTTGGTTCTTCTTTATGTCTTCTATTTCTTTGCCAAGACTTTCTATATTTTCATTTGTTTCAAGCATGTTCCTCATTGCTCACTAAAATATTTTTATGATGGCTGCTTTAAAATCTTTGTCAGATAATTCTAATGTTATCTTAGTTTTGGCATCTATGGATTGTCTTTTTCCATTTAATTTGAGATCTTTCTGGTTCTTGGAATGAGTGATTTTTCATTTGAAACCTGGGCATTTTGGAGATTGTTAAGAGATTCTACATCTTATTTAAATTTACTATTTTAGCTGGCTTACTCTGAAACCACTTCAGTAAGAGAAAGTGAGGGGCACTTCTTCAATACTGCCAGGTGGGGGTAGAAGTTCAGGTTTCCCACTCAGTTTCTCTTGTCACCAAAGTGGGCGGGGTGGGTGGAATGCACCTTGTTACTGAGGAGTAACAGTAGGGGTGGGAGGGCTGGGAGTTTCAATTGCCCATTAGTTCTCTAATGATACCTTCTTGGCTGGGAGTGGGAATGCTTTGTTACTGCTTCCCATGTGACCTCCACCAACACCACAAAAAGAGTGGCTTAGTTACCACTGAGAGGTAGTGAAAGTCCTGACTCTTTACTTGGACTTTGATCCCAACCCAGCAGGAAGGGCCAGGGGCACTATTACTGCCAGATGGGGGTGTAAGTCCAGGCTCCCCACATGGTTTCCACCAACACCTTGAGGGAAGGAGTCTTGTTATTGCCAGGAGGCTCCCTACTTAGCTTTTTCTGACCCTACCTGGTGGTGGTGAGGTTAGGGTTCCTCATTACAGCCTGGCAAATGTGGAAGTCTAGGCTCTCCTCTTGACCTTTGCTGGCATGAGTGGAGACTGGCATCCACAATTTTTTCTGTGGTATAACTGGGATAGACTGATTATTCTCTAAAATCTTTGTCATACTAGGCTGTCCTTTTCTTGGTTCTTTGACGAGAGCAGGCTTTTCTTTTGGGGTGTGCGTGTGTGTGTGTCTGTGCTCACTGGTGCTTTCAAGTTGCTGATTTCTTAAGCTGCAAGTACGAGATGTATGAAGCAAAAGAAAATGGAGAATTCAGCATCATGTTGTACCTTGGGTCCTGAGATCCCTGAATAGTCTGTCCTTTCTCCACCTTTCAGAGTCTTCTTCTCTTTGTTTTATGTATAATGTTCAAAGATTTTTAGTTGCTCTTAACTAGAGGAATAGGGAAAATCACACCGATTCCATCTTCACAGAAGCCGGTCTCCACACATACTTATTTCATATTGTTTTAAATAGTTTCAATATCTTTTTTTTTTTGAGACGGAGTCTCGCTCTGTCGTCCAGGCTAGAGTGCAGTGGCACGAACTCGGCTCACTGCAAGCTCCGCCTCCCAGGTTCACGCCATTCTCCTGCCTCAGCCTCCTGAGTAGCTGGGACTACAGCCACCCGCCATCATGCCCGGCTAATTTTTTTGGTATTTTTTTAGTAGAGACGGGGTTTCACTGTGTTAGCCAGCATGGTCTTGATCTCCTGACCTCATGATCCGCCCGCCTCAGCCTCCCAAAGTGCTGGGATTACAGGCATGAGCCACTGCGCCCGGCCGATAGTTTCGATATCTTAAAACCTTGGGGATCTAAATGTGTTTTTTCTTAACAAATCAGTTTTTTCTGCTCTCATTCATGATGTATCATTTTCCTTTTTATCTTTTACATTTTTAAGGGAAGTCCTGAGAACCTAAATTTAAGCTTTCTCCAGAGAGGATTTGCTTCTGCTTCTGCCGGGAGCCACTGGGGCTACCAACTGGGGACCATTTTAGTTCTCTTTAAGGGTCCTGGCTTCATACAGAATTCTCAGGTTCAGTTTTCCTGTCCTGCAGCAAGGGTGCTCCAGTGTTAGTAGTCCAATTCTAGAGCTATTATTGGCGTTTGTGCCCAAGAACATCAGGATCATTTGTTTACCAGTACTCTTTGTCCTTTCAGCTCACAGTTCATCTTTCTTCTTTTTGTGGAGGAGGAGTTGGTACACCTTGAAGATTTTCCTTATTTTCTTGCAAGTCCAGAGGTGGTTTTCAAAAACTATTTGTTATAGTTTATACAGGATCTGTCAGTATTGTGGTTAGAGGGCCAAAATCACTGGTAGAAAGGGAAACCTCTTACATATAACATTTGCATTTTAAATATTACCTTGAATACAATTAAAAAAAAAAACACCAGTATTTCTCATGACTATCAGGCTTTTCTTTCTTCTATTTTTTTTTTTTTTTAGACAGGGTCTCGCTCTGTTGCCCAGGCTGGAAACCAGTGGCACAATCATAGCTTGCTGCAGCCTCGAACTCCTAGGCTCAAGTGATCCTCCCACCTCAGCTTCCTGAGTAGCTGGGACTACAAGTACGTGCCACCATACCTAATTTTTTAACTTTTTTGTAGAGACGGGTTTTTGCTGTGTTTCCCAGGCTGGTCTTGAGCTCCTATCCTCAAGTGATCCTCCCACCTCTGCCTCCCAGAGTGCTGGATTACAGGTGTACGCCACCGTGCCCAGCCCCAGATTTTTCTTAAAAGGCAGACATGAAGGTTTTTATTGTTAGCATTTTGAATTCTTTAACTAAAGTTGTCATTTTATGTGAGAGATTATTAGAATAATATTCAATTCGTAGTATCTACAGCAAAACTGAGCCTTGCTCACTATACTACTATAAGCCTTATAAGTGGGTTCTTGCTCACTGACAAACTTGGTTTTCTTGGGAGGAATTAAGAACAAGGAGGAAATTAGAATATGGGAGCGGATATATGGGAAATAGTGAGGTGTGACAGCTATGAAATATGGTCTAACATGTAGCCTATGATAGCCTCACTACAGAATTGCACCTGTAGCCTGAAAACTCCTTTTACATTTTTCACAAGAGAACACATTTTTATTTTATACTCCTGCAACTAGATCAGCCGCATTCCAGTTCAGAAGGCACAGCTCACTGCATTCCACAGAGACATTAAGAGAATTTTTGATAACTAATATGCATGACTCTTGTTTCCTTCATTTATTCAGTAAATAAATTTAAGGTCACCATTTCTCAAAAAGTCAAGTGCCTCTGCCTCCCCACACTTTTCACTTCATAGTACTGACTCTCTCACTTTAAAATCCAAGGATGGCCCTGGACAAATTTAATTCTTCAATAAAATAAGAATTGCTAATACTTACCATATGCCACTTTCTATCCTAAGCTTATTTTTTTTTTTTTTTTTTTTTTTTTTTTTTTTTTTGAGACAGAGTCTCGCTCTGTCGCCCAGGCTGGAGTGCAGTGGCGCGATCTCGGCTCACTGCAAGCTCCGCCTCCTGGGTTCACGCCATTCTCCTGCCTCAGCCTCCCGAGTAGCTGGGACTACAGGCGCCCGCCACCACGCCCGGCTAATTTTTTGTATTTTTAGTAGAGACGGGGTTTCACCGTGTTAGCCAGGATGGTCTCGATCTCCTGACCTCGTGATCCGCCCGCCTCGGCCTCCCAAAGTGCTGGGATTACAGGCGTGAGCCACCGCGCCCGGCTATCCTAAGCTTATTTTATACACACACACACACACACACACACACACACACACACATATACTCATTTAATCCTCAAAATAATCCTAAGATGTAGATGTTTTGATTATCCTCACTTTATATGTGAGGAAACTGAGACACAGAGAATAAACGAACCCAAAGTCTCACAGTGAGAAATGGTGGCACAGACAATTGATCCTTGGCTATTTGGCTCCAGAGTCTGTACAATACCACTCCACTACAGATGCTGCATGGCCAAGAGCAGACCCAGCATGTGTGATGATTTAACAACATAATGAAATGAAGTACTTTAGTAGAGACAACAGGTTAAACCACAAATACGTTTATTCCTCTAAAAACAGTATACCATCTTTCCAATTTTCAAAATGTTATTATCAATTGTCTGCAGATTACTCTCATTAAGCTGATTTTTAAAAATCTCAGACAGAGCAGAGCAATTCACCAGCACCATCATCAAGTGAGCTACAAATCTATCTTTTACCAGAGCAAGGAGACACTTAAGATCAATTCAAGAGAATAGCTTTCAGTGTTCACAGAAGGGGTACTCACATTCATTTGTCACATATTTCAGGCCCTCATACACCCCTTTTAAATTGTCTAACTCCTATCCCAGTTTCTTTTTATAGTCTAAAAACAAGGAATCACCCAAGTAAGATACTCCTTCAGAGCACTGCTGAAAATGGATCAAACGTGGAGATCCCCCAGATCCCTGTTCTCAAGTGTTAAAAATATTTTATATTAGCACATAGAATACCCTTAGATATATTCTGTTATGTTCTAAAGAGTTTGTGTTTCCCCCTTTTTGATGATGTCTTCAATTTCTTCTGAGACCTTTCCTGTATAGTCATTTGGTTCTATTGCTTTTAACTTCTCTTGATACTCCAGCGGCAAACCATTTTCTTTTGCACCCATGCAAATAATCTGGAAATGGTTAAAACAAACAGACAAAAAAACCCTTTCAGTTAGGAATATAATTTAACGTACCATACCACAGCTTTATTTGCCTTCTCAAAGTATGAAGTATTAGCTTTCAGATAACTCTAGAATAAACAATTATATAAAATAGAATACCATCATTCCTCTCACACTGAGCATGAATGTGTATGGAGTTTTCAAAGCCAAATGAAGCATCCTCATGGAATATCAACTTTCTCAATATATGATTTTAAATATTTTAATATTAAGACAAACATATCTATATAAAATTTATATGACCTTTTAAGAAAAAAAATACCATTCTTCAAAAAAAATTTAAAGTTTACAGAGAGCAGTTTCGGTTACAACGCCAGAGGTTACCCTTGCTCTGAATTGGACATGGGGGAATAAATGGCAACTGTGTTTAGCGGTACTTTCATAATCTATACCAGGCTAATTTCTCTAGGTTTCATACTAAAAAATTCCAAACGAGGCCTAGGAACCAGATTACCTATTACAGGTGCCATGACCTGATTGGGCCTGCCAACAGAGAGCTAAGCTTAGGTTCTGAACAGGAATTTTGGGGTCTCTATCCCACATTCTTGTCTTGTGCTTGCAAGGGTGATTTCCCTGATTCTGAAAGGCAGTGTGACGTTTCTTTCTCCACCTAGGGATGAAAAACATTTCAGCAGTAGAAAGTATGTTTTTTTCCCCTATAAAAATGAATCTTGGTATTCATAAAATACTGTGTTACGGGGAGAAAAACATTACAAAAGCATATATATATATATATAGATACACACACACATATACATATATATACATATATGTATATATATATAGAAAGAGAAAGAGAGAGAGACTAAATCTATTAAAATACACTCATAAATATTCTTTCCTACTTTAATACATGTCTACATCATAAAAATGAAGCAAAAATTTATTGCCAGGCAAAAGAAAGAAAGAAAGAGAGAAAGAAAAAAAGAAAGGGAGAAAATACATGTCTAGAATTCTGACTCACATATATTTCTAAAAATTTTTTTAATAAATAGTTTTAAAAACATAATTCTATCATTACACATAATATTTTTGAATCTGTACATTAGGTAAATAACTATCATTTTTATATTTAAAAACATTTTTATTAAAATAAATGTTTACATGGAATTTAAAACATACAAAACCTTTTATTTCTTTTTTAGAAATTTTTTTGAGAGTGTCTCACTATCACCCAGGCTGGAGTGTGGTGGCCTGATCTCAGCTCACTGCAACCTCCACCTCCTGGGTTCAAGCAATTCTTATGCCTCAGCCTTCCAAGTAGCTGGGATTACAGGTGCTCGCCACCACGGCCTCCTAGTTTTGTATTTTTAGTAGAGATGAGGTTTCACCACGTTGGCTAGGCTGGTCTCAAACTCCTAACTTCAGGTGATCTGCCCGCCCCAGCCTTCCAAAGTGGTGGCATTACAGGCATGAGCCACCACGTTGGGCCTAAAGTCTTTTAAAAACAATATATTCTTTAGTTTCTCTCAGTGAAATTTAAAAAGTAATCACCACCAGTCTGTAAATAGCTTACCTTTTTATACTGTGGGGATGGGGGAGCACTTTCGTAATTTGTCATCAGATAACTTCGACAGGTTATTTCTTTTCCTTCTTGAGTTGCAACTTTAACTTCTATTACAACATACATTCCACTTTTAACCCCTTCTTGCCTGAAACCAGAACAGCCAAATTTTAACCACATTTGACCTAGCCAATTTAGCTCACTGGGTAAGGTCTTTTTATAATAGTCAAGATGGTGTATGGGATTAAACATTTAACTACATCTGAACATACTTGCTCCCTATGTATTTGGGATAGAGAATATATAAATTTACCACATCAAAAGTAAGCTTAGCATTTAGGCTGGGTACGGTGGCTCACATCTGTAATCCCAGCACTTTGGGAGGCTGAGGTGGATCACTTGAGGTCAGGAGTTCAAGACCAGCCTGGCCAACATGGTGAAACGCCATCTCCACTAAAATACAAAAATTAGCCGGGCGTGGTGGTGGGCGCCTATAGTCCCAGCTACTCAATAGGCTGAGGCTAGAGAATCACTTGAACCCGGGAGGTGGAGGTTGCAGTGAGCCGAGATTGCACTGTGGCAATCCAGGCTGGGAGACAGCAAGACTCCATCTCAAAAAGAAAAAAAAAAAGGCCGGGTGCAGTGGCTCACACCTGTAATCCTAGCACTTTGGGAGGCCGAGGTGGGTGGATCATCTGAGGTCAGGAGTTCGAGGCCAGCCTGACCAACATGGAGAAACCTTGTCTCTACTAAAAAAAAAACACACAAAAAATTAGTCCGACATGGTGGTGCATGCCTGTAATCCCAGCTACTCGGGAGGCTGAGGCGGGAGAATCACTGGAACCCGGGAGGCAGAGGTTGGGGTGAGCCGAGATCACGCCATTGCACTCTAGCCTGGGCAACAAGAGCGAGACTCCGTTACAAAAAAAAAAAAGTAAGCTTAGCTTAGCATTTCAATTAGAAGGCCTGAGACATAATATTACTTGTTATACTCCTAACATAACTCTCTGTATTTATCTTGTCTTTAAAGAGGCTTCAATATAGTTTGTTTTTTTTTTCAACTTTATACTATGGAAACATTGTTCTTTGGGCTACAAAAATGGATGGTGTTCTGACAGCAAGAGAATATCCACCTAGAACAAAGGTAGAGAGGATGGCTCTTTCTCCTTCACAAGTGAGGTAAAGTATCGAGCATGTCAGATAACCCTCTCTTCTCAAGGCCTACTCTTTTCTGCAACTTTTCTTTGTATGAAATGCTCTGCCACACAACTCTGAGAGCTCTAGTCATAAAAAGTATCAAAGCATTTCTAACATGTCCTCAGATGCTTTTACAAAGTATTACTTATTTACTGATTCACCTGCCATCTTAAATAATTGTTCTTTAAAAACTGAATTCAAGTACTTTCAAAATCAACAAAAATATGTAACAATTACAGAAATCTTCATGCCTTTTCACAGTATGAAACTATAAAGAAAAATTATGAAAGACAATAGAATGAAAAATAAGGGCTTCCATCTTTTACATAAGAGATTACAAACATCCCCCCAAATCTTTATCAGAAAATATAGCCTTTCTAGACCTTTTAGCAAACTCACATTATCATGCCTTTTATGTTGACTCTAAAAGTATAATGAATATGTCTGTAGTATGTGGTTTTGAAAAACTAACACACAGGTACACATCCTCACATACAATCTGCTTTCTGAATTAATTACTGTTTAACTTATAATTAGAAGCCACCTACTCATCCAGAGAATTTAAATTGCTTTTGTTCATTTTCCATACTACTCCCCACACTTCATCGCCAGGACTCTGAAAAATGGTGGCTATCCCTCCATGCCAAGTTTGACTTGTTTTGCCTTGGGAATTGCCAAAGTCAAGCTTAAAATCCTACAAAGGAAATCAAAGTGATATGATCAATATCCACTTGAATCCAAATTTCCCTCATCAAAATAAAAAGGATTTACCTTGAACTCCATGCAATTAAAACAGTCAATAAACTGAGTTCCTTCTATGCATAAGAAGCTGTGGAAAATATAAAGTTAAACAGACAGGACCCAGATCCCAAGGATTACGTTTTTTAAATATTTTTCTTTAAAAATGAAACATACACTGAATATGTATAGACATCTTAACAAAAACAAAAAGTTTAAGGAAAAAAAATCCCATAACCCCAATGCCTGAACACAATTGTTTTCATTTTTGCAAATTACTTCCCAGTCTTCTTACATACACATAAATTTTTACTTAGAGACAAGCTGGGTGATGGCTACATGTGGGTTATAATATTCTCTCTCCTTTTATGTCTGTAGAGTATCCTACCAACATATATCACCAAATTTGCCCTGAGGGACCTGGCATTTGAGGATGAATGATTTGTGTACTTATGAACACTAATACTCACGAATTATACTAATTTATCTACAATAATCATAAGAGCACCTAACACTAACTGCAAATGGGAAGGCCATTTAAGCAGGGGACGAGCATGCCCAAAGACATGGATAAAAGAGTGTGTTTTGGGGGCCAGGTGCAGGGGCTTACGTCTGTAATCCCAACATTCTGGGAGGCCGTGGCGGGTGGATCATTTTGTACACAGTGCTATTGGCTAATATATAATTATGGACCATTCCGTTTTATTTTGCTAACAACTTTCTTATACCCATTTTACAGCAATAAACACTGTGGGTTAGAAAGATTAAGCAATCTTCCTAAGGTCTTGGAACTAATAAGTAATGAAATTAGGTTTCTAGTTTAACTTCTTTCCTCACAGAGGTGGGCAATCAGGGGATAGAGTCCTGGGGAAGATTAAAAATCCTTACATGAAAAAACAAACTAAAAAATAAACAAAAACAAAACAAATAAAATACAGAATCCTTATGTGGCTTATTTGGTCTAGGAAGATTTCTTTCCATCTTTCCAGAGCTTAGTTTCCTTATAGATAAATTTAAAAAGTTGAACTAAACGATAATTCTAGGATCCTTTTCAGGTTTATATTTTATCCCTGTCACTTATATTTTCTAGAAAAACTTGTCAGACATCTCAGGAATTGGGGTGGTTGGAGTGACCAGTACCTTTATTCAGCATAAGAGATGTTCTTCTAGGACCACATGTCCCTGGCAGGACACCAGGAGATGTGATAAAAGTTACAATTCACACTAACTGGTTGTGTATTGCTAAATCCAATAAACTATTTTCATTCCTCATCTTGTTCCACTTCTCAGCGGAACATAGGTAACCACCTTCTCCTGATCTGCCTCTTTCCTGATTTTCAGGCTGTTCCTTGATCTCAATCCCCTTTGCCAACTCCTCCTCCATTACCTGATTTTTAAATGTTGGAGTTGCTCAAGGCTCAGTCTAGGCCATGGGTGTCCAACCCTTTGGATGCAAGAACTTTTTTGCTTACCTGTGGTGGCGGACATCACAAAAATTATGCATGGGCCTTTTTTTTGTTTTTGTTTTTGTTTTAGCTCATCAGCTATCATTAGTTTTAGTGTATTTTATGTGTGGCCCAAGACAATTTTTCTTCTTCCAGTGTGGCCCAAGGAAGCCAAAAGGTTGGACACCCATGGTCTAGGCCATTTTCTCTATTCATTTGGCAATTTGCTCAAGACATTCTCATCCCCTCCAATGGCTTCAAATATTCTGATCATCTTTAAACCCAGACCAGATCTCTCTTCTGAGCTTCAGAAGTGCTTAGAACAGGGCCTAGCACACAGTAAGTACTTAATAAATGTTTGCTAATATTATTCTGTTCACTTGACTGTTTAGCAAGCATTTCAAATTCAAAATGTTCAAACTGAACTTAAAATTTTCTCCTCCCAAGCCGGATTTTCCTCTTTTCTCTGCAAACATCACCTGCATCTACCTGGTGCCAAAAACCTGAGTCATCTTTGGTATTCTCTTCACACTCAATCACTATGCTTTAACAATGTTATCTCCAAATTAGTTCTCAAATCCATCCACCCTGCCCTGCCACCACCCTAGTTCAAGATGCCATTCATTATCTTTGGCATAAATTGCTGCAAAAACTTCTTGAACTCTCCACATTCACTCTTCCCTCCTTCAAATCTATTTTCCATGTGACCAGAATGGGCTTTTGGAGATAGAAATCTATCTTTCATGTGCTTTAGTTCTGCAGTGTGTCTTATTTGGCTTCTGTGGTCCTGGAAGATGTGGCCCTTCCACATATCTCCAGTCTTCATGCCACATTCCCCTTACTAAACTCCAGCCACACTGACTGAAAGATCCAGCTTCCTCTTTCTTCAGGTCCTTTGCAGAAGATGCTGTTCCCTGTTTTGTGTGCTCCCCACCTCTACAATCATTCAGGTCTCAACTTAAAAGTCACATTTTCAGGCAGGGCTTTCCTGAGCATCCTGGTTAGGTCAGGTACCCTGGTCATACGCCCCATTGCACTTTGCATGCCTCCTTTTTAAGATGGACCATATACCTGTAACTGAATAATCCCTTGTTTAATATCTCTTCCCCTTGCCCTGACTGTAAGCATTTGGACTCCCTTCCTACAGTTGGGAAATTCCCTACCTTACGAGTTTGGGAATAGGGAGTATCAGAGCCTGACTCCCATTTTTGAGGCTTCAAAGGCCAGAAGCTGGTTCTCTCAGTTTTGCTTAAAATCACGGCATGGGTACGTGGCCAAAACTTAGCCAATCGGGACATTCTGGGGCTTTCAATTAGAAGCTAGTGCCCAAGACAGCAGGGACTCCAGAGAGGCTGACACATTTGGGTTTCAGGAACTGCAGGGATGTACAGAGGCAGGCAGTGTCCAGGGCAGGGGGTGGTGGACAATACAGCATCCACGTTTACCAAGTTCAGCAGTGGCGTGGAAGAGGCTCCGTGGGCTGGTTCTGTTGTGTGATGCCCACTGTATTACAGTTGCTGTGCCTCCCTTTATGCTTGTCCGTTTTGTCAGCTTTGTACTCCTGCCTTCCTGGTCATTCTGTGAGCTCTCCAATAGCCTTTCAACACATTCTTTTTTTTTTTTTTTTTTTTTTTTTTGCTTAAATCAGCCAGTTTCTGTTGCTTGCAACTAAGAACTCACGATGTTAGCAGAGATCATGTTTGTCTCATTCGACGCTGTCAAAAAGGTTTTGAACATAATCTATTGCACCTCTGTCCTACAGACTGAGAGTTCCTCGAAACAGCCACTTTACTCAATCATGTTTATACCCTTAGTGTTAAGTGCCGGAAGAATATGTACTAAATGAATGAATGGACTGGGCTGAAGAGCAATGATTTACCAACACTGGTTATAGTTCATGCAGCCCCTTGACCTAACTGAACACAGCATTATTACAAATAAGACATGGTCCCAGCTTTCAGGACCTCTTAGATGAGGAGCGAAAGGCAGGTAAACGGATTTTCACAATGCCAGGTGAGAAGTGCTGTAACAAAGGTTATGTACAGAACAGAAGGCAACCAATTCCCAGACACGGGTCAGAGAAGACTCTCCAGAAGTACCAACTGTATGCAATCTGTTAAGTTAGTGGACGAGAGGCCAAATCGGTGCAGACCGAGCAGCCGGTGCAAAGGCCAGGAGGGGGAAAGCTCCAGGCAGCCCGAGAGGGCACCGTGGCCCGGGCAGGGCCGGGCAGTGGGCGCAGCGGAGGAGGTGGACCCGCCCAGGAGGCGGAAGCCGCGTCCTAGTACCCTCATCAAGAAGAACTGCATTCCTGGCCCGATCGGCCACGTGTGCCCCCGAGGAAGCGCCTTCTGGGCATCCCGGCCCCGGCGTGGGTAGCGCGGGAGGGGGCACTCACCTGCAGGCGGGCCACACAGAAGAACGCCGCCGAGGGGTTTCGGAGGTGGATCCTCTCTGTCAGCAGGTTGCTGCCGTAGGCAAAGTACAGAAAACTCTCCTCATCTGGACCCGTGACGTCCTTGCAGCCCGAGTTGGCCATATCCCACTACGCCCCTGCACTGGAGCCTGAAGCAGAGTGTAAGGAACGGCCAGAGAGCGCAACACTGGGGCCCACTACCCCGGCGCAGTGACCGCCGCGCGGCAGCCTCAGGGTTAGGGGACTGGCGGGAAGCGTGGGCCGGTCGAGTCAGGAGCGAGCGCTCTCCTGATTGGCTGCCGGTCCCCACCGACCTGAGTCGCCCCCTTTGATTGGCCATCCCCACGGCCTTCCCTCCGCCTTCCGCCGAGACTCAGAAATAGTCTGTCCTGAAGCAATCCGGCGCTGGCTCCTCATTGGACACGACCTACTGATGTCCCGCCCCTCCTTGCTCAAGGCTTCCTCTGATTGAGGGGTGGACAGGCACTCCTCACAGGCGGGTCGGGTCCCATGGACACTGGCTGAAGGTCGTGGCGCGTGACTGGTTTCTTCGCTCTGGGGTGCTTGTGTGTGGTTCTTTGGTACTTTCTGTGCCTTAGGAAGTTCTGGTCAGATCTGAGGCGAAACAGCGGCCCAGGCGACTCCATCAACGGCTCCCTCATCCGGCAGCTCGCCGGGTCCTGCCTTCCTGGCCTAGAGGAGTCGGGCAGGACGGGTCCGTTCACCCTTTCTGCTGGTTCCGGCACCCCCAGCACTGGTCATCAATCTGACCCCTTTCCACGGACCCGTCGCCTGCTGGAGCGGCCCCTCTGAATGCTTGGGACTCCCTTCCCTGTTACATGGAAGTTACATGCCTGGGCTTAAATCCCGACGCTGCCATTTACTAGCCAAGTAACTTTGGGCACCTCTGGTCTCCGTTTCCTCTTTTTAAAAATCGGGATCATAATATAAGTTAGGGTCACAGTAGAAACCCCTATATTGTGTTTTGGTTACCCCCTCCCACACACACACACATCCTGGGTGTATTTTTTAAAACCTATATTGTTAACTTTTGAATGAACATAAGGGCATAGGAACATTGTCTATCCTTGACACCCAGCTATTAATCTCTAAATACCACCCCCCACTAAAAGGTACCAAGTGATCCTTCGAGAAATGACTGATGCCAGGTCAGGAGCTAGGAGTGAATGAGGACAACTTGGAACATCTTGTGTCAGAAGCTCAGGACGCCTCTCAAGACGAACGAGGTCCTTCTAAAAGGACATGGGAACCAGCCTGAAGTTGCCCACTGGCCAAAATTAGAACAATTTGAGAATCAAAAATAACAATGACTGCAAACTGAAAAATGATTGGAAACTTTAAACATAAAAAAGCCATTCCCCCCAAAGAGTAATCCAAATTAAAAAAAAAACTATAACTTCATTTGCCACACTATTGGTGGTGACTATTACACCAACTTTACTCTGCAAAGTGATAATTTAAGAAAACAAACAGGTATTCCGCCTTTCTAGTAGCAGCTGTATTTCGGGGTAACTGAAATACAGCTGATGACGAGCATCAGTTGATGAGGAAACAGTTCTCTTTACAAAAGTATGCCAACTAAGTCATCCTAAATGAATAATGGAATTTTATAATTGATTCATGCCAGGATCATCAGTGATATCATTTGGTGAAAAGGTGATAGGGAACAGGATATTCACTTGATGCCAAATTACTCCCTGAGGATTACTGCTGGTTACAATTTATTTATTTTATTTTTATTTTTTTGAGACAGAGTCTCACTCCGTCGCCCAGGCTGAAGTGCAGTGGTGTGATGTCGGCTCACTGCAAGCTCCGCCTCCCGGGTTCACACCATTCTCCTGCCTCAGCTTCCTGAGTAGCTGGGACTACAGGCACCCGCCACCATGCCTGGCTAATTTTTTGTATTTTTAGTAGAGACGGGGTTTCACCATGTTGGCCAGGATGGTCTTGATCTCCTGACCTCGTGATCTGCCCGCCTCGGCCTCCCAAAGTGCTGGTGTGTCCGGAATTGTGGGTTCTTGGTTTCACTGACTTAAAGAATGAAGCCGCTGACCCTCGCGGTGAGTGTTACAGTTCTTAATGATGGTGTGTCCGGAGTTCGTTCCTTCAGATGTTCAGATGTGTCTGGAGTTTCTTCCTTCTGGTGGGTTTGTGGTCTCACTGACTTCAGGAGTGAAGCTGCAGACCCTCGCGGTGAGTGTTACGGCTCTTAAAGGCGGTGCATCTGGAGTTGTTCATTCCTTCTGGTGGGTTTGTGGTCTTGCTGACTTCAGGAATGAAGCTGCAGACCTTCATGGTGAGTGTTACAGTTCATAAAGGTGGCTCGTCCAGAGTTGTTCATTCCTCCCATCCGGAGTTGTTTGTTCCTCCCGTCCAGAATTGTTCGTTCCTCCTGTCTGGAGTTGTTCCTTCCTGTGGGTTCATGGTCTCGCTGGCTTCAGGAGTGAAGCTGCAGACCCTCGCGGTTGAGTGTTACGGCTCTTAAAGGCGGTGCATCTGGAGTTGTTCATTCCTTCTGGTGGGTTTGTGGTCTTGCTGACTTCAAGAGTGAAGCTGCAGACCTTCATGGTGAGTGTTACAGTTCATAAAGGTGGCACGTCCAGAGTTGTTCATTCCTCCCATCCGGAGTTGTTCGTTCCTCCCGTCCAGAATTGTTCGTTCCTCCCGTCTGGAGTTGTTCCTTCCTGTGGGTTCATGGTCTCGCTGGCTTCAGGAGTGAAGCTGCAGACCTTCGTGGTGAGTGTTACAGCTCATAAAGGCGGTGCGGACCCAAAGAGTGAGCAGCAGCAAGATTTAGTGCAAAGAGTAAAAGAACAAAGCTTCCACAGCCTGGAGGGGGACCCAAGTGGGTTGCCCATGCTGGCTCTGGTGGCCTGCTTTTATTCCCTTATTTGGCCCCACCCACATCCTGCTGATTGGTCCATTTCACAGAGAGCTGATTGGTCTGTTTTGACAGAGCCCTGATTGGTGTGTTTACAAACCTTTAGCTAGACACAGAGCACTGATTGGTGCATTTACAATCCTTTAACTAGACAGAAAAGTTCTCTAAGCCTCCTACCTGGTTAGCTAGACACAGAGCCCCGATTGGTGCACTTAAAAACCTTTAGCTATACACAGAGTGCTGATTGGTGCGTTTACAAACCTTTAGCTAGGCACAGAGTGCTGATTGGTGCGTTTACAATCCTTTAGCTAGACAGAAAAGTTCTCCAAGTGCCCACCCGACCCAGAAGCCCAGCTGGCTTCACCTGTCACTGGGATTACAGGCGTGAGCCACCGCGCCTGGCCTACTGCTGGTTACATTTTTACAACACAGGGAAATCTTGCCCCTCCTACCTTAACCCAGAACAATCTTATCACCATAAAAGTGGCCCAGCCTGACATTAAATATCTCCCAATTTGATGCAATATGAAGCTCCAGCATCATCTATGAAGTATTCTTTCCAAAAAATTTTAACCTCAACATCATCAAGCCTTTAAATCTATCTTCCTGTCTCAGGAACTGCAAGGATAGAAGAATAAAATTACAACAGGAGAAAACAACCAGAAAAACCCAGAATAAATGGTGGAACACCCTACTGAACACATGGCCCAGTGTCTTCAATAAGTCAGTGTCATTAAAAAGAAAAAAAGCAGCACTGAGGGATGGCTGCTCTAGATTAAAAGAAATTTTAAAAATGTGGCTGGGTGTGGTGGTTCACACCTGTAATCCCAGCAATTTGGGAGGCTGAGGCAGGCAGATCACAATGTCAAGAGATGGAGACCTTCCTGGCCAACATGGTGAAACCCCATCTCTACTAAAAATACAAAAATTAGCTGGGCATGGTGGCATGCCTCTAGTCCCAGCTACTCGGGAGGCTGAGGCAGAAGAATTGTTTGAACCTGGGAGGCAGAATTTGCAGTGAGCCAAGATCACGCCTTTGCACTCCAGCTTGGCAACGGAGCAAGACTCCATCTCAAAAACAAACAAACAAACAAACAAACAATAACCAAATGTATGGCTTGTCCTCTGTTGATTCTGGTTTAATAAGCCAGATATAAAAGATATTTCGGGGACAACTGAAGAAATTTGAGTTTTCACTGGGGCATTAGGTGATATTAGGCAATTGTTATTAGGTGTGATAATGGTATTGTGCTTCGGTAGAAAAATGTCTCTATTTTTAGACATGTATACTGGCATATATAGGGTTGAAATATTTGATACCTATATTTTAAGATAATTCAGAACAAAAAAATACAGAAAGTGTTAAATGTTAAATGTAGTGATGTACATGGATGTTCATTATATTTTTAATGTATATATGTTTGAATATTTTCATGTTAAAAAAAGAACAAGGAAAAAGGTGATATATGGAAAGCCCTTGCCATGTAGTGAGCACTCAATAAGCAATAGCATTATTATTATTATACAATCTGCAAATAGGAAGATTATTGTGGGATCTGCCCCGCAGCCCGCAATGCAATGGGGCTCTTTCCTTGTTCACGGGCAGATCGGCAGGTCGAGAAATAATAGACGCACACAAGATAGTGAAAACTGGGTCCAGGGGGGGTCACCATCTTCTGGTCCCGTGGTGCCGCCAATGCACTGGATATACCAGCATTTATTATTAAGTTTAGTGAGGTCAGGGGTAGGTTAGTGAGGGATTTAGGGTCGTTTGATTATGAGGTGAGATAGTCACATGGAGATGAAGTAATTCTTTAACATAACATCTATATGCAGAAGTACAGTATACAGAGATAAGAATTTACATCAGTCATTTCTAACAGAGCCTTGAAACAGAAACACAGTCTGTCCATAACCTATGATTAGCAAGATATTAATCAGCAGTAACTGTTGCAGCAAAAGCTGGTTACAAACAATCCATGGAAACAGGACGTGAAGCTAGACAACCGGTTAGACCAGAAATTCTCAGAAGGGAGTATGCCTTAACCCTAAAGAGGCCTAGAAGAGCCATGGCAAGATGAGGGTGTTTGTAGCCCTATCTTATCCATATGAACAGGTGCCCCTCATGCATCTGCTTATAGGCTCTCCACAAGCGTTGCATTCCATTCCCAGAGCTCTGAACATCTGCTTTTCTGGGATAGGAATCTTGGTGATGTGAAACCTCCCTGACTGCACGTCTGTTCATAGGCTCTCTGCAGGGGGAAGCACATCACGCGCTGTTGGCTCATTCTGGCAGCCCAACCTGGCATTGTCTTTACACAATCCTGCATGCAACTTTGTATTTACAATAACCAGGAGCATTTCATCTTTTATTCTGTAGCAGTAGTTTCAGGGGGTCTCCCTACAGAAGATAATACCTCCTCCCACCCCTCAAACATCTAGGCAGAACTTGAAATACATACTTGGTCATTTCAGGGAGCAAGTTGCTTTTCCTGGCAAATCATATTCTATTACACCATAAATTCTCAAGGGTCCTATTTTAGAGCACTGCAATTTAAAATGTCTTGCTTTTCAACTGCTCTTAAGAATCTAAAATGTGCTTATTATTTAATTATTGTTACAGATATTTAATTTCTCTTCCTATACTTCTTGCTAATTACTTAATTTCATGACAATTGATTTTTCTCAAGACTATTTTGCAAAAATATTCATAAGTTTAGCATTGATATTACCCTCAACGCTGAAAATCTTTCCTTACTCCAAGCACTTATTTATTTAGCTTCCCCACATAGATGGCAGTGTACTGACCCAGGTTGGCCAGCAAGGGGCAGTAGGTAACAAAGTTACCTACACAAAGTTGTGTTTTTGTGTTTGTTTTTTCAAATTTAACCAAAGCCAGGTTAATATTAGTTAACATTCATTGAGCACTTCTGAAATGCCAGGCACTGGCCTAAATTCTTAAATGTATTAGCTCATTTAATCCTGAAAATAGTCATATATGGAAAGTACTGATATTATTCTCCTTTTACAGTGAGGAAACAGGCATAGTAGGTCAACTAACTTGCCCCAGGTTGTAGTTAGCAATGACTGAAGCAGAGATTCAGCCATGCAGTCTGACTCTAAGTCACTACTGGGTGCTGCTTCTCAAATTTCTAACAATTGTAAAACCTTGGTGCTCTAGATATATCTAGTTATTAATAGCCCACTTTCAAGTACAATCATTATCTACAAGATTATTAAATAATGATTATAGCCTTCAATCACTTGATAATAAAGACAATGAGATCAGATTTCTTCTTAATGTCATCTTTTATTTTTATTTTTTGAAGCAAGGCCTTGCTCTGTCTCCCAGGCTGGAGTGGTGCAATCATGGCTCACTGCAGCGTCGACCTTGCAGGCTCAAGTGATCTTCCCACTTCAGTTTCTTGAATAGCTGGGACTACAGTTGCAACACATCTGGCTAATTTTTGTATTTTTTGTAGAGATGGGGTTTTGCCATATTGCCCATGGCTGGTCTTGATCTCCTGGGCTCAAGCGATCCCCTCACCTCAGCTTCCCAAAGTGCTGAGACTACAGACTTGAGTCATTGTGCTGGGCCCTAAATACCATCTTTTAATCCAGTGGTCTTTAAAGTTTTTTGATTGTGCCATTAAAAATTTTTGAACACACACAATTATATGTTAATATTAATATATGATTATAATAGTATATAATTATATGTATATTAATATATAAAATACATTCTATAATACCCACAAAATAGAAATTTTAAAATAAAAAAGCTATTTTATCTGTCATTAATTGTGGTAGTTTCAATCAATCATTGGCCAATCTCAAGGGAAATACACATATAGGTCAAAGTTAATTATAAGTTATAGTAGATGGAAATTTTATTGCTAATAGCCCTCCTAGGTGGAGAGCTAAATTCTTATATGTATCATTTTGGCTGACCTTGTCAGATGTTACTAGATCACCATTATTTTTACAACACAATGAATGTGATGAGGAGCTTGTACCAGAAGTATGAGAAATGTCGGCTCTGTCCCTTTCTTTTTTTCTTTTCTTCTGCTTACAATTTTGACAAGAGTTCCTGTCCAATTCTTTGCAGAAATCTTTTAAATTATGTTCCCATTTTGTGAGAGTTAATTCTCTATAAATCTGTTTAGCTAAGCCCAGATAAATGACAGTAAATACCAAGATAAGGAAAGCGACTGACTGAGAGCCAGAGCCACCATCAGCCTCTTCCCCAGGGGAGGCACTCCCATTCCTCCTCAGGACACCTTTTATGTGACAGATGATGACTGCCTGGCTAACTGAGGGTTCTACTGTTTTAGTAAAGCAAAATTCTTATATTAGTGTATATTTACTAAATATAGCAAAGTATAGGAAACAAAATTCTTTCTAATATTTTAGATTAAAAATTAAAATAGAATTTGTTTTCACATCTCAGCAGATCAACTTGCTCATCCACTTTCAATAGCATTGTAATCAGTTTTAGCATTTATCATTTTCAGAAGAGCATTTCAAGGAAAGACATTGGTACATCATAGCAAGTCTGAAGAGTTATATGGTACAAAGGCTGTGTGTCTGCTGAGGAAGGCCAGCTGTCTGTGCAGGCAATGCCATTCAGGGGCAGTAGAACTCTAGTGGTATAGACAGAGACTGGGTCTCATGAGTCTGTGTCTTAGCTCTGTGGGCTGAGAAACACAATCTTGTCAGTACTACCAGAGGGGGCAGATTCACACTAAGCAGACTCATAAGAGATGGATGTACACATCAGAATGTCAGTTTGTTGACATGCAATGAGAACTGTAACAGATAAACCATGTATTTGTGTTCACAGATCAATGCATTTTCTTCCACTAGGAAAATAAATCTAAATGAGGCATGAGTTTATTAGCATGACTGAGGTCAGGAGGTCAAGTGATTAGAGTGGAAGGAACAAAAGCAGGAGCAGTAGGAGATGAGGTAGAGAGACAGGCAGGGGCTGGGTCACGTGGGCCCTTGAGGCCATGTTAAGGAATCTAGATTCTAAGAGGTCACAAGCTATTGGGGGTGGTTTAGGTAGGAATATAATCTGATTTTCAAAGGGATAATTCTGCATGCTGAGTGGAGAATCAATTCTAAGGGGATAGAAATGATAGTTAAGAAATTAGAAAAGACAGGGCCAGGTGCGGTGGCTCACGCCTGTAATCCCAGCACTTTGGGAGACTGAGGTGGGTGGATTACGAGGTCAGAAGATGGAGACCATTCTGGCTAACACAGTGAAACCCCATCTCTACTAAAAATACAAAAAAATTAGCTGGGCATGGTGGCGGGCGCCTGTACTCCCAGCTACTCGGGAGGCTGAGGCAGGAGAATGGCGTGAACCCGGGAGGCAGAGCTTGCAGTGAGCCGAGATCGCGCCACTGCACTCCAGCCTGGGTGACAGAGTGAGACTCCGCTTAAAAAAAAGAAAAAGAAAAAGAAAAGAAAAGAAATAAGCAAAGACAGTCCTGCAGAGGTTTAGACAAGGGTGGATGGTGGCTTTGGACTAGGGAGTGAAGCTGGGAAAAGGATGGATTTGGGTTGCTTTTTTTTTATGGTAGAGCAATTAAGACTTGCTGGGAGATTAGATAGGTGATTCCACGCTTACCAAACAACCTTCCAGCTGTAATTTGTCTTCTTAGTAGGTTTTTCTTCTTAGAGAAGGAAGCACTCGTCAGGGAACATAGGGATCTGATATTTCTACTGGTTCCAGTTTTCTTCCCTGAGAATGTGTACCTGAGTCTAAGAGGGTTGGGTCTCTCTCTCTCCGAGCACCTACACATTTGAAACACTCTGAGCTGGTCCCAGCCACGTTAGACATGTGGGCTGAGAAGTGGAGGAAGATGATCTGAGCTACAGAGAAGGAGAAAGCAGACCACAGCTCAAGCAGAGAAGGGAGCTAGAGAAAAGTGCTGGGCACATTTGAGTGCTCACTCCAGCTGTCAAGACCCAGTGGAATTTCTCACTGTAGGTTTCACAGACACTTTCCTAAGTCTTATACTCCAAACCACACTGGGAATGAAATAAAGATTCTTATTCAATGTATCTATTAATGGTTTACGTGGAAAGCAGTGTATCTAATTCCACAATAATATTTTAGAGTGTATCTTAAAGACATCTGGCTCCAAAAGTAAAGTATTTGGTTGTGCCTGCATTAAGGTAAATATATATATATATATATATATATTTGTATTTATATATTTGTATATATTTATATAGATATATATATTCGTGATCTAGAATACAGAGTAATCATCATTAATTATATATGGTCCCAGGTTATACAGGCAGTATGAAATAAATATCAACCTCCAATAGCCACAAGGATGTGGGATGAGTAGTTATTGAGAAAGATTTGTATTTGTTGCCTAAAACCGAAAATAAGTTACCTTTGACTCACCTCTCTCCTTCACACCCTATCTGCCATCAGTCATTAAGGTCTGTGGCTACTCCCTGTGTCCCACCCTCCTCCTCATCCCCACATGCTCACCCTCTCCCTCCCATCCTCATCTCACTCCTGGATTACTGCATCAATTCCTAGGGTGGTTTTTCTGACTGCTTTTCTATGGAGATAGGGTTGCAGGGGAGGACAAGAAGAGGGCGGGAATTACATAAGGACATCACAGAGGTGGCTTTGGAAAATGGCTTCAATTTCAACAGAGCAAGGGGTTAATATTAGGAAATGGGAGACAGTCTGGAAGGAGATTAATATTGTTTCTGGCAGGGCCTTGAGTTTCACACCAAAAAGTTCAGATTATTTGGTGGCCAAAGAAGAGTCATTTTTGGCTTTTGAGCAGAGACGTTCCCTTGTGTACGATTAGAAAATCAAACATGTGGCCTGTGTTCAGGATGGCTTGGGAGGAAGTAGTGGGAGAGATGGCAGAGTGCTGAATACAAGGTCACTGCAAATAGGCAAAGTCATGAAAGCCTAAGCCAGGGTAGCATTCATGGAATGGAAATGAAAGGCCGGAAGGGAGTTAAGATACATTGTTTAAATTTGATTTTATCATCTCATTTCTATCTATAAAAACCTGTAGAGGCTGTCTTTTGTTCATTACCTTATCAGATTCAGGCTCTTATGCAAGCCTTCATTATCTGAGTCTTTCCTGTCTGATTAGTCGGATTTCTCAGTAGATGGTAAGCCCTTTGGAGGCAGGTATCACACCTTCTATTTATGCATACTGCAGTGCTTACCACAGCACAGATGAATGATACTTATTTGCTAATTAGGTGCACTGGAGTCAAAAACCTCCCCTGCTTCATACAGGCACCCATATCCTTTTTCTCTATGGTCTTTTCCCCTGGCTTTCCTTGATTTACTGAGAGAAACTTGTTCTTTAGCTCTGACTTAAGATGTAGACATTTATACTAATGCTTTAGCATATTCTGAGCAAATTTTGTTAGACATAGTGTTATTTATATTTATATCTCTTTCAGCTTATGGTTTGCCACATGGCAGGAAACATGCCAGAATATATGAAATCAGAAATGTTCTGGGGGAAAAAAAAGAATGTATTAAAATTCCAGTATGTTTAATGGACAATCTGTATTCTTGTTTTGAGAGTAACTTTGAAAAATAGACCCAACGTAGTTTATTGTTGAGTGCTTAGCCCATGCTCATCTTTGATATCTCTGTATCTACATTTCTATTCAGATCTATAACTATACACTTTGGAAAGACAAACACCAAAATGTTAGCCATGATCACCTATAGGAAAAGAAATGGAATTGAAGAAGTGGGAAGAAGAGCAGCAAGTTGAACAAAAAGCTTCTATTTTAAAAATTCTGTAGTCTTTTGTATTTTTGGCACTTTTGAGCATATATTCTTAGGTTACTTTTTTGTCTTTGTTTTTTCTTTTTGTCGTGTTACTTTTATTTTAAAATATACTATTAATTAAAATACATATGTTATTAAAATTCAGAACAAAAATTCCTATCTTATGGAATTTGGGCCAATATCTAGAAATCAAATGTCAGGAGGATAAAAAGATTGATGACCAAATAAATTGCCCAGAGAGAAATCAGGCACAGTGAATACATTCCCAAGTAGTCCTGCCTCTCACCACATCAATCGGAGAATTAGGCCAGATCAAATCAACATTGCTGTATGGAAAAATACAGTCTCATCCTGAGAGGCCTGCAACTGCAGAATGTCATGGTGCCTCCCTCTTTGCCCTTTGAGATGTCAGTGAATAAAGAACCAGAATTTTCCCAGTCTGTTTTAGGAGAAGGCCACAAGTGTTCTAGGACAATAACCTGCTAGATCCCACAGCCAACCTTAATAGTCACTTTTGAAAAGTCCTGGAAATACAACAATTCAGCGATCTCTATGTCATTTACCATAGCTATACTGGAATGAGATGTACCGATCCCAAGATTCACTACTGTTAAAACCTGACAGACTGCATCAGAGTTAATACATTCATTCCCTTAGCTTATGTAGTCATGGTATTTATAACACTTTAAATGCAGTTGAAATTCAAATGTAAAAGGAAAATTTTGCTTCATGTGTCTGTTGCCAACAAGAGCACTAGTACCATTTTAAATGAGAATACAGCTTTACTTAAATGAAAATCCCAATGTTTCTTTTGGGTGTAGACCTCATTCTTTCCTTCATAGAAAGAACTGTAAACTCAGTAAATTCTTAATCTCTTGTATAATAATCGGATGAGAGCCAAGCATTTTCTTAAAGATCCTCTAAAAAGAATGGCTTTGGAATGACTAGAAAACATTTGTGGAGTGTGGGAGCTATGCTTGCATTATTTGCTTAATTCATGTGCTTGGATGTTGTGCTTTCAGTCTATTCAACAATATTTAATCAATTATTAAATTTTCTTAGAGACATACACTTAAATGAAGCATTTTAATTGAGTATTTTTTAAAAACTCCGGGCTGTGTGTAGTGGCTCAGGCCTATAATCCTGGCACTTTAGGAGGCCGAGGCAGAAGGATTACTTGAGGAGTTTGACACCAGCCTGGGCAAATGGCAAGACCCCACCTATACAAAATTAAAAATTAGCCAAGCATGGTGATGCATGCCTGTAGTCCCACCCAGCTACTCAGGGGCCTAAGGTATGAAAGGTGTGAGGATTGTTTGAGCCCAGGAGTTTGAGGCTGTAGTGAGCTATGATTGCACCACTCCACCTTAGCCTGGGCGACAGAGCAAGACCCTGCCTCTAAAAAAGAAAAGAAAAGAAAACAAACAAACACAAAAAAACCTCTGAGTGTTTAAAAATCTTTCCAGAATAGCTGATCTGCTGATGTCAGCCTTTTAAAAAATATTATTACTGTCCAGGCACAGTGGCTCATGCCCGTAATCCCAGCACTTTGAGAGACCGAGGCAGGTGGATCACTTGAGGATGGGAGTTCGAGACCAGCCTAACCAACATAGCAAAACCCCCCCTCTACTAAAACTTAAAAATAAAATAAAATAATTTCTTTCTTCACATGAATACAACCCTTCCCAATAACAGAGCTGCTGAAAGCCATCTTTATTATGGTCTTTGTTAAACTTTGTTGACTAAAAAGACAACAGGAACTCTGTATACCTGAATAACAGAAACTCAAATGACTCACTGAAAATGAACAGTTACTCATGGCAGAAATAGGTATATGTAGAGGAGAAACTTGCTTCAGTAAGTTACTGGAATCTTCCAGAGGGTAATGCATTTTATATGCATCTTTAAAAAACGTATTAAAAATGGGGCCGGGTGTGGTGGCTCACACATGTAATCCCAGCACTTTGGGAGGCCGAGGCAGGTGGATCACGAGGTCAGGAGATCGAGACCATCCTGGCTAACACAGTGAAACCCTGTCTCTACTAAAAATATCAAAAATTAGCCGGGCATGGTGGGGGGCGCCTGTAGTCCCAGCTACTAGGGAGGCTGAGGCAGGAGAATGGCGGGAATCCGGGAGGCAGAGCTTGCAGCGAGCCGAGATTGCGCCACTGCACTCCAGCCTGGGTGACAGAACGAGACTCCATCTCTGAAAAAACAAAACAAAACAACAACAACAACAAAAGGTATTAAAAATGATGTCTCAAGCTAGCTAAGTCATACGAACTATTCAATTTGCCTTAGGAAGCCACAAAATTGTAGTGGCAAGATGAATTCTCTAACCCAGCAATTCCACACCTAGGTGTATCCCCAAACAAATTGGAAACAAAATACTGGGACAAGAGTCTTCATAGCAGCACTATTCACAATGGTCCAAAGGTGAAAACAAATGACCGTCAATGGGTGAATGGACAAACAAATGTGGTCTATCCATACAATGGAACGTCATGCAGCCATAAAGAGAATCGAAGCACAGGTGTATGCCACAATGTAGATGAAACTAAAAAGCATGCTGCTATTAGAAAGAAACCAGACATGAAAGGTCACATACTGGTTGATTAAATTTATATGAAATATGCAGAATAGGTAGACCCATAGGAATAGAAAGCTGATTGGTAGTTACTAGGGGCTAGGGGAAAGAGGGAATAGGAAATTAACTACTCATCAGGTACAGAGTTTTATTTTGGGGAGATGGAATGCTTTAATACTAGATAGAAGTGGTGGATGCACAACAATGTGAATGGACTACATGCCACTGAATTGTTCACATTAAAATCGTTAATTTTATGTTATGTGAATTTCACCTTTAAAAAAAAATGAGAAACCTAGCCAGGCGCAGTGGCTCACTCCGGTAACCCCAGCACTTTGGGAGGCTCAGGCAAATGGATTGCTTGAGCTCAGGACTTCAAGACCAGCCTGTGCAACATGGCAAAACCCAGTCTCTACAAAAAATACAAAACAATGAACCAGGCATGGTAATGCATGCCTGTAGTTCCAGCTACTTGGGAGGCTGAGACAGGAGGATCACCAGAGCCCAGGTGATCGAGGCTGTGGTGAGCAGTGATCGCACCACTGCACTCCAGCCTGGGTGATAGAGTGACACCCTGTCTCAAAACAAAAACAAAAACAAAGCAAAACAAAAAATCCCACACCAAAACAATTTGGGGTGTTCAAGAATAACAATTATACTCAAATAGCAACATTTCCCAAAATATGATCTGTGGGCCACTGGGGCCACTAGGTGATTCTCAAACAAGGCTTCTGTGGTCCAGTGACCTGGAAAACACTGCATTCCATATTTCCACTTAGAGATTCACAATGCACATCGCCTTATGAAGGCAGCTGAGAATGCCTGTAGCAAGGGAACCTGTGGAGCTCTGTTTAATCCTGAGTTTCCAAAACCTCCTGGGTCACAGAACCCCTTTGATGTAGACAGCGTTTTACTGAGAGTGTGGGAAATGCTGCTCTGTGATGATACAGTGACTTTGATTTGTTTAGGATGATCGTTCAGTTCTTGAAGAATCATATTCAATAAAATCCTAAATTATCCAGAAAATTGAAGATAAGCAATAGTGTGTTATCCAGAAAGGGAAGCATTCCAAATCTTTACCTTGTTCTGGTTTGACACTGACTGGGTTTGTGGGTGATAACCTTTCATTACAGGATTGATTTATACAAATATTGCATGGCTTTGCTGGTTAAACACCTGATAATCAGTTTGAAACTGCAGGGCTATAAAAATATCCATCAACCTCTATTAAATGCAGTGAGGGTTGCAGCCTGGCAAAAAATAAGGATCAGACTGTAAGGCTGAGAGCAAATGTGATAGAGCCCCAAATTATTGATTAAACTAGAAGAAAATTGGGTGCCTTGGCTTTCTATTTCCCATCATTCTTACTTTGTTCCTTTTTGTCTCTTTTACGATTGTCAAAGCAGTTTACGGGTTTAATAGAACAGGTTAGACAACTTCACGGAAAAGTACATAATGGGCATCAATAATAGTGGCAGGCCTTGTTAGACCAGTAGTATCTTGACACAAAATGCTTGCTCTAACTCATTAAAACATTTTAGTAAGTGTCAGTATTAATACATGTTTCTTGCTGCAAATAAAATTTATTTCCAAATTCCAATTTAGAGAAATCTGGTGGCCTAGAAAATACTATTCCCTGATGTAATGTGATTTTCCATGCTGTCATTCAATTGGGAATTTTCTCAATATTTCAAATCACTAGTGAATTGATAATAACAAATTATATTGCTGCATTTGGCCATTACAAGTCCTTTTGCCATTTTCGTTTAGTGGGTATGGTAGCTGATGGTCCTCTGAACTGCTCTAAAGAGGCAAATAACAGTAAACACTGGTCTGCTATGGAACAGGGGGTGTTTTCTGGGTTCTCAGCCAGGTGTCAAAGAGGAAGGTTTAGAGGTAATCTGAAGACCATTTTTTAGGAAGAATATCTTCCACCTGGCCTAGAAAATACAAGAAATTAAAAGGTTCTTTCAGGAAGAAACTTAAAATACTTTTTTTCTTGAATTAATGTCATCTACTTTGTAAAAAATAATCTCTTTTGTAGAGTTATTTTGCATCTAACTTTGACCACCTATCACTGTCTTGGAAACAAACACAAAAACAATTAAAATCCAGGGAAATATTGATAAATATTTATATTTGCAAGTTAGGATTAGACAGGAGTGACAAAACCAATCCCGCGGACAATAAGACCTATGAGTATAATAATTTTGGTCTGCCTGCAAAGACCTTTCCTACTTTCCATTCCTGGAAAACTCATATTTGTTCTTCAACATCAAGCAAATGTTACCTCTTCTATCAAATCATCCCTAACTTCCAGGTAGATATGGTATTCTACATGTATAGTACTTGATCGATTCCTTTACTATTGTACTAAAACAACTTTATTTGTTTACATGCCTCTTCCCCCTACTAGACTATGATGCCCAGAGAGAGCAGGAATTATTATTTATTCAATATATATTTATTGAGTGCTTACTATGTGCCAGGACATTTTGCTTCTCCTTAGGATCACAATATACATCTCTTTATTCCCAAAATTAGTACATGCCTGTCCCCTCATGGAAGAGGCACTCAATAATCAGTTGCTAAATAAACAGCTGAGTGAATGAAAGGGTGAATGAATGAATGAGCCCTATTGTATAAGATACAAAAGGCACCAATTTTACAGTGATGTTTCAGTTCCCCAATTTGCAAACAGAACTGGTGTAAAGCTACTAAGGAGAGCATGATTTGTCATTCTGCAGGGAGATGCAGTGACTCAATTCCTGGTTGACCTGTGGGGTTTACAAAAACCAGGGCTTAGTTTCTTTAAATTAACTTTAGGAGATGGCAGTCCTGGCCTGGTCCCTTTTATGTGCTGGAGCACCACCCTAAAAACTGTTGGCTGGCTACATCACAGAGAATTCCCAGGGCTCTCTTGCTAGCAGCCAGAGTGGAGAGAGGCAGGAAGGAAGGGAGAGAGAAAGAGAGAGAGAGAAGGAGAGAGAGAGAGAGAGAGAGAGAGAGAGAGAGAGAGAGAGAGAGAGAGAGAGAGAGAGAGAGAGACAGTCCAAACAGGAAGGAATAATGCAAACTTGAGTCATTTGAAAGACAGTGGATTTTCCTGTTACTGCAGTATGTTTGCTGCAGATTACATAAGACTTGTTGATTATTCTCTTACAATACTTCTGGTAGTCTATCCCTATTCATAAATAATGTGCTAGACTTGATGTAGCTGTAGCAAATCATTTTGACATCAGGGAGTACTTTTCAAGATAAGCCTGAGCCATCCTCATCCCTGAATTCACTCATTAGCAGTTTGCTCACAAAGGTGGTCTCTGGGGTAGGCTCAGAGAGGCCCCCAGCCTCTGAATTTCACGATTGAGATAAAGACTCATTATGTGGAGTCTGATCTGGTTCCATTAGCAAAATGATTTCTGTAGTTGGGTTTAGCATAAAGGTAGGTAGGCTCAATCTTATTTGTGTTCCAAGTTAATTCCCTTTCCTGTTTTCTGCCTGGCTGTTCCAATCTCTTAGCAGTCTTGCCAAGCCACCTCATTGTCAGCAGACAACATACCTCATATTTTAATGTTACAGAAACATTTATCTTTTTTCCTTTCTATCTTTTCATCTTTCACCTGTCATTCTCTGATTTCCTTCTGCCTCAGAGAAAATCTGTATATGTTACCCTTTGTAACAAATTACCCTAAAACTTAGCAGCTTAAAAGAACAAATATGTGTTATCTCATAGTTTCTGTGAGTCAGGAATTTGGAGGTTGCTTAGCTGAGTGGTTCTAGTACAGAGTCTTTCATGAGGTTGCAGACAAGATATCAGCTGGGGCTGCAGTCATCTGAAAGCTAGACTAGGAGTGGAGGCTTCACTTCCAAGATGGTGTACTCACATGGCTGTTGGCAGGAGGCCTCAGTCCCTCACTGCCCGGCACCTCCCCAGAGAGTGCTTGAGTGTTCAAGTGAAAAGTCAGCTGGCTTCCTCCAGATTGTGTGATCCAAGAGAAGAAGCATGGAGTAAGTCACATGCCTTTTACAACTTACTCTCAAAAGCTGAACATTGTCATTTCAACCACATTCTATTATTTAGAGGTAATTCATTAAGCATCCCTTGCACTCAAGAAGAGAGGAATTAGATCCTATCTTTTGAAGGAAGGGATAGCAAAGAATCTGTGGACATCTTTTCAAACCACCACAGAGGGATTTCTCTTCCTTTTCAGGGTGAATTCTTCAACCTGTGAGCTTGATCCCATCCCTTCCCACCTGGACGTGGCTAATCAATTATGCTGTCTCTCGTAGTCTCATAATAGTAGATCCCATTTATTGAGTATCTACTTCATAATAGTAGACCCCATTTATTGAGTATCTACTATGTCCTGACCATAATGTTCCAAGAACTTTATGTAGATAAATTACTTAATACAAACAACAGTTCCATAAGGTAGGGAAATGATTAACTCACTTTTACAATTGAGGAGACCAAAGCTCAGGAGATTGTGAGCCTCCTGAGCTCACAGAGGTGAGATGTCCAACGTCAGCTAATAAGTTAAAAAGTTACACTTAAGGCCAGCCCTGACTAATTTCATATCTATGCCCCCTCCACTAATCTATTTCCACAGCGCCTCATATACTCCTTTAGTCTCTCCATCAGCTTCTTCTCCTTAGCCTTGACAAAGGCTCAAGTTGTCCTCATACAAAAATTACCTTCCTTTAAATCGTACCACATCTTGAGCTTTATCACATCTTCCCATCACCACAATTTTTTTGCAATACTGGTCTGCACACCATCCATGCATCTCTGCTGCATACAATGCCACACCTCCCATTTGTCCAACTCACAGCCATCTAGTGCTGCACTTACCAATCTACTGAAATGGATTTCTCCAAGTAAGATCACCAGTGACTTCCTAAATTTTAAGTCCGGTGCTTTCTTTTCAGCTCACATTCTGGTGTATTTGATCAATTCTAAGACATACGATTTCCAACATTTCTCAAATAGAGGTGTCTTTAAATCAATGGCACTTTGGGTTGATAAAACAAAGGTGTTTATACCCCTCTCCAGGGGTGTCTGGAGAAGAGAGAGTCGGCAAAGAGGGCAGCAAAAGAAGAGCCATACTGCATGCTCTGGGGTCCCTCTAGGTGAGGCCTGGGCGCCCCAGTTCCCTATTTGTCCTTGGCACCAGGTGCCCCCAGCTCCTTTCCTCAGGGCCCCAAGGGGAAACTGGAGCCCAGGATTGGCAGCGTGGAATAAGGGGACCCCACTGGACTCTTACCAAAGATTTGATGGTGTTATTCAGTTGACTGATTTTTATGGACCTCGGGTCCAGGACTACTGCTAGTTCTTGGCATGGGCTCTGAGGTGCATGCAGAGACGAGGAGGTGGAGGAGGAGTGGGGGAGAGGTAGAGAGAACAATCATTAAGGCTGGGGTGTGTGTGGGCTGTCTCAGCTGGCAGAGGGGCATGCCGTGTCCACTGTGGGAGGAGGTTGGAGGGCTGGCCTGCAGGGTCACTGCACCTCTCCCCAGAGCCTCTTACCTCCAGATCCTTCAGGGTAGCAGATGATGTAGGGCCCTCCCCGTGGATACCTGTTGCTGACTACCAGAGATGAGAATGCACATGGAGATGTTCTGTCCCCCTCAGTGTCTAAGCCCTCTGACTTCCTTTCTTCCCCATCAACTGGCTACATTTTCTTTTCTGCCTATCTTGGACGCTTTGTCCCATAACTCCTTTGTGCCGACTTCTCTCATGGTTCTTATCCCCCCACCATCCCACCCTGAGGCCCTTTCAGTGACTCTTGATGGCAAGTGGCTGTTCTCATTGTCCTGGCTTCCCCTTGAGACTGGGGATGAGGAAAATCAAAGAGCAATGACCATATCCTGGGTGTCCTGGGTGTTTACAGCAGGCCATGTACTAGGGATTAACATAAAAACAACAATAAAAAAATCTCATTTAAACTTCACAAATGGAAGTCAAACAATACCACCTCTATTATGCAGATGTAATAAGAGAGGCCCAAAGAGCTCAAGCAACTTGCCCTAAATCATATCCCTAGCAGACGGAGAGGCAGGATTCAAACCCAGAATTCCTTTTTTTTTTTTTTTCTGAGATGGAGTCTCGCTTTGTCTCCCAGGCTGGAGTGTGGTGGCACAATGTCAACTCACTGCAAGCTCCGCCTCCCAGGTTCACACCATTCTCCTGCCTCAGCCTCCCGAGTAGCTGGGACTACAGGCACCCATCACCAAGCCTGGCTAATTTTTTTGTATTTTTAGGAGAGACAGGGTTTCACCGTGTTAGCCAGGATGGTCTCAATTTCCTGAGCTCGTGATCCACCGGCCTCAGTCTCCCAAAGTGCTGGGATTACAGGCATGAGCCACTGTGCCTGGCCAAACCCAGAATTCTTAACCAGTACCCAACAGTCCATCCATAATCTTAAAAATTACCGTCTACTGTGCCTTGGGCCCCCTGTCCCCAGAAGCCTGGCCTGCCAAGACTCACATCCTCAGGTGAGTGGCAACCACCAGAAGTGGCTGTTTCAGGGCTACTGCCACTCGTTTTCCTGTTCCTCTTCACTCCTGCTGGAACACCAAGGCTGTTTCTCTGCCAATATTCTTTTAACTGTGGGAAAGAAGAGCAGTAACACTCATGAGAACTATCAGCCCCTACAGCCACATCCTTCTTTAGTTTTTACAAAATACTCTTATACACCATCTGATTTAATGACACCAACAACTGTATAAGGTGTTGTCACAATCATTTAGTGACTGAGAGGGATTGATATCATGGCTATGAAAAAAAAGAAAAAGGCGATACTGGAACTTTGAAACTCAGTCTTCTGACTCTGGGGTTTTGCCAAGAATCAGCAGCTACCAGGGACCAAAACCAGAGGCAGAGGTTGAAAAGTAAACATTAAATAGGCAGGAACTGTTTGCTGTGTGGTTTAGAGTCATACATCCTCACACGTCTGTTAGTGTGAAGAAGTGCACCAGTACCTCAAACTTTTATATCAATGTGTCCTCATGGCAGAAGGCAGCCTTTCTGTTAAATCTGGGAGTTTATCAGAAAGAGGACAACCCAAGCCTCATTTCAGAGAGAAATCTGGTATACTTTTAGAAACCTACGTGACTGTCATCCCTAAGTACATTAATGTTTTTTCTCTTGATCTCAAGAGAATCAAGGGAAACTGATGCTTCAGAAAGATGTCCCACATTTATCCTGTGGCACTCAAAGTACCCCAGGTTGAGATAATATGAGGAAGATTCAAGCTGTCAAGTTCAGTTTCCCAAGATCTATTCCACAGAAGATGAGCAAATCTCACTTCAGAGACCACTGACTGAAGGGCAGTCTGGTCCCAGAACCATGGAAAATTAGAATATGAGGTGGAGAACTCAGAAAAAATGTTAAAATCTGTCTGGAAAGTAGAAGCCTGGAAGAAAACCAAACCAAACCCATTCTCTCATTGCCACCCAGAGATATTGTCAATGTTTTGAGCTCATGGGGGAAGTGTAGGCTTTTCCCACTGTCAATGTCTATGTTAAGGGAGTAAGGCAGCCTGAAACCTCTTGCTCCTAGGTCCCATAGTCTCCATTCTTCTTCCAGCTGGAAATTTGTGCTGTGACCAGAGGAACCAGAAATAGGGTGACAATGCTTAGGGGACTGGGTTGTAAGATCAAAGGCCAGTATTGCAGTAATGACAGTTCCTAGGCCGATTGTGATATCACTACATTCCACTCCTCCTGGTTGTGGGGAGGGACCACATCAGCGCATTGTCTGAGTCACCGCTCCATGATGGGGGAGGGAAACACAGGGTTGGGACCCAGGTCCTTGGAGACGCCAGCGCAAAGAGCCCAGGGAGGTTGACCTTGAGGCTTCAGGAGGGGAGGGTAGAGTCTGCAGCAGGGAGCCCCAGGAGTCACCAGCCCAAAGTCACCCAGGGACAACTGGTGAAGGTGGGGCCTGGGGCTGGGGGACCAAAGTCCTTGGAGACATGAGCCCAAAGAGCCCAGGGAGGTCGAGTTTGGGGTAGCAGGAGGTGAGGGCCCAGTAATGGAGTGGGAAACCCCGGGAGTCACCCACCCAAAGTCACCCTGGGGAGATTGGCAAGGGCAGGGACTGGGCTGCTTGCTGAAGGGGTGGGGCTGACTGACGAGACTTTGGTGGAGGAATCCAGAGGCACCAGGGTTGCGGGGCCCAGTCCAGTGTGCCTCAGGAGTGGTATGGACTCTGGCACTGGTCTTGTCATCAAGGGGATCTGTGGCCGGGTTGGGGGGCCCTGATCTGGTGCATTTTTACCTTTTCCTTGGCTATGGCCAATTTGCTTTGTCGAGTTTCTTCTGCCATTGCAGGGTGGGGAGGGAGGCAGGGTTGGGGCCACATCAGCAAAATCCCAGCGAGCACTGATCAACGCCTCCAGTCATCTACCAGGCAGCTGTGCAACTAAGCCAGAGGAGGCGTAACCAGGGCCCCAGTAGAATGCAGAATAGGGGTGTGGCCTTAATACTCCAAGCCCATTGGTCAATAAGAAAGATGAAAGGGAAAGGGGGCTTGGCCAGGCAGCAGTGTGTCCAGGGGGACCTGTGGCTCACAAGGAAAGCTGCCCATGCAACCACTGTCCCTGCCCACTCTGGGAGAGGGGAGGGGCCAGCTTTTGCTTTAAAAGCTTTAAAACTTTAAAAAATACATGTGTGTGTACTTTATATATGTGTGTGTGTGTGTGTGTGTGTGTGTCTGTGTATGTGTATCTGTGTGTTCCTCCAGAGCTGTCTTCATTACCCAGCTTCTATGCAAGGTCTATGATTTTGGTCTATATTTTTCATCTTCAAATACAGTACAAAAATGACCAGTATTACCTTAACTGAGATACAGTTCCTATAAAAATGGAAAATCTATAGCATGCTTGATGATTAATGAAGCAGACTATATTATCCAACATTCTAATAAGATAAAATAATCCCAATGATTTCTCTTTTTTGGAAAAACATTTCTCTTATTCTCCTACGTTATTGTTAAGATTTTTTTCTTAAAAAAGAAACATGTCTAATATCTGTAAAAACACAAAGCTTTTGGGCTGGGTGCAGTGGCTTACACCTGTAATCCCCGCACTTTGGGAGCCCAAAGCAGGTGGATCACTTGAGATCAGGAGTTTGAGACCAGCCTGGCCAACATGGTGAAACCCCGTCTCTACTAAAAATACAAAAACTAGCCAGGCGTGGTGGTGGGTGCCTGTAATCCCCACTATTTGGGAGGCTGAGGCAGGAGAATCACTTGAACCTGGGAGACGGAGGTTGCAGTGAGCCAAGCTCATGCCACTGCACTCCAGCCTTGGTGACAGAGTCAGACTCCATCTCAAAAGAAATAAAATACAAAATAAATTTTAAAAGCTTTCAATTTAATAAGCACTCAAAGCTCTTTACCAATTTAAAACAAATACAAGGCCCATTTTTCTAGAATCACCTGGTTTCTCTAAGCCTTGCAAATGAAACTGAATTTCTCACTTGATACTTGGCTATGACTTGCAATCATGAAAACCAAGAATTGTGTTATGTCACTTTGTGCTGCTTGTTACCTGAATTTCACACGAGGCTAGGATCAAGGGTTGAATCTTTCATGATTTGCTCCATAACCTCTGTGCTTCTTATCCCATACCAAACTAAGCTTTTGTCTAGAGTTCTACAATTTACAGTTAGTAGACAAGAGTGGATCTCAGTAATGTAGTCTCTGGACTGGCAGCACCAGCAGCACCTGAGAACTTTTTATAAGTGCAAATTCTCAGGCCCTACCCTGGACCTGGTGAATCAGAAACTCTGGAGTAGGGCTCAGCAATCTGTGCTGCAGTAATCCCTCCAGGTGTTCAGGAACCTCTGGCATACAGCAGGTAGAAAAATATGTTTCCTTCTGTACTTCCAAAGCCAGGGATATTATATGTTCTGTCTTGATATGAAACAATGACATGCAATTAAAACACATAACTCTCCTTCCTACTCCCACCCTCCATCCAATGTGTTTTATTTTTATGAATTCAATAAGAAAACAACTGGCAATCAGAAGTTTAGTCTAAAAAGTATATTTACAAGTATTAGTTCTCATCCAGCTTGATCTCATACAAAGTCATTTACATCCTCTTACAGCTAAAGTTTTAAAAAAGTATCTTCACAAAGTAAGTCTCAGGCACACTAGGGGTTCTATCATAAAACACCAAGTAGATCAGAATGTCCAAACTTACTAGAGAAGAAAAGTGGAATTATTGGCTATATTTTCAAATTGCATTCAAAGGAAATTTAAGTTCTGAATTTTTTTCACCTTCATACTTCCAAGTTAATAGAATTCAACCAGAACACTCCATTCCTTCAAAGCCTCTAGCCAGACAAAGTTTTACTGTATTACTTCTTGCTTTCCATGGATATGAAGCAGAGTCCTGGTAGGCACATTTTGCATACCTGCAAAGATGCAGAACTAAACAGTTCCATCTGTTCCATATTAAAACAAAAGTCCTGTGAACCTTGGATGGTGAGTGTAATACTTCAGCACTAGCACCAAAGCCTCAAATATGAAAAGATACCAAGAACACCACTAGCAAACAAAACTAAATTCTTGACCAGGAGCAGGAGCTCACACCTGTAATCCCAGGACTTTGACAAGCCAAGGTGGGAGGATTACTTGAAGTCAGGAGTTCAAGAAAAGCCTCGGAAGCTTAGTGAGTTCACATCTCCACAAAAAATTTTAAAAAACAGCTGGGCATGGTGGCACACACCTGTAGTCCTAGCTACTTGGCAGGCTGAGGTGGGAAAATTGCTTCTGCCCAGGAGTTCAAGGCTGCAGTAGCTATGATGATGGCACTGCATTCCAGCCTGGGTGACAGAGCAAGACCTAGATAATTACATTCTCTCCTGCTCCTGTTTACACTAAAATCACTAAGTTAAAATGCTTTCAAATTTGACCAAATAAAAATTGGTGAAATGTGACTTTGGGGTTTGGAGGGAGAAGGAAGGAAGGGAGGGAGGGAAGGAAGGAGGGAGGGAGGGAAGGAAGGAGGGAGGGAGGGAAGGAAGGAAGGAAGGAAAAAAAAGAAAGGAAAGGAAAGTAAGAAGGAAGGAAAAGGAAAGAAAGGAAGGAAAGGAAGGAAAGAAAGGAAAGAAAAAAGAAAAGATAGGAAAGGAAAAGAAAAGAAAGGAAAGGAAAGGGAAGGAAAGGGAAGGGTAGGAAGAAAGAAAAGAAAAAATAAAATGAAATGATAAATTACTTACTGGGAGAAAGTTTTTGTAACCTCAATAACAAATAAAAGGTTTGTATTCTTAGCCTGTAAAGAAATCTTTTAAATTACTCAGAAAAATACAAATGATTTTCAACAGAAAATGGGCAACGGAGAAACAGGCATTTCTCACAAAAATAAAAATGGCCAATAGGTATATAAAAAAGATTCAAAAGCACCGGAAATCAAGGAAATGTCATGAAAACAATGATATTTTCTGTACAAAGGCAGCAAAGATGATGAATGGAAGGGGGAACCTGGAGCTCTGTCCCTGTTGGTGGGAGTATAAACTGAGCCACTTTTCCTGGAGGATAATTTGAAAATTTCTATTAAAGACTCTAAAACTTATTGCCCTCCAGAAATTCTACTTCTATGAATTCAGTCCAAAAATGCTTGCTCGAGTCCATTAAAATCTATATGTAAGAAAATTCACCTCTGGGGTGGCAATGATTAACTTAATATACATCCAGCTATTAAAAATGATGATGCCAGAATATATTTACTGCCACAGAAATATGCCCAAAATATAGTAAGTGACAGAAGACTATCTATTGTGATTCCACTTTTTAAAATGTTTACATGCATAAAAAAGTATAAAAAGCAACAAACCAGAATGTTTTGAGTGGCAAATTAAAGATTTTTCTTAATATTTGTCATCTAAATTATTACAAAAAGAATGTGATTTCCTTTATAATCAGAGAGAAGTGTTATTTTCATTTATTTATATTTAAATCTCTTTTCTTTTTCTTATTTTTTTCTCCCGTATGTATCCCATGAAGGCTAGCATCCCTGCCTCTTGAAAGAAACCAGCCCATTTTTGGGAAGTGCTCTACATAAAGCTGCCCCATCTTCCTTTCATTTCAAGAGATCTGGAAACATTTTTATTTCAAATTGTTTTATCGTTCTTAGAATATATATTTTTTAATATATGAAATTGAGGAAAAGACAAAGGAAAAGCTGACTCCCTACCCTACTGGGGCTACTCTTCCAATTTTTCCTGCTATTGTTATGTATTAATATTCACTGGGTACTAAAAAGATGGGCAGCCCCTTAGATCCTTTTTTCTTATCTCTTTCTCATAATCCTACTTCATTCCTTCATTCACTTATTTTTAAAAGGGTCATGTGTACAAATACATAGTTCAGAAAAATTTTAAATATAACTATAAAAGTATACAGCAAAATCCCATTCACAGTCTTATTCTCCTTCCACAGCCAAACACTTTTAATTGGCTTCTTATATATCTTTTCAGAATTTATCTTTGCAAATACACATGTATATTCTTACTCTACTCTTCTCTCTCAACACAAAAAGTAGCATACCATACATAGGATACCATTCCTTCTTCTTTTTAAAAAACACGCACAATATATCTGAGTTCTTCTACATGAGTACAGAGGTCTTTCTCATTCTTCTTTTCAACTGCACAGTATGCATCATTTGGATGTACCACAGTTTACTTAACCTCAACCAGTTCCCTGTTGGCAGACACTGAAATCATCCCTATCATACTATTACAAACAATAATGACAAGCATAACCACCTACACACACCAAGTTCATTTCTGAATCTGCCTTTGATGAAGCCTCTGTTTGAATCACCATAAGGTCACAAGGCTGAAAAGTTAGCCCCTTTTTTAGTTTTCATTATGTACAGCAGTATGTAGCAAAAGACTCCTCAGGCAAAGCAAACCTACTCTTTGGGGATTTACTTCACAACAATAAATGGATAAACAGAACACCAAGGAGAACCATTTCTATTTAACCATGCATACGTATTTATACAATACATGCATATGCATAGAAAGTATAAAATAAATAAATCCATCAAAGCATTAAGCATTGTCTCAGTATGGTGGATCTATGGAGTGCTTTGTAGACCACCCTCCTTGCCTGTCAATTCTTTCTAATTTCACAACAGTAAATATGTACAACTTCTGCAATATAAAATTTCAAAAAATGTTAAATTAAGCTGCATATATTCCTTCAGTCTGTCCTATATTTGTATGGCGCTCCATATCACTTCATTATTATTGTATGGTGCTCAAATATAACTTCATTAACAAAAATTTATTTATTTATTTTTCAAATATAGAGATGGCAGGGTCTTGCTCTGTTGACCAGGCTGGTCTCGAACTCCTAGATCATCCTGGATCCTCCTACTTCCACCTCCCAAAGTGCTGGTATTACAAGTGTGAGACATCATGCCTGGCCGGCTTCATTTCAGAAATCTTTCCCCAGCACTCCATATATTACGAATAATTCCTTTCTTCTTCTTTAGATAGCATTGTAGTCATATCTCTATTACCTCACTTGTCACATGATAATCAGTTGCTCACCCATCCATCTCCCTTGATTGCTCATGAGTTCCTTGAGAAGAGTCTGATTTTCAGCACCTTGATCAATGTGTGACACATACATGCTTCATGCGCAGAGAAGGAAATGATTTCACTACAGTGTAATTATTCTCAGAATTCAATACCTGTATTTCTAAATTGTTCTAGATACTCTGCCAACAACCTGAGAATGTTATGGTTTTTCCCTAAAACTTCCATAAATTACTGAGTGTCTACGGTCATAGTTGACTCAATTGTGACGTGACCTCTCACCAAGCCCATTCATAGTTTTTTTTTTTTTTGGTGATTTTTAATTTTAATTTTTGATTTTGATTGTTTCCTTTTTGTTTTCTAAATCTAGCAGTGTTTGGTAAACTTCAACATCTCTATATCCCTGTGTCTTTGCACCTGCTGGTCTCTGCTTGGAATAATGTCTCAAGGTTTTATTCACCTGGAAAACATTTCTACTCATCTTTAAAGAATCAGCTTAAATAGGCCTGGCATTGTGGCTCATGCCTGTAATCCCAGCACTTTGGGAGGCCAAAGCAGGTGGATCACCTGAGGTCAGAGTTCAAGACTAGCCTGCCCAACATGGTGAAACCCCATCTCTACTAAAAATACAAAAAATAGTTGGGCATGGTGGCAGATGCCTGTAATCTCAGCCACCCGGGAGGCTGAGGCAGGAGAATTGCTTGAACTGCAGAGGTTGCAGTGAGCTGAGATCATGCCCCTGCACTCCAGACTGGGTGACAGAGCGAGATGTCATCTTAAAAAAAAAAAAAAAAAAAACCTTAAATAATACCTTCTCTGAGAAGCCTTTATATCTTCCTGTTCTTTCAGGAAGAGTTGAAAATTCCTCAACTTTTGAAACATTTGTGCCTCTATTACTATGTATCAGGCACTGAACTGAATGCCTAGGGATAGAAAGATGAGACTGTAGACCCTGCCCTCATGAGCTCATGGTCTAGTATGGAAAACAGCCATATGAACAAATAACCACACTATAGGTCTTCAGAGCTCAAATCCTATCCTAAATACTGCTAAATTAATGTTCTGTGGGGTTTTGAAAGTACTAGGGCCAGAGACAATATGGCTGCTTGGATGACTTTCCATCAAAGTTAACATTCAGCCTTCACCACCAAAGGTGGTGTGTGTATGCCTCTTCCTTGCAACCCACCAGGGCCTAACACATCATATCACCACTTCTGAAATTAGGAAACAGGCTCAGAAGTCCAAGAGCTTGACCAAAGTAACTCAGCTGGTATGTAGCAGAACCAGGTCAGTATGATTCTTCTTCAGTATCTTGCCAGTAAAATGGGCAAGTGGCCTCAAAATCAACAAAAGACAAGTAGAGGTTGATATGCGTCAATGGAGAGAGGCTCAAAAGGAAGAGTTTATACACAAGAACAGAACAGAAATGTTCTGGAAGTATGTCTGGGGATGTGAAGTAGGAGGGGGCACACCAGGTTTCACCTTGGTCAAGTGAATCTATAATTTCAATCTGGGCCTCACCCCCTGAGCTCCAGACTTAGCTATCTGTCTTTCTTACTCAAATATAAAATCCACGGGGCAGGACCTTAATCTCTAGTTTGTTCATCACAGATTAAAGCAGAGCCTGGCTTATAATAAGTACTTAATAAATACATTAATGAATAAATAAACTATCAAAGAAGCTAAAGAAACATTCTACATTCTTGGGGAAAGAGATTACCATGAAACAGGCCCTAGCAGTCACTTACAAATACAGTTGACCCTCATTATTTGCGAATCCCATATTTGCAAATTTGCTTACTTGCTAAAAGTGTCTTTGTAATCCCCAAATTAATACTTGTGGAGCTTTCAAGGTGGCTCCTGGATAGACACACAGTAGTGAAAACTCTGTCACTCTTTGCACACGTCCCAAGCTAAGGTCAAAAAAGGTGACCCTTCGTCTTCTTGTTTCAGCTCTCATACAAAGATGACCTGAGGACAGAGACAGTAGAGGACAGTGCAGGGTAGTGCAAGAAGCTGTGGCTCTGGGGTCTGGTCAAGATGCCCCTTTCTTCTGTTAGGAAGCTTTCCCACTCCTCTGCCTGCTTTCGCATCTCTTCCAAAATACAAGTGATTGCATGTGACTCCCTTGTTAGAGCAGGCTCTCAATAAATAGGCTTTGCTTGATTTCATTTGGTTCATCTTCATTTATTTCCACAATAGAAAAAGTACCTTTAAACTGGATGCCAGATACCGTTCCCAGAATCAAAGGAGGAAAAACGTCAAATACTTGGTGAAGGTTCTCTGATGGGCATAACTAAGTTTAGCCTTACTTTGGGTTTTTCGAATTTGGCCCTCTTCGATTCCATGGGCCATGTGAGGGAAACACACAGCTCTCCCTGACAGGCGGGCCTTCTCCTGGCCTCCCTCCCTAGACCCTGAACAGTGCAGCAGAGCCTGGCAATGTGCAGGAATCCCTTTCCCAGAGTGGGACTTTAATTTAGAATAATGTCACTGAGGAGCTCCAACAGAGGAGTCCAGGCTGGGCACAGGCACCCCAGGGTGGGGCCCTTGCAGCTCTCCCACACAAGGCAAAGCGAAGTCACAGCCCTTCTCTTTGCAGACAGCCTCCCAGTCCCACGAGGATAACCCTTGGGCAGAAGCCCACACATAGAGCTCACATGGACAAACAACGCTCAGGGATGGTGCAGCGGGAACCTGTGTCAACAAAGAGGAACATTTTCCTAAAGTAGCATAATTGGAAATAAGGTTCCTTTGCCGTAAAAAAACCTCACTCTTCCCACATGATTGGAAGAATCATCCTCTTTCCTGTACCTCACTATGCAGAATTTTACTTGCACTTTGCTCTTCCTCCACTTCCTGACCCTGCCTGGGGTCTTCCTGTCCACCATTTTGGAGTCCTTGTTGGCACCCTCCAAACCACCTAATCCTCACCTTGTGCCTCGCTGACCACACGGAGAATGAGGAGGAGCTTGGAAAGCTGGTTTTTATTTGCAGTTCATATTCTTAAACACTGCTGTGTCTTCTCACAAGTCCGGATTAAGAAGAAAGTGAGAGTATGAAGATTTGCTCTCCCCTTATCCAGAGCAAACCCTAATGGGTAGGAGTGAAGATAGTGGGGGGTGGGGAGAGTTTTTCCACTCAAACTTGTGTAGGAAGATACGACTTGAATATTGCTTGAATACTTACATATTTAAATATTGCTGCTTTAAAATTTTGGCCTTTTTCTTTTCTTTTTTTTCTTTTTCTTTCTTGTCACCCAGGCTGGAGTGCAGTGGTGCGATCTCGGCTCACTGCACCCTCCACCTCCCAGGTTCAAGTGATTGTCCTGCCTCAGCCTCCTGAGTAGCTGGGATTACAGGCATGTGCCACCATGCCTGGCTAATTTTTGTATTTTTATTAGAGATGGGGGTTTCACTATGTTGACCAGGCTGGTCTCGAACTATTGACCACAAGTGATCCACCCATCTCAGCCTCCCAAAGTGCTGGGATTACAGGCGTGAGCCACCGCACCCAGCTCCCTTTTTTCTTTAGACAGGGTCTTGCTCTGTCACCCAGGCTAGAGAGCAGTGATGCAATCATGGCTTCCTTTAGCCTTAACTTCCCAGGCTCAAATGATCCTCCTGCCTCAGCCCCCTGAGTAGCTGGGACTACAGGTGAGCACCATCACACCTGGCTAATTTTTTTTTTTTTTTTGGTAGAGATGGGATATCACTATGTTGCCCAGGCTTGTCTCATACTTCTGGGCTCAAGTGATCCACCTGCTTTGGCCTCTCAAAGTGCTGTGATTACAGATGTGAGCCACCATGCTTGGCTACAATTTTGTTTAATTGGGGTAAAATACACATAAAATTTACGATTGTAACCATTCTTAAGTGTACAAGTCAGTAGCGTTCAGCACATTCACGTTGCTGTACAATGCAGTGACCACCCTCCCTCTCCAGGACTTTCATCTTAAGAAATCTGAAACTCTTACCCATTAAACAACAACTCTCCATGCCTCTCTCCCCACAGCTTTTGGCAACGACCATTCTGCTTCCTGTCTCGGTAAATTTGAGTACCATAGACATCTCATATAAGAGAAATCACATAGCATTTGTCTTTTTGTGACTGGCTTATTTCACTTAGCATCATGTCAACATTCCTACATGGTATAGCATGTATCATGTCTCACAGTTTTCTTCTTCCTGTTCTTCCTCTTCTTCTGCTTTTTCTTCTTTTTTTTTTTGAGGTAGAGTCTAATTTTTGTATTTTTATTAGAGATGGGGTTTTGCCATGTTGGCCAGACTGGTCTCGAGCTCCTGACCTCAGGTGATCCACCCGCCTTGGCCTCCCAAAGTGCTGAGATTACAGACATGAGCCACTGTGCCCACCCCAGAGTTTTCTTCTTTTTTAAGGCTGAGTAACATGCCACTGTATGTACATGACACGTTTTGCTTATCCATTCATCCATGGTGGACACTGGGTTGCTTCCACCTCTTGGCTGTTGTGAAGAATGCTGCTATCAAATAGAGGTGTTGCTTTTCTTTTATTCCCTTGTTCTTGACCCTCCTCTGGATGGAGATTCTGACAGTACCTCAGGTAGTGTTGTTAGGGTAAAAATAATCAATGTTCAGTTTTTAAATGTAATTATATTATTTTACTTCTGAAATATACCTTCAAAACTAAAGGAAGGTATGAGGAGAACAGAGCTCTGAGTTTTTGCTAAGACAATTGTTGGGAAAAAGCTGAGTGTCGGGAGAAACTGAGGCAGGGCTTGCATGTCTGACATGTCCTCTGGAATGTATCTAGACTTGCTGGCTTTTTGCTTCTAGCCTTCCTAGGCTCCTACTCCCATTATCTCAAGTAGCAGAACATGTTCCATATAAATGCTAAACCATTACAGCTGTAAATCATGTGCTTAATGCAATGTGTCCTTTCCACCTCCACATTCTCACCACTTGTTTCTTTGTTGGATTACCAATAAATAGCATGGGCTCCCAGAGCTCAGGGCCTTCACAGCCTCCACAATGGTGATGGCCCCCTGGTATCCCACCTTTCTCTCTCAAACTGTCTACTTCTCAATCCTTTGACTCCGTCGGACTTTGTCACCCCCAAGACCTGGTGTTGGGTCTGATCACCCCAACATTCCTGGCTGCTCAATGTGGGGCGACAAAGACCCCACTGAAGGAACGCTAGAGTGTGTGAAAGCAGAGGATGCATCGTCAAAGGACACCTGAGGATGTCTAAAAGAAGCTCAGTAGGAAAGCTGAGCACTTGGAAGAACCAGGGTAACAATGAGACAAAGTGAAAGCAGACATTCTGCTTATCGAAATTTCTTAAGGCATTTATTATGAAGATGGAGAGTGAAAGTTAGTCCTCAGAATTTGTTATCACTCACTCTTCAGTGCAGTAAAGCAGTTTTGCCCATGGTTCCCAGAACAAGGGACTATAGAGTTGGAGGAATGGGAGAGAATTGGCCGAGATTTTTTAAAAAGCATATAAAGATGGAGCAAAAATTCCAGTCTTGGTTTGGTCAATATGGGCACTAATAAAAGCAACTCTTGAGCCATTTCAAACAGATGATGAGGCAGATTCAGATGAGGAAGATGAGGACGAGTGTAAAGAACTAAATTCAGATTCTGAATGTGAGGAACAGGAAACGCAGGAAATTAAAGAAAGGGAAAATGAAAAAAGTATGTTTTACTAGCCCATTGGCTCCACCTGCTGAATTAAGTGAATGGCCACCTCTTCTCTCTTTCCTTAATGGGCGAGAAAATGAATTAGCTACAAAACTTACCATTCCTGTAGTTGCAACATTAAAACCTGGAGCAATTGGTAGCACTAAGACCCAGTGGAATCTGAGGCTTGTTTATTCAGAGAGCACCTCAATAAACCAAGGCATATCTGGCACAGCCAGTGCCCTTACAAATGGCAGCAATTGTCTGCCGCCTTGGTGGGCAGTGCTGCCATGGACCTTTGCAGTGCAGTTTCCATTTCTGTGCTTCCTGGGGAGCACCGGAGGGGGTCCCCATGGGAGTTGGGGGACCCTTGCCCTCAGGAACAGTCTATTACTTGAAAGATCTAGAGAGGTTCCAAGATGGCCAAATAGGAACAGCTCCAACCTACAGCTCCCAGTGTGAGCGATACAGAAGATGGGTGATTTCTGCATTTCCAATGGAGGTACCGGTTTCATCTCACTGGGGCTTGTTGGACAGTGGGTGCAGCCCACGGAGCAGGGCAGGGCATCACCTCACCTGGGAAGTGCAAGGGGTCAGGGAATTCCCTTTCCTAGCCAAGGGAAGCCATGACAGATGGTACCTGGAAAATCGGGACACTCCCACCCTAATACTGCACTTTTCCAATGGTCTTAGCAAACGACACACCAGGAGATTATATCCCACACCTGGCTTGGAGGGTCCCATGCCCATGGAGCCTCTCTCTCTGCTAGCACAGCAGTCTGAGATCGAACTGCAAGGCAGCAGCAAGGCTGGGGGAGGGGTGCCCACCATTGCTGAGGCTTGAGTAGGTAAACAAAGCAGCCAGAAGCTCAAACTGGGTGGAGCCCACTGCAGCTCAAGGAGGCCTGCCTGCCTCTGTAGACTCCACCTCTGGGGGCAGGGCATAGCTGAACAAAAGGCAGCAGAAACTTCTGCAGACTTAAACATCCCTGTCTGACAGCTTTGAAGAGAGTAGGGGTTCTCCCAGCATGGAGTTTCAGATCTGAGAACGGACAGACTGCCTCCTCAAGTGGGTCCCTGACCCCTGAGTAGCCTAACTGGGAAACACCTCCCAGTAGGGGCCAACTGACACCTCATGCAGCCGGGTGCCCCTCTGAGATGAAGCTTCCAGAGGCAGGATCAGGCAGCAACATTTGCTCTTCTGCAATATTTGCTGTTCTGCAGGCTCTGCTGGCAATACCCAGGCAAAAAGGGTCTGGAGTGGACCTCCAGCAAACTCCAACAGACCTGCAGCTGAGGGTCCTGACTGTTAGAAGGAAAACTAACAAACAGAAAGGACATCCACACCAAAACCCCATCTGTACATCACCATCACCAAAGACCAAAGATAGATAAAACCACAAAGATGGGGAGAAACCAGAACAGAAAAGCTGAAAATTCTAAAAATCTGAGCACCTCTTCTCCTCCAAAGGAATGCAGCTCCTCACCAGCAATGGAACAAAGCTGGACAGAGAATGACTTTGACGAATTGGGAGAAGAAGGTTTCAGATGATCGGTAATAACAAACTTCTCTGAGCTAAAGGAGGATGTTCAAACCCATCGCAAAGAAGCTAAAAACCTTGAAAAAAGATTAGATGAATGGATAACTAGAATAAGCAGCGTAGAGAAGACCTTAAATGACCTGATGGAGCTGAAAACCATGGCATGAGAACTACGTGACGCATGCACAAGCTTCAGTAGCCAATTCAATCAAGCAGAAGAAAGGGTATCAGTGATTGAAGATCAAATGAATGAAATGAAGTGAGAAGAGTTTAGAAAAAAAAAAAAGAGTAAAAAGAAATGAACAAGGCCTCCAAGAAATATGGGACTATGTGAAAAGACCAAATCTATGTCTGATTGGTGTACCTGAAAGTGACAGGGCGAATGGAACCAAGTTGGAAAACACTGTTCAGGATATTATCCAGGAGAACTTCCCCAACCTAGCAAGGCAGGCCAACATTCAAATTCAGGAAATACAGAGAATGCCACAAAGATACTCCTCAAGAAGAGCAACTCCAAAACACATAATTGTCAGATTCACCAAAGTTGAAATGAAGGAAAAAATGTTAAGGGCAGCCAGAGAGAAAGGTCGGCATACCCACAAAGGGAAGTCCATCAAACTAATAGCGGATCTCTTGGCAGAAACTCTACAAGCCAGAAGAGAGAGGGGGCCAATATTCAACATTCTTAAAGAAAAGAATTTTCAACCCAGAATTTCATATCCAGCCAAATTAAGCTTCATACATGAAGGAGAAATAAAGTCCTTTACAGACAAACAAATGCTGAGAGATTTTGTCACCACCAGGCCTGCCTTACAAGAGCTCCTGAAGGAAGCACTAAACATGGAAAGGAACAACTGGTACCAGCCACTGCAAAAACATGCAAAATTGTAAAGACCATCGATGCTAGGAAGAAACTGCATCAACTAATAAGCAAAATAACCAGCTAACATCATAATGACAGGATCAAATTCACACATAACAATATTAACCTTGAACGTAAATGGACTAAATGCTCCAATTAAAAGACACAAACTGGCAAATTGGATAAAGAGCCAAGACCCATCAGTGTGCTGTATTCAGGATCTCACGTGCAGAGACACACATAGGCTCAAAATAAAGGTTTGGAGAAAGATCTACCAAGTAAATGGAAAACAAAAAAAGCAGGGGTTGCAATCCTAGTGTGATAAAACAGACTTTAAACAAACAAAGATCAAAAGAGAAAAGAAGGCCATTACATAATGGAAAAGGGATCAATTCAACAAGAAGAGCTAACTATCCTAAATATATATGCACCCAATACAGGAGCACCCAGATTCATAAAGCAAGCCCATAGAGACCTACAAAGAGACTTAGACTCCCACACAATAATAATGGGAGACTTTAATACCCCACTGTCAACATTAGACAGATCGATGAGGCCGAAAGTTAACAAGGATATCCAGGAATTGAACTCACCTCTGCACCAAGTGGACCTAATAGACATCTACAGAACTCTGTACCCCAAATCAACAGAATATACATTCTTGTCATCACCGCGTCACACTTATTCCAAAATTAACCACATGGTTGGAAGTAAAGCACTCCTCAACAAATGTAAAAGAAGAGAAATTATATAACAAACTGTCTGTCAGACCACAGTGCAATCAAACTGGAACTCAGGACTAAGAAATCACTCAAAACCGCTCAACTACATGGAAACTGAACAACCTGCTCCTGCGTAATTACTGGATACACAACGAAATGAAGGCAGAAATAAAGATGTTCTTTGAAACCAACGAGAACAAAGACACAACATACCAGAATCTCTGGGATATATTTAAAGCAGTGTGTAGAGGGAAGTTTATAGCGCTAAATGTCCACAAGAGAAAGGAGGAAAGATCTAAAATTGACACCCTAATATTACAATTAAAAGAACTAGAGAAGCAAGAGCAAACACATTCAAAAGCTAGCAGAAGGCAAGAAGTAACTAAGATTAGAGCAGAACTGAAGGAGATAGAGACATAAAAAACCCTTCAAAAAAATCAATGAATTCAGGAGCTGGTTTTTTGAAAAGATCAACAAAATTGATAGACTGCTAGCAAGACTAATAAAGAAGAAAAGAGAGAAGAATCAAATAGGCACAATAAAAAATGATAAAGGGGATATCACCACCTATCCCACAGAAATACAAACTACCATCAGAGAATACTATAAACACCTCTATGCAAATAAACTGGAAAATCTAGAAGAAATGAATAAATTCCTCAACACATACACCCTGCCAAGACTAAACCAGGAAGAAGTTGAATCCCTGAATAGACCAATAACAGGCTCTGAAATTGAGGCAATAGTTTATAGCCTACCAACCAAAAAAAGTCCAGGACCAGATGGATTCACAGCCGAATTCTACCAGAGGTACAAAGAGGAGCTGGTACCATTCCTTCTGAAACTATTCCAATCAATAGAAAAAGTGGGAATCCTCTCTAACTCATTTTATGAGGTCAGCATCATCCTGATACCAAAGTCTGGCAGAGAGACAAACAAAAAAAGAGAATTTTAGACCAACATCCCTGATGAACATCAGTGCAAAAATCCTCAATAAAATACTGGCAAACCGAATCCAGCAGCACATCAAAAAGCTTATCCACCACAATCAAGTTGGCTTCATCCCTGGGATTCAAGGCTGGTGCAACATATGCAAATCAATAAACGTAATCCAGCATATAAGCAGAACCAGAGACAAAAACCACATGATTATCTCAATAGATGCAGAAAAGGCCTTTGACAAAATTCAACAACCTTCATGCTAAAAACTCTCAATAAACTAGGTATTGATGGGACGTATCTCAAAATAATAAAAGCTATTTATGACAAACCCACACCCAATATCATACTGAATGGGCAAAAACTGGAAGCATTCCCTTTGAAAACTGGCACAAGACAGGGATGCCCTCTATCACCATTCCTATTCAACATAGTGTTGGAAGTTCTGGCCAGGGCAATCAGGCAGGAGAAAGAAATAAAGGGTATTCAATTAGGAAAAGAGGAAGTCAAATTGTCCCTGTTTGCAGATGACAAGATTGTATATTTAGAAAACCCCATCGTCTCAGCCCAAAATCTCCTTAAGTTGATAAGCAACTTCAGCAAAGTCTCAGGATACAAAATCAATGTGCAAAAATCACAAGCATTCCTATATACCAGTAACAGACAGAGAGCCAAATCTTGAGTGAACTCCCATTCACAATGGCTTCAAAGCAAATAAAATACCTAGGAATACAACTTGCAAGGGATGTGAAGGACCTCTTCAAGGAGAACTACAAACCACTGCTCAATGAAATAAAAGACGACACAAACAAATGGAAGAACATTCCATGCTCATGGATAGGAAGAATCAATATCGTGAAAATGGCCATACTGCCCAAGGTAATTTATAGATTCAATGCCATCCCCATCAAGCTACCAATGACTTTCTTCACAGAATTGGAAAAAACTACTTTAAAGTTCATATGGAACCAAAAAAGAACCCACATTGCCAAGACAATCCTAAGCCAAAAGAACAAAGCTGGAGGCATCATGCTACCTGACTTCAAACTATGCTACAAGGCTACAGTAACCAAAACAGCATGGTACTGGTACCAAAACAGAGACATGGACCAATGGAACAGAACAGAGCCCTCAGAAATAATGCCACACATCTACAACAATCTGATCTTTGACAAACCTGACAAAAACAAGAAATGGGGAAAGGATTCCCTATTTAATAAATGGTGCTGGGAAAACTGGCTAGCCATATGTAGAATGCTGAAACTTGATCCCTTCCTTACACCTTACACAAAAATTAATTCAGGATGGATTAAAGACTTAAATTTTAGACCTAAAACCATAAAAACTCTAGAAGAAAACCTAGACAATACCATTCAGGACACAGGCATGGGCAAGAACTTCATGACTAAAACACCAAAAGCAATGGCAACAAAAGCCAAAATTGACAAATGGGATCTAATTAAACTAAAGAGCTTCAGCACAGCAAAAGAAACTGCCATCAGAGTGAGCAGGTAACCTACAGAGTGGGAGAAAATCTTTACAATCTACCCATCTGACAAAGGGCTAATATCCAGAATCTACAAAGAACTTAAACAAAATTTACAAGAAAAAAATCAAACAACCCCATCAAAAAGTGGGCAAAGGATATGAATGGACACCTCTCAAAAGAAGACATTTACGCAGCCAACAGACACATGAAAAAATGCTCATCATCGCTGGCCATCAGACAAATGCAAATCCAAACCACAATGAGATACCATCTCACACCAGTTAGAATGGCGATCATTAAAAAGTCAGGAAACAACAGGTGCTGGAGAGGATGTGGAGAAATAGGAACACTTTTATTACACTGTTGGTGGGACTGTAAACTAGTTCAACCATTGTGGAAGACAGTGTGGCAATTCCTCAAGGATCTAGAGCTAGAAATACCATTTGACCCAGCCATCCCATTACTGGGTATATAACCAAGGGATTATAAATCATGCTGCTGTAAAGACACATGCACACTTATGTTTATTGTGGCACTATTCACAATAGCAAATACTTGGAACCAACCCAAATGTCCATCAATGATAGACTGGATTAAGAAAATGTGGCACATATACACCATGGAATACTATGCAGCCATAAAAAGGGATAAGTTTATGTCCTTTGTAGGGACATGGATGAAGCTGGAAACCATCATTCTCAGCAAACTATCGCAAGGACAGAAAACCAAACACGCATGTTCTCACTCATAGGTGGGAATTGAACAATGAGAACACTTGGACACAGGAAGTGGAACATCACACACTGGGGCCTGTAGTGGGGTGGCGGGAGCGGAGAGAGATAGCATTAGGAGATATACCTAATGTAAATGACGAGTTAATGGGTGCAGCACACCCACATGGCACATGTATACATACGTAACAAACCTGCACGTTGTGCACATGCACCCTAGAACTTAAAGTATAATAATAATAAAAAGAAAGACCTAGAGATGTAACTGTGCATATGGGAATGATTGGTTCTGATTATACTGGAGAAATTCAATTAGTTATTAGTTCTTCAACTCCGTGGTCTGCTTCCCTAGGAGAAAGAATTGCTCAGTTGTTGACATAAAGCTGGGAAGCAGTACAGTGAAAAGAACTGGAGGCTTTGGTAGCACTAATCCAACAGGAAAGGCTATATATTGGGTTAATCAAGTGTCTGACAAAAGACCTATTTGTACAGTAGACCTGCTGTTGGATGCTTACCGGTTGACACACAGGACTGGTTGTCAGTAGTCCCCAGAAAAAATAAATCATGGGCTGCTTTGCATAGGGCAAGTGAAGTCATCACGCTTCAGTTTCATGGTTAACCTACCTCTGCTACAGAAAAACGATTTAATCAGCACACAAGGAATGTGTTCATTGTGGTATTTGTGGCCTTTATGATGGGAATGTTCAACGTCTACTCCTACTACATTGGTGCAAAACAAAATGAAGCCTTCACAACAGAGTTTTAAGACACTGTTCTGGGCTATATTTGGACTTTCTGAAGTGAAATCAGTGGTCATCAGCTATAACCACAAATTCATTGCTATAATGTTCCAGGAAATTGAGGATGACGCTGATGTGGAGTGGAAATTTGCAAGGGCCAAACTCTTGTTTTCCTGCTTTGGGGCGGGGAGAGCACTTCCTGTTCCCTTCAATCTGGTGCAGGGTCCAGTGTCCCTGTTTTTCTCTTGGTGAAGCTTAAAGGGTGGATTTCTGAGCTCTACTCAGGGTCATAGAAAAGGTTTCCAGGAAAGATGCAGAGATAAGTAAGTAGAGATAAGTAGAGACAAGTAAGTAAGTAGAGATAAGTAAGTCTAAGTAGAGATAAGTAAGTACAGCTAAAGGAGATAAATATAGAGATAAATAGAGATAGAGATAGATAGAGATATAGATAGATAGAGATAAATAGAGATAGAGATAGAGACAGAGACTTGCAGGAACTCACAGGTACCACAGGGACAGATAGGGATAGATGAAGACTAGCAATATAAAATCAGTGCCCTAAAGAGGTACAAAAGCAAAGACTAGCAATATAAGGTCAGTGCCCTAAAGAGGTACAAAAGTAGAGGCTAGCAAAGACTAGCAGAGATTTGCAGGGACAGACGAGAACATTCTGAATTATGGAAATTAGCTATGGCTCAAAGGGCAAATATAAAAGGAATAGAGCGGGGGAAGGTAAGGATAAAAATGCTTTTTCTTTTTTCTCCAATAGGACTCTTTGGTCCTTTAAACTTAAAGGGCAGATGCATTGGTGTCTGTGGTCTTTGCTGATGCACAAGAATTCCATTCTTTAATATGAGGAAGAGGATTTGTTTGTGTCTCTCCAGGTGATGATCAGGTGCCTGTGTGGGTCCTCACCAAACATCTGAAGATCTGTCATGAGCCACAGCATCTAGTGGACCCACCTGTACAGTGCAAATTGAAGGTTTAAGGATTGCTTTTAAGCCTTGATTTGCTTTCCTGGTGCCTTCTGTTGGAAGGGCCTGTTTCTCAATATCAGTGGCCTCCCAGCTACAGCCACAACAGTTTTTGCTTCTGTTTCAGTAGATTTACTAATGTGGGGGTGAGGGTATGCTTGTGTTTTTGCAGGAGATGAACGAACCATGTGGATGCCCTCAAGACGTGTACGACCATGGAATGGGAGACTGGAGGGACCCATGGATCCTAAGCATGGACTGGGTTCCCCAGTACGAGCCATGAGCCAGCTGAATCTGAATGAGAAGATGGAACGAGGACCGACCGGAGTCTTGATGCTTAACAGACCAATGCTTTCTGGCTGAGCTCCTCTCTACCCTGAATACAGAAACCCTAATAGTTAGGCAGGAGTATCATCACCCCTATTCAGCATGAAGAAGTTACAGAAGATGGACCTTCATCCTTCTGCAACCCCTAGGATTAAGGGTCCTGTAAAAGGGAAAGCGGAGATATGTGGGAAGCACTCAAACCAGAGTGACTCCGGTTTGAATAAGGGCTAAGAAAAATGAAGCTGGATCACCAACCGGCAATTAAGGGCTGCACAGCCTGCAATCACCTTGCTAATGATAGCTAGTAATAATACTTTCTCTTTTACAAAAAAGAGAAGGGGGGCATGTTAGGAAAAAGCTGAGTGTTGGGAGAAACTGAGGCAGGGCTTGCATATCTGACATAATGTCCTCTGGAATGTGTCTAGCCTTGCTGGCTCCTTGCTTCTAGCCTTCCTAGGCTCCTACTCCCATTATCTCAAGTAGCAAAACATGTTCCATATAAACGCTAAACCATCACAGCTGTAAATCATGTGCTTAATGCAACATGTCCTTTTGACCTCCACATTCTCACCACATGTTTCTTTGTTGGACTGCCAATAAATAGCATGGGCTCCCAGAGCTCAGGGCCTTCACAGCCTCCACAATGGCGATGGCCCCCTGGTGTCCCACCTTTCTCTTTCAAACCTATTTCTCAATCCTTTGACTCCACCAGACTTTGTCACCCCCATGACCTGGTGTTGGGTCTGATCACCCCAACAGACAATAGATTTGGAAAGAAAACAGAGCTTCTTGGTTCTGGCTGCACTGGAGAAATTTGAAAAAGTACCAGTGCCCAGGCCCTCTACCCCAGAGAGTGTCAATGAATTGGTCTGGGCGTGTTGGAATCAACTGAGAGCTTTTACACAGCACCACTGCCCAGGCCCCACCTGAGCCCCATTAAATTAGAAATGCTGGGGGCGGGGCCCAGGCACTGACGTATTTTGAAGCTTCCCCAGTTGAATTGATTCTAGCTGGAACTGAGAACCATTCCCATCTCCACCCCACAGAAGGACAAAGGAAGGCCATCTGGGCTGGAATGGAGTTGGGAGAAGGCAGAGGCATGGTCTCATAGAAAGGGGGACAGCTGAGTGGGGTCATTCCCTAAACCTGTCACATCTGTATAAATCCTATCATTAATCTCTCCTTAATATGTAAACTACACTTACTATAGCTAATTTAATAAATGGAGGTGTTCTCAACATCTTCCTCCAAAAGCAAAAAACAAAAGCAGCTTTCGTCAGTTACCTTGTGTGAATGTCACCTGCTTCCTGCCAGATCCTGACTGATGTGCTGTGTTAGGCACCTGGTTGCAAAAAAATCAGAGGTGGTCTGGTTGCCATGAGCATGTGGTATAAGACAACATCTGGACAAGAGCTGGACTTGAAAGCTGTTCACGAGCCTAAGTTTAGAAAACGCTTCTGCCACCAACCGTCATTTCCCATGCCTCTCTCAGACCAGAATGGCCACATCTTCCTGTGCTGCTTTTGGCTCTGTTCTCTCCATGCCCATTACCTGCCCCAAATCTGCAGCCCAAATGCCAGCAGAGCACCAGTGTCTGGCCAGCTTCCACCTCAGGTCCTGGTGGGTATGGCGCAGTGGACACCACACCCACCTCCACCCAGAACAGTGCCTTGTGGCTTCCCTGGGTAGAGGACTTCAGACAGGGTAATGTCAGCAAAAAGGGAACAACACGTGGGACTGTAAGTCCAATTAAATCTCTTTCTTTTGTAAATTGCCCAGTCTTGGGTATGTCTTTATCAGCAGCATGAAAACAGACTAATATAATGAATGTCCCGGGATGGTAGATTCCAAACTGTGCTCCTTGAAACCCCTAGGACTTTAGATTTAAATCAGATCCATGAAGTGGCCCAAGAGGATCTTCAGAAACTTAGGAGGGAGTTTAAAGCTGAAAAATTGTAAAAGCCATTCTCCTAAATCAGTGAGCTTTAATGATTCAAAGGAACTTAAAAATTATATCATCAAACATTTTTACTTTCAGGTAAAGAAACCATGGACAGGTCTTGTTTCCCAGGACCTTCTGACAGAGCCTCTACTGATTTTGAGTACAGTCCACGGGTCCAAAGGAGGAAGGATGGACTGGCTGCTGGCCTGCCAATGGCAGGGGTTCATGTGGCTTGGTCTACCTTACCAGTGTCCAGGTTGAACCCTTAATCACTAGTGTAATTCCTCAGTCAAGCCTATGTAAATCCAAGTGCTTATATAAAAATAAGTTATTTCAAATCAGCTTGCGACATCATGATGATGATGATGATGATTACTATTATCATTATTGAAACAGGGTCCTGCTCTGTTGCCCAGGCTGGAGTGCCAGAGGCATGATCTCAACTCACTGCAGCCTCCACCTCCTGGGCTCAGAAGATACTCCCACCTCAGCCTCCTGAGTAGCTGGGACTATAGATGTGTGCCTTCACACCCAGCTAATGTTGGCCAGGCTGGTCTGGAATTCCTGGACTCAACCAATCCACCTCCCTCAGCTTTCCAAAGTACTGGGATTATAGGCATGAGCCACCACACCTGACCCAATTACTTTTAATAATAATAGTGCTTGTGGTGTTGATTAACATTAGGGAACACCATGATTAGAAGGACCCTCTGAAAGGCCCCAGGCAATGATTTTGAACCTTCTCTTTGGGCATGCACTATTTTCAGAAGCTGATGAAAACTCTGGAGCTTCCTCCCAGAAAAATGAATATACTTCAGACACATTCCATCTGTCCCAAAATTTCAGGGGTGTATAGACTCCTTGAAGCCCATACTTGAACTCCAGATTAAGTATTTGTGTTCTTCAGCATACACCCTGGGCAGAATTTTTCATCTGTCTTTGACAGAAGATCCAGATGGCAAAAACTTCATGGTTCACCTTTCCATCTGCCTGGTACACATCTTTTTATTTTAAACTTATTTATCTCATTAACACAGATGTAAAACAACAGTAACAACCCCTTGTTATGCTAGAAAAGGAAATAAGGAGACTTGAGTCACGTAGCCGATACACATGGATAGGAGGGCACTTTTCCTGTCATTAGTACCAAGATGATTGAGGTCCTCTCATCCCAGGCAAAGGGTGAAATGCACAAACCTAACAGCACTTTTTGCTCAGTTACTCTGTGACCTATTCCTGATTTTAGATGCAGGTAAACTAACTCCTGAAAATGGACATTTAGTATTCATATATATACTAAATATTTAAGGTATGTGACCATCAGAGGTAATTTCATTACAACAAAGCATAAAGGAAAACATTTTTCAAAAATACAGGAAAATATACATAGTGTGAGTTTCTCCAAGCCTTAAGAGGATGTGAGGAGCCTTAGGGGGTCACAGTAGCAGTTATAATTCTTGTTCCTACCTGCTACTGCGAGACTTCCAACTTCTTGCAAATTTCTCTCCAAACATTTCTCTTCCCAGGGAGTGTCTCAGCGCTAGTGGTGCTGGACATGATGTCCTACACCATTATTTCCACCAGGTGGCAGCGCTATGTCAACAGGCACTGCCTTCAATTTCCGTAGGGAACCTTCCTCCCAGTGAGACAAAGAAAGCCTTTCTCCCTCTGCATTACTATCAGAGAGTCCCTAAAGAGACTAAAGTTTTGTTTTGCTTTGTTTTGTTTTGAGAGTACAGCTTGTTCAGCCCTCGTCTCTCCATAGGTATCAGACAGGCCCCTGAAAGCCAAATCGGAGACAAGCCAACTGGGCTGTCTTCAGAATTGCCTTGCCCTTCTAATGACAAAGGGCATTTTCTCCCTGATTTGAGGTTAGAAAAAAAAAGAAGACAAAGATGACAGGCTTTGCTGCTGGCTCTTCTCACCACCGGGTTGGTTGAGAGCTTGAGAATAAGACAAAGCTTGGGTGAGTCCAATCTCTGCCACTCGCTAGCTATGAGACTTTAGGCAGAGTAACCTCTCCAAGCCTCTGTTTCCTCATCTGTAAAATGAGGAGAATGATGGTCCCTACTTCATAGGGCTAATGTACAGATTAAATGAGAGTCTAGCATAATCTCTGGTACATGAGATGCATGTAATCAATACTAGAGCTTATTATGATAACCATGTAGACCTACAGAAGTGATACAATTGCTAACAGTGGTTATTTCTGGTGGCAGGATCAGAGACGATTTTTAATTTCTTCTTTGTTTTTCCAAATTCTCTTCAGCACGCATGCATTGCTTTTATAATCATGAAAAGACGCAATTAAAATATAATAGATTGCTGATCCCCTGTTCTTGATGATTCCTCTGAAACATTCAAACTTTCTCTGTGACTCAATGAGCTCCCCAAGGCTGGGCCTATATCTTATCTACTTTGGAGTCTTTGACATGAAACACATAATTTGACACACAGTAGGCAATCAATACTCATTTCCTGAAAAAAATCTCAAAGGCAATTACTTCAGGTTTTAATTTCTCAGTGTAACTAAACATCTTTTTTTCCTCCAAGAATTCTCTTTTCTCACTTAGATTCAATTGCTAATCCTTTTGCCAAATTAATTAAATCCTCTCCAGATTCTCCCCAGTCAAATTCCTTAGACTATTGAGTTGGTTTTAGGCGGTGACATGGTTTGTCTGTGTCCCCACCCAGATCTCATTGTGAATTGTAGCTCCTATACTTCCCTTGTGTCATGGGAGGTAATTGAATCATGGGGGCGGGTCTTTCCCGTGCTGTTCTCGTGACAGTGAATGAGTGTCACAAGATCTGATGGTTTTTTAAAGGGGTGTTCCCCTACACAAACTCTCTCTTCCCTGCTGCCATGCAAGATGTGACTTTGCTTCTCATTCGCCTTCCACCATGATTGTGAGGCCTCCCAAGCCATGTGGAACTATAAAGGAAACCTCTTTCCTTTATAAACTACCCAGTTTCGGGTATGTGTTTATTAGCAGCTTGACAACAGACTAATACAGGCAGGTTTCCAGAAAGCATTTTACCTGAGTTCCCAGAATTCATGCTGGGGGGTGTACGGGGAGAGAGGTGGGAGATGGTCATGGGTGGTTAGATCATTGATTTGAGATCAAATCTTTTCAGTAGCTAAATGAAGACCTAAGAGCCAGAATAACCTAGATTATATAAAGAGATTATAAAAGGAAATAGGCATTTCTAAAAATGTATTACATTTAAAATTGAAACCCATAATGAAGAGGATGATTGTTTTTTACCTGTGGATAGAACACAGGGTTACTGATGATTACACTTGGCTATTGCTGTCATTTGGTTCTTTTGATCTTCACTTTGAGTCAATGGAACTGTTCAGGCATTCTGTAAGGAGGACAGACACCAGCGTGACACTGCCTCAGCATTTCTTCTACAAAAGAAAAGTCAAAATAAATGACATTAGCCCATAGCAGCTGATATATTTTAATTCTTTCCTCATATTATTAACAAACATGAGACTTTCTCTTTCCAGGGAAGTTGGATCTGTATGGGAATCCAAAGATAATTACAGCTGAGCCATCCTGAGATAGAGCCCCTGAGAGGCATAGAAATCTCCAAAGTGGCCTCTTTTTACACAGATTGTGGATATTCAGTTCTTCCTTTGGTCCCATGTTACAAACTAGATTATTCTTTGCTTTAGATATCCAACCATTCAGACTCCTAGCTGAGTCTTACAAGTTTCTAGCTCAGGAGGGAGTTGTTGGGTGGCAGGGGGTGGCTCTGTGGTTGCTGGTTATGTGGGGAACATGTGGGAAGTGCAAGGAGAAAGGAAAGCTCCGGGCTTGCACACGTCAGTCAGGGCTGGTTCCTGTTCCTGTAACCTAAGATTTCTGTTGACATGGTGCCAATTCCCTGGCAGGCATGCAGAGAAGCCTCTGTTCTCTCTGCCGCGCTGTGGCGTCTCACCTAGACACCTGGCCCCTGAAGCAGAGATCTGTCTGCTGCCACCACAGCTCCTCTCTCCAGACTGTTCAGATCTGGTCCCTGTAGGATGGAAGTGCACACACTGTCTCTGCCTGTCCCCAGGGAGCAAGATGTAAACTTCCTCCTTCATCATTCGGGCAAAAACTGAATAAATAGATGAACACCAAATTATGGAAATCTTCATTATGCAGGCCAGGTTGCCAAACATGCCCAGACCTGCTTAAGCTGAGAAGTAAAGGCTGATCAAGCTCACATGTAAAATCCTGGGTTATAAGAAAAATTCCAGCTGACTTGGAACACAGCCCCAACTCCTCCCACATGACCAGCAAAGAGCTGGTCCAGGAAAAATTCCACTTGTTTGGCCGGGTGTGGTGGCTCACGCCTGTAATCCCAGCACTTTGGGAGGCTGAGGCAGGTGGATCACGAGGTCAAGAGATCAAGACCATCCTGGCCAACATGGTGAAACCCCGTCTCTACTAAAAATACAAAAAATTAGCTGGGCATGGTGGCGGGCACCTGTAGTCCCAGCTACTTGGGAGGCTGAGGCAGGAGAATCACTGGAACCCGGGAGGCGGAGGTTGCAGTGCACCAAGATTGCGCCACTGCACTCCTGCCTGGCGACAGAGTGAGACTCCGTCTCAAAAAAAAAAAAAAAAAAAAATTCCACTTGTTCAAAGATGAGTCATCAAAAAGGAAGACATGCAGGATCTCTGCAAATGTAGGAAAGGGATAGGAAAAACCAATGGCAGATGTGGAATACTCACCAGGAAGAGGCTGCCATGGAGCAGACACCGGTCATAACCAAGCAATTACCAGGCACTTAAAAACTTAATGAAATGGTCGCCTTTAAGAAGGAAAAGGATAAAGTGAGCTCAGGGAAATGATGTTAAGATATCAGAAGGTGGAACATGAGCTCAGAAGAAAAGTGGAAAAAGAAAAGAAAGGCAACTAGGACTAGTCAGGGTTCTCCAAAAAAACAGAACTAATACGATATCTATCTATCTGTTATTTTGTGTGTGCATATAAAATATATATAATATTATATGTGTGTGCGTGTGTGTGTGTATATATATATATATATGTATGTATATTCTAGAGGAAGAGAGAGAGTGAGATTTATTTTAAGGAATGGGCTGCCATGATTATGGAGGCTGGCAAGTCCAAAATCTGCAGGGTGGGGGCTGGCAGGCTGGAGACCCAGGAGAGCCACTGTTTCAGTTCAAGTGCAAAGTTCATGTGCTGGCAGAATTCCTTCTTGCCTGGAAGAGGTCAGTCTTTTGTTCTATTTAGGCCTCCAATTGATTGGTTGAGGACCATCCACATTAGGTAGAGTCATCTGCTTTACTCAAAGTCCAATGATTTAAATGTTAATCTCATCCAAAAACACCCTCACAGAAACATCCAGAGTAATGTTTGACCAAATATCTTAGTCTCATGACCCAGCCAAGTTGACACGTAAAATTTAACCATCTTACCTAACCAAACCAATGCAATGATGATTCAAATCAAATTTAACAACAAATTCCAAACTAGAGTGACCTGCTCCCCTTTGGATTGTCTCTTTGAAAGGGAGAGGCCATGAATGTCCTTCCATCAGGGATGAGGGTCTTTGCTCCCTACATTGCCTCCTGTAGTCACTGGCAATGATATCAGTGAATCTAAACTCCCATGAGTGGGTCATAATGAATACTAGACTGATATTAGATTTTATCCTAGCTATCTGAAATAGGAATGACTGGTCTCCCTTGCCCCCAGAACTTTTAGACAGTTGGTTGAGCCCGGGACCCTGGGGACATGGGTGAGATCAATATGGCAGACTTGCTGCACTGTATTGCTTGAAGTCCTGTCAATAGCAGCCTTAATTTTAAATGTGATAGGAATCAAATTAAACAGATTTGGTCCCTCTGTTGGTCAGACTAATCAGAGCAGCTGATGAGGTAGCATACTCATGGGAAAATGTGAATTTGGCCAAGGATCTGTCAGGCCTTGTGGTGGATTTTTGTGACAGGCAATTTGCCACAGGCTCTGATTGTCTCTGCATGCTCTTGCTGGGGATGACAAGAATGCAAGGTCCTGACTGTTCCTTGCTTGGGATATTTCTCAGGGTTGTGTTTGCAGTAGACAGCCTTGACAAAGCAATATCCCCCTGCCCCAGACAAAGGGCAGACTTGCTCACCACTTACTATTAAATTGTATGTTCCCAAGCTCAGTGTTCCTTAGCTGCAGTACAAACACACTGCGTGTACAGTAACCACCTGGGCCCCTCCACATCACCCCTGTGGGACTTGGGGACAAGGAAAACCAATGCTAACTAACACAAACCTCGTGCAACTTGTTCTGCCATGAGTAGTGTAGTCCTTTGTCTCTGATCCAGTCTCATGTCATCTGCCAGCATCCATGAAACCATAACAGGCTTACTAGCTTGTAAGATGGGCAAAATTCCCGACTTTCACAGATTCCAACACACATGACCCAAGTAGGGCCAATCAGGGATTCTTCCCAAAGATACTTCCTCAAGAGCACTTCCCCAGAGTTCTTTCCCACTGATAGATGGGTGATGGGAAAATGCCATCCATTTTATCTCTCTCTCCTTCTTCCCTTTATCAGTTTATATACAAGTTGTTGGAGGTTAGCTTTACAATTTGGTCTTTTGGTAACAGAATATTTAGAGGGACTGTGATCAAATTCGAGTAATGAATATAGCCAGAGATAGATAAAATTGTTGTTGGCACGAGTATCTTCTCATTTGGGAGAAAGGGTAGGAATATTTTCCCTGGTAAGAAGGATAGCTGTATTTTGTTCGTTGTCATATAGAAGTTCAGGTATGTGTAGGAGGGTGCATATGGAAACTGAGTAGCCAAAGGGGTGGGCTGTGACAGTTATCACTTTAGAGCCTCTGAATTCCAAATCCACTCTTCGTTATCCTCCTTTGTGATACTGGAGATGAATCCTGTAAACATTTCTTTGCCTGCTAGCACGATATTAAGTGCTGTCAATGGAGGGCTCTGGAGAGACACTGCAGGAAGAAGAGGCTACCTTCCTTTCCTCTTGCTCCTGCTCTTGACTGGTGCATGGGGCACCCAGGGATGCTCCTCCTGGTGATTTCCTGAGGAGTTCTGCTAGCACCTCAGTCAGCTCTCCAGCAAATTCAACAGCAACCCCACAGGCAGGTTTTCACCAAACGCTGCTGAAGCCCCGGATGGTGGCATAGTGTGTCTCATAAATGCTCCAGCAGTTGGCTCCCCGGAGTTTCAGTAACATACCACGGGTGAAGTCCTAGTGAATGCCTGCACCTCAGAGGGCAGCTTCTCAGTGAGTGTTGTCAGCCCCCACCCTGCTGCCCCCACCGGTGCATGGGTTTCTTGCATGCCAGCCCGGCCTCAAGCACTACAACAAACTTCTCTGCCATCCTGCGGGCTCTAGCCACACCATCTCCAATGGCATCTGAGTCTCATTCCTGCGGAGACCTTTTTCCAAGTTGGTTCCTTCCTTGGGTTCTCTGCTTCAGCCCTAGACCTAGTGCCTGCCCCTATATCCACGATTCCTGTTTTTTCTTTGTTTGTTTGTTTGTTTGTTGTTTTTGAGATGGAATCTCACTCTATTGCCCAGGCTGGGGTGCAGTGGCACGATCTCGGCTCACTCCAACCTCCACCTCTCAGGTTCAAGCGATTTTCCTGCCTCAGCCTCCAGAGTAGCTGGGATCACAGGCATGTGCCACCACACCCAGCTCATTTTTGTATTTTTAGTAGAGACAGGGTTTCACCATGTTGGCCAGGCTGGCCTGTATTTTTTTTTTTTTTGTGGTAAAACATACATAACATTTATCATTTTAACCACTTTTAAGTGTACAATTCAGTGACATTAGATACATTCACAATGTTTTGCAGCCATCACCACTATCTATTTCCAAAACTTTTCTATCAGTCCAAGGTGAAACTCTATACCCATTGTAATAGTCTGTTCTCACGCTGCTATAAAGATACTACCTGAGACTGGGTAATTTATGAAGAAAAGAGGTTTGATTGATTCACAATTCTGTGTGCCTGGGGAAGCCTTGGGAAACACTCTCATGGTGGAAGGTGAAGGTAAGCAAGGCAGATCTCTTCACAAAGTGGCAGGAGAGAGAGAAAAAGAGAGACAGAAGGGAGCCACATACTTTTAAACCATCGAATCTCATGAGAACTCACTCACTATCACAAGAATCACCTCCATGATCCAATCATCTCCCACCAGGTCCCTCCCTTGACATGGGATTACAATTTGAGATGAGATTTGGGTGGGGACCCAGAGCCAAACCGTATCACCCATTAAACAATAACTTCCCATTCTCCCCTTCCTCCAGCTCCTGAAAACCTCCATTCCGCTTTCTGTCTTTATGGATTGACTATTCATGGTACATTGTATAAGTGGCACCATATAATATTTGCCCTTTTGAGTCTGGCTTATTTCATTTTGCATAATGTCTTCAAGGTTTATCCATGGGGTAGCATGTATCAGAATTTCATTCCATTTTATGGCAGAATAACATTTCATTTTGTTTATCCATTCACCTGTTTCTGTAACCTTTAGACTTCTTTTTATCCCTTAGTGGCTAACCCTCTATTATTAGTTCATGATTATTTATATTACACTTTCCCTGTTGACATTGTATAGCTCCTCTCTCCTGCCTGATACATCTGTCTTAGGAAACTGCCTTTCCATCCTTGTGACTGATGGGGCCAATCATGGAACCTCATTTCCCTCACCATATATTGTATTGGCCCATCACTCTGATAATAGTGCTGTGTGCCAGGGTAGGTACACAACCAACCAAAAGCAATCCCATGCCTTCCCCAGGATGGAAAGATGAGTACTGGGAAAAGGCTTTTCACTGGGATTGCCACACTGGGGTTCTTGAGGCCACATTCTTAGATACGTTTAGGGGCTCATCTTGTGGTGGGAGAAATTGAGGCCAACAGGCAAAGAGCAATACAGATGAAAGTGAAAAATGGAGAGGTTTCTCATATACCTGGAGAAAGTGCAGCACGAGAAGAAGGTTAAAATTTAAGGAAGTGAGAGCACAAATAAGAGAGTGAGAAAGAGCAGCTGGATGTACAGAGGACACATCAGGAGATAGCGGATCATGATACCATGAAAATCAGACTGTCAAGGCAGCATTTTCTAAAAGAAGGGATGAGTAAAAGTAGGCTGGAAAATGCCACTGGCTTGGGCACTAGGTTGTGGTTGACCTTGGTGACAGCAGAGGCAGCAGAGGCCCGGCATGGCCTGGCCTCGGTGCCTCTCCATGGCCATCTCCGGCACCCTGGAGATGCCATCCTCTGGCCATACTTGCCATTTCACGGAGCTGCCACAGCTCTCAAGCTTCTCCATTTTCCTTGACCCATCCCAGTTTGTCCTCTTGACCAACTCTGACTGATTCTCCAAAATTCAGCTCAACCTTAGGTCTCCAGGTCAGTTTCTCCCAAAGAGGAGGAGATGCTCCCCACCCAGCCCTTTGTGTGTCCCTTCCTTTGATGACGTGTGATTACACTGTTTACTGTAAATGTCTGCCTCCTCCTCCAGTCTATGAGCTCCTTAAAAACAAGGACTTAGCCTTTTGCATCTTTGTATTCCAAGCACTCAGCCCAGGGCCTGGCTCTGAAATGAGCTCAGTGCATATTAATGGATCAATGCCTGGAGGGACACACCCGCTGATCTGATCCTTTTTTAGAAAAACACGATCTGGTTGCCATGGCGCTGAAAGAGCGCTTTCTATACCTGCTGTTTTCAGGATGAGCAAATCACTTTCAGCTGACCACACTGTGGCATCTGGCCAGCAGGATCTGCAGAATCCAGCAGGATGGATGCTGAGCCAACTCTGAGATGGAAGAGACACTTTTCCTCCTTCCGAGCAGGTAAACTATTGAGTAACATCAAAGAATTTCATTTTTTCTACCCCTGGAAGATTTAAAGGGCTCCTCTTTTGTCAATATCCCCCTAGCTCTCCTGCCAGTTTTCTCTCACCTCCTGTACAGTTTTTCTGTCTCCTTATCTGCTGCTACTCTAAGACAGGGCTTTAGCCTATAGGCCAAATCTGGCCCACCACCTGTTTTTGCAAATAAAGTTTTATTGGAAGACAGCCATACCCATTTGTTTACATATTGTCTATGGCTGCTTATACTCTACAATGGTAGAGCTGTGGCAGAGATTGCATGCCTGCAAAACTGAACATATTTACTATCTGGCCCCTTGCAAAAAATAAAAAGTTTTCTGACGGTATACTAGAGAATGAGCTTCAGCTGATAAGAGATGATAAGGAAATAGTGCAACTCAAAAATGGGACAAGGGAAATAGAGAAAAACGGAATATGCCCCTAGATTGTTGTATGAGCAATGGATGGGAGATGAAGAATACTGCAGTATTTATAAACCAGATAGTAAAAGCTTAAACAAGAAAATAAGAGTAAGAGCCAAGGGAGGCTGAGGTGAGAGGATTGCTTGTGCGCTGGATCGCCTGACTGAGACCATCCTGGGCAACACAGGGAGACACCATTTCTACAAAAAATACAAAAAAATTAGCTTGTTGTGGTGGCACATGACTGTAGTCCCAGCTACTCAGGTGGCTGAGGTGGGAGGACTTACTGAGCCCAGGAGGCCAAGGCTTTGATGAGCCAGGATCATGCCATTATACTCCAGCCTGGGCAAAGAGCAAGACCCTGTCTTAAAAAAAAAATTAAGAGCATTTTAAAAAGTGTACATATAAAATAACCACTGGAATAAAATTACAAACCTTTATAAATATAATTTTTAAAGTAAAAAAAAATACATTGCATGGCAATACAATTGCCATGCAGATACATGCAATACAATTGCATAGCAGATACAATACATGATCAATATAAAGTAATGTGGCAGAATGGAGACCCAATATATCAGTTGTATCAGTAAATATGAGAGGACTCATAAAAAGAAAACATTTTTAATTTGACTCATCCTCATCAGCCTTCTTGGCTAGAACTCCCCATTCTCTCTTGAACCCATCCAGTCAGGCTCCAGTTCTCACCACCCCCACAGAAACAACTCTTATCAAGATAACCAATGGCTTTCAAAGTTTCTATTGCTCTCTTCCCAGTCCTTATTTTTCCAAGTCTCGCAGCAGCAGTTGACAAAGGTGATCCTGTTCTCCCCATCAAAAACTGTTTCTTTACTAATTTCTGGGATAGCACCTCTCCTGGTACAGGGGAAGGAAGGAAGACTTCCTTCCCAGAGACTTCTCAGAGTTTTTTACTGGATTCTTCTCCTCTTCCTGATCTAATCGAAGGTTGGATTCTCCCAGGTCTCCTTCCATGGACCTCTTCTCTTTCCTCTCTTCACTTTTTCTCATAGTATCTTCCATCATTCCCTTGGCTTTCATGGACAGGGTGATGATCTCCAGATTTGTATCCCAGACCCTGAGGTCTTCCCTGAGCTTTAGACTCACAGACCCAACTGTCTACTCAGCTTGGCATCAGCATCCATCCTGCTGGATTCTGCAGATCCTGCTGCCCAGATGCCACAGTGTGGTCTGTTTGGGTACAGACTAGCCATCTCAAACCTAATGTATTCAAAGCTAAATTACTGATTTGTCGTTCCTGGTTTGTTTCCTCTACAGTCTTCCCCATCTCAGGAAGCAGCAGCACCATTCACCTCGTTGCTTGGTTGAACAGGGGGAGTCTTCCTTGACCCCTCTCTCTCAGATAATTTCTCAGTAAGTCCTGTTGGCTCTGGCCTAGCACAGTGGCTCAGGCCTGTAATTCCAATGCTTTGGAAGGCCAGGGCAGGCAGAAGGCTTGAGCCCAGAAGTTCAAGACCAGCCTGGGTAACATGGTGAGACCCATATCTCCATAAATACAAAAATTAGCTGGGTGTGGTGGCATGCACCCATAGTCCCAGCTGCTTGGGAGGCTGAGAGGTGGGAGGATACCTTGATCCAGGAGGTCAAGGCTGCAGTGAGCCATGATTGCACCAGTGCACTACAGCCTGGGCAACAAGCGAGACCCAGTCTAAAAAAAAAAGTCCTGTTAGCTCTAACTTGATCACTCTCTAATCTGCCCCACCAAGATCTCTGAGGGCCGAGCCACCCTCCTGTCTGGTCTGGGCTACTCCTGTAGCCTCCTAACTGGCTGCCCCTCACCTCTACTTCTGCCCCCTGCTTTTTTCCTCCACACTTCAGCCAACGGGATGATTCTAAAATGCGGGTCAGATCACACCACCCCTCCTCAAAACCCTCCAACTGCTTCCCATCCACACTTACAGGAAAATCTAAAGAACTCAATGTGACTTACACAGCCCTGTATGTTCTGGCCCCTGCCTCTCTCTCCAGCCTCATTTACTACTTTTCCCTCTCCTTCACCACATTCCAGAGGCCCTGGCTTCTTTCCTGTTTCCAGGACACGCCAAACACAGTCCTGCCTCAGGGCAGTTTGCTGTCTGGAAGAGCCTTGCCCAGGCCTCAGTAAGGTTCTATGCTCACTGCATTCAGCTCTCTGCTCTTCTGAGGGGTCCTCATGACAATCACAAACAAAACAGCACCGCTTCACTCGCTGCACTCAAACATTGCTTCACGTTTCCATAGTGCTCATCACCGCTTGCCAGTACATTGTATTAAATAGTTCTGAGTTTTTTTTTTTTTTTTCTTTTGAGATGGAGTCTCACTCTGTTGCCCAGGCTGGAGTGCAGCGGTGCAATCTCGGCTCACTGCTACTTCTGCCTCCCGGGTTCAAGCAATTCTCCAGCCTCAGCCTCCCGAGTAGTTGGGACTATAGGCAACCGCCACCATGCCCAGCTAATTTTTTGTATTTTTAGTAGAGACGGGGTTTCACCATGTTAGCCAGGATGGTCTCAATCTCCTGACCTCAAGATCTTCCTGCCTCGGCCTCCCAAAGTGCTGGGATTACAGGTGTGAGCCACCACACCCGGCCCAGGGTTGTTTTTGAGATGGGATCTGTCACTCAGGTTGAAGTCCAGTGTCACAACCTCAGCTCACTGCAACCTCTGCCTCCCAGGCTCAAGAGATCCTTCCACCTCAGCCTCCCAAGTTGCTGAGACCACAGGCATGTGCTACCACACCTGGTTAATTTTTTATGTTTTTGTTAGAGATGGGATTGTTGCCCAGGCTGGTCTTGAACTCCTGAGCTCAGGTGATCCACCTGCCTTGACCTCCCAAAGTGCTGGGATTACAGGTGTGAGCCACCATGCCCAGCCTAAACACTTTCATTTGTCTTTCTCTCCTCTAAAATATAAACTCCCTAAAGTGATGACTTTGTCTTACTCACTACTCTATTCTCAATATGTGGCACAGTGCCTGAAAAATAGCATGCGCTCAATAAATAATTGTTGAATGAATGAATGAATGGAGACATGGTCCTATTTTGGCCTGTGATTCAATGTTTCCAAATTCCTGACAGATTTTAATCTTTGGGAATTAGGAATGAGAAACCAAAATGTATAGGCAGTCCAGGGAATTTCTGAACTCCTAAGTTAGGTACAGGTTGCCTCATATATGTTCATTTCTTTAAAAAATGAAACTATTTTGTCTGCTTTACAAAGAACTGTAGGCAGCCAGGAATCGTGGCTCACACCTGTAACCCCAGCACTGTGTGTGGGAGGCCGAGACAGGCTGATCACCTGAGGTCAGGAGTTCAAGACCAGCCTGGCCAATATGATGAAACCACGTCTCTACCAAAAATACAAAAATTAGCTGGGCGTGGTAGCACGTGCCTGTAATCCCAGCTTCTAGGGAGGCCGAGGCAGGAGAACTGCTTGAACCTGGGAGGGGGAGGTTGCAGTGAGCCAAGATCACGCCACTGCACTCTAGCCTAGGCAACAGAGCAAGACTCCATCTCAAATAAACAAACAAACAACTGTAGGCTATAGTAAAGATGCCAACAGTGGAAAATGCCAGTGAACATTATCAGATTGTATTAGAATAACAACATTGGGATCTTCTAGCAAGATTAACTACTACATGGAATTATGTGTCAAAGTTGCCAATTTAAGGACTTATTTTGCCTTCAAAACTTGTTATTTCTGGAACATCACTCATAGGATTTGTATAAAGTATAATGTGCATACAGACTTATTAGTATTTATTTGATTTGCCAGAAAACTCACTGTTAGAAGCAGTCATGCCAGGAACACACTCATAACGTGCAGCAGCTACAGGCCAGGCTGGCTGATGAGAGGCTGAAAGCGTCTCCTCTGTGCCCTTCCGGGAGTGGTTCCCAGAAATGTCGGTCTTAGCCTCTGACCCAGTGTCAGCGTGCTGTTCTCTTGCTCCTCCCCGATGTCAGTGGATTCATTTTTATCAAAAATGTCTTGATGTTTATTGTTAAGCTTGAATTCCCACACAATTTTAGCACTTCCCCCATTTTCTTGGTGTCTCAAGTGATTTTTCTTGGGACTCAGAGTTCAGAGAAACATGCATTTCCAGAAAAAAGCTGGGAAGGGACTCTTGCATGGGAACACTGTCTAAAAGCACTTTCACCTTGGTTTCTGGAAACAGGCACATTGCAAGCTACAGTTTAGGACCTGATGCCACTTTGAAGGTGTGTCAGCTGGACACAGAAAACGAGGTTACGGAAACAATGGTCCCAGCACAGCTCACTCTCCACCACGCTGCGCTCTCTCTCCTTAGTCTTGTGGGGCTGGAGGCACAGTGGCTTAGAAGTGGGGTGACCTGGTTGTGATCAAAAGGCTCCTCCCTCTGTTCACCATCCATGGAAAATGTGCCTCATCTTGCACCACACACCAGTGGAAAAGGGAATTTTAGGAAAACTAGGACAAACAAAAGTTGAATAGTTAGAGCAGAGCCTCTAGTATGGGAAGAACAGTGCTTAAAAATTACAGAAATTGCAAAGTATAAAATAAATAGAACACACTATATGAAATGTAAAACTCTCATGCATCGTTTTCTAAAGAACAGTATCAAAAAGCAAACAATATGACTTCCTTGTTAGAAAACAATTTGGAAAAATGGGTCTTTTTTGCATTTTTGATACAATTTGCTTCAGTAATGCCACTGATCGCAATTTATTCTAAGGACGTGATTCTAAATGCACAAAAGGAGATTTATACATATGGATGTTGATTCAACTCTTCCCTCTCTCCACCCAGAGCAACCAGGCATGAGCTCATCCTCAAAGCTGGGCACACGGGGCCACTGTCCCAGGATGCTGGGTGCTTGGCCCTGTAAAGGATGAGGAAAGGAACAGCTTTTCATTGCAGACAGTGGGGTCCGATAAGGCTGTTCTGGCCACTAGATGGTGGTTGTGTTTATCGAAGACTACTGGATGCCTGCCAAATATCTGTGTTAGTCCATTTTCACACTGCTATAAAGAAATACCCAAGACTGGGTCACTTATAAAAGAAAGAGGTTTCATTGACTCACAGTTCCGCATGGCTGGGGAGGCCTCCGGAAACTTACAATTATAAGGTCATGCTTTGGCAGGAGAAAGAGAAGCAAGTACCTTCTTCACAAGGAAGCAGGAAAGAGAGAGGGTGCACAAAGGGGAAAGAGCCCCTTATAAAACCATCAGATCTCGTGAGAAACCCCTCACTATTATGAGAACAGCATGGGGCAAACCACCCCCATGATCCAATCACCTCCCACCAAGCCCCTCCCTTGACATGTGGGGATTACAATTGAGATATTGAGCTTGGAACGCAGGAGGCGATGCTTCTGCCCTCTTGACTCTGGTTAGAATGTGCATCAGGTGAATCCTGTTTAGTCCTGGTTGCTGAACCACAGAGGGAGTTGAACATACTGGAGCTTATCCAGGCAATATGACCGTCAGGAAACTGCATCACTGAGGAAGTTCTGAGGGAGTTGGAACTAGACAGTTTAAAGCGACGGCCGGACAAGCTAGTGTCTCCTAGGAGCCAATGGCTAAGGGCAGAGGGAGCAGAGGGGTTCTGTATGGCCCTGGAGTGCAGAGCAAGTATCGGTGAACCGAAGTTACAGGGAGGCAGATGTTTGTCTAAGACAAAGAATCTTCTCGGGGTCAGAGCTGTCCGTGTGGACCGGAAGCCTGGGGAGGGAGTGAACAGCACAACCTGAGAGAAGTTTGAGAGGAGGCTGAGGAGTTCCTCTGCTCCCCCAGGAAGTGTGGAGCAGAAACCACATCTCAGATGCCCGCAGGAGCCAGGTGAGTCATCAGGAGGAGTGGTACAGCTACAGGCACACACATTAGAAATTAAAACCAACAGCAGCATCAATAAATACTGTGCAGTCCAAGCAAAACCTGCTGTGGAGGTGGGATTCAGTGACGCCCAAACTCTGCCGTGGAAAGTGGACGGGGGAGTGTATTGGTTTCTTGGGGCTGCCGTAAGAAACAACCACAACTGGGGGGCCTAAACCACAGAAACTCACCGACTCACCGTTCTGGAGGCTGGAAGACCAAGATCAAAGTGTTGGCCGAGCCATGCTCCTGCTGAAGCCGCTGGGGGAGGCTCCGTGTAGTTTCTGGGAGCCCCAGGCATTTGTGGCGTGTGGCAGCATCTCTCCGATCTCTGCCTCCATCTTCACACGGCGGTCTCTGCTCTGTGTGTGTCCAGATTTCCCTCTTCTTAATAAGGACGCTTGTCCCACTGGGTTCAGAGTCCACCCTACTCCAGCATGAGCTCATCTTCATTTAATTAAATGCATCTGCAATGACCTTTCCTGAATTAGGTCATACCCTGGGGTGACTTTCTCTTTTTGGGGGACACAATTCAGTTCCTAACAGGGAGTCTGAAGTCCACCCTGCTGGACACTTGTCAGCCTGGAACAACACCTCGCTTTGGAGGGGCTTTTGGCTTATGCGTGGGTTTTTGCCTGTCTCATATTCCTTGCTTGAGTAAGCTTCCTCCTTCCCACCAAACTGCGAGGTCCCAGCACCATTTAGTGGCTGAACCACCTTCTCTCTGCAGAAGAGGAATAGGGCATCTGGGATGCCGTAAGTAAGAGCTGAGAGGGGCTTGGAGGACCTCTCTGAGGTCCCTCTCCGGGGGCGGGACCTCTTCTGCTTGGAACCCTCTGGCTCAGAGGCAGGCACTGAAGGCTTCTGGAGGCAGAACCTGTGCATAGCTCCCACACAGCCCTGGCCTTGCTCAGCTGTTGATTTGTGGGTAGCTGCTGCCCTCTGCTGGACAGAGTGAAACGTGCTCTCCTTCCATTTCCTAGGACTCTTGTCTCCCTATCACAAGTTCCATTTCCTTCCTAGGACTCTTGTCTCCCTATCACCAGTTCCATTTCCTTCCTAGGACTCCTGTCTCCCTATCACAAGTTCACAAACTCACAGAGCAGAAAAGGGCCAGAAGGTCGGCAGGCCCAGCCCCATTATTCAGAGGCGGATACTGAGGCCAGAGAGGGGAAAGGCCTTGTTTAAGGTCACACAGATAGTTAGAGTAGGAGCTGGGACTAGAAATGGGTGGCCCTCCCTCAGCAGGGTCTGGAGGTGTGGGGTCCTGGAGGAGAAAGAGAAGGCACCTTACTCCTAGTAGAGACACCAGAAGGCTGGTGGGCAGTGTAACCAGGACCACCAGGTCAGCCCACCCACGTAGGAAAATCCCCTATCAGGCTGTGTGAGTGATCCCAGCTTTGCCTAACTCCACAATCCTAAAAAGTCACCTATAAACAGAATCTTTGTCAGTCAGATTATTTTCCCCTCTACCACCTTCTGTGTCCCAGATGCAGTTTTTGTGGCTGTTACCAATTTCATCATACAAGGCCCAGGGAGAGTATAGTAGGGCAAGCGCATTGCTCTAACAAATAGACCCCAAATGTATAATAACTCAAAGAAAAGGGAAGTTTACTTTTTGCTCGTTAATAGTTCAGTGAGCCTAGCAGAAAAGGGAGGGGAATGGCCGGGCGCCGTAGCTAAAGCCTGTAATCCCAGCACTTTGGGAGGCCGAGGCAGGTGGATCATGAAGTCAGGAAATCGAGACCATCCTGGCTAACACGGTGAAACCTCGTCTCTACTAAAAATACAAAAAATTAGCTGGACATGGTGGCAGGCCCCTATAGTCCGGGCTACTCGGGAGGCTGAGGCAGGAGAATGGCGTGAACCCGGGAGGCGGGGCTTGCAGTGAGCCGAGATCGCGCCACTGCACTCCAGCCCCGGTGAAAAAAACAAGATTGTCTCCAGTGGCCCTTCCTCACTTGGGTACCACTGAGTCTCTGATAAATGACTTAGTTATCAGATTTGGTTTCTAAATTTGGTGGATGTGGAGACAGAGCTGTGATCATCTTTGGTGCCCTATTAATTCCAGACTCTTTAAGTAGATAGCATATGAGAGCAGAGTTCACCTTTTCCACCCAAAGAATGTTACACCTCTCCAGGATGGTGCCGCAGGAACCTCCACTCTGTCTAAATACTGAGACATCCTCTGGCTGAGCCTGATCAGAATATGAAATTGAGGCAGGAAAAAAGTTTGGACCTGAAATTTTCTTTTTATCTTGAAATGGCAAGTGAATTTAGTCTTTGAGCTTTCATTTCCTACTGGGAATTTCATAATGGTACATTGTTTCTATTACACTGTAGGGCATCTTATTGTTGGCATTTTATTATTGGGGTATCTTAATTTGTCATTTAATCTCCCTTTGGAACATGGGATGAGCTCTCTCAGACCATGTTGTTCCTGGTCCAAGCCGAGGGTCAGGCTGCTGATTCTCGCGGCCCAATAACAAGATGCAGTTGAACTGGGAAGGAAGGAAGTTTATTTTTGTAACCGGGTACAGGGAGAAGGCCTGGAATATATCACCAGACTAACTCAAAATTACAAAGCTTTCCAGGGTTTATATACCTTCTAAGCCATATGTCTACATGTAAGTGTGCATTCATCTAAAGACGTAAGTGATTAACTTCTTCTAATCCATAACTAAGGTGTGAAGACCTTCTTCTGGAGCCTCAGTAAATGTATTGAATCTAGATGGGTCCAAGTGCTGGGGTGATTACCCTTATCACATCTCCTGCTAAATCACGGAGGTTTGAGGAGTTCATTTAGACCTCCAATAAAACTTGTGTCTTCAGACCCCCAGTAAAAACTTTTCTTTTCTTTTTTTTTTTTTTTGAGATGGAGTCTCACTCTGTTGCCCAGGCTGAAGTGCAGTGGTGTGATCCCAGGTCACTGCAACCTCCGCTTTCTGGGTTCAAGCGATTCTCCTGCCCCAGCCTCCTGAGTAGTTGGGACTACAGGCTCCCGCCACCATGCTTGGCTCATTTTGGTACTTTTAGTAGAGACAGAGTTTCACCATGTTGGCCAGGAGGCTGGTCTCAAACTCCTGACCTCAGGTGATCTGCCTGCCTCAGCCTCCCAAAGTGCTGAGATTATAGGTGTGAGCCACCGTACCCAGCCAATAAAAACTTACTTAATCCTAAATGGGTCTGGTTAAGAATTCCTTCCTCCTCTTGTCATGGTTCAAGGCACAGGAAAGACTTAGGCAAAAACTTGTGGTGGGCTTTTGTTCTATTCCAGCCTTTGTATAAGGTTACTGGCTCTTTCAACTTTTAATATTTAACTTAACCACTCAGTCAGCGCTGAAACAGTTGTTACAGAGGCCTGCCTGTTCAGCTGCTAGAGAGACCTAGGATGCCACAGTGTGGATGGGTAGAATTTGGGATGGGAAGTAGACTAAGGAGGGAATTTTCAGCCAAGGGTACAGTGTCCTTGGAGAGAATTTGATGTATACATTTTAACTGTTCCAGCCTCAACTGATGCTTGGTTCATCTCCCAGGACTCTGCTTTCCCCACAGTCCTCTCCAATGGGTGATCCTTCATCCCTGGGCTGCTCTAGACCACAACCTCTGTGTCTTGGGTAAAACCTTGCTCCACTGAAGTTCTTGGCACTTCCAGTCTAGTCAGTGCCCACCATCTGCCAACCTCCTACTGTCTGCCTTCATCAGTGAAGACCGTAATCATAGGCTCTCAGCTTCCTTCCCACTCAGAAGCCTCCCGTGACCCTGGATGACATCAACACATTCCCATGAAGGGCCGTACTAACACCCAAGCCTACCCTATTGCTTCAGTCTCTTGACCTACAATCATCCCCATCTCCACCCACATTAATGACAATTCTCATGGCAAATAATGACAATTTGTCATTATTCAGAAATGTACCGTTTCTGAGATATAGGTTTATTATCCCTAATCTGAAAATCTGAAATTTGAAATGCTCTAAAATCCAAAACCTTTTGAGCACCATTGTGATGCTCAAAGGAAACAATCATTGGAGAATTTTGGATTTCACGTTTTCAGATTAGGGGTGCTGAACCTGTATAATGCAAATATTCCAAAATCTGAAAACATCTGAAATCTGAAACACTTCTGGTCCCAAGCATTTTGGATAAGAAATATGCAACCAGTATTACCTTCAACATCCCACTCTCTCTAACTGTAAACTTCCATCCTTCTAGCTCTCTAATTTACTTATTTCTTCACTTCTCCTTGTAAATGTTAAAGGAAAATAAATCTTGGGACCTCAAAGTCACTAAGCCAAAGGGAAAAGTCAATCTGGAAACTGCACGCAAACCTGCCTCTCATTATATTCCTAAACAAGATAGCTAGACAGAACTCAAAGTCATCCCTCTGCTCACGTGAGACAAATGCATAGCTGATTGCTTCCTTTGCCCTGTTGTTTCACTGAGCCAGGCTAAGGCTTAAGTGATTAGTCCTGTAAATTGTGTATTCAGTGAAAGGCTTATTAGAAACTCAAAAGAATGCAACTGTTTTTCTCTTATCTACCTATCACCTGGAAGCCCCCTCCCTGTTTCCAGTCATCCCACCTTTTTGGACCACCTGATATATGTCTTAACATATATTGATTGATATCTCATGTCTCCCTAAAATGTGTAAAACCAAGCTGTGCCCCAACCACCTTGCACACGTCAACAGAACCTCCTGAGGCTATGTCATGGATGTGTCCTTAACCTTGGCAAAATAAACTTTCTAAATTGACTGAGACCCATATCAGATATTTTGTGTTCACAATTGGTAATCACAGAGGGATTCTGAGTGAAGATGCCTCGATCTTTGACAAATCTCCTATCAGTGCGTGGTAGCAGCCTGAGCTGTCTTTATGGCTGAAACCAATAGGACAATTGGCTGAGGCCTGGGAGCCACCCCACCCCCAGAGAATCCCTGATCTCCCCAAATTTGTTGAGATCTGAAGTTTATTTTGCTGTGCAACTCCTTTTTTGGAGTTTTACTTGCTTCCAACAAGGAAGGCAAATTTTCCTGCGTCCATGATGATGGAAGGCAGGTAACTCCTTTCTGGAGTTTGAGCTCGTTTCCAGCAGGGAAGATGAGTTTCAGTTTTTTCCTGCTTCTAGGATGGGAGAGAGCAGACTTCAGCCTGAGACTCATTACTAGGTAAGTAGCTGAATTGGAGTTTTGTCTTGGCTAGAGTTAAGACTAACAGCCAGCTGGTCTTAATTTCTCCTTACTATTAGAGCACTCAGTGACCACATAAATTGTGTGATTGTTTGTTTGTTTCACTTAACTGTTTTTGTTGTTGTTGTTGTTGCTGTTTGTTTCTGTTTCTTGTTGTTTTCATCTTTTTCCCATTGGGTTTGACCAACTCTATCCAACTTGATCAAATCCGAAGGAAAATTCCAAATTATGGAGAACAAGACCTCTGAATTGGCTAAATTCCTGCAACTGAAAAAGAAAAAAGAAAAAAACAGCTAGCAAAAGGAAAAAAAAATTTTTTTTGATTTTGACTACCTTAGGGGCTTTATTTACATAACAAGGCCATCTTTTGCTAACCAGGCCAAACTGAAAGAGCAATGGTTGTCCCCCAGCACTGCAGTTTGGAAACTAAGATTCTGTCCTTATTTTCATCATGACTGCCTAAGTTTGGTTCCTAAATCAAGCCCTTTCTGGTTTGGTATTTGCATTACTTTTGAAATATCAGCAGTTTGTACTAGCTAAAATACAGTAATGAGATTTGAAGGTATTTTTTTTAAGGAGCTTAGTGGCTAAAAGCTTAAATAAAAGCTAACATCCAAGGTGTGTGTGTGTGTGTGTGTGTGTGTGTGTAGTTAAGGCCTTTTTTATTTCTCTCCTTCAACTTTTTGAGCAAAAGTTTTTTTCTTCTCCGTCAACCAAATTCTGTTTTCTTCATTTTACTTCTGCTGCCTCTTCTTTCTCTTGCTACCCTGTGCTGCATGAGGAATCTAAAATAGTTTCTAACACCCTGGGATTCCTTAAAGAAAACAGAGAAGGCACTAGACTCCCTTTTGGGGAGCAACCTCTGTTTCTCCTTATGGAACTCAAAGAGTGTAAAAGAGAAAATTTCGTCTCAGATCTTACACTGCTTCCTTTTGTATAGTGTTACCTGGTTTCTTTCTTTCTTCTTTTTTTTTTTTTTTTAACTAAAATAATTATTTTAGTCAAAGAGTAACAACAGAGGTTACTGTTGGGTGTTTAAAGTTAGGAAGAGAGTAGTTCAGACACTTAGAGAAACATTTTTGTTAAAAAAAAAAAAAAAAGGAGAGTGCACTCATAAAACCATCACATGGTCTTAGCCTCATAATAATTCTCTTTTTGGAGACCCGGAATTCAGTGTGGGCTCTGCCCAGAGCTCAGAGATCCAGTTAAAAGGCAGACTAAATTTAGAACTACTTATATAAATAAAGTCAGTCTTCTAATATAATCCTATGATAGATTTCTATAATTTTATGTTTGATTTGGCATTCGTTTTTAATCTCCTCCTACTAGTGAGAGGTGAAACCAGCTGGACTTCCTGGGTCGAGTGGGGACTTGGGGAACTTTTCTGTCTAGCTAGAGGATTATAAACACACCAATCAGTGCTCTGTGTCTAGCTAAAGGATTGTAAATATACCAATCAGCACTCTGTAAAAACGCACCAATCAGCGCTCTGTGTCTAGCTAAAGGATTGTAAATGCACCAAGCAGCACTCTATAACAATGCACCAATCAGTGCTCTGTGTCTAGCTAAAGGATTGTAAATGCACCAAGCAGCACTCTATAACAATGCACCAATCAGTGCTCTGTGTCTAGCTAAAGGATTGTAAATGCACCAATCAGCACTCTGTGGCTAAAGGATTGTAAATGCACCAATCAGCACTCTGTAAAAATGCACCAATCAGCACTCTGTGTCTAGCTAAAGGATTGTAAATGCGCCAATCAGCACTCTGTAAAATGCACCAATCAGCACTCTGTGAAATGGACCAATCAGTGCTCTGTAAAATGGACCAATCACCAGGACGTGGGTGGGGACGAATAAGGGAATAAAAGCTGGTCACCACAGCCAGCAGCATCAACCCGCTCAGGTCCCTTTCCATGCTGTGGAAGCTTTGTTCTTTCGCTCTTCATAATAAATCTTGCTGCTGCTCACTCTTTGGGTCCACACTACCTTTAATTGCTGTAACACTCACCATGAGGGTCTGCAGCTTCATTCCTGAAGTGAGACCACAAACCCACCAGAAGGAACAAACAACCCTGGACACGCCACCTTTAAGAGCTGTAACACTCACTGCAAGGTCCGAGGCTTCTTTCTTGAAGTCAGAGAGACCAAGAACCCACCAGAAGGAATAAATTCTGGAAACACTAGCACCAGACTCTTTCTCTCTGTACCTTGAGATGTAAATTTCACTATCTGATTTTTTTCATCTAAGAGTTCCTTTAATATGCAAATTTAGGGTTATCTTAGCTGACAACTGCCTAGGGTAATAAGATCAAGAAATTAGAAGTCTAGAACTGGAGGAAAAAAAGAGGTCTTGTGAAATGATAAGCTCTACTTCTATCTGCATGTATAATACATCTATGTATTTATGTGTCATGTATATGATGTTTCACTACTAGAAACATGTAAAAGTGCTCTAATTAATTGGCTTAAAGAAAAAAAGGGGCTTTAAATCAAATACTGTATCAGAGAAAATAGAGATTTTAAGCCAAATGTCTTTTCAAGTTCATGTGACTTAAGTATATCTTTAATAAATAAGCTGGTTTTGAAAGTAGTCATGAAATAAAATTAGAATTAGAATGGCTTCAGAATTGTCAACATACACTATTGTTTAAATTTATTGGAACAGTGGTTTCATATTTATCTCTGCTAGATGCCAAAATTTGGCATGAGGGTTATAAAACAATGAATGCAGCCCAAAGGAAAATTATCTCTATGTAAAATTTCATAAATAAGGCATTTAATATTGTTTAGTTAATGAAAACAGCTAAATCCTAAGTTATTGGCAAAAAAAAAAAAAAAGAAACCATTTATCTAACCTTAAGTTTCTTACTTAGGAAAACCTGAAATTCGCAGTCTATAAAAATGATTAACTGGGAAATAACTTTCAATGATAACTCTCAGTTTTCAAAAGTAATCTGAGTAAACTATTAAAAAAATTAATTAGGTAAATGTAATGGAATAAATGCTTGTGATTAAACTTGTTATATAATTTAGAATCTAAAATTATATTAAGTTAAATAATAGGTACTCATTAAACATCTGGGTCATTTCCAATTTAAAATATTAGGCCAGGTGCAGTGGCTCACACCTGTAATCCCAGCACTTTGGGAGGCTGAGGCAGACAGATCATAGTCAGGAGATCGAGATCATCCTGGCTAACACAGTGAAACCCCGTCTCTACTAAAAATACAAAAAATTAGCCAGGCGTGGTGGTGTGCACCTCTAGTCCCAGCTACCCTGGAGGCTGAGGCAGGAGGATGGCGTGAACCCGGGAGGCAGAACTTGCAGTGAGCCAAGATTGTGCCACTGCACTCCAGCCTGGGTGACAGAGCAAGACTCTGTCTCAAGAAAAAAAAAAAATTACAGAAAAATATTTTTCTAAAAAAAGAAATGTGTTCTTATTTAAAGGAAAATAATTTTTTATCTAATTCAAGGCTATTTAAAACTTATGAAACAAGGTAAAAGTAATCGTTAAATAAAAGCAATGTAAAGAAAGTTATAAAAGGTATTTCTGGCAAGAAAAGTTAGAAGGAAGATAATTGTATATGAGAAATATTCTTGTATGGTAAAATTTTGGCCTAGAATAAAACGACTGGTTGTTTAAGAAAGAGGGATGTTCAGGACAAACCAGAAAGTTCAAGTGTTACTGGTAGAGGATCTTGACTATGAGTCATCCAGGTTCTTGGTGTTTTGAACAAAGAATTGGACAAAACACACAAAGCAACGAAGGAATGAAGCAATGAAAGCACAAATTTATTGAAATGAAAGTACACTTCACAAAGTGGGAGTAGGCTCCAGCAAGCAGCTCAAGAGCACTGGTTACAGAATTTTCTGGGGTTTACATACCCGCTAGAGGTTTCCCATTGGTTACTTGGTTACACCCTATGTAAACGAAGGAGTAGCCCATGGCCAGTCTGATTGGTTGTGGGAGGGGACCAATCTGAGGTACTTTCCATTTTTTATCTGCAATGCAGTGCAAAGGGAGTAGCCTCTGATCCTTTTGTTACTTGGGTGTGGAGAGGTGGGGTTTTCCTTTTCATTCAATCCTAGAAACTCAGCACAAATCAGCTTTAGGTTCCCTGTCTCCAGACCCTATTCTCCTGCCTCATTTTCCCCTGAGAGATGTGATCCCCATAAATCTTTCTGGGAGGCAGAGGGACCCATGGTCTTTCTTCCATAACTACTTCATGCTGACTTGGGGCACAGTCCCTACCTACTGGGGATTACAGAACTCTCACCCTGCTCTGTCTAGTGGAGACAAGGTTACTTCTTGGTGGCCGGGGTTGACATCATTATCTGAAACTGACTGGTGGCCCTGCTGCATTATCATAATGGTCTCTAGGCAAGAAGAAATAAATCTGGTTAAAAGATTTAACAAACATGATCCAAAAGCCAAGGCAAGTATAATAATTAATAGTGGACTGGCCAGAGGAAGGAGATGTGAGCCCCAAATTAGCATTTTGACTAGGCGCCCCATGACTCAGACAGCTGTTGTCATATCTTATGGTACCAATCGGCTAGTTTTTGGGTGGCATCCCTTACTAATCCTGTTTGGTTGACATAAAAACAGCATTCTTCCTCTAGGAAAAAGACATAAGCCACCTTCTTCAGCATTTAGGAGATCCAGTCCCCTTCTATTTTACAAAGCCACCACTGCCAAAGACTCTATCTGATTTTGTAAGGTGATGATACTTTTGGGCAATGTCACCTAAGCTTTCCATAAAATCCTTGGACAAGCATTGGTAATAGGATAGGGAAACTGCAAGGCTGCTAACTCTCATTCCTACTCCTGCTGTTATTCCTAGCTCTACCGAAAGTGGTATCAGTTGGATGGCTCATTTGTGTCTGGTGGTTGCAGTTAAAAGTATAATGAAGGATTGGTTGTTGGGAGCTATATTAATTTCGGGGGCTAAATAAACAACTGTATAGGTTCCAGTCCAATTGGCTGGTAAAACATAAGTAGGAACTGGTCCCACACGGGAAAAAGAGTCCTTGTTTTTCAAGACAAAATTGTTTTCTATGGTGAACATGTGGGTTAGCTTGTTGTTTTCACTTTCCCAAGTTATTAAAGTCCCTGGTAAGGTGGCCAAGGGAAAATGTGAACACAGCTAGTGGGCCTACCTTAACGGTATTTAGACTATATATTTAAAGTGTCCTTGACTAGGGATGGTTTCCATAAAAACTGTACAGGTTTTCTAAATGATGCAGCTTGGGTAACTGCATAGCTTACATGATCATGTGAGGGTTTAATCTGTATGGTGTAGTTACATTGGTGACTTTAGATGTCCCAGGGCGGGACCAAAATTTTGGCTTCTCTCAATACAAAGTGTTGCCTGGAATTTTAGTGCTTTGCGCACTGATATGTGCATTGAGATTGGGCCCCAAATGGGTTTCTGAGGGGATGCAACCCCAGAAAGTTTGCTCTGATAGGACTGGGGAAGGTTTACTGCTCATTCTGACATTGTAACCCTTGTCATTTCCATAATTTTAAGGCTATATAAGTCAGCCAGGTTCATTAATTTGAAAGGAGTTTCTCCCTTGTAGTTAGGATGTTAAGTTATTTTTTCAAGGGCCCAAGATTGGGCTGGGATCAGGATTGGTAGTCTGTTTGGATGATGATGGAGATAAACAAAGCCAACAGTGCCTTGCCAAAGCTGGACTGGTGGTATTTAACAGTCTTTGTGTTAAAGTTTTTAATAAATACCCAGAATCCATTAATTACCAGAGGGGTAAAGCGAAACTCTTTTGTAAAATAAAGCTGATTATCAGTATGCATGGTCTTAGTATACACAGGCTGTGGGTGACCATTATGGTATAAAAAAAAAATACTTATTTGTTATTTTGTTCTATAGATAAAAATTAATTAAAACACTTTAAAAGAAGTGATTCAATCCATTTGGAAGAAAGCAATTAAATTGTAAAAATATAAAAATGGCTACTATTATATCCAGCTTACAGTAAATATACAAGAAGGACACCAAGGAAAGTTGATAGGAATTTACTTATCTTTTGGCTGCCTTTTAAACAGGTACTTCAGGTCTTCTACAGGTTCACAGGTTTAGTGGCTGATGGGATCTTCAGGTTCCAGGTCTGGGGGCTTCAGTTATTGCAGGCTGGACCCTGGAAAGACATATCCAACTAACTATTCCCAGTACTTTGACTGGAGAAGGCATGGCCAGTACCACTGAAAATAGTCCCTTCCATTTGGGTTGTAATTGTTCAGCAGGTGATCCCTCCTTCCATGTTTTAACAAGTACTTTATCTCCTGGCCTGATTTTGGGTTGCTGGTTAGTTCCTGGTGTGGGGAGTCTTTGAGTTCTAAACTTTTGTAAAGCCTGCTGAAATTGTCCCAGGTTAATTACGCATGTTACTAAACTGGCTGTTTCTGGATCAGTAATTAGATCATTATTTAAAAATGGCCAGCCAGGAGCGGTGGTTCATGCCTGTAATCCCAGCATTTTGGGAGGTTGAGGCAGGCGAATCACCTGAGGTCAGGAGGTCAAGACCAGCCTGGCCAACATGATGAAACCCTGTCTCTACTAAAAATACAAAAACTAGTCAGGCATGGTGGCACATGCCTGTAATCCCAGCTACTCAGGAGGCTGAGGCAGGAGAATTGCTTGAACCAGGGAGGCAGAGGTTGCAGTGAGCCAAGACTGTGCCATTGCACTCCAGCCTGGGTGACAAGAGCAAAACTCCATCTCAAAAAAAAATGGCCTTCTGTATAACATTTCATATGAGCTCATATTAATTTTTGCTCTAGGAGAATTAAGGGTTCTTAAGAGGGCTACAGGCAATAAGCTGACCCAAATTTCTGATGTTTTCTAACATAGCTTAGCTAACACCCATTTTAAGAGCTTGATTAGCCCTTTCTACTTTCCCATGTAAATAATTTTTGATTCTGAGAGCCTTAGCAGCCCCTTGAGTTCTAAAAGATGGGTCTTTATCACTTTAGAGGCTTTGGGGTAACCCAAACTAGGGGATTTATTTCCTTTAAAAGAAGCTTAGCAACTTCATGAGCCTTCTTTGTTCTCATAGAGCAAGCTTCAACCCAGCCAGTAAAAGTATCTATTACTACTACCAAAAACTTGTATACTTTGCACACTGGCATATGGGTGAAGTCTAATTGCCAGTCTTCCCCTTTAACTTTAGCCAATATGTTCACACACAGAATCTCTTTTACAATTAATTTTTCATAAGCCTTCCACAACTTGTTCAAACCTTTTAGATTATTCCTATCTCACTTAAAACCATCCTTTCACCCTCTAAACTTAGGCAAGAAATCCACATTCCCATGCTTTTTACCAAAGGTACATTATCCTTTTCTTACATGAATTCTTTTCATAACTTACCCAGACCATCTACAAAATGCTTGGACTTTCTGAGTTTTCCTAAACATCTTTCTTTTTAAACAACCAGTCATTTTACGTTAGGACAAGAATTTATCGTACAAGATCTTTTCTCCTACAAAGCCACCATCTCTACAATCTTCCCTCACAAAAACATATCTTCATATATATAACTTTCTTCACATCTCTCCCCTACTTACTGGTTCCTTACTACCTTGTTTCATAAATAACTCTTTTTTTTAAAGTCCATAATTTGAATTAACTTTCAGATAACCTCCAAACTACACAAAATAATTCTTTCTCACCAATAACACATTTTTTGGCATATTTTGTATACAGAATTATATATTAACTATAATTCATATCCTTATGTATTAGTCTGTTTTCATGCTGCTGATAAAGACATACTTAAGACTGGGCAATTTACAAAAGAAAGAGGTTTATTGGACTTACATTTCCACATGCTGGGAAGGCCTCACAATCATGGTGGAAGGCAAGGAAGAGCAAATCACATCTTATGTGGATGGCAGCAGGCAAAAGGAGAGCTTGTGCAGGGCAACTCCCATTTTCAAAACCATCAGATCTCATGAGACCCATTCGCTATCATGAGAACAGCATAATTCAATCATCTCTCACCCACTGGATCCCTCCCCACAACACACGGTAATTATGGGAGTTATAAGAAGAGATTTGGGTGGGGATGCAAAGCCAAACCATATCATCTTAGTAACCTTAAATTTTAGTGAAACCTTAGGAAGCAAAAAATCCTAAACTATCAGATATTAGCATTTTATAGATGAGAATAATTCCACAATTTTTGGAAACATATTCCTCCCTATCATAACCCTTTCTTAATTGGAAATGACTGAGATATCCAATGGGCATCAAAAATACTTTTAAGATTTTAAATTACACAAAATTTACCTAATCATTCATCCCATTTACATGTACTTAAGTCTTTCATTTTTAACAGTTTATCTAGATTACTTCTGAAAACTGAGATATTAGACACCATCATTTAAAGTTAGTTATTTATTTGTTAACCATTTTTAATAGCCAATGAACATTATGTGTTCACCTAAATAAGAACCTCACAGTTAAATACATAGGTGTTTTTGCCAATAACCCAGAAGATTTAGCTAACAATATTAAATTAGTCTCATTTGTCAAAGAAGCCACATAAACTAAGGCCATTTTGTTTTGGCTGGGTTAATAGCTTTATAATCTTCTATGCCAAATGCTGACACTTCAACATTTCTAGCAAAGACAAATATAAAACCCAGACAAAAATGTATGCTGACAATTCTGAAGATATTTCTATTTTCATTTTACCAATAATTTTAAAGCCAGCTATTTAATGAAGATTTACTTAAGTCACATGAACTTGAAAATTGCTTGGACTTATTTATTTAATTTATGAGTGCTTTTTTATTTATAAGCTGATTTGGTTGACACAACATATAACAATAAGTGTACATACAAATAAACACATCTAGACATGTATACACACACACAAACGAAGATCCAATAGCTTTTACCTTGGAACTCTAGCCATGAGATATCAATACAAGCTCACAGGTTTTACATGGTTACACTTTGTTTGCTCCAATAGGTAATCCAGTGAAGGCTGTGAACCAAACATTTTTAAAGCAGTTCCGGTGGCAGTTTGATTTTTAAAGGCCAAACCTCCTCAGACTCCAAAGACACTGGAGCCAAATAGCACCAAAGGAGAGCACCATATGCTGACTAGGCCTGACCCTTCTTAGGACAGCAGCACCAAAGCCTGGATACATGCAACGTCATCCTGCTTTCCCATTCAACAGCAAACTCCAGATTCCAAACAATACTGGGGCCAAGTATTATTGCAAAAGAATATCAAATGTTTCCTCCTTAGATTATCAGGGTCAAATTCATTTCAATGGTTGAGGATGCAGCCAAGTGGGAAGTCAGGTGGAATAAATGGAGTGTTTCCTGTAGTGGTCTGCAAGAGAGAGACAATTCTAAGGAGGCCTTAGTACTAGACCTGAGAACCTTTGCCTAGGGCATCCCCTTTGGAGAGGCTGAGGTCTGGAGTTGGATCCCCTAGGCATCCCCCTTTGAGGTCCAGTCTAAAAGTGTCAGACATCTCTGACCTTAGGTGGGCACCAGTGTTGCTTTGTATGTTTTCCCTCCAGAGGCAATGGCCTAATATGAGCTTTTCTCTTGTCCCTGGATGAAGGTCTCAGCTTCTAGCTTCCTACCAATTTAGATAGGCCATATCTTCCTGCATTCCTTGCAAGACTAAGGAGGTTCCCGAACACTGCAGAGTTAACGGTACCAAGGCTAGTGGGATATTCCCCATGAAGAAATGGTGCAGAGGTTATATAAAAGATTGGGTTTATATTGGGTATATAAAAGATATATAGAATTTCTACGGGGTTCAGGGCAAGCAAACTGATGCCAAAGCAATGACCACCAAGCTCCCTTAAGTGGAGGTCCAAGATGTAGAATGTGTTCTAAAGCTTGTGGGTCCCAAAGGTCCTCAGCCAGTCAATAGATTCAGTAGGAGAAGGGAGGTCAAAATATCTAAGAGATATTATCTTTTGTCCTTACAGGCCAACTTTATGGGAGAATTTAGCTTAAGAAAGAGGGTTTAAGTCGCCTGAAATGTGTGTGAGTTCACCCTGGACGAGCTTCTGCTGCCAATTGCATCACAGGTAGGGATCAGGGACTATAACTCAAAAAGATACAAAAGAGTCCTTCCGCCTTCTGGGCAGGAGAGCTATCCCAGGTTCACTCCTTGGCCTTCAGGTAACAGTAGAGAGTGGTCCCGGCCAGTTTCCCTCAATTACCAAGAAGCTACTAGGAAACGGCCACTGAAAGACTGAAAAAAGGAAAAGGACTCAGGTCCCTCACCTGAATTGGGCAGTGGTGGTCAGGCACTTTCACACAGAAACCTTTCAGTTTCACCAGAGAGTGGCCCTGTTAGAAACCTGTGGTTGCCTCTGTGCTTAGGCACTGTCCACCGAGGGTTCCAAGCTGGAAAGGGAAAAAGAGACAGAGAAAAGAGTTCCCCTGTAAGGAGCAGAGAGGAAAAGGGAAATCAAGAGAAGAAAAATAAATCCCAAACTTTGGGCTTACCTCCTGGCTGGCTCGCCAATATATGTTACTGGTGGAGGGTCTTGACTATGAGTCATCCAGGTTCTTGGCATTTTGAACAAGGAACTGGACAAAATGCACAAACCAAGCAATGAAAGAATGAAGCAAAGAACGCACAGATTTATTTAAATGAAAGTACACTCCACAGACTGGGATTGGGCTCCAGCAAGGAGCTCAAGAGGCCGGTTACAGAATTTCCTGGAGTTTAAATACCCTCTAGAAGTTTTCCATTGGTTACTTGGTTATACCCTATGTAAGTGAAGGAGTGGCCCACGACAAGTCTGATTGGTTGTGGGAGGGGACCAATCAGAGGTACTTTCCATTTTTATCTGTGAGGCAGTGCAAAGACAGTAGCCTCTGATACTTTTGTTACTTGGGTGTGGAGAGGTGGGGTTTTCCTTGTGATTCAGTTCTAGGAAGTCAGGGCAAATTGGCCTTAGATTCCCTGCCTCCAGACCCTATTCTTCTACCTCACAAGCATGTCATGAATGGTCTGGAGTAAATCATAAGCGGATTTATGGAAAAAAAAGCTTTTAGATAATCAAGTTGTCTATAATTAAAGGGAAATTATTTTTAATGGTCTTTCTAGGAATTGGGTTTTGGTATTTTCTAAAAACCATTTATATACTGAAGAATCTTAGCACTTTGGGAGGCCAAGGCAGGTGGCTCACATGGTCACAGGTTCAAGACCAGCCTGGCCAAGATGGTGAAACCCCGTCTCTACTAAAAATACAAAAATTAGCCAGGCGTGGTGGCAGACGCCTGTAATCCCAGCTACTCGGGAGGCTGAGGCAGAGAGTTGCTTGAACCCAGGAGGCGGAGTTTGCAGTGAGCTGAGATTGTACCACTGCACTCCAGCTTGGGTGACAGAGTGAGACTCTGTCACACACAAAAAAAAAAAAAAAAAATTGGTTAGAACAATGGAATTTTCTTGAAGTATTGCTTCATTCTTAATAAAATTAAAATTGATAAAAGACATTATAATTTTTTAAGTAAATTTCAACTTGTATTGCATCTCACTGTTTTCAGCTTTTTCTCCCCTTTTAAAGTGCCTGAAATAATCACTCTATTCTTCAACTCATTTTCAGCTTCTGTAAGCTTCTTTTTTTTCGGGTTCTGTTGTGGTCTGATGCTAAAAATGTTTTCTCTTAAAGGTCTAAAGGAAATGTTTCCTTCCAACATAATATTCTGTGCTTTTGGCTTTAAATTGTTCTATGAAATAAAAAATTTTCACTTACGACCCAGGAAACACTCTTCCTATGTCTAACTGTGTCCAGAATTGGTTCCTGCCTATGGGTTCTTGGTCTCACTGACTTCAAGAATGAAGCCGCAGACCCTCGTGGTGAGTGTTACAATTCTTAAAGATGGTATGTCTGGAGTTTGTTCCTTCAGATGTTCAGATGTGTCCAGAGTTTCTTACTTCTGGTGGGTTCGTGGTCTTGCTGACTTCAGGAGTGAAGCCGCAGACCTTTGCAATGAGTGTTACAGCTCATAAAGGTAGTGCAGACCCAAAGCGTGAGCAGCAGCAAGATTTATTGTGAAGAGCAAAAGAACAAAGCTTCCACAGTGTGGAAGAGGACCTCAGCCAGTTGCAGCTGCTGGTTTGGGTGGCGAGCTTTTACTCCCTTATTTGGCCCTGCCCATGCCCTGCTGATCGGTCCATTCTACAGAGCGCTGATTGGTCCACTTTACAGAGTGCTGATTGGTCCATTTTTAGAGTGCTGATTGGTGCATTTACAAACCTTTAGCTAGACACAGAGCGCTGATTGGTGCGTTTTTACAGAGTGCTGATTGGTCTGTTTACAAACCTTTAGCTAGACGCAGAGCACTGATTGGTGTGTTTTTACTAGTGCTGATTGTTGTGCTTACAAACTTTTAGCTAGACACAGAGCGCTGATTGGTGCGTTTTTACAGAGTGCTGATTGGTGTGTTTACAAACCTTTAGCTAGATGCAGAGCACTGATTGGTGTGTTTTTACGAGTGCTGATTGTTGTGCTTACAAACTTTTAGCTAGACACAGAGCGCTGATTGGTGCGTTTTTACAGAGTGCTGATTGGTGCATTTACAAACCTTTAGGTAGACACAGAGCGCTGATTGGTGTGTTTACAATCCTTTAGCTAGACAGAAAAGTTCTCCAAGTCCCCACCCGACCCAGAAGCCCAGCTGGCTTCACCTCTCATAACTAATTCAAGTATCTCTTTAATTAGTTTTGACTTGCAGTTAATCTAAATGGATTCTCCACAGGGAACAGCAGTCGCAGTGCAGAAGCTCTTTGCTTTTGCTTTTGGGTAACTGGCCTAACAAACAGATTTTACACTTTATATTGAAATAATTCCTATGTCATTATTACTAAGTTTTGGTCTGCTTAGAAAAAACTGAGATTAAAAGAAAAACTATTTTTCATTAAGGTTATTACATCTGTGTAACTTTCTGTATGTGCTTTTAAAGTCCTTGTGCCATCAAGTTACAGGGTTTAGACTCCTGGGTCTAAAAAGGATGCCAAGTCCGGCTAAATCTTAAACACTGACAGCAGTTAAAGCTTTATCTTCAGACCCTGTAGAAGATACCAATCAAAATAAACTGTGTTCATGAGACACAGGGCCAGAAATTAAAACTATTCAACTCCTCAAGACCCAGGAACTATCATGGAAGACATGGGTGTGTGACATTGTAAGGGTCAATTTTGAGAGATAAAATAAGTTTAGTTTCTCTATAAATTAACCATTAATGTCGAAGGCACTGATGCAAGACTAGCATATGGGCCTCTGAGTCAGATTAACAAGGTTTTCTTGGAGCGTTAACCCACTCCTTAATAAAAGGTTATAAAAAAGGCTTATGGAAATTACATCTTATGGTCAAGATGATTAAACTATTTAATATTATAGGCTGTTTATAAAATTTTGGAGAACAAGTTTAATTGGCCTCATCCTGTCTTTATTAAGGCTTATTGTTTGGGAAATGAAGTCTCCTCTCAAAGAATAAAGGTTTTCGCCTTAAAAAAAATCTTTGAGTTATCGCTTTGTCTAAATGAATGACTTTACAATGACCTGTGATCCTACTTTGTGATATTAAGTGTTTTAAACTTTTTATGTTTGACAAACCTTCGACAATCAAATTCTAACTTTGGTCCTCATTAATTTTTTGATATTAGTCCCCTGAAGTCCAAAAGAGACATATTTGGTTTATTTGATATAATAAAATCATACAGGAAGTATTGTCAAGTATAAAACAATGTTTAATCTTCTTTGGATTATATTTATGCACATATGTTATTGGTATATGTTTGAGAATTGTATGAAATTCCTGTGATTCTGATATGACTTGGCATATGTTATCAGTGGTAATTATTATTATTATGTAATTGTGGTAATTATAATTATGTAAAATTGTTGTATGCCACAGAAGTAACCAAATATCTTTGTCAATTGTGTCTTTATGACTGTTCTAAGACTTTTGTTATCCACAGTTGTTTTACTTTTATCCTATTCAAAAGGTGGTTTTATAATCAGCTGTGGGACTCTGACAGGTGCTCTTGAATGCAGGCTTCTAATAACTTTGGAGACTGTGACACTAGAATAGAGGAAAAACTTCCAAGACTCCAGTGGAGAGCTGAAATGTTCATGAATATCAAGCAGAAAAGAAGTTAACTGCATGGACTGAACTAATAGAAAACTGAAATAGTCCTTTTATGACTTTTTGCCTAAAACATTGCTGACCCTTTGTTTTTCAGAGCCAAGAAAACTTTTCTTTTGAGCTATTTATAGCTTTTAACAATGGAGTAAAGTATATTTCTGTAAACAAAATTTGGAGCATATTTCTCTCTACCTGATTTCTCCAAAATTTAGAAACTAGTTGTGAGTATTCTTAACTTATGGCAATATAGTTATTTGCATACATGCAATAAGAATCTTTCCTCTGAGAAAGATTCTTTCTCAAGAATGTTCCTTTGTAACAGGGCACAATTGGAGACACTGGTTATTTTACCAAGGTTTTGACTGGAATAGGATGCTTTCAGATACAAACAGACTCCTTTAAAGAATGAAAGTTGACTTTAGAGCCAATAAAAACTCCTTGAGAAACCTGGTCTCATACCTTGTCTGCACAGTCCCGGAACAGGGTGACCTGTAGTGAGTAAAGAATGTCACTTTCTGACAGGCCCAGGAGCCCCAAGTTTTCTTGGGACCTTGAAGTGAGGAATTCACTCAACTAACGCAAGGATTTGCAGGCACAGGCCAGGCTTAATGCATTAAAGTTAAATCTGAGATTCTTAGTGGAATAAAGTTCTAGCAAAGCCAATTAAAAAAAAAGAGGAGCCTATATAGCAAATAATTATTCTTCTGACTTTATGCAAATACTCCAGCCAAGTATAATAAGACTACAACTTATTTTGCAAATGAATTTGTCCTATGACTTGTCTTTAGTGAAAATGAGACTGGAGAGAGGAAAATTATATTTCAACATAAACTATAGTACACCTGTTATTAGATTCTAGTCTTGCCTAATGTTTTTCAGTTTTTTTTATTTTCTACAATTTAGATTGAATTCAAAAATTTTTCCTGGCTACAAGTCTCCAAAATAATGTTTTCAATTTTTTTCTTCTTTCGTTTACTTCCCCCCACCCCATTTTTCCTGATTTGAAATCACTTAAAATTAAGCAGTCTTTCTTAAAGCCCTACAGACTGAAGCTAGACAATGTAAACTTCAGAAGAAAATAATAGCAACCTATTTACACACATAAACCACTTTCATACCTGCCTACTGACATGGACTTCAGAGTAATACGGCCTATATTGATTTTCCAGGATTCTTCTTCATTTTGTTTGTTTGTTGTTGTTTTTCTTCCTTCCTCCCCCTATTTTCTCTTCAAAGGACATGAGACTTCATAACCTACTAAAAATGAGCTTTCCAAATAACGTGGTACTTATCCATCTAGGAATAAACTATCCTAGCCATGAGAGATCAGACAAAGCCTGAGACCAGAGACTTGTTTTCTTCTAAAATGCTGTCTCTGAAAGATTTTAAAAAGAAAAACGGGGAGATGTGAGAGGAAAATAAATCTCAGGACTCCAAAATTACTAAGCCAAAGGGAAAAGCCAAGCTGGGAACTGTGGGGCAAACCTGCGTCCCATTGTACTCCTAAACAAGATAGCAACAAAGATAAAAAAGCTACATACCTCCCTCACAATTTGCCCACAAGAAAATTCCCTGTAGACAAAAGACAGACAGAACTCAAAGTCATCCTTTTGCTCATGTGAGATAAATGCATATCTAATTGCTTCCTTTTCCCTATTGTTTCACTAAGCCAGACTAAGGCATAAGTGACTATTCCTGTAAGTTATGTATTCAGTGAAAGGTTAATTAGAAACTCAAAAGAATGCAGTCGTACCTATGACCTGGAAACCCAGGTCATAGGTATGTATCAGTGAAAGGCTAATTAGAAACTCAAAAGAATGCAAATGTACCTGTCACCAGGGAGCCCCCTCCCTGCTTCATGTTGTCCCATCTTTCCAGACGAAACTGATGTACATCTTACATATATTGATTGATGTCTCATATCTCCCTAAAATGTATAAAACCAAGTTGTGCCCCAACCACCTTGGACACATGTTGTCACGTTGTCAAGACCTCCTGAAGCTGTCTTGGATACATGCTTAATCTTAGCAAAATTAACTCTCTAAATTGACTGAGACCTATCTCAGGTATTTTGGGTTCAGATAAAGTTTTAGATATGGACTCACTGTAAAAGCAAGGCTTGTTGTTTCTAAGAACTATACTGCGGAGATGAAAAGAGGGGGACTTTCAGGCTGGAAACTATCACATCCACATTCCTTTGCACATCAGCAGCAGAGTCTTTCTTTATACATGGACACAATCCAGGCTCCTCCCTGAGAACTGCCTTGCAGTCAGCAGGAGATGAAGGGTGTTAGGACACTTAGAACTGAGAAGAGTTGGCCGGGCACGGTGGCTCATGGCTGTAATCACAGCACTTCGGGAAGCCAAGACGGGCAGATCACTGAAGTCAGGATTTCAAGACCAGCCTGGCCAACACCCTGTCTCTATTAAAAAATATAAAAAAATTACCTGTGCATGGTGGTGTGTGCCAGTAATCCCAGCTACTCAGGAGGCAGAGGCAAGAAAATCGCTTGAACCCAGGAGGTGGAGGTTGCAGCGAGCTGAGATTGCGCCACTGTACGCCAGCCTGGCAGCCTGCGTGACAGAGCGGGACTCCGTCTCAAAAAAAAAAAAAAAGAGAAGAGTTTATGATATAATGCAAGAAGGGAGGGGCAGACCTTAAAAACATAAACTTACTACGTTTCAACACCATACATTTGAAAGGGGCCACAGGACTGGCCCAGAAAGTACTCCATATGTATAAAAGGGCTGCAGTTTGTCCGGTGGTATAGAACATTAAGAATCTATTTGTTTGTTGAGACTTCAGCTTTCTCTTACTCCAAACATGCTGTGCTGTTTTGTCATAGAGAGCTGATGTCTTCAGTAGCAGATACCCCAAGTCTCTTGATGCCTCTTCTTTATCCCTATCAATTCTCTCTCTTTACTTCCTTCCCCTTCCAATCTAGAAGCCTATATTAGTCAGCTCAGGCTGCCATAATAAAATACCATAGACTGGGTGGCTTACGCAATAGAAACGTACTTATTCACAGTTCTAGAGACTAGAAATCCAAAATCAGAGTGCCAGCATGGTCAGGTTCTGGCATGGGCCCTCTTCCTAGCTTGCAGATGGCTGCCTTCTCACTGTATCCTCACACGACAGAAAGAGAGAGCAAACTTCCTGATGTCTTATAGGAGCACTAATCCCAGCATGAGGGCTCTATTTTGTAACTTCATCTAAACCTAATTACCCCCCAAAAGGCCCCATCTCCAACTACTGATACATTGGGGGTTAGGGCTTCAACATATATATTTTGGGGGGCACAATTAGCCCAAAATATGGCCCAAGTCTATCATTTTGGTCATTCTCTTGCTGGTGGTCTTACTCTCTTGCCCTTTTGTCCTCCTGGCGCAACCTTTTAGTCAAACCCCAGTCTGGGATTAGGCCAGTAGTCCCTTTCCATGGGGCAGCTCCCAGCTGTTGAGCACTGCCAGGGAAAAGCACAGCAGATTAAGGACCTGTGGCCACTGAAAATTAGGGTCTCCTCAGATTCATGTACTGATATGAAAGAACTATCACTTATACATGGGTCTTTAGTTCAAAAAACAGCAAGATGCATTTCAGTAGGCTTAATACAATGATTTCTGTAGAAATGTAATGTGTTATCTATGTGAAATGGACTTGTATTAGCTTAGAAATAGTACAAGTTGGCTGGGCGCGCTGGCTCACACCTGTAATCCCAGCACTTTGGGAGGCCGAGGCAGGCAGATCACCTGAGGTTGGGAGATCGAGACCAGCCTGATCAACATGGAGAAACCCCGTCTCTACTAAAAATACATGGTATTTTTGTAGGCATGGTGGCAGGTGCCTGTAATTCCAGCTACTAGTGATGCTGAGGCAGGAGAATCACTTGAACCCGGGAGGGGGAGGTTGTGGTGAGCTGAGATTGTGCCATTGCACTCCAGCCTGGGCAACAAGAGCAAAACTCCGTCTCAAAAAAAAAAAAAAAAAAAAAGCCAAAAGTTTGGTCACTCAGTGTCAAGCTGGAACACAGGAGTCCTTTCAAAGGTTCAGAATCCCATCGCTAGGACCCAATCTCCGCCAGAGCAACACAAGACCATTTCTCCCTGAGACCCTGGCACTGTCACAGTCAGTGAACACATCTCCATTTATTCTGGCATCCACAGGCCTTGGTTCTGCAGGCTTTCACCTCAGAGAAAATCTTGTCACTCTGGCCACTTCTGCTTCTCACTCTCCAAGCCCCTGAATGCCTACCCCCGACCCAACCCTACTTTAACAGATTAGAAGATAAAGTTTTCCCTTACCTATGCCCTGGGAATCAAGGAGGGAGGGAAGAGAAACAAACCTCTTCCCTCCTGATGCTTCTGTACCAGCAAAATCAAAAGAGAATTAAATCTTACAACAAATTGCACTGCTTCAGCTATTGACACTGTCCCACAGAATTCGAGGGACCTCACCTCCTCGTTTTTGGACGACAGAGGCTGAAACAAATCTTTGCTAAGGGAGGCTGGAAGTTGGGGCAAAACATTATTAATGGGTCACAGGCCAGAAAGGAGAGTCAATGAGAGAGGATTAATGAGGCCAGATCATCTGGTCCACAGGCTGGGCTGACTCATCCTGCATTCTGAGGCTTGATCTTCAGTGCACCTACCTGTGTTGGCTCCTGCTAGGGCTGCGTGAGCCTAAGGAAATAAGACTAAAAAAATCAAGCCTTGTGTATGAGTCTGTTTTCATGCTGCTAATAAAGACATACCCAGGAGTGGGCAATTTACAAAAGAAAGAGGTTTAATTGGACTTACAGTTCCACGTGGCTGGGGAAGCCTCACAATTATGGCGGAAGGCAAGGAGGAGCAAGTCACATCTTACATGGATGGCAGCAGGCAAAGAGAGCTTGTGCAGGAAAACTCCCCCTTATAATAACCATCATATCTCGTGAGACTTATTCACTATCATGAGAACAACACAGGAAAGACCTGGCCCCATGATTCAATTACCTCCCACTGGGTCCCTTCCACAACATATGGGAATTCAAGATGAGATTTGGGTGAGGACACAGCCAAACCATATCACTTTGGAACTCTCAGCTTCTCAAGGGGTAAATGTTGATTAAATGACTATATGACAGGTACCAGGGCTCTTATATGGCACAGAAGATTCAGGGAGGATACTACCTCACTGCTGTGACACTCACTGTCAAAGCCCCAAGAGGCACCTTGAAGGGACTTCACTTCTCAAGAAAAGGAATTGTATACTCAGTTCAGGGAAGATTCCTGTATTAGTTATCTACTGTTATGTAACAAATTACTCTAAAACTAGCAGCTTAAAAAACAACAAATATTTATTGTCTCAATGTTTTTGAAAGTCAAAAATATGGAAGAAGTTTAGCTGGCAAGTTCTGGATCAGGGTCTTTCATAAGGTTAGATTTGAGATGTCATCTGGGGCTGCAGTCATCTGAAGGCTGGACTGGGGCTGAAAAATCTACCTCCTGCATAGCTCAACCCCATGGCTGTTGGCAGGAGGCCACAGGTCCTCACTGACTATTGGCACTAATCATAAAAAAGTTGGAGTGGCTATATTAATGTTAGGCTAAATATATTATAAGATAAAAAGTATATTTTGAGATGAAGAAGAATATTTCATAATAAAAAAAATGCCATTTGCCAGTAAGATATAACAATTATAAATGTGTACATGCCTCATAACAAATTCAAAATACATAAAGCAAACGTGAAAGAACTAAAGGGAGAAATAGACAAATCCACAGTCGTGGTTAGATACTTTAACTTCTTCTCTTAGTTACTGATAGAACTAGATAAAAAATTAGTAATGATCATGAAAGTTGTCAGAATCTAAGTGGAATTACTTATGTCAAACTCTAACAAAAATAAATAAATAAGGCTGGGAGGCTGAGAAGCAGGGCGGTGTGTGGGGGGGTGTTGCACACATATCTATGATAAGAACACGATTACAAAGACTCTCTGAAGAGCTCTTACCCACCCATGCCTGTAAGAAGAACTTTTGTCAAAGACTTCCCAAACTGCTACATGAATCACAATGATAGCTAGCCAGATGTACAACAACACCTGCCTGACACACTGTCTTCACTAATGAACTGGCTTCAACTCCTGTGATAAGCCCCTGTAACCAATATTCTCTGTTTCAAGGCAAATTATGTGTCCTTCTCCCTGTTGCCTTTAAAAGCTTCCCCTTGCCTCAGCCTCTTCAGTTATGCCTATGGTCCCAAGAGCCCTATATCCTGGATTTGCAAGTCCCCTGCACATCTCAAATAAACTCAATATCTCTGGAGAATCTCCCTCTGTCTGTTATTTGGGTTGAAGTAATACAGAAGATCTGAACAACACTATCAACCACCTTGGTCTAATTGACATGTATAAAACACTACATACGATAACTGGATAATACACAATTTTTAAGTACACATGGAGTGTTCGCCAAGATATACCATATGTTGAGTCATAAACAAGTCAATAAATTTCAAAAGGCTTTCTCAGATCACACAGGAATTAAACTAGAAAGCAACAATTAAAATAATAGGATATGTTAAAAAGCCCTAAATATTTGGAAATTAAATAACACTTTTCTCGACAAGGAGTAAGTCAAAGAAGAAATCATAAAGAAAATTAGAAAGTACTTTGAACTAAATGAAAATGAAAACAATGTATCAAAAATTTGTGGATTTAACTAAAGCAGTAAGTAGAAGGAAATCTATAATTTCAAATGTTTGTCTTAGAAGAAAGGCTTATAAATTTTCATATTGAGAAGCTAAAAAAGAAGAGCAAATTAAACCCAGAGTAAGTAAAAAGGAAAACATTATAAAGATAAAAGTGGAAATCAATGGAATAGAAAATAGACAAAATAATAGAGAACATTAACAAACCCAAAACTTTTATGTTTAACAAAATTGATAAAATTGGTAAGCTTTTAGCAAGACTAATCAAGAAAAGAGAGGGAGAGAAAAAAACTAATTACTGGTATCAGGAATGAAAGAGGAGATTTCATTCCAGATCTTATACATATATTCAAATAATACTACTGGAATATTATGAACAACTTTAAAACAATAAATCTGATAACTTATATGAAATGGCCAGATTCCCTGAAAAACAAAACTTACCAAAAGTGGCAAAAGATGAAATAGAAAGCATGGATGGCTCTGCAACTGCAAAAAAACTTTTCCACAAAGAAAACTCCAGAATTCACTGGTGAATTCTATCAAATGGTTATGGAAGAAATGATAACAATCTTACAAATATTGAAATTTCAGAAAATAGAGAAGAAAGAAACTCTGATTTTATAAAGCCAGGCCAAAACCTGGCAAAGATACAAGAAAAGAAAACAATACACTGATTGCCTGTATGTTCATTTTTCATGAACATACAGGCAAAAATCTTTATCAAGATGTTAGTAAATAAAATCCAGCAGAATATAAGAAAGACAAAACCAAGTTGAATTTGTTAGCATTACACTAAATGGAGAAACATTGAACACTTTTCCCTCTAATATCAGGAACAAGGCAAGATGTTCATTCACTGCTTCTATTCAATATTGTGCAAGATGACCTAGACTACGCAACCACACAAGTAAAAGAAAAAGGCATAAATATTGGAAAGAAAGAAGTAAAACTGATTCTATTTACAAAGTATATGCATATTAATACAGAAAATCCTAAGGAATCGGCCGGGCGCGGTGGCTCACGCCTGTAATCCCAGCACTTTGGGAGGCCGAGGCGGGTGGATCATGAGGTCAGGAGATCGAGACCATCCTGGCTAACAAGGTGAAACCCCGTCTCTACTAAAAATACAAAAAATTAGCCGGGCGCGGTGGCGGGCGCCTGTAGTCCCAGCTACTCGGGAGGCTGAGGCAGGAGAATGGCGTGAACCCGGGAAGCGGAGCTTGCAGTGAGCCGAGATTGCGCCACTGCAGTCCGCAGTCCGGCCTGGGCGACAGAGCGAGACTCCGTCTCAAAAAAAAAAGAAAATCCTAAGGAATCTACAACCCCCGCCCCTACAAAACAAATAATAGCACTAATAAGTGAAAGTCTCAATGTCACTATACAAAATCAATTATATTTCTCTACATTAACAGCAAATCAATGGAAAATAAAATAACATTCACAAGACTCAAAGAATAAAATACTTAGGAATATATTTATCAAAATGCATTCAGTGCTTTAAACTATGAATTCTCCCCAAATTAAACTACAGGTTCACAATTCCAGCAGGTATTTTTACAAAGTTGATAAGTCAATTCTAAAATTTATATAGAAATAGAAAGAACCTGGAATAGAAAAACAATTTTGAAAAAGAAGAAAGGGTAGACAATATACATTATTTGACTTCAGGAATTATCCTCAAGCAATAGTCATCAAGGAAGTGTGATACTAGCATAAAGATTGATAGATAAATGGATCATTAGAACAGAATAGAGACCCCAGATATAGGTCCACCTTATATGGTGAACTTATTTTTGACAAAGGCACTAGAGCTGATCAATGGCAGTAATTTTTTGTAAGCCCTACTTTTTTCCAACAAATGATGCTGTAGCAACTGGATATCTATATGGGAAGAATGAACTTTGACTCTTACCTAAAACTATACACAAAAGTTAATTCAAGATGCATCATAGACCTAAACATAAAACTACTAAAATTTTGGACAAAAATATGGGTGAATATCTGAGAGTAGGCAAAGATTTTTTAGAACCCAGAAAAAAAACAAATTGATAAATTAGACTTCATCAAAATTAAAAATTTCTGCTTATCAAAACCATCATTAACAAACAGGCAAGCCACAGACTGGAAGAAAATATTTATGAAACATGTACCTAGCAAAGGACTGTATCCAGCATATCTAAATCTCCTATAATTCAATATTAAAAAGCAAAGACAAAAAATGTGGATGTTTCACAAAAGAAGAGGTACAAATGACCACTAAGCACATGAAAACACAATCAACTCTATTAATCACCAGGAAAATGCATACAAGTCACAATGAGATACAACTATTAGAATAGCTAAAATCTGGAAGGCCGGCAACATCAAATGTTAACAAGGATGTGGAGCAACTAGAACTCTTATATATTGCTCTTAAGAACATAAAATAATACGACCACATTGGAAAAACTTGTGACAATCTAATAAAATTAAATATGCATCTATTGTTTGACTCAGTAATTCCGCACCTAGATATTTACCCAAGAGAAATGAAAACATATAGCTACAAAAAAAGATGTATGAGAATGTTCACAGCAGCATTATTCATAATGGTCTACAATATGAAACAACCCAAATGTCTATCAACTAGTGAATAAATTAATAAATTATAGTATATTCACACAATGGGATACTTCAGAGCAAAAAAGGGCAAGTTTCTGATATGTGAAACAATATGGATTAATCTCTCACACATTATGGTCAATTAAAGACATCAGACACAGAGTACATATTACATTATTTCATTTATACAACAGTCTAGATCTAAGAGGAAAATAAATGAGAATAGTGATCGCCTGGTTGTGGAGGGTGGGATGACCGGGATGACATGCAAGGGAACTTTGTGGAGTCAGGGGAAAATGTTCTTTATCTTGCTTGGTGTTGGGGTTACAAAAGGATATTGCTTTGTCGAAACCCATTGAACTATACATTTTTGTTCATTTTAATGTATGCAAAATTTATTTCCCTCAAAGAAATGAACTTTAATAAAGCAAGAAAAATATATGATCATACATACACAATACTAGGGCCTCTTGCAGGGCACTTAAAGAGCCCAACAGAGAAAGGGGCTAAACTCACTTGAAGCTTCATTAGCTATGTAGAAAATCTGCCTCTGCCCCCAGCTCACATTCTGGCCCAACACTCACTTAGTTGTGTGACCATGGACAAGCTGTTTGATATCTCAGTCCCTTGAATCCCACATGTGAAAATTCTGAATAACTATAGAACCTATCTCACTAAATTGGTGAATAAATTCCATGAGATAAATTAGAACTAACTGGTACATAGTGAGTGCTCAACAAACATAAACTATTATCATTATTGTGCAGACACAGTTTTCAAAAGAAAACTGTTTGGGAAATTCTTCCAAGGGCCATGAAGAGCCTACTGAAGTGTCCTGAGAAGAGAAGGGACACAGTCAGATTTGCCTTTCAGAAATAATGACTGGGCCGAGTGCAGTGGCTCACACCTGTAATCCCAGCACTTTGGAAGGCTGAGGCGGGCGGATCACGAGGTCAGGAGTTCGAGACCAGCATGACCAACATGGTGAAACCTCGTCTCTACTAAAAATAAAAAAATTAGCTGGGTGTGGTGGCGCACGCCTGTAATCCCAGCTACTCAGGAGGCTGAGGCAGGAGAATCGCCTGAACCCGGGAGGCGGAGGTTGCAGTGAGCCAAGATCACGCCACTGCACTCCAGCCTGGGTGAAAGAGCGAGACTCCGTCTGGAAAAAAAAAGAAAAAGAAAAAAGAAAGAAAGAATGACTGAAGCAGCAGTGGGGAGGATGAATTGGTCGGGGAGGAGGGAAGAACGGATTTGGAGTCCTTTCAGGACTGTCCTAACATGAAAATGGATGAGACATTATTGATCTAAGGAATTTTTTAGAAATAAAATAGTTTTATTCAAAGGATATAGAATTTCAACATTTTAATAAAAATCTAAATAAAAATAAAAGTAAAACTTAAAATGATTTTTCACATTTAAAGATATTAAAATAAATTCAAAATTGCCTAGTAAAATAAAAGCCAAATAAATTATAATTAATATCAAATCTTGAAATAAAAGTGTTTAAAAATATAATTGTTCAATATTGCAGAAGGTTCTTAAGCAACCCACCCTGCTCATGTTGAATTGTAAGTACTTCTCCAGAACTGCACACTGGAACGGGAAGAGAAATAACATGGACTTTCACACCATTAGGAAAGGAGACTTCATTATACTGAGCCCGTCTACTCCTGCACACTCCTGGGGTGGGATTGTGGGTCACAGGGAGACGTACGTGCATACTGCCGAAGAGCTCCCAAGTGGCTGGCTGCACCAGTTAACACTCCCCTGAGCAGTGTAGGGGAGTCTCAGAGGGTCACTTGGCATTTTCCATCATTTTCATTTTAGCCATTTTTGCAGGTGTGCGCAATGCTGTTTTTATAACCAACACATCATTTTTCTCTTCCTTTCCTGGAGGGGGAACCCAGCTTTTCTAGGCCCTCCACCCTTTGGGCAGGAGGAACTGGGTGTGTGGGGCGGGGGGAAGCCATCTCTGGGTGGTTGGTCAGCTGGGGCCTAACCACAGGAGGCAGATAGACTGAGGCTATGCCAAGCAGAAAGACTTATCAGGCACCTCTTGCCTTTCCTCATCTCTGCCGGTTCAAATCCTGCTCGCCCCGCAAGGGCAGATTGGAATTTACCTTCTCCAGAAAGCCTGGGGTGACTCTATCCCCTCACTCCTCCTCCCCCGTTCGCCAGCTTTTGTCTTGACATCGGCGGACCAAGAATGTGTGACTCTGGGCAAATCATTAACCTCTCTGGGCCTATTTCCTTATCTGGGGAACATCTGCACTTGAGCAACAGAAGTCTAAGATCCCTATCTGATTTGATGTTTTGCGACCCTTTTAAGGCGCAGGGCGCGAAAGAACAGAAACAGAAGTGTCCGTTCAAGTAGGTCGGCCGGGGTGTCACTCGTATAAAAACCTATGCTTTGAAGGTTCTCGTGTGTCTCGGCCTGCAGGTCTCGCTCAGAGCTGTGTCCCTGAACATCCACCCTGCTGGGGTGGCTTGACGCACTTCTGTGCAAATCTGTTCGCTCGCAACCCTACCTACCTCTCTCCCGAACCGGAGAAAACCTTCGGCGGGGTCCTTCCGGGTTTTGTGTCGAATCTGCGGCGGCGACCCGGCGCCGCGTCACGCGGTGGTGAATGTGCGGCAGCACGCGCGCCGCGTCGTTTACGCGGCGATTTCATCATGCTCCGAGCCGGGCGGCGCGCGCCGCTTCCGTCGCCACCCTCTCTGGACAGCCCAGGGCCGCAGGCTCATGCCCTCTCCGCGTCCAGTGCTGCTTAGAGGTGCTCGCGCCGCTCTGCTGCTGCTGCTGCCGCCCCGGCTCTTAGCCCGACCCTCGCTCCTGCTCCGCCGGTCCCTCAGCGCGGCCTCCTGCCCCCCGATCTCCTTGCCCGCCGCCGCCTCCCGGAGCAGCATGGACGGCGCGGGGGCTGAGGAGGTGCTGGCACCTCTGAGGCTAGCAGTGCGCCAGCAGGTACCGGTGTTTTGCGCTCTCCGCTAAGCCTCCGGCTCTCCTCCCAGGGCCTTCTTCTGGTCATCCTTCCCTCCTCCCCGGGGAACTGTCCTCCTCTTCGGTTACCCCTTTCTTTCCCTTCATCCTCTGGCGTCTTCTTCGCCTCCCCCACTTTGGTCCCAAGTCCCCCGTGCGTCAGCCACCTCCTCTCCCGCGGACCTCCGTCCTCCTCTCTTTTTGGATGACTCCCTGGAACCCCTCCGACTTCCTGCGTCCCTCTCCGGCTCCGTTCTCCCTTCCCCATTCTGTCACAGCCCGCGTCTCCTCTATTTCCAGTGGGGCTGGGATCTGTGACCCTTTGGTTGTCCTCGCCTCCTAACTGAATAACCTTAACTTCAGTTTTCCAGGCTCTGCTGTACTCTTTGTGCACCCTGGGTGGAAAGCCTCCTAATTCTTTCAGTGGTCAATGATGAGCCGAAAAACTGCCGGTTCTTTCGTCTTACGGCCAGGCCCTTTAATCTTTAGGATGCTTTGATAGTGTTTCCCCCTTAACATCTTCCTTCATTCAGTGCTTAGTTTAGCGGAATGATTGGCTGAGAAAATAGAATTGAAATGTGGATGTGGGGAGGTGTCGAACTTTTCTATTAATGCTGTGAACTCATCATCCTTTGCTCTTGTCATCTTTTCTGGCTTCTGAAAAGGCCGTTTGGAACCAGTGAGCCCTCAGATCGTAAACCTGGGAAACTAAGTGTTGCGGAGTGAAGTCAGCCATCCTTAGTATGGAATATTTTGACATTTGATTTTCCCGAAGGTGAGGGAAGGTTTCATGGGCTGAAGGACTTGGTGATTTAATATAGACCTCCTTTTCCTAGGGCACTGCCATAGAGTTTAGAATTTAGAGATATCAAGGAAAAGATTATTTCAGATGATTCCCATATGCAATTAGGGAGAGCCAGAGCTTGCAGTAGGACCCCGGAGATCATGACTTAGTAGTAAACACCAAACGGGTTTCTCCTGCATGGGCGCCTGATGCAATAATTTGCCTTAGCTACAGAGGGTGGAACCCTATCTCGGAAATAATTCATTGGGGCATAGCTGCCGCAAATTCAGCCACTTTGCCATCTGTCCTCTTCGCTGGTTTGAGCCTGACCGATTTTAATAAATAGCCTTTCATTTTGAAATATCACCACGGGCTTAACTTTTTTCTTCATGATTGGTGTCAGAACACCGATTGCATATTCTGTCTCCCTCCACCCACCTTCCACTCCACAAATAAAATTAGGTGTGGTTCCTTTGTCTTTTCTTAACTTGCCATTTTAAAAAATATCCTTCCCTTTAGAAGGAAGCATACAACTAATTTGGAGAAAAAAAAAAACCACCACACCCAAACCCCTCCCTCTGCCACGTTAGCCTGGAACTGCAGTGAAAATCATCCATCGGTAGTTAAGACAGGATCTAGTTAACTAAAGTAAACTTTGATCGCGGCAGCTTTCCGATGCTACTAACTACTGTCTTGTGTATTGTTTATGTTGTCTTGATTATTGTTTTGTACTTTAAGATATTTTCCGAATATACGAGTTAGTTGATTTAAGTTAGTTTGGATATTTTTTTCTAATTTTCCAAGAACACACATATATCAGTTAGTTAATTGTGTGAATTACTGAGTCCTATGTCAGCTGAAAAATAATTTAAAGATGATCTAATTTTACCCATTTTTTGTATATGGGGAAATGAGACACACTGTCACCCCTATCCATTTTGGATAACTCCATTGTGAAGTGCAATTGAAAACCTTTCCGGAGTGGGATTTTTACTTAATGACTGGTCTTGTTAGTAGCACATGTTTCATAGAAATTTGTTAATCTGGAAAATGAATGAAGTGAGTTTGTCACTTTAAGAAAACAACGGTTAGTATTTGTGGCCAATAATAAAATTCAAACTTTGGGGAAATTTTAGAATTTGGGAAGACTCGTATCTTTTGCTGTGAGCTTGGCAGCTTCACAGTCCTTAAAGATATCTGTGATGAGATGAGTGGTGATATTAACAAACGTGGATTTTTTTTTGATAGTATTTGGATAATCTGCGTAACTCAGTGAACCAGTGTTTTCCAGGTGACCAATGCATGATGTTATGAAATCAGGTATTGGTGAAAGAGCCATTCAAAGCTTAAGATACATTAATAGATTTATTCTGACAGTACAAAAAATTCATTGCTATAGTTTCTGAGTTAGAAATAACCTTGAAGAAGCTACCACTTGTCAGAGTTTTGAGGTAGTATCAAAGAATATCCACAATTATCCGAAACGGCTTTTAAAATTATTTTTCCTTTTCCACCTACATATGTCTTTCTTCATATACTTTACCCAGAACGTCATATTACAAAAGAAGCAGACTTTCCACATTGGTCTTTTAGGATTTTTCACAGATTAAGGTTACCAAAATAGTAAGTGCCAAACTCAAAATTTAAAAACCCATGAGGAAACAAGCCACCTTGAGTGAGACTTAGGGGAAATGATAATAGAATTAGATCCTCCAAAAGTATTAGAATAATCACATATTTTTAAAATGCTTAAGATAATTTTTAAAATAAAAGAAGTACTCAAAAACATGAGCAAAGAACAAGAGACTACCAAAAACAATCACACAGTGTGAAAATGAAGCACATATTGTATGGAAATGGATCACTGAAATTAGAAACTCTGTTGGGTGCCCAAGGGCTATATCAATTTAACAACTTTAATTACTCAGCTGAAAGTTTTTCATCCTATATAGGTAATATTTTGTTTGTTTACTCAGATGACCTATTCCACCATATTACTATAAATATGGAATTAGTATAAGTTGTTGGAAGTTAATAAAATAATTCAGAAATATTAGCAAGGAAAAAATTCCAACTGTAAAGAGAAAGGCAAAGGAAGATGAGCCAGCAGTGACTGAGAAGAATGGTCAGAGAAGTGGGAGGAAAACTGAATAATGTTTTTATTTTTTTTTGTAAGCGAGAGGAGAGAGATTTAAGAAGGTGGTCAATTTATTGGTTCTTCTGTGTTCTCAGTACAAATCTTGCTCTTTCCTACTTTTTAATCAATGCTTTTGTCTCCTCCTTTTTCACCCCTCTATACCCAAAGGAAAAAATTCACCATGTGAGCAGTTATTTGTTAACTTGCCCGTGTGTTCTTCTAGATTATTAAATGAAGAGGGCAGAGACCTTGATTCATAATGATCACTCACATAATAAACATTTGAATTGCATCATTCTTTTTTTTTTTTTTTTTTTTTTTCATTTTGAGACGGAGTCTCACTTTGTCACCCAGGCTGGAGTGTAGTAGCATGATCTTAGCTCAGTGCAACCTCCGCCTTCCGGGTTCAAGTGATTCTCCTGCCTCAGCCTCCCAAGTGGCTGGGATTACAGGTGCCCACCACCACGGCCGGCTAATTTTTGTATTTTCAGTAGCGATGGTGTATCACCATGTTGGCCAGGATGGTCTGAAACTCCTGATCTCAGATGGTGAGGAGGGCCTTTCAAAGTGCTGGTATTACAGGCGTGAGCCACCACGCTTGGCCTGAATTGCATCATTCTTACATAGACTTTTTAAAAGGCACGCTTAAAAACACATTCCTAACATTTCTTAACTTCTGAAACCAATCCTGAATATAAATTCTCTTTCTTGGCTAGGGAGATCTTGTGCGAAAACTCAAAGAAGATAAAGCACCCCAAGTAGACGTAGACAAAGCAGTGGCTGAGCTCAAAGCCCGCAAGAGGGTTCTGGAAGCAAAGGTGAGTCCTGGGATGCTAAAATAGGAACATAAGTAGGTATAGGATTGTTCATCTTTAATTTCTTTGGATGGGAGAGACCTAGAAAAGTTTCTGAACAAGTATCATTTGGTTTATCTGTTTATCCATAATGCCGCCTTCTCCTTTCCCTCTACCTGGTAGACTCCTCATCCTTTCAAAATGCAACTCAAAATGTCAACTTTTTAATAAAGCCTTCCTGACCCTGCAAATGCTGGACTCAATACGCTATATGAATTTCCATGGAAAGGATTGTGCTCTTCTTTACGACTTCTCTTATGCCTGAAAATAATGATTTTTGTTTGTTTGTTTGTTTTAAGGAAAAGGTCTGTTTATTTGATACCTGCTCCCAGACCTTTCAAACAATAGATCTCCCATCACCAAACTTAAGTTGTTTTGGGGTTTTAAAGTAACCATTTTGCTATAGCAATCCACTGACAATTCAAATATTGCTTTATATTGCTTATCAGTATCTACATCAAAGTAAACTTAGTCTTGTTTTTTTTTTGAGATGGAGTCTCGCCCTGTTGCCCAGGCTGGAGTGCAATGGTGCGATCTCAGCTCACTGCAACCTCTGCCTCCCGGGTTCAAGTGATTCTCCTGCCTCAGCCTCCCAAGTAGCTGGGATTACAGGTGCCCACCACCAAGCCCAGCTAATTTTTGTATTTTTAGTAGAGACAGTGTTTTGCCATGTTGGCCAGGCTGGGCTTGAACTCCTGACCTCAGGTGATCCACCCACTTCGGCCTCCCAAAGTACTGGGATTACAGGTGTGAGCCACCGCACCTGGTCAAGCTTAGTCTTGTAATCTTGGAAATGATCATATATTTTCCTAAATGATTAAGTAAAGATATCTTTTATATTACTCAAAGGGAAAAAAAGACCTATGGCTTCTATTGTTTTTAACCTATCAAAATCTTGTCTGTTTGATAAATTTTATATTTAATTCTGGTGAGGAATAAACTAAATTCAGATATATAAGTTCAGATTCCCACCCACCCCTCCACTCACTCACTTTTTATTTAATCTCTAACAGGAGCTGGCGTTACAGCCCAAAGATGATATTGTAGACCGAGCAAAAATGGAAGATACCCTGAAGAGGAGGTTTTTCTATGATCAAGCTTTTGCTATTTATGGAGGTAAGGGATTAATGACAAAAAGAACTATTGTGTTGTTAGTGGCTCTAATATTATACTTAAATCAAGAACATGGCTTGCCTGTTGGTATCCACTTGTATCAGGCCACAAAGCAGAGGATGGATGTTTTGCTTTTGTTTGCTTGGAGTCACCATTTGGTGTGATACCTGTTATTTTTCTCCACTGCATTTATTCCTGGACAGCACTTTTTTTGATTAGGATGTAGGGAATTGTTGGAGGCCCATGTATGTATTTGATGTGTCTGTGTACTCATGTACTCTTTTTAAAATGCAATGGAGACTGAAGAGTAACAGAGGGCCATTGTAGTACTGGCTAACTATACTATGCCCCTTCACACAGGGGCAGTGATAAAACAGTCCTTAGATTATTCTTTATGGTCATCTGCCAGGAGAAAACATTCTTCCCAGGGATGTAGATAAATCACTGTGAATGCCATATGAAGGTATATAGGCAAATACAATTCACTGATGAAATGTAAAACTATATTTTTCATAGTCAACGGATTATTACAACAACATTAGACATATAGTACTTTGCCACTGAAAGTTGACTTGAGTTTGGCTAAGTGGATCTGTAAATGTTTACCCTTTTGAGGTTAAATAGTGCCTCAAATACCCAGGAAAAAATTAGAGAATTGGATGCTAAAATTATAGATCATTGTTATCAGATGTGGTGAGAAATTATTTTGTAATTTTTACGGCAGAAAACTGTAATCTGCTTTTTCATTCTGTTCTCTAAGGGGGAACTTTTGTTGTAGATTTTGGGCTAGTCCTACTTGAAATTACAAATATAGAATTAGTAAATGGCGTAAGAGCTTTTTTATTTTACTTCCATCAGCTAGCTGAAAGTAAGGTTCTTCAGTATTGAGGGATTTGCATTGTTGACTTGAATACACTTTTAGGGAGTATAGGTATCAGTTTCTCATGTCTCCTTGCCTTCATTTGTTCAGAGTAACAAGGTAAAGTATGTGTTTTCCTCTCATATTCTATAGGTGTTAGTGGTCTGTATGACTTTGGGCCAGTTGGCTGTGCTTTGAAGAACAATATTATTCAGACCTGGAGGCAGCACTTTATCCAAGAGGAACAGATCCTGGAGATCGATTGCACCATGCTCACCCCTGAGCCAGTTTTAAAGTGAGATCTTACTTTGGAGTGGGGGTATCCTACTTTAAATAAAATAACTTATTAAATTATTTAATATACTTATCTAAATAACTTCCTGATTATAAAGAACTACTCATTTCATGTAGAAAATCTGAAAAATATGGAAAAGCAAAGAAATGTATACCTTCTGCTCACAGATAGCTATGTTAAGATGATTGTGTTTGTCCTTCCTGTTTTTTCTGTACGTCCCTATGTATTTCAGTGTTAGCAGTACACTGCTTATTTTCATGTAATATTGATGAACATATACTCATATCATTAACTATTCATCTAAAGCATTTTTAATGATAGCATAGTATTCTGTTTTATGGAAGTGCCATAATATGTTAGTTTGTGCCATATTGAAAGCATTAAAGTGTTTCTCATTTTTGACTGCACCGAATATCTTGATAGATGGATTTTTGGGTATATCCTTGATTATTTCCTTAATACAAGTTCTGAGCAAAGGTATACTTGTAGAGATTTTCAGTTAAATACTATTTGTTTTAAAGTTTCAATGCAGAAACTTAGATTATTCCTACCAACGTTATTGAAAGTAGGGCAGAATTTCCTTTTTTTGTGTGTGTGAGATGGAGTCTTGCTCTGTCGCCCAAGCTGGAATGCAGTGGCTTGATCTCGGCTCACTGCAAGCTCTGCCTCCCAGGTTCACGCCATTCTCCTGCCTCAGCCTCCCAAGTAGCTGGGACTACAGGCACCCACCACCACGTCTGGCTAATTTTTTTTTTGTATTTTTAGTACAGACGGGGTTTCACCATGTTAGCCAGGGTGGTCTCGATCTCCTGACCTCGTGATCCGCCCGCCTCGGCCTCCCAAAGTAGGGCAGAATTTCAGAATGTGAAACTGAAAGGAATTCTTTTATTTATTTATTTATTTTTTGAGATGGAGTCTCGCTCTGTCCCCCAGGCTGGAGTGCAGTGGGGCGATCTCTGCTCACTGCAAGCTCCGCCTCTCGGGTTCACGCCATTCTCTTGCCTCAGCCTCCAGAGCAGCTGGGACTACAGGCACCTGCCACCGTGCCTGGCTAATTTTTTTGTATTTTTAGTAGAGACGGGGTTTCACCATGGTCTCGATCTCCTGACCTCGTGATCCGCCTGCCTCGGCCTCCCAAAGTGCTGGGATTACAGGCGTGAGCCACTGCGCCCGGCCTGAAAGAGGAATTCTTGCCATTTTGTAACTCGTCATTATTCATTTAAGGTTGACTGGTGGAGAGCTAATTTTTACTATTGGCATCCGTTAGGTTCTCTTAATAATTTCAGCCAATGAAGAGGAGGAATTCTGAATGATGGCTCTATAAGATCAGGACTACCTATCATTTTAGCTACTTGTTCCACCAATAGGAACTTTGTAGAGATAATACCAATGTCAGTACAGGTTTCAGTGGCAGAAAACACTTCCCTTAAGGTTCAATGTCTATACTGAGCTGCCATGAATTCTTAACTAGTCAAATTCCCAGTGATTTTGGCCTTTGCTTAGATCACTAATAATAATGGCATAGGCATGGATTAATTGATCCTGAAGAATAGTACAGACTTTATGACAACTTGTAGAAAAGAATTGTCTTTTTATTGTCTAGTTAATGTCTTCTTTCTTATGGGAAGGAAGAATGTGGGAGAGGGTGAGAAATAGATTTGAGGAAGAATTTTCTCTGGCATCCATTACTGTCATGGATACATCATTACTATAGATATGGGAGCTTCCATCTTTGAGATGGATATAAATATTGATGGGGAATTATCTTATAAGGTAATATCTATGTGTAATTTGTATGAGAATGACAAATTGGGTTGGCATTTGTTAATTTAGGACCTCTGGCCATGTAGACAAATTTGCTGACTTCATGGTGAAAGACGTAAAAAATGGAGAATGTTTTCGTGCTGACCATCTATTAAAAGGTGAGGTTCTTCATCTCCTTCAGGTAGGATTGATCAAAATAAAAGGTTTAAACTTTCTCTCAGATGTCTTTCATTAAATTTTTTATTGAGGCATAACATTCAAAGAGCAAAGTGCACAGATCTTAAGTATATAGATCAAGTCCTTTATTTTTTAAAAAAGTTATATGTAGATAATTAGTTATATACAGATAATTTTTCTAATTAGCAAATGAATCAAGACAATACCATGACTGCTGTTGTAAAATCAACTGTGGGATTCATGTAAATTAAGAACTTTATGCTTGGATTTACTTTTTAATTGTCTAGCATTGAAACTGAAAAGTGCATTGTCCTTTTTCCCATTGATTGATATATGTCAACACTGTTCTTACAGCTCATTTACAGAAATTGATGTCTGATAAGAAGTGTTCTGTCGAAAAGAAATCAGAAATGGAAAGTGTTTTGGCCCAGGTGAGTACTCTAGAGATGTTATCAGAGTAACCTAGGTGGTCGCTGTCCTTCTTTCAGTGTTTAATGACTGTTGCATTTCCCATTATGCTGACCCTGGCCACATTGTAATGAAGCAGAGGTTAATTCTGTCCTGTATAGCGTCTCTTTTTTTGCATTTTTATTTTCTTCTCTCTTTTGTGACTAACCCTTTATTTCAGCCCAAACTAACAAGTCCGTGTTAATAGGCATTCAATTTGTCTGACCTTGGAAACTACTTTTCTGGATTTAATAGCTAAAACCACAGGAGTGACTGATGATGGGTAGTGTTCAGCACTGGTGTGGAGACTTCGGGGCAGATAACTTGATGAGCACTTTCTCACTGGCTACTTGATCTGCCTCTGCTTGGACCCTGATTTCATGCTATTATTCTTAGAACCTCATGAGCAGGTCCTGACTTTTCTGTCCTTGCTTTTCTCAGTTTGCCTATAGGCCTAAAGTTTTATAATTTGTATAATATTTAAGCTGACAAATTTTAGAGAAGACAAAAAAGAGACCACAGAGATAATTTATTCTGACCTTTTACCAATTGCAGGAATACTTTCTATATTAGAAGTAGTTCTTATCCTTTTGTTGGGTCACAGACCACCCTAAGAATGTGATCAAAACTGCACGTCTCCCTGGGAAGATGCATGTGCTCATGTATATATGTTGCTGGTGTCTCACCTCATCTGTTGGCTATTCCGTTTAGGCAAAGTACATTTCTCCAACACCATGTTTAGTCATGAGGTCTACTGAGGCTCACCTCTTAAATTTTATTTACTTCCTTGGGCAAAAAACAAAAAACCAATACTGTGATTATACCTATTTTCTTTACACCGATCTCTCTCTCTCTCTCTGCCTGAATATAGAACTCCCTAATATGTTGTTTTTCATGGGAATTACTGGATACTTTTCCACTGTTGTCCTAATTTTTTTTTTAGCATGCTTTTTTTCTCTGTGATAGTTAACTTTCCAACATAGCTAAAATAATTTCTCCTTCTTCATTTACATTGAAAACTTTCTTAATTTGGCTGTTGAATCATCTGCTGATTTATTTTGATACTTGTGGAGTGTAATTTTATCCCTTGCTTGAAGCTCATTGTTTTAGTAATTACTCATGGTTTAGAAAATTATTTCTTACATTTTGATACTGTTGAAGCCACACGTTCATCTCATTTTCTTATCCAAAGGCATGCCCTTTATTAGAAAAAATGGAAAATGCCTCTAAGTATCCCTAAAATTTTCCATTCAGAATTTTAGATTTACTGAGGTTTTGTGTATATGTTTTTGATCTTAACAGTATTATTCATTTCCAAGTACGTTGTCAGAGTTGGGAAGTAACTAGTTGATTTGACAAGTCAATTTATTGTTTGAGCATTGGCCTTCTCTCTTATTTCAGATCTGTGTTCTAGGAGAGCAATTTGTTTTTTGACTTGCCATATCAGATGCATGTACAGCTGTCAATATAATCTTCAATGAAAAGTAAGGGACCCATGGGAAATGGTGTAGCACTCAGAAATGGCCCTGGTGGATTCACTGGCTGAAAGCCCATCTGTTGCTTAAGCACAGAGTAGCGTTTTCTGCACCTTAGTGTCTGACTCCTTTTCAGCTTTATGAAGCATCATTGTTTCTTTAAAAGGCCCTGATTCACCTTCTGTGGTAGGAAGACCTCTACTCCTATTATGTGGATTTAACAGCTCAGAACGAATTCTTTTGTTTCTCTTCTCTGTCTGTTTTTGTGGCCCATCTCTGGATGTTCCAGTTTTAAAAACCATTTTTAACTTGTTTATGAAAAATTCAAAACATACAAAATTTTATATGTTAAATAAAAACATAATAAACAATTATGTACCTATCACCCTGCTTCACTGTTAGATTTTTTTGTATCTATTCCCCTCTCACTTTCCTGACTTCTTTCCCCTAATTCTTTGTGTGTGGTAGGGTGGGGACAGAGCCCCACTCTGTAGCCCAGGCTGGAGTGGAGGGGCACGAACATGGCTCACTGCAGCCAGGACCTCCTGAGCTCAAGAATCCTCCTGTCTGGGCCTCCCAAAGTGCTAGGATTACACATGTGAGCCATGGTGCCCAGCCTGAATTTTTTTGAAGCAGATCTCAAACATTATTTTATTATACCTGTAAATTTTTCATTATCTATCTCTAAAAGAGAAAAATCCTTTAAAAATAAAGGATTTAAAAAATCCTTTTCAATCCTCTTACCTTGGGAAATGTTAATAATTTAATATCATCAAATATTTGATCAGTGTTCATGTTTTCTAGGCTGTCTTAAATGTTTCCAGTTTTTAAAATTTGAATTGGGATCCAGATAAAGTCTATACTTTGTGATAGGTTGATATGTTTCTTATATCTCTTCCAATCTGTATGGCCTTCCTTCATTCCCTTTTCCCTCCCCGCATTTTCATTAAAATTTTTTTCAAGAAGCTGAGTCATTTGTTCCTTACTGTTTTCTACTGTCTGGATTTGGCTAATTACGTTATTGTAGTGAGGTTACACATGTTCATCTTTTTCTCTATTAGATTTAGAAGCTTGACCAGGTATTTTTGGCGAGACATTTGGTTAAGTGGTGTTATGGACTTCTGTCCAGAGCTACATAGTACCTGGTTAGCTCTTCTGTGGGCTGTGGCCATTGATGTCCATTGTTTAGATGCATTAACTGATGAGGGGATTTCAAAATGGTGATTTTTGTCATTGTTATTCTTTTTTTTTTTTTTTTTTAGCTAGACTATTTCTATATGAAAAAACTTTCTATCAACTATTTGATTTAACTGAGACACGATTTGTAAAGAAAGGTGAGAATAAGTGCTTCATCCATTCTCCCACCCCTTGTCTTTTTAAACCTGTTTTCCATTAGTTGGTTCCCTAACATCCTTCAGAAATGCACGAGTTCCTGCCTGCCTTTTCGTTTTTTCCTCCTACTGTTGTGAACTTTAGATTCAAATATTTGATATTCAGTCAGTTGCAGTTATCTTATTGGTGGTTAAATTGTCCAGTCTTTGGTGACTAGGAGTTCTCTGCTGAGTCCTTTTGACACAGCCCTTGTAGTCTCTGAAAACTTCCTTTAATATGACAAGATATTGCCATCTCATCTTATACATTTCCTGTCCCAGACTTGGAATCAGACATTTCTCCAAGGAGCCCTGGTACTTGGTACTTATTAGTGGGGATGGTATTGATCACTAATTATAAACCTTGTCAGTGATCTGAGCTAGGAAGTTGATATTTTTTAAAAGATAAACTTTTCATGAGTTAATATAGATACTTAATAGTTAACTTAAAGTTAGGTTTATAGGGTTTTTACTATATTAATCTTAAATCTCTCTCCTTTACCCTTACCAAAAATCGCAGTTCTCAGCAACAAAACATAATGATTGATGTGCCTTATCTCCCACTGTATACGTTAACAGTCTCAGAATGACAATACCAACACCACCATCAGCAATATGAATGTTGAAAACAGTTAAAAACACTTTTATTGTTCTTTTCTTTAGGGATATGCCAGCACTGTGTAGTCTTACAGTCTGATAACTGTATTTAAAGTCACTTGGAGTCATTCTCTCTGTGTGGTTATGCCATCAGCTAGATATGCAGTTAGTCCATATATTTCATTTTATTTTCAGTATTCAGGGTTTCCTTTTTAAAAATTTGTTTTATAATCATATAGCACAATAGCAAAGACTTGGAACCAACCCAAATGTCCATCAATGATAGACTGGATTAAGAAAATGTGGCACATATATACCATGGAATACTATGCATTCATAAAAAAGGATGAGTTCATGTCCTTTGTAGGGACATGGATGAAGCTGGAAACAATTATTCTCAGCAAACTCTGACAAGGACAGAAAACCAAACACTGCATGTTCTCACTCATAGGTGGGAATTGAACAATGAGAACACATGGACACAGGGTGGGGAACATCATACACCTGGGCCTGTCGGGGGGTGGGAGGCTGGGGGAGGGATAGCATTAGGAGAAATACCTAATGTAAATGACGAGTTGATGGGTGCAGCAAACCAACATGGCACATGTATACTTATGTATCAAACCTGCATGTTGTGCACATGTACACTAGAACTTAAAGTATAATAAAAAAGTTAAAATTTGTTTTATAATCATATAAAGCATTTTTTATACCTCTAAAGGCAAATCTAAAAAACAAGGTATATTTAGTCTACTATCTTTCTCTTCCCTTTACCTTCCGTCCTTCTGCTTCCCTGCTTCCTGAGCAGTTTTTAACTTAAAACAACTTCCTTTTTTAAAAAAATAGAATATAAACAAAGACATATAGATATTTGTATGCCCTCCTTTCTAGATAAATGGTTGCATTCCATACACACTTTTCTCCATTGTGGTTTTCTTCACATAACAAAATATTTCAGAGATTGGTCCCTCATAGTATATAGAGATTGCCTCCTTCCATTTTATAGCTACATAATTGGGCATTGTGTGGATATATTTTACATAACCAGTTGTCCACTGCTGGACATTTAGGTTATTTCCCATCTTTAACATTACAGATAATGCTGCATTGAATAATCTTGTGCTTATATCTTTTCATGTTTTTGCTATTGTGTCTTTGGGATAGATGCCTAGAAATGGGACAAAGGATAAATACAAATATAGTAATGTTAGATATTGCCAGATTCCCTTTCCCAGGGGTTTTGCTTTCTATCTGTATTGGCAGAATCTTTTTCCTCCTGATTTCTTTTTAAATTATGCCTTTTATTGGAAAACACTATATATTCTTGAATTACCTGGGAAATAGATGTTCCTCAGGCTCTTTAACTTTCTACTCTAGTAGGACCAGCTTATATTTATGGTACCCGTGTCTTGAAGTTCACTGGAACAGTTTCCTCATTGATCCAGCCTCTTGGGTAATTGTATAATGTTATTTTGTGGATTCCTCCTAGAAATTCTGTAGAAATAGAGTCTAGAAGGCTTAATATTTTAAATTGCACATTCAAATCTGGAACATGTTGTTAGTGTGAGTGGGTTGCCTTTTTATGGAGTGGAAATACCATTGGATTTATGAGGGTAGCAAATATAATTGCTCTTTATTGAGTAGTTATTATGTACCAGGTCCTGCCTGTGCTAAATACTTTACATGTTTTGTTTAATCTTCATCATATTCCTGCATAGCAAGGTAGAAGCTGTTCTCCCCTGTTCTTAGAGAGGTTAGGTAAGAACTTAATCTTTAGTCACACAACCCATAAGTGGTGTAGAGTTGGGAGATACGCCAAGGTCTTTCTGAACTCGAAGCTTCAGTTATTATGGCCATTAATTGATTTACTGAATTATTTTGTTTCTGTTAGGAAACTTTTAAGTTTTAAATACTGCTTACTATTAGATGGTTTGTCATAGTCACTTGAAATTCTTAAATTGGAGGGCATACATCATTTTACAGGATTTGGCACTGATGATCAATGTATAGAATGTGCAATACACTGGAAAATGCTGAGGTGAATAAGATACAGCTTCTGTCTTCTAGGCGCTTAATATCTAATGGGAAAGGAAAGTTCAATGCACATTTAATTACTCCATTGAGGAGAGGGTGGTGGCTATTAATAGTATATTTGCTTGACTGGATCTTTAAAATACAGAGAAATGCAGAAATGCACCTTAAATATGTTCAGAGTAGTAAAATTCAGCTTTGAAAACTTATTTAGGTAATTTCAGATTCTTGCCAACCAATAACTATTATAATTGAATAAGAGGTATTTTGCTTTATCTTTCACTTTGAAACAGTGACTATATGAGTTTTAGGTCCCAGAAGGATATTTTTTTCTCTCTTGATAAATGGAAAGTGAATAAATTGGTTATGGTTTTAATGTGGGTGTCCTGAAGGTTAGGTTAATTGTGATGTTCCTGAATTTTGTGTGATTGTAGCAGTGGATGGCTAGGGTTATATATAATACTTTATATCTTATGCCTTGTTTTCTCTGTCTTTTACACTAATTTCTTTATATGTCTTTTAGCTTGATAACTATGGACAGCAAGAACTTGCGGATCTTTTTGTGAACTATAATGTAAAATCTCCCATTACTGGAAATGATCTATCCCCTCCAGTGTCTTTTAACTTAATGTTCAAGACTTTCATTGGGCCTGGAGGAAACATGCCTGGGTATGTATCACTTATTGTTTACCTGTTTATGTAATGAAGTTTTTAAAATTGCTTATATTAAAAGGTAAATATCAATGTTATGAAGGAAAAATTTTTAAAAAGTGATATACAGAAGTACAGATGAATGTATTATGGAGAAATAATGGCAGAAATAAATCTTTTAAAAAATTCTTTCTGAATATAATTTCTTTTTTGGCATATATGTATTTTTTTGGCATAAAATAAAGTCTCTGATCACTATATCTTCTAGTTATAGCTGCATAGGGTAGAAGGGACAGTTGAAGAATGGTTTTAAAAGCCGTTGAACTTATTGCTGAAGGATATTTTAGAAACCATTTAGTTTAGCATGCTACTGTCCAACGGAACTTTCTGCAGTGATGGAAATGTTCTGTAATGTGTGTTGTCCAGTATGATTAGCTACCAGCCACATTTGGCTCTTGAGCACTCATAATGGGTCCAGTTCTTCTGAGGCACTGAATTTTAAAATTTATTTCATCTTAATTGAAATTTAAATAGACATCTGCCTGGTGTCCTACCATATTGGACAGCATAGGTATAGCCTGTTGATTTGAAAGATGTGGTTTTCATGGATAAAGAATATCTGGTTAGTTTACAGTATGATTCAGAATTGGAATCTTTATCTTCTGATTCCTTGTCCACTGTTTAACAGACTTAGCCAGTGTTCCATTTCATAGCTTTAGATATTTTTCTATGATAGGGTAAGAGAGTAAGTTTTTCCTACATGAGCTAGATAGATCGTGTTTCCCAGAGTAGGGACTGAAGAATAAGAAAAATTAATTGTGACAAAATGTGTTGCAGTTAATTATTCTAATGAGACATCAGGTTGATTTGGAATATTTCATGGAAAGAGGCCAGTGGCAAGCCTTTCATTTTGGCCATATGTACAGAGTCATAAAATGAGACATAACCTGTGACCCAGACATTCCATTTCTGGGAATTGATCTAAGGAAATAATTCAGAAGGAAAGGAAATTATACTTAGAAGAAGTATATAAATTGAAAGTAGAAATAACCTATTCAGTAATTTGAGAGTGGTTAAACAAATTATGGTAAAGTGGATTAGTTTGGGATAATATTCTGTCACTATTAAATGTGAGAAATTTGTGCCATTATTTAGAAAATGGGAAGTATAAAATAGGTAATACATGATTTTATACATACTAACTGTAAATATATGTATAAACTTTACTTACATTTGGATGAAATCTGGAAAGGGCCATAAAAATCAAAAGAGTTGGTCTGTTAAGTAAGAAGAGGGTACAATTTTAGGGTTTTTAGCCCTTGGTTTTAAAGTTATTTTAGTAAAATACTTATTCTGAAGTAGGCCATTGGGAGCGTTTCCTTAGTGGATGTTTTGCACAGAATATCTTCTAGGAAATTGAGAGGGCAGTGGTTATAGTAGTGTATTTGCTTGACTATATCTTTAAAATACAGAGAAATGCGGAAGCCTCTGGTTGAAAATATAAAATACTGCAGATAATAAAATGATTTGAAAAACATTGAAAATTACCTGGCTTGGTGAGGTGATAGTGATAAGTGAGTGCTGATGTTAAATGTGAGCCTATACTGATTTCTTTTTAGCCCCTCAGTTAAGTTTTAATATGTGGGTTAACAGGGCTAAACATAGGCATGGGTATTATTTTCCAAAGGACCTAAGATTGTCATCTGCCTCCATGTACATGATGACTTAGAAGACATCAGGGGTTTAAGGGGCACTATGGGAGAGGTGGTGTTTTTTGTTTGTTTGTTTTGAGATGGAGTTTCGCTCTTGTTGCCCAGGCTGGAGTGCAATGGCGTGATCTCGGCTCACTGCAACCTCTGCCTCCCAGGTTCAAGCGATTCTCTTGCCTCAGCCTCCTGAGTAGCTGGGATTACAGGCATGTGCCACCACGCCTGGCTAATTTTGTGTTTTTAGTAGAGACAGGGTTTCTCCATGTTGGTCAGGCTGATCTCGAACTCCCAACCTCAGGTGATCCGCCCACTTCAGCCTCCCAAAGTGCTGGGATTACAGGTGTGAGCGACTGCGCGCGGCCTGAGGTGGTGTTTTTAAATTTATTTTTATTTCTGCTTTTTGAGAAGTGGGGTTTTGACTCACTGGTGTAATTAAATGAAATGGCATTGCCAAAGTAGTACTGCCACACTAATTACTTAATACATTTTCTAATACGTGCTATGAAAATGTTTGCTACCGAGGAAAATATTTCTAAAACTTCATTTTAGGGCCTGTTCAACTTTGTTGTGAAAATGGTATATTTAGGACTTTTAGGATTTGTATCTAGAATTTCAGGATTGTTGGAAAACATAATTTCTTTCTTTGTAACAGACTGACTTACTTAAATTTATAGGTACTTGAGACCAGAAACTGCACAGGGGATTTTCTTGAATTTCAAACGACTTTTGGAGTTCAACCAAGGAAAGTTGCCTTTTGCTGCTGCCCAGATTGGAAATTCTTTTAGAAATGAGATCTCCCCTCGATCTGGACTGATCAGAGTCAGGTACTGCTCAGGTTACTCTTACAAATTAGTGAATGACCTTGGCATTGCATTGAAAATGAAAGCTTGCTGTTTTGAAGCAATTCTGCTTCATAATCCTGATTATGAATTTATTTTTGTTTTCTCCAAAAATCATGTTTTACATTTGGAATCTCTAAATGTAATCTCCAGGATGACAGGCAGTTTTGAGTGACAAAAGTGAACTTGAAGGGAAAGGAAGGAGGGTGGAGACTGTCTTAAGAGTCTCACCTGCTCCAAAATTACCTTTTTCCTTGTTCATCGTATATTTTGAGGATGGTAATATCTTGATTGTCTAAACCAAGGCAATACTGGCAATGGTGATGTGTATAAAAGGGTGGGGTCGGGTGGGGGTAGGGTGAAAGTTGTGGCAGGAGGATTGTTCTAGATATCTAGGGCAGACAACATTGCTGAAGTTGGGGTGAGGATGTATCAGTAACCAACTGGAGTTCTGGAAACAACCTCCGTCCAGGTATTTGGGGGGCCTATATGACAGAAAGGCCAGCAAGCAAGCTTACCCTCATCACTCACTTGGCCTCTATTCAAATAGCCTACTTTTGTCTGATCTATCCAGGGATGTGTGGGAAGGCATATTGGGGCTGGTGAGTTCTATATTTCTTTAGAAATTTATTATGACTCAGCTGTTTATGACTTAAGTTTTTTGTGATTTCTATACGTTATTCCTGGTATCATCTCTTAGAGTAATACATTCCATATAAAATACGAGGTGTAGCTAAACATAACTTTCTAAGGCCCCAAAGTGTTTTCCCAGCCCCAGCGCCCACCCATTTCCTGTCTTCTCTTCTTACTCACTGTAATTACAGACTTGGGTCATAACATAGCCCAGTCACTGACTCTGGATCAAAGCATCCACAGCACCTGCCTCATCTTGTTAGTTCCCATGATGCCATCTGGGAGAAGATGCCTATGTTCTGCGCAAACTGTATCTCTAGGCCCTACAGGTTTACGGTTTAGGAAGGAGGGACTTACAGAGGAAAGAATGTGCCCAACTTAGAGAAAGTTGGGGGAATGACCCCTCTGAGCTTTCATGTAAAAAGAGGAGGTCATCAGAAACTTTAGCCAGGTATGATGGCAATGACAAATTTGTCAGATTTGAGTCTTTGTTTTATTTCCCAGTGTCTGAGTGTTTTTGTTTTTTTGTTTTTCACCGTTTCAATATCTAGCAAGTATGCCTTCCCAAACTGAGGAAGCTGCGTAAGGCTGACCTTGTCTGAAGCCAGTGTTACGAAGAGGGTTTACACAGAGTAGCTATGGGAAGATTATTGAGAAGGACTGAGAAGTAAGGCAGTGTCTGGGGCCTGTGCAGTAAAAAAGTGGTGAGTAGGGAAACCAGCTTGGAACTTGGGAGTGATCCCAGGGGTTAACTGGTAGAAAGGCTCTGGGGCTTCTCAACAGTGGATTCTTTGGTCATTTTCACTTCAAAGTGTCATGTCTGAATTCTGGCTAGTTTTGTTATGTCCCTTGCAAGTTCCTGACCAGAAGTCCACTAGTTTTTTCATGAGTCAGCATCCTCCTGGCTTTTGTTCCATGGTAGGACTAGGATTGGTTTATTTAGTGTTCTGATTCTTCTTGATGGCAGAGTTCTCTGGTGATTAATCTTTGCATAGCTGTATTTCCTTTTGTCCTTTTGTTAGTTTAGAGGTATTAGATTGTTCATATGAAGATTTTTCTAAAATTTTATTTTATTTTGATTGACTTATCTGTCTTCCTAGCCTGTGTGTATTTTAGTTCTCTACAGTTTCAGGTACAGTTGCTGAACTGAGATACAGTTACTCAGAATTCTGATGATTCCTGCCTCCTATCTATGAGCTGAGATTATTGATGAGTAAATTTTGTATGATTTGTATGATTTCAAGTCACACAGTGTGGTGCTTTGATATGCTTATACATTGTGAAATGATTACCACAGTCAAGCTAATTAACATAATTATCACCTCACATAGTTACTTTTTTTTTTTTTAGTGGTGAGATCTACTTAACATCTACTCTTTGAGCGGATTTCAGGTATACAGTGAATCATTAACTATAGACACAGTGCTGAGATTTGTGACAGAACAGATGGAAAGACTTTGGCAGCAGCATTTTGGAGATTCTAGGCAGGGCCCGTAATTTATCCTGTCCCACATTGTAGATGTTCAGTTGCTGTCAGCCCAATTATAAGCTATGTGAGGACAAACACCATGTTTGTTTCTCTCACATTTATATGGGCACAGAAGATGTTTCCTAGTTGTTGAAAGACAACTAAAACATAGGTGCAGCAGGACCAAATAAGAGACACTATTAAAAAATAAAATTTAAAAATTAAACCTCTTGGCCGGGCGCAGTGGCTCACGCCTGTAATCCCAGCACTTTGGGAGGCAGAGGCGGGCGGATCATGAGGTTCAGGAGATTGAGGCCATCCTGGCTAACACAGTGAAACCCTGCCTCTACTAAAAATACAAAAAATTAGCCGGGCGTGGTGGCGGGCGCCTGTAGTCCCAGCTACTCGGGAGGCTGAGGCAGGAGAATGGCGTGAACCCGGGAGGCGGAGCTTGCAGTGAGCCGAGATCGCGCCACTGCACTCCAGCCTGGGCGAGCGAGACTCCGTCTCAAAAAAAAAAAAAAAAAAATTAAACCTCTTTTGCAGTGTATTTCATGTATTTTTAGGATCCATTTAAGCAATTTTACATTACTCGTAAAACATCTGAGATAATCATGGAAGCACACCAGAAAATGTGATTTTTCTTGAAAGAAGAGAGATTGATTTTGACTCATAAAATTAACTTGAAACACTTCTCCCGCAAATAGCTACTAAATTGCATTCAGAGAAATCTCTTTGGGAAACCATTACTATGTGCACTTCATCGTTAGGTAATTAGCTTGATGTTAGCTTGTTCAATTCATGCCTTATATCCTTTGCCTTGAATAACACTTTATTTAAGAAGCTCTTGCTCCAAAGAAACCAACTGTATGATGCCATTATCAGTCATTTACTTTTTTGTAGCAGTAAAAAAGAAGAAATCAAACTGCTATGAAAGCTAAAGAACCATTTCATTTCGCTTTTAATTTCCCATTCTTTGAAATGGGATGAAGAAACTTCATTTAGTGTATACTTATAAAGACTTGCTAATGCTTTAAGGAAAACCATTTTATCTGCATGTCACTATTCAATATCTTATTTCTTATTTTTCATGTGATTTTTGCGTATGTTTTCCTAATTTAAAAAACTATATTAATCTGCCTTTAACAAGTTATTTTCAGTTAAAAGTAATAATCTTTTTGGATGTAGCTGGAGGGAAGGAATTAATACTTCAGAGAAGTTAGATCATGTTTATTTTAAATAGTGAGTAATAAAATTTTCATTAATGTGTTTAAAAATAACCTTCACATGTACCCCATAAATTTGTACAAATATAATACATCAAAAAAATAAAAATAACAACTACCCAGACAAATTTAATTCAAAATTTTTTTGGCCATTCCCTTAGGAAACCAACTTTCTGTTTAGTGAAAAAGACCACTATAGTATGGAGCCTTTATCACTAGAATGCAGTTGAAAATAGAGGCCTTGTTTTTTGTTTGTTTGTTTTTTGTAGTTAAATATGCAGGTTTATCGCTTACGTTTTTGCTTTCAGAGAATTCACAATGGCAGAAATTGAGCACTTTGTAGATCCCAGTGAGAAAGACCACCCCAAGTTCCAGAATGTGGCAGACCTTCACCTTTATTTGTATTCAGCAAAAGCCCAGGTCAGCGGACAGTCCGCTCGGAAAATGCGCCTGGGAGATGCTGTTGAACAGGTAGGATTCTGGAGGTAACTTAACTTAGATTGTGCCTGTTCAGGGTTTGCAGCAATTAGCAAATTCTATGTGTTCTGGGTGACAAGATATTTTATTTTGGCAGTCATTTGCTTTTTTACAGTACTTGGTTTTGTACAGAATTTGTTATACAGTATTATTATAGTAAGAGAAAAATCACCTGAACATCTCAATTTGTGGGCCTTGGGGCTAGCATGAAAAAAAATGTTTAGCAGAGCACTTGGAAAATAGATCTTGGTTTGCATTGTGCCTCACCAATCTGACTCAACAGTATGTACTACTTTGGGGGAGACAGCATTGGACCCACAGAAAGCAAGCCATCTGGGTTTCAGACTCTTCTGTATTACCCATAGCAGTGGAATAAGGCCTTGCATATAAGCACTTTGTAAATATTTGCCTGGAGAAGTGAGTGCGTGAAAACTTGCCAACAGTAGCTGCTGTCCACTAGTGGAATGAGTTGCCTCAGGGAGCAGTGAGCTTCCTGGCCCTGAAAATACTCCTGGCAAGGTTGGACGATAGCTTGTCAGCCACTTTGCAGAGAAGACCTCTGCAGTGTATGGAGATGGGGCTAGATGTTTTCTAAGGTCCTTGCAAACACTAAAATGATTACGTGTACTCTACGGGGTTCACAAATTTCAGTGGGTAAGGATACATTAAAATCCCCTCAACGTGTCATTACTTTGGTTAATTCAGAGGGGAATGTCTTTGCCATTCTTTAGTGTCAATTATGAATATTGTTTTTAGTACTGTAGATTTAGAGGTATGAGGTACTGGGCTGAATTTTTGCTGACCCAGTAAGTATGTTGGACAGATTTTGAATAACTCCATTATCATCATCTTGACATTAACCCATTAAAAAATAACCAAGATCTCATTCTGAGTATTTGAAATTGTTTTGAAAGCAAGATAAAATAGTTTGTGTTGGGTGTCAAATATTTTTCAGTAGAGTGAGTCAATGGAAACCGATATCTTGGCTTTGAAGAGTATTAATGTGTGTTTTCTTTTCTTCCTCCATGCTTGCTTATTGGTTGGTTTAGGGTGTGATTAATAACACAGTATTAGGCTATTTCATTGGCCGCATCTACCTCTACCTCACGAAGGTTGGAATATCTCCAGATAAACTCCGCTTCCGGCAGCACATGGAGAATGAGATGGCCCATTATGCCTGTGACTGTTGGGATGCAGAATCCAAAACATCCTACGTAAGTGGAGTGCTGTTTACCATGTGATTTTCACATTGTTAACTTAGAAGCACAGGTACCAAATGAATTTTTGTGCACTTTATGTCACAGAGGAACAAAGGGAAAAGAAAAGAGATCTTTTCCTGAGCAAAACAGAAAAAGCAGTTGCCTCCTGCCTTTTTATAAGTGTCCTAAGGAGCTCGTTGTAGTCTTAGATAGCTGAGAGACAGAGTTAGTGTATGATGGGACAGTGCGGATGTGTACACTGCTGTACAGTGTATTGGCAGCATTACTGGCAATATCCTGGAGTGGATCTAAGACACATTGGCCTCTCCTTCCTGGCAAGAGTCCCAGCAAACATTGGAAATGGTGGAGAGGTTGAATAAAGAAAGTCATAGTGCTCTTAGCTCAATGAGCTATGTAGTAGCTTTGGGGAATATACTAGTTGATTCTGATCTCTGGCTTAAGAACTACCTTCCTCAAATGTTATGTATTTAACTCAAAATTCACAGACGATCTCCAGGTACCCTCCTGCCCCTGTGCCCTGTCACCCCTCCAGCCTCCACCACCAAACATGAACATCAGTATTGAAGCGGAGGGACGAAAGGCATTTGCATATAGGAGATGCTGTCTATATTGGTGGCAGGAGGAAATGTGGCATCTAAAACAAGGCTGAGAGTCTTTTGGCATTTCTCTTATTGGGTGTTAGAGAGGCTTCCTCGCCTACATAGAAAGAGACTTTAGTCCAGGGGTCACTGGTTCCAGTATACCCTTGGTTCAGTTTTTACTTTTCAGAATGGCTTTCTTTTTATGGATTTTTAAAAATTAAAAATCAAAATTAGTCATATTTTAAAAAGTAATGACTACTTTTTTTAAAACAAAAAGGAAAAAATAATTCTGAAGACTATTATGTAGAAAATTAAACTTCCAGTTATATGCCTCTCCCCAGGTGTTTTATGTCTCTTCTCTGTATTGAGCAAACATTTTCTATAAAGGACCAGATGGTAAATATTTTTAGCTTTATGAGTCTCTGTCACATAACTTTGTTGTTTTTTACAGCTTGTAAAAAACAGCTTTTAAAAAATGTCCAAACTGGCTGGGTGTGGTGGCTCATGCTTGTAATCCTAGCACTTTGGGAGGCCGAGGTGGGAAGATTGCTTGAGCTCAGAAATTTGAGACCAGCCTGGGCAACATAGCAAGACCCTGTCTCTACAAAAAATACAAAAATTAGCCAGGTGTGATAGCACGCCCCTGTAGTTTCAGCTACTTGGGAGGCTGAGGTGGGAAGATCACATGAGCCCGGGAGGTTGAGGCTGTAGTGAGCCATGATTGCACCACTGAACTCAAGCCTGGGTGACAGAGTGAGGCCCTGTCTCAAACAAACAGACGAAAAAAGATCATGCTTAGCTCCATGGTCTTGGGTATGTCTGCCTTCTCTAGATGATTTTTCTACGTGTTCTAACACATGCATGCATAAATGCATAATAATATGCATATGTTTATAAATGGCTATTAATGATGTTGTTTTTAATATATTCTTTTTCCCTTGTGGAATTAGAAAGAATTACTGTAATCTGTTAGGATTTTCTTAGCAAGCTTGCTTGACATATGTCAAAATGATAATAGTAATTATTTTTAGGATTATGGGTGATCATTAATTTCTTTACACTTTTTAGATTTTCTGGGACTTCTTTTTATTTTCAGATCAAACCAATAAAATGTTTTTCCTTTTGTATGAGAAAAGATTATTACTTTTCTTTTTGTTTCATACCCAGCTCCTTCTCTTAGTTTGCTCTGATTCTGATTTCAGATTAAACCAGATGTTGTTCTTGCTGTCTCAGTTAAGTAATTTGCTTAAGTCTCACAGCCAGTGAGTGGTGAGGCTGGGATATAAACCTGGCTGTCTGACACCAGACTCATGCTCTTAACAGTTATGCTGTACTGCTTTATAAACCCCACTGGATGCCTGCTCGTCCTTATCTAAGTGCCATTGTGAGGGTTAGGGATCAGAAAATGGAAAGTCACTGGAAAACAGGGCTAAATGAAACAAGAAGCTCCAGAGTCCCAGAGGCTCTTAAGGAGAGGGGAGAACTCCCTTAGAGAGTTTAATACTTTTTGTGTACTTTATATATTTTTTTAATAAAAAAATTTACCGTTGCAGTTAATGCCACACCAATTCTCTTTCCATCCAGAGAAGTAACCACTATCCCAATGTTGTTATTCTCAGGCACGTTTTTGTAATTTTACCTTTCAGTACATAAATGTTAGTTGACATCTGCAGTAAATTATAACCACCAAACTATATGGTTAAGAACATAAGTATACTTAACCAGTCGACATGTATAGGGAATGTCAGATTGCCAGGTTACATGTTTTTAGGCTTTGTTCTTTAATTCCTTTTGTTGTTGTTTTGTGTTGGAGTTTCTGAGCTCATATGAGTTTTATATTTGCTTGCTTTATTACAGACACCCCATGTGATAACATGTGCTTGGAAAGCTTAGTAGTTTTTTCTTTTTTTCTTTTTTTTTTTTTTTTTTTGAGACAGAGTCTTACTCTGTCACCCAGGCTGGAGTGCAGTGGTGCACTCTCAGCTCACTGCAGCCTCTGCCTCCTGGGTTCAAGCGATTCTCCTGCCTCGGCCTCCCAAATAGCTGGGATTACAGATACATGGCACTGCACCCAGCTAATTTTTGTATTTTCATGAAGACAGGATTTCTCCGTGTTAGCCAGGCTGGTCTTGAACTTCTGACCTCAGGTGATCCACCCGCCTTAGCCTCCCAAAGTGCTGGGATTAGAGACACGAACCACTGTGTCTGGCCAAGCTTAGTAGTTTTGATGGTTGAATTTCCCCAAACTCTTTGGATCAAGGGCAAAAAAAAAAAATGAATCTTCTTGAGAAGGACTAACTAGGTATCTACCAAAATAAGCTCTTTACAAACTCTTGTTCTTATTGAAATAACGGGTTCTTAAGAGTTTGTCATAGTTGGGGTTTCTATAAGAAAGCACCACATACAGAGTGGCTTATAAACAATGGACATTGATTTCTCACCGTTCTGGAGGCTGGAATTGAGAGATCAGGGTGCCAGCATCGTCTGATCCTTGTGAGGGCCCCATTCTCAGTCGCATACTGCCAACTTCTTGTTGTATCCTCACATGGTGAAAGAGGGCAAGAGAGCTCTCTGGGGTCCCAAATTCCAGTGATTAGGGCTCCATCCTCATGACCTAATCACCTCCCAAAGGCACCTCCTCCTAATACCATCACATTGGGAGTTAGGATTTCAATATACGAATTTTGTCAAGGACACAAGCATTCAATTCATTGCAGGTTCTTTGAAAATAATTTAAATTTTGCTTTTTAAAAGTATCTTATGTGTGTATTTATAAGAAAGGGAACCTGGCATCAATGTGATCATAATGCTCTTATATAATTTTATTGTGTGACCTGAACTTTACCCACTCTTATACTGAGTTTTCTTTTGTTCAGTGAAGAAAGTGAATTGAATCCAAATGCCCACATTTATGGCCAGCTGAAGTATGTGTTTAGTCAGCCATCTGATATCAAGTTGTGAGAACACTAGGTACTTCATCTAAAGAATAGTGGTTTCTGCCAAATTCATTTTGATTTCTGTTCACAAATTTGAACCAAATTTACAGGCTTTGTCTAGGTTCACATTTAATTTCCATAATTAAATTCCAGAATATGTTAGTTTACCCCACAGACTCAGTATAACAATATAAATCCATCCAGAAAGGAAGACTACTTTGTGTACAGTGTGAATTATATATTTTTTTCTTTCTTTTTTTTTTTTTTTTTAAGATAGGGTCTCACTGTGTTGCCCAGATTGGTCTCAAACTCCTGGCCTCAAGTGATCCTTCCACCTCAGCGTCCCAAGTACCTGGGATTACAGGCATGAGCCATCACACCCAGATCAGTGTGAATTATATTTTATAGGCTTATTAGCTGCCTGATATATGAGGCTATTCCCATTTCAAATATTTATGAAATTTGAATGAAGATTATATCATCGAATTATCATTGAATATATGAAAGGTTTATAATCTGCATGCATTTGTGAATGAACCCAATATAAGTAATAATAAGTAAGTAATGTTTTTATTGATTATATCTTTTTAGGGTTGGATTGAGATTGTTGGATGTGCTGATCGTTCCTGTTATGACCTCTCCTGTCATGCACGAGCCACCAAAGTCCCACTTGTAGCTGAGAAACCTCTGAAAGAACCCATATCCTTTCTGGTCACTCCAAAAACTCAGGATTCACATGTGAACATCTTGCTAATGAATAAGTCCAAGTCTTTACCTTGTTCTATGGATAAATGGAGATGTTTTAGACACTGTAGTAACGCTTGTTTAAACCTATTATTTTACCTATCCCTTTGTTCCTTTCCTATTCTCTGTACTTGTAGTCTGACGTGTGCCCACTCAATGTTTGGCCTTTAAAAGAAGCATATTTAGAAAAATGCTCTGAATATCTTTCAGAACGTTAATAGTTTTTCTCAGCTGTTTCCAAAACGCACTTCACACCTGCACCTACCTACGTGCTCTTTAAATAAAGGGTACCTGGTGAAAGCTTTTTCCATTAAAAGATGAGTGCCATTTGATAGTAGCTGAAATAATAATTTAGCTCACTTGGTCTGAAAATCAGCAAAATAGAAATTTTCTTTCTTTAGTAGGCAGTGAAGTTATGAGCTGATTTCTTAGGGGTAGGTCAGTGACAGGAAATAGATCTTGTTTTGAGCATTTTAGAAATACTTATCAGAAGTTCTTATGCTATGGGTTGGGTCATTGCTGATTAGATAATATCTCTTTTTTCTCACTGTAACTGGAAAAGTTTCTATTGATGGTGTTAATTTTGGATGAGAGTTGTCTGAATGATTTTGTGGACAGGTGTTTCATCTTGCCTTAAAATCAGCATAAACAGGATCTGGAGTACTGATAGAGAGCTGGCATGGTTTTAAGTTGATGATTGATTGTTCTCAGGCTCATTTTCTGAAATACTGAGGCAGTGCTGTAGTTTTGGATTCCTTGACTACTTCATACAAAACAGTCAATGTTGTTCAGTTTGAACCCAGTAAGGGAGCAATTGGTAAGGCATATAAGAAGGATGCAAAACTGGTGATGGAGTATCTTGCCATTTGTGATGAGTGCTACATTACAGAAATGGAGATGCTGCTGAATGAGAAAGGGTAAGATATCAGATGTTTACTCTTCCATGGGCTCCAGTCAGTTGTGTCATCTGCCAGGTTCTGAAAGGATGAGATTAATTTCTTAAGATTTTTTGCAGGTAAGTACTGTATCTTGGCTGCATTTAAAAGACTGTCTTTGCCGAGATTTTGGCATTATAGCCTGAAAAAAGATTTGAAATAGAATATACTTTTTTTTTTTCCTAGTAACTGTCTTAAACAAAGAGACTTGTCCAGCCAGGCTGAGGAAGGAAGGGTTAGAAACTACATCTACTATCTCTCAGGTCACTTCTCTCTCCTTTTTGGAGGTTTAGAATACTCTCTGTAATTGTTTAAGCATGAATATAAACAATAGAGAAGGCCGGGCACAGTGGCTCATGGCTGTAATCCCAGCACTTTGGGAGGCTGAGGTGGGCAGATCACGAGGTCAGGAGATCGAGACCATCCTGGCTAACACAGTGAAACCCCGTCTCTACTAAAAATACAAAAAAATTGTCCGGGCATGGTGGCGGGCGCCTGTAGTCCCAGCTACTCAGGAGGCTGAGGCAGGAGAATGGCGTGAACCTGGGAGGCGGAGCTTGCAGTGAGCCACCATCGTGCCACTGCACTCCAGCCTGGGCAACAGAGTGAGACTCCGTCTCAAAAAAAAAAAAACAAAAAAAAAAAATAGAGAAAAGCCTTTAAAGAAATACAACAAAATCCAGCACTGAACAGTGTAAAACTTACAATATCCAGCAAACAATAAAAATTATTATATATATGAAAAAGCAGGAAAATGAGAAGTAAAGTCAGTCAAAAGAAACACCCAGAAAAAACAAACATGATGCAGTAAGTACATAAGGATGTTAAAGCACTTATTATAAATATGCTTCATGTACTCAAGGGTGTAAAGGAAAACATTAACATGTGAGGTGAGAAATGGAAAAATATATGTGTAATATGGATATAAACACATGTTTTTTATATATATAAACAACATGAAACATTTAGAGGCAATATCTCAAATGAAAATGTCACTGGATGGGATTAACAGTAGATTAAACATTACAGAAGAAAGGTCATTGAACTTAAAGACATAGCAACTATCCAAAATGAAGCATAGAAAAAAATGAGACTGGGAAAAAGATGTCCAGTGGGACAATATCAGGCAGTCTAATGCATGTGTAATTGAGAGTCCTAGAGAGGGTGTATAGAAAAAATATTATACAGTAGCTAGAAAATTTACAAATTTGATGAAAACGCTAAAACTACAGATTCAAGAAGCTTAGCCCCAAGCAGGATAAACACGAAGATGACCACATGAAGACCCGTGAGAATCAAATAGCTAAAAACCAGGGATGAAGAGAAGAACCTTTAAAGCAGCTAGTGGGGAAAAAGACTCATCACATAAAAGCAAACAAAGATAAGAATGATTAGAATTCATATCAAAAACTGCGCGGATCACAATATAATGGAATGAAATCTTTTAAAGTGCTTTAAGACAAAATTCCTACACCCAGCAAAAATATCTTTCAAAAATGAAGAGGAAGTACTTTAAGACCAAGCTTGTTCAACCTGCGGCCTGCAGGCTGCATGTGGCCCAGGATGGCTTTTGATGCTGCCCAACACAAATTCGTAAACTTTCAAAAAACATTATGAGGTTTTTTTGCATTTTTTTTTTCTTAGCTCATCAGCTGTGGTTAGTGTTAGTGTATTTTATGTGCAGTCCGAGACAGTTCTTTCTAGTGTGGCCCAGGGAAGCCAAAAGATTGAACACCTCTGTTTTAGACAATCCGGGGCTCTGAGAGTGCATTGCCAGCAGACCTCCACTATGAGAATTGTTAAAGGCACTTCTTCAGGCAGAAGTATGAAAGTTTAGATGTACCCAGAGGACTTGAGAGATCTAGAAATGATAAATATGTGGGTAAATAGAAATGGCATTTTCTCTGTCATCTCTTAATTTCTTTAAAAGATAATGGAGTATTTAAAGTAATATGGAATTTATAACATGGAAGTAAAATGTATGCTATCAGTAGCACAAAGGGTGGGAGCAAAGAATTGGGAATATACTCTTGTGAGGTGTATACATTATATGTGAAATGGTGTAATATTACTTGAAGATAAACTATGATAAGTTAAAAAATGGATAGAATGAACTCTAGAGCAATCACCTGGAAAAAAAACACACACAAAAAAGGGGTGTAACTAATAAACCAATAGTGGAGATAAAGTAGAATAAGAAAAAATATTCCACAAGAAGATGGGAGAAAAGGAAAAGGAACAAAGAACAGATGGGACAAAGATGAACTCTTGCAAGTTGAAGATACCTGTTTCAGAAAAATTTAAAAACATTTCTCGTCTTCCAGAATTAACATCTATTTATACTAAAACAATATCAAATCCCATTAAAATGGACTAAGTTATATTACTAGTTAAATATCATTATCCATAAACACAGTTTGCTTTATTAATTATTCTCAAATAATGGCTGTCTCCTTGTCAATTACAACTCTTTTTTTTTTGAGATGGAGTCTCACTCTGTCACCTAGGCTGGAGTGCAGTGGCGTGATCTCAGCTCACTGCAACCTCTGCTTCCCAGGTTCAAGCAATTCTCCTGCCTCAGCCTCCCGAGTAGCTGGGACTACAGGTGTGCACCACCACGCCTAGCTAATTTTTTGTATTTTTAGTAGAGACGGGGTTTCACCTTGTTGACCAGGCTGGTCTTGAACTCCTGACCTCAGGTGATCCACCTACCTTGACCTCCCAAAGTGCTGGGATTACAGGTGTGAGCCACCTCGCCTGACCCAATTGCAACTCTTTTATAGCTGTTAACTATGATACACTTAGACTGTGCTCACAGAGAGAATGCATGTGACACTGTGTATGTAATGGAACCTTGAATGCATGCACACACAGACTTCAGACAGAATAGTAAAAACGGAAGAATTCAGTGAACACCAGTCAGATGAGGCATGAGATTATCACAGGTGGAAACTAGCAAAATACAGTTATAACATATGCCAACTATCCAGCTTCTGAGACAACCACATGAGGGCTCTCTATCCTAGCACTGAATTGCTTGGGAGGGAGGAGAAATCCAAATGGATATTCAAAATGTGAGGAAATACCTCCTAAGCTGAAATACAGGTATTACATGAAGCTCTTTATAAAGATGAATTCTTATAACCTGAAACTGAATGGGCATATCTCAGGACACAAATACATGGCAGCCAGTGATTTTGAGGGGGATAATATTTTATATTGCCATATGAAACAGAAACATTAAACTTCTTTTAAACTGATCTTCATCAACACAAATGTCCAAATTTATTTTGAAAATAGTGTGGGTATTGGATTGTAAAATTACTTCTGTAAGATGGCATGCTGGTTCATTTGTACATTTGTTGGGACAGTAATGAGAACCCTTGTGTTTTTACCAGCAGGCCTATTTCTGACAAAGTTGTTATTATTCTAAAACTGAATTTTCAAAAAGTTGTTTTTGGTTTTACCTTGATTCAAAACCAAAGGAATTTGTCATTAAGTCACTTGTGGAGTTTTATAAAACTAGTCAAAATTTGGTGTATGTCCTCAGAGTACTTTTTGGTGCCATTGTTAGACTAATGCTTAATTTGGTGTTTCTTATGAAATAATTTAAATTTGACATCACTTATTATATCTGGAGAGTTGATCAAGTTATAAAAAGAAAAAACAACTTAGCAATCTACAAAATTCCTTTAAATTAAGGCACAGGGTGCCTGTTTGAACTAATACAAAATGTGTTTTGTTTCTTCGTAGGGAATTCACAATTGAAACTGAAGGGAAAACATTTCAGTTAACAAAAGACATGATCAATGTGAAGAGATTCCAGAAAACACTATATGGTAAATTTGTAAAAATAATAAACAAAAAGTCACTGCTCCTTAAAGCTTTTGTTGTTGTTTGAGACAGGGTCTTGCTCTGTCACCCAGGCTGGAGTGCAGTGGCACAACCTCTGCCTCCCCGGCTCAAGCGTTCCTCCCTCCTGTCTCAGCCTCCGAATTAGCTGGGACTACAGGTGCAGGCTACCATATCCAACTAATTTTTGTATTTTTTGTAGAGATGAGGTTTTTGCCATGTTGCCCAGGCTGATCTTGAACTCCTAGGCTCAAGCAGTCCACCTGCCTTCGCGTCCCAAAGTGCTGAGATTACAGGCATGAGTGACCACGCCTGGCCCTCATTCCCTGTCTTCTTTGGCAAAATAACTTGTTAAAAAGTCATTTAGGGGCCGGGCGTGGTGGCTTACGCCTGTAATCCCAGCACTTTGGGAGGCCAAGGCGGGTAGATCACGAGGTCAGGAGTTCAAGATCAACCTGGCCAACATGGTGAAACCCCGTCTCTACTAAAAATACAAAAATTAGCTAGGCATGGAGACACGCACGTGTAATCCCAGCTACTCGGGAGGCTGAGGCAGGAGAATCCCTTGAACCCGGGAGGTGGAGGTTGGAGTGAGCCGAGATCACGCCATTGCACTCCAGCCTGGGCGACAGTGCAAGACTCCGTCTCAAAAAAAAAAAAAAAAGTAATTTAGACCAGTGATGTTGCATGCTTTTTTAAAAGTTAAGAAGATGTTTTTTTGTAGAACAAATTCTGTGAATTAGGCAATGAGTAATTTGGAGCACGTATGAAGGATGCTGAAGTTTATTTGTGGCTGAATTGAAATTCCTGGAAACGGAGTAGTAATGGGTGTTTGAGAAGCTACTGCCAGTGGAAAGAGTGAGCATACCTTTCCTTTTGTTCTTGGCTTGTCTTGTAGCCAGGCTTCAGTGAGCAGTGTTAGGAGTAAGCGGGGGCTTCTCCATCACACTCTGGGGCTTTTCCGTCACAGTCTGGGGCTTTATAGCCATGATCCTGGCAGCTGGTTCAGAGCTGCACATCACCATTACTCAGATACCACAGAAGGATGGGAGGAAAATGCCTTGATCATGTTTCTAAAGTATTAACTCTTTATCATAGACAAACAGGCTCTCTTTTCCCATATGTGTGTGAGTTTTGGTACCAATGATCTCATTTCCCAAAAAACATAAACTCTTCCAAAGTTATGACCAGTTATCTTAGACCTGGACATTGCTTAGCAGTGCTTCTTCCTTTCCACATAATAAGTAATAATTATCAGTATATTTCCTGTGTATACCACGGGTGTTGTCTTACCCACATGAAGAGCTGTGAGCCCCTGTAAGATGTCTTTGATGGAGTGCTGTTCTTTGAGCAAACTCTCCCCTAAGGGCGTCCTGACCCCAGAACCTTGGTGATACAATGCCAGTAATTTGGTTCTGAACAAGTTCTTATCAAGATAACAAGCTAAAAAGTTAAACAAATACAAACCATGTAATACTTTTTGCATGTAGGAATTGTTTTTGTGAATTTTGCCAGCTGTGTTAGATTTTAAATTCTAGCAAAATCTTATTAAAAGCCTTAGATTTTTTATGCTTTCTGGGTAGCCGAGGCAGGTAATAGAGATAAAGTGTAGCTGCTGCTATTCGTAGTTTGCTGACTGGTGAAGGAATATTCTAGTACCTCAGGTTTCATTTTTACACAGTATAAACAGAATTTGGTGAAAGGTTTTTTCACTCCAGCTTTCTCTTCAAAGGCATGTTTCCTATCAGCAAATAGTTTTTAGGTATGTTCTAGTTTCTTTGTTCTGATATACAGAGATAAAAATCCATCTAGAATAGAGATATTTTTAGTGCTAAGAATTTTTTTCTTTTCTTTTCTTTTTTTTTTTTTGAGATGAAGTCTCGCCCTTGCCTTCCAGGCTGGAGTGCAATGGCACGATCTTGGTTCACTGCAACCTCCGCCTCCTGGGTTCAAGCAATTCTCCTGCCTCAGCCTCCGGAGTAGCTGGGATTACACGCACCTGCCACCATACCCAGTTAATTTTTGTATTTTTAGTAGAGACGGGGTTTCACCATGTTGGTCAGGCTGGTCTCGAACTCCTGACCTCAGATGATCCACCTACCTCAGCCTCCCAAAATGCTGGGATTACAGGTGTGAGCCACCGCAGCTGGTGAATTGTTTAGAGAGAATCTGAAATGCATTATGTGGTATTTGAGAGAATGTTATTGAATTTCTATCTCTTTTTCAGTGGAAGAAGTTGTTCCGAATGTAATTGAACCTTCCTTCGGCCTGGGTAGGATCATGTATACGGTATTTGAACATACATTCCATGTACGAGAAGGAGATGAACAGAGAACAGTAAGTTGTTGTGTACAGTGTGCTGTTATAGTGTCAGAAAATAAAAATTTTCTGAATTACATTGTGAAGTACATTAATAAGACTCTAGAATGGTCAATTAGTTATTACTATAATCTAGTGCTATTAACACTCATCTTTGCTTAAGTATGTATAGACAAACCAGTTTCCTGTGTTATCTTATTTGAGCTTTAGGTTATTCTAGAAGCTATTGTTTTAGTTGCCTGGTGCTCTCTATTCTTAGACTGAACCTATTACTTTGGGGAACAATCTATATTATGTCAATGGAAGGAATGGTACTTTCTGGATATGCTGTGTTTCAGAAAATTGGGAAGGATGAGATAACTCCTAGAATTTAGCCAGACCACTAAGCTGTATCTGTACTCTGGTAAAGTATCAAAGGGAACCCTCTCAAACTGCATGAAATTGTCTGGGGTACTTTTGGGGTAAAGATGTGAATTCCTAGGTTCTACTCTGGAGATGCTGATTCACTAGGTCTGAGACCCAGGGATCTGGGGTTTTTTTAAAAAAAATAAGAATCCTGAGTGATTTCACTGTGAAAGCTTGACAGATCATAAATGGGATAATAGTTGTCTGGGGTATAGCCTTTCCTAGCATTCAAGTATTGCTGAAGATAGAAGTTTATAAGAAGTCTTCATCAGCTCCCACAAATTTTCTTTTCGGTCTGATGCTTCTGAATCACTGCTCCTTGCCTTCTTCCTCTTTATCTCCTTGCCTTACTTCACCATTTTTACCTCACCTCTGCCTGCAGAAGTTACACTCCTGGGCAGATTACTAGGAAAGCCAACCAGAAGAATGGCTAGAAAGGAGAGGTTGTATATGTCAGGTTAATTGAAAGAAACAGCGTCATCCACTTGGCCATTCTAAAGCTTGAGTGTACGTAATGTTAGACATCAACCGTGTGGTTCTTTCTAGGACATTTAACCTCAAAGAATGAACTAGTGAGTTCTCGGCACCAGTACTTTAGTCTGACACACTATTGTAATACATAGCTAATAAAGTTAGTATGGTACTCTCTGCCCTAAAGTTGCATCTTCATTTCCCAACCTTGAAGGAGCAGCCCTATTCATTCAACAGATTGTAAGAACCTGGGCTAGGCCCCAGGTGCGCAAACATAAGGCTTGGTTCTTTTTGAGAAATGATGACAAACATAACTGCATGTGTTCTTTTTAGATGTCAAGTCTGCTTCAAGCTTTGTCTGCTTATTTTTCTAATAAAAAGGTTTTAGAAAATCTTTTAGCTGTTCCTTTGAATCTAACAATATTAATATAACTAGAGCTTTAATAGAAATTTCGTAAGGGCTAAACAAGAATAAATTAGTCACAGTGTTTTATGAATTGCATGAATTCCCATCATGAAGAGAAATTTGATTAGGCTGTGGGAAGCCAAAAATGTTTCTAAATTATTAGCACCTAGTTCCTCAATCCATTTGCCTATAAATTTGGTATAAAAACATTGCTAGTGAAATTTTAAAAATTATTTTTCTATAAAGGCAGGTCCCTGTTACTCTCTTATATTAAATAGAAATATCACAAGATGGAGGAAGGGAATAGAATTCTGAACCTTCTGTGATGTGAGCAGCCATATTGGTGGAATACAGGCCTTACTTAGAGTGGGATATTCATTGCTTGGCAATAAAGGTTAATTGAACTTTGGGTGAGAGGCTAAACTGGAACCTGTGTCATTCATTATTTTTATGGGACAAATTTATTCTGTGTTTTTGCCTTCAAGTGAACCTTTTGTACAAGTATTAAGAACTGCCTTCAGTTCCCATTTCCAACCTAAAGTGGTTGATTGGTTTGCCTTCCACAGAATATTTTTATTTTCGCCTTTTTTTTTTTTTTTTTTTGGTCTCGCTTTGTTGCTCAGCTGGAGTGCAGTGGCACAATCTCAGCTGACTACAGCCTCAAACTTCTGGGCTCAAGCAATCCTCCTGCTTCAGCCTCCCAAGTAGCTGGGACCACAGGTGCGCCTCACAATGCCCAGCTAATTTTTTAGTTTTTGTAGAGATGGGGTCTTGCCATGTTGCCCTGGCTGGTCTTGAATTCCTGGGGTCAAGCAATTCTTCTGCCTCAGCCTCCCAAAGTGCTGGGATTACAGGCATGAGCCACTGTGTCCAGCCTTATTTTTGCTTTCTTTGATTTCTGAGTTACTCAGAAACTATTTCAGGGCAGTTTAAGAAGGCTGTACTTTTTAGTGTAGGTATATGGAACATCTTTTTTTGTTTTGTACTATTTCTTTTGGACATATGTTTGTGAGCTAATTAAACTTTTCTGTTTCACTTGGTCACTGAGGTTCATAGGTTTTTCTCTTAAAAGACAGAATGGGCTTTGGTTTGGGTCACTGCCACTTGTTTGAATATTTAGGTAGTCTCCACAGAAAGTCTTTTATGTGGAACCAAAAAATTACCGTCTTTTATATACAGTAGCTTTCAGAATGCTTTCACATCATTTGACTTTTTTAGTAACGGGCTTGTGAAGCAAGCAGAGCAGGTGGTAGAGACCTGCTTTTTAGGTGGAGAAACTAAGGTTCAGAAAGAGTTCATGACTTGGCCTAAATTCGGAGCTGAAACCAGGTGTTTCTGATGCTGGTTCTGCTTCTCTTTTGCCATACTGCTTTTCATGTCATGTTTTCTGGCATTTTGGTAATGACGTTATGCTTGAACACTTGCTGAATATTAACCTCTTTTGGTTTGGGATATTAGCATTTAGATATTTACAAATTAACATATTTGGATTTTTTTCTTTTTAAATCATCCAGTTCTTCAGTTTCCCTGCTGTAGTTGCTCCATTCAAATGTTCCGTCCTCCCACTGAGCCAAAACCAGGAGTTCATGCCATTTGTCAAGGAATTATGTAAGCAAATTCAATTGGGTAAACTCCATGGGAACACCATCAAGGAGACTGAATTTTAGGAAATGTATCATTTATTTCAATAAAAATATAGACTGAATAAAGAATATAAATGATTTTATAAAGAGTACATGATTTTAGCCTGTACTCTTATTTCTAAGCGAGAGGATATGCTTGCTCAGATGTTTTATTCTGGCATTTGAGTGAGGCAAGGTAGGACCCAAGAGTCAGATTTAAAAATTATTTACTTCTCATACTGACCTTGGTGCCAAGTTCATCGAGGGAACCTGAGTGGAGTGTAGCAACCATAATGGATCTACAGCCACAGAATCCACAGCCCTGAAAGGAATCCTGGTGGTCATCTGGCACATCCACTTATTTCAGAGCTGGGAAATGGGGAGAGTCCATTGACCTGCTTAGAGCCATAAAAATAGAGGTGGTGGAGTCAGGACTCACCTTCTGGCCTTGGCTCTTGGTCCCATATTTGTTCCCCCTATAGCTGTATCAGATGGAGGTATGAGTGAAGATTTGGATTCCCGCAAGGGATTTATTAAACTTTAGGGATATTTCTTTCTCTTGCAACTCAACTTGTTGCTTTCTTGTCTTGGTCCCATTTATAAGTCTCCTGAGCTTGTAAGACAGTAGTTAGATAACACTGGGCTTAACTCCATTGTTTTATTTTTAATTTACTTTGTTTATTTTGGATAGCGGAAGCCCTGACCAGGCATGGAGTATCTCACAAAGTAGACGATTCCTCTGGGTCAATCGGAAGGCGCTATGCCAGGACTGATGAGATTGGCGTGGCTTTTGGTGTCACCATTGACTTTGACACAGTGAACAAGACCCCCCACACTGCAACTCTGAGGGACCGTGACTCAATGCGGCAGATAAGAGCAGAGGTATCTGGCCTTCTCTTTGGCATTTTTAGCCTTAGAAATGTGTACTGCTTCTTACTGATTTGTGTTGGATTTTGATGTGTTTATGCTCCCTTTCCTTTTTTTTTCTTTTTAATTTTAATGAACGGCTTGTATCAGACAGAGCCCAGATTCTCAAGTCCCCCGGTTTAATTATGAAAATATCCATTAGCACTTCTCTAATATTTTATAAACATTTGTGTTGCTCCAGGCTTATTCTCCAGCAGTTTGCTTTTATACTTGTTTGTTTATTGGGCAAGAGAAATATGATCCTAAGAATTTGTTGCCATAGTTTTATTGGTAGGCTTTGGAGGGTTAGACATTTTAATGTTTTATTTTTACAGACGCGTATACATGTGTATGTATAAGCTTTTCCGTGTTCATATATTCAAAACAGTGAATCATGTTTCAGTAGTTTTGGTCAATAGGAAGGCAGTAATGGAGATGGTAGAAGCACAGAAGGAGAAGGATGAGTGGTAAGGGAAAGGAAAGAGTAGCTGCTTTAATTGACATCTGCCTGCCTAATTTATCACCTTTGAGCACATACATCAAGTGCCTGTTCTGTGCTTAGCTTGATACAGAAGTAATAGGGAAAACAGAAGCAAAAGACTGCTTTTTTTTCTGAAGGAGTTTATAGTCTAATCCAGAAGTCGTGAATTTCTAGCTTGACTTTTTAGAGACCATCTGGCTACTCTGGAGCTGTGTCCCCATCTGGGTGTGGTTCTCAAAAGTGTGGTCCCTAGACCAGCAGCATCAGTATCCCCTGGAAATGTATGAGATAAGCAAAACCTCCACCCCAGACCTACTGCATCATAAACTGGGGGTGGAGAGGCAGAGGGGGCAGGCAGAACTTTCTTAGTTTTAGCAAGACCTCCAGATGATTCTGACGTGCACTCAAGTTTGAGAACCATTGCTGTGTGGCAGCCAGTGTTTGGTTTTGGCTGAGGAACAGTAGCCTTGGTCAGAGCTCTCCAGTTTGCCAGTCTTATGTAATTCCCTCACACGAGTTACTTGACTGAGTCCTGTTTGTTCTAATAGTTAAATTTAATACACATGAAGTAACTTCAAGGGACATGGAGATTTAGAAAAGTTAGGAAAGGCTTTGTGGCAGAATTGAGTTGTCTGGGGGAACTGGTGGGCGTTTTGGGCTAGAAGAGCATGAACCCATGCCTGGCATGACATTGTTTGGCTCTGTGTAAGGTTTCCTGAGTTCAGGATGAATCTTCTTCTTAAAAATCTGAACAAGTTGGTTGATACTTGGCTTCTCTTTCCTTGTCTCTAGATCTCTGAGCTGCCCAGCATAGTCCAAGACCTAGCCAATGGCAACATCACATGGGCTGATGTGGAGGCCAGGTATCCTCTGTTTGAAGGGCAAGAGACTGGTAAAAAAGAGACAATCGAGGAATGAGGACAATTTTGACAACTTTTGACCACTTGCGCTAATAAAAAAAAAAAAAAACTACTCTTATGTCCACTTTACAAAAGAAAACAGCATTGTGATTACTCCCAGGGACCGTATTTTATCTTCAGTGGCTGCCTGATTTTACCCCCACAATTAAAGTTGAAGGAATCCTGAACAAACTTGTGATCTATTTGCTTGTGTTTTTACATTTTCAGCAAGGCTGTTTCTCCCACGTTTGGGTAGACATGCTCATGGCTTAATGTTAAACACAGTTAACACTTTTTAAAAAATTAACAGCTTTATTGGGGTATAATTTACATACCATAAAAATAGCCTGTCTTAAGTGTACAGTTCAATGATGTTTAGTATATTTACAGAGTTGTGCAACCACCACCACAAACCAATTTTAGAACATTTTCATCACTCCAAAATAAGTCTCATGCTCATTTACCTCACTCCCATTCTAACCTCAGCCCAGGCAACCACTCCTCTACTTTCTGTCTATTGATTTACCTTTTCTATTCTTTATCTTATTCTGAGAAAATGACGCAGTGTGCAGGTACTGTGACAGCAGTCTCCAAGCAGGTGAAATGACTTCTGGAAAAGCCTGAGGTGAGGATGGGGTGGCAGGAGTGGTGCTTTAGGGCTGCTAACCCCACTGTTTGCAGATTCTCCAGGAGGGGAGGGCCTTGCCATATTTGCCTTCTATCTTAAGGCATGCTTGCACTCAGCTCCACTGGTAGCCTGGAAATCATTAAGCTCTTGATGCTAGGGGAACCCATCTCTCTCGTCTGATTTAGCAATTCCTGACCATCGCAGTGTCTTGATTCTAGCCTAGCAGTTTTTGGCTCAGGTTTTAAGGTACTTTACTTCTTTTATGTTTTTGTATAGAAAACTCAGAACGCTGTGCTTATTTGTAAGGGAAAAATTCCAGGTTGTGTGAATTTGAGCAGCTGTTTATTTGCAGAGCTATGACCTTATCTAGTGTGCCCACTTCCTCCCCTGCAGTATTGGATAGAGGAGTGGTGATCTCCAGTGTGCCCTTTTGTTTCTAGTATGAAGAACAATTGAAGTTGTGATTTCTTAGATGTAAAGTAGGAATCTCCCAGGGATTTCCCTCATTTGTATCTCATCTCCAGTGGTGCCTACCGCAGTGCTGTACATAGTAGGTCTTCCATAAATAGTCTTTGGATGAGTCTCGAATTTTTGAACAGACTTCTTTTTTGAACAAACCTCTTTGGGAGGAAAGCCTTATACTGAAGCATATTTCTCTTCCGTCTCTGCTTTTATGAGCATTCATTATTAAATTAGAAGGAGCCAGATTTTAAATAAACTGAGTTTTCATTTTCTAGGGATTTCTCTCACTTCGAATTCCATATAATATAGCTTTTAACTGGGCATATGTTCTAGCAGCTTTACATTGGCAGGGGGCTGCCCTAACTGCATTTATTTGCTGCTTTTACAGCAGGTACCTCCATAGTCAAACAGTCACCACAGCCTCAGACATTGGTTTAAGCTCATTAATAGGGAAAGATACATTAAATACATAGTGAGAGTTACCTATCATCAGGTTGGTGCCAAAGTAGTTGCGGTTTTTGCCATTAAAAGTAATGACAGGCTGGGCGCGGTGGCTCATGCCTGTAATCCCAGCACTTTGGGAGGCCAAGGCGGGCGGATCATTTGAGGTCAGGAGTTCGAGACCAGCCTGGCCAACACAGTGAAACCCCGTCTACTAAAAATACAAAAATCGGCCGGGTGTGGTGGCACGTTCCTGTACTCCCAGCTACATGGGAGGCTGAGGCAGGAGAATCACTTGAACCCGGGAGGCGGAGGTTTCAGTTAGCTGAGATTGTGCCACTGCACTCCAGTCTGGGCACAGAGCGAGACTCCATCTCAAAAAAATAAATAAATAAAGTAATGACAAAAACCATAATTACTTTTGCACCAGCCTAATACTTTGGATCAGAAAGGGATTGGAACCAAGCCTCACTTCCCTTTTCATTGGCAAATACATTTGTCATGAGGTAGAGGCTGGATATTGAATCTGCAAGCCCTCTTTTGTTCCTTCCCCTGGGTAGCAATGCGTGATTTCTCCTGGATCACCTGCTCTAAAGCAGGTCTCTAAAGTGATACCTGAGTGAGGGAGACGGGCCGGCAGCAGAGCTCTCTGGTTCTGTCTGTACCATGTTTGCTTGATTTTAAGAACAAGCAGTTGAAGTGCTGTTTTCTAAATGAAGAGACTCTTTACCCACGAGTTTGCGTATGCATACGCACACACCTCTTCTGTTCAAGCCCAATGTGTATTTAAAGCATGGGTCTTTCTGGCTTAATGCTCTTTGAGGCCTTTTAAATTATTTATATACCTGTACGTACCGGACTGTGGGCTTAACAAGAGTGAGATAAATAGCATTGTATCTTGGAGAAGTTACTCCTGTTTATTACTTCTCCCAAAAATGATGGGGGAAGGTCAGATTCTTTTTTTTTTTTTTCTTGTGCTTAGTGCCAAATTTTATTTTTCTTTGGAAGACTGACATTAAACGTGAGAAAAACAAAGGATAACAAAAATTATCTTTATTTTCAAAATAACTTTACTAAACTATACTGATTACAAATAATACAGTCTAATGAAAACAAAGCCACTTAAAAAAGTTTAAAGAAGACATGTATGTGTAATTTTCTCATATAATTAACACTTTAAATTATTTTACAGAGTGTCATTTTAGAAATGGGTTGATACTATTTTGAATTATAGAATTAAAGTATGATCAGCATCTAATACAAAAACATACAATTAGATATTTTCTATTTTTCTGCTTTTAACTATTATTTAAGAATTTAATCTTTTTAGATTAGCCATCAGGGAAAATATATAGAATCACGGTATTCATTTATTATGTATATGAGGAAATTAACACCTTTATAATAACTCTCATGCTTTTTTCCTGAAAATTTTCTTTTTTTTTTTTAATTATACTTTAAGTTTTAGGGTACATGTGCACATTGTGCAGGTTAGTTACATACGTATACGTGTGCCATGCTGGTGCACTGCACCCACTAACTCGTCATCTAGCATTAGGTATATCTCCCAATGCTATACCTCCCCCCTCCCCCCACCCCACAACAGTCTCCAGTGTGATATTCCCCTTCCTGTGTCCATCTGTTCTCATTGTTCAATTCCCACCTATGAGTGAGAATATGCGGTGTTTGGTTTTTTGTTCTTGCAATAGTTTACTGAGAATGATGTTTTCCAATTTCATCCATGTCCCTACAAAGGACATGAACTCATCATTTTTTATGGCTGCATAGTATTCCATGGTGTATATGTGCCACATTTTCTTAATCCAGTCTATCATTGTTGGACATTTGGGTTGGTTCCAAGTCTTTGCTATTGTGAATAATGCCGCAATAAACATACATGTGCATGTGTCTTTATAGCAGCATGATTTATAGTCCTTTGGGTATATACCCAGTAATGGGATGGCTGGGTCAAATGGTATTTCCAGTTCTAGATCCCTGAGGAATCGCCACACTGACTTCCACAATGGTTGAACTAGTTTACAGTCCCACCAACAGTGTAAAAGTGTTCCTATTTCTCCACATCCTCTCCAGCACCTGTTGTTTCCTGACTTTTTCATGATTGCCATTCTAACTGGTGTGAGATGGTATCTCATTGTGGTTTTGATTTGCATTTCTCTGATGGCCAGTGATGATGAGCATTTTTTCATGTGTTTTTTGGCTGCATAAATGTCTTCTTTTGAGAAGTGTCTGTTCATGTCCTTCGCCCACTTTTTGATGGGGTTGTTTGTTTTTTTCTTGTAAATTTGTTTGAGTTCATTGTAGATTCTGGATATTAGCCCTTTGTCAGATGAGTAGGTTGCGAAAATTTTCTCCCATGTTGTAGGTTGCCTGTTCACTCTGATGGTAGTTTCTTTTGCTATGCAGAAGCTCTTTAATTTAATTAGATCCCATTTGTCAATTTTGTCTTTTGTTGCCATTGCTTTTGGTGTTTTAGACATGAAGTCCTTGCCCATGCCTATGTCCTGAATGGTAATGCCTAGGTTTTCTTCTAGGGTTTTTATGGTTTTAGGTCTAACGTTTAAGTCTTTAATCCATCTTGAATTGATTTTTGTATAAGGTGTAAGGAAGGGATCCAGTTTCAGCTTTCTACATATGGCTAGCCAGTTTTCCCAGCACCATTTATTAAATAGGGAATCCTTTCCCCATTGCTTGTTTTTCTCAGGTTTGTCAAAGATCAGATAGTTGTAGATATGCGGCGTTATTTCTGAGGGCTCTGTTCTGTTCCATTGATCTATATCTCTGTTTTGGTACCAGTACCATGCTGTTTTGGTTACTGTAGCCTTGTAGTATAGTTTGAAGTCAGGTAGCGTGATGCCTCCAGCTTTGTTCTTTTGGCTTAGGATTGCCTTGGCGATGCGGGCTCTTTTTTGGTTCCATATGAACTTTAAAGTAGTTTTTTCCAATTCTGTGAAGAAAGTCATTGGTAGCTTGATGGGGATGGCATTGAATCTGTAAATTACCTTGGGCAGTATGGCCATTTTCACGATATTGATTCTTCCTACCCATGAGCATGGAATGTTCTTCCATTTGTTTGTATCCTCTTTTATTTCCTTGAGCAGTGGTTTGTAGTTCTCCTTGAAGAGGTCCTTCACATCCCTTGTAAGTTGGATTCCTAGGTATTTTATTCTCTTTGAAGCAATTGTGAATGGGAGTTCACTCATGATTTGGCTCTCTGTTTGTCTGTTGTTTGGTGTATAAGAATGCTTGTGATTTTTATACATTGATTTTGTATCCTGAGACTTTGCTGAAGTTGCTTATCAGCTTAAGGAGATTTTGGGCTGAGACAACGGGGTTTTCTAGATATACAATCATGTCGTCTGCAAACAGGGACAATTTGACTTCCTCTTTTCCTAATTGAATACCCTGTATTTCCTTCTCCTGCCTAATTGCCCTGGCCAGAACTTCCAACACTATGTTGAATAGGAGTGGTGAGAGAGGGCATCCCTGTCTTGTGCCAGTTTTCAAAGGGAATGCTTCCAGTTTTTGCCCATTCAGTATGATATTGGCTGTGGGTTTGTCATAGATAGCTCTTATTATTTTGAAATACGTCCTATCAATACCTAATTTATTGAGAGTTTTTAGCATGAAGGGTTGTTGAATTTTGTCAAAGGCTTTTTCTGCATCTATTGAGATAATCATGTGGTTTTTGTCTTTGGCTCTGTTTATATGCTGGATTACATTTATTGATTTGCGTATATTGAACCAGCCTTGCATCCCAGGGATGAAGCCCACTTGATCATGGTGGATAAGCTTTTTGATGTGCTGCTGGATTCGGTCTGCCAGTATTTTATTGAGGATTTTTGCATCAATGTTCATCAAGGATATTGGTCTAAAATCCTCTTTTTTTGTTGTGTCTCTGCCTGGCTTTGGTATCAGAATGATGTTGGCCTCATAAAATGAGTTAGGGACGATTCCCTCTTTTTCTATTGATTGGAATAGTTTCAGAAGGAATGGTACCAGTTCCTCCTTGTACCTCTGGTAGAATTCAGCTGTGAATCCATCTGGTCCTGGACTCTTTTTGGTTGGTAAGCTATTGATTATTGCCACAATTTCAGATCCTGTTATTGGTCTATTCAGAGATTCAACTTCTTCCTGGTTTAGTCGTGGGAGAGTGTATGTGTCGAGGAATTTATCCATTTCTTCTAGATTTTCTAGTTTATTTGCGTAGAGGTGTTTGTACTATTCTCTGATCGTAGTTTGTATTTCTGTGGGATCGGTGGTGATATCCCCTTTATCATTTTTTATTGCGTCTATTAGATTCTTCTCTTTTTTTCTTTATTAGTCTTGCTAGCGGTCTATCAGTTTTGTTGATCCTTTCAAAAAACCAGCTCCTGGATTCATTAATTTTTTGAAGGGTTTTTTGTGTCTCTATTTCCTTCAGTTCTGCTCTGATCTTAGTTATTTCTTGCCTTCTGCTAGCTTTTGAATGTGTTTGCTCTTGCTTTTCTAGTTCTTTTAATTGTGATGTTAGGGTGTCAATTTTGGATCTTTCCTGCTTTCTCTTGTGGACATTTAGTGCTATAAATTTCCCTCTACACACTGCTTTGAATGCGTCCCAGAGATTCTGGTATGTTGTGTCTTTGTTCTCATTGGTTTCAAAGAACATCTTTATTTCTGCCTTCATTTCGTTATGTACCCAGTAGTCATTCAGGAACAGGTTGTTCAGTTTCCATGCAGTTGAGCGGTTTTGAGTGAGATTCTTAATCCTGAGTTCTAGTTTGATTGCACTGTGGTCTGAGAGATAGTTTGTTATAATTTCTGTTCTTTTACATTTGCTGAGGAGAGCTTTACTTCCAAGTATGTGGTCAATTTTGGAATAGGTGTGGTGTGGTGCTGAAAAAAATGTATATTCTGTTGATTTGGGGTGGAGAGTTCTGTAGATGTCTATTAGGTCTGCTTGGTGCAGAGCTGAGTTCAATTCCTGGGTATCCTTGTTGACTTTCTGTCTCATTGATCTGTCTAATGTTGACAGTGGGGTGTTAAAGTCTCCCATTATTAATGTGTGGGAGTCTAAGTCTCTTTGTAGGTCACTCAGGACTTGCTTTATGAATCTGGGTGCTCCTGTATTGGGTGCATATATATTTACGATAGTTAGCTCTTCTTGTTGAATTGATCCCTTTACCATTATGTAATGGCCTTCTTTGTCTCTTTTGATCTTTGTTGGTTTAAAGTCTGTTTTATCAGAGACTAGGATTGCAACCCCTGCCTTTTTTTGTTTTCCATTTGCTTGGTAGATCTTCCTCCATCCTTTTATTTTGAGCCTATGTGTGTCTCTGCACGTGAGATGGGTTTCCTGAATACAGCACACTGATGGGTCTTGAGTCTTTATCCAATTTGCCAGTCTGTGTCTTTTAATTGGAGCATTTAGTCCATTTACATTTAAAGTTAATATTGTTATGTGTGAATTTGATCCTGTCATTATGATGTTAGCTGGTGATTTTGCTCATTAGTTGATGCAGTTTCTTCCTAGTCTCGATGGTCTTTACATTTTGGCATGATTTTGCAGCGGCTGGTACCGGTTGTTCCTTTCCATGTTTAGCGCTTCCTTCAGGAGCTCTTTTAGGGCAGGCCTGGTGGTGACAAAATCTCTCAGCATTTGCTTGTCTGTAAAGTATTTTATTTCTCCTTCGCTTATGAAGCTTAGTTTGGCTGGATATGAAATTCTGGGTTGAAAATTCTTTTCTTTAAGAATGTTGAATATTGGCCCCCACTCTCTTCTGGCTTGTAGGGTTTCTGCCGAGAGATCTGCTGTTAGTCTGATGGGCTTCCCTTTGAGGGTAACCCAACCTTTCTCTCTGGCTGCCCTTAACATTTTTTCCTTCATTTCAACTTTGGTGAATCTGACAATTATGCGTCTTGGAGTTGCTCTTCTCGAGGAGTATCTTTGTGGCGTTCTCTGTATTTCCTGAATCTGAACGTTGGCCTGCCTTGCTAGATTGGGGAAGTTCTCCTGGATAATATCCTGCAGAGTGTTTTCCAACTTGGTTCCATTCTCCCCATCACTTTCAGGTACACCAATCAGACATAGATTTGGTCTTTTCACATAGTCCCATATTTCTTGGAGGCTTTGCTCGTTTCTTTTTATTCTTTTTTCTCTAAACTTCCCTTCTCGCTTCATTTCATTCATTTCATCTTCCATCGCTGATACCCTTTCTTCCAGTTGATCGCATTGGCTCCTGAGGCTTCTGCATTCTTCACGTAGTTCTCGAGCCTTGGTTTTCAGCTCCATCAGCTCCTTTAAGCACTTCTCTGTATTGGTTATTCTAGTTATACATTCTTCTAAATTGTTTTCAAAGTTTTCAACTTCTTTGCCTTTGGTTTGAATGTCCTCCCGTAGCTCAGAGTAATTTGATCATCTGAAGCCTTCTTCTCTCAGCTCGTCAAAGTCATTCTCCATCCAGCTTTGTTCAGTTGCTGGTGAGGAACTGCGTTCCTTTGGAGGAGGAGAGGCACTCTGCATTTTAGGGTTTCCAGTTTTTCTGTTCTGTTTTTTCCCCATCTTTGTGGTTTTATCTACTTTTGGTCTTTGATGATGGTGATGTACAGATGGGTTTTTGGTGTGGATGTCCTTTCTGTTTATTAGTTTTCCTTCTAACAGACAGGACCCTCAGCTGCAGGTCTGTTGGAATACCCTGCCGTGTGAGGTGTCAGTGTGCCCCTGCTGGGGGGTGCCTCCCAGTTAGACTGCTCGGGGGTCAGGGGTCAGGGACCCACTTGAGGAGGCAGTCTGCCCGTTCTCAGATCTCCAGCTGCGTGCTGGGAGAACCACTGCTCTCTTCAAAGCTGTCAGACAGGGACATTTAAGTCTGCAGAGGTTACTGCTGTCTTTTTGTTTGTGCCCTGCCCCCAGAGGTGGAGCCTACAGAGGCAGGCAGGCCTCCTTGACCTGTGGTGGGCTCCACCCAGTTCGAGCTTCCCAGCTGCTTTGTTTACCTAATCAAGCCTGGGCAATGGCGGGCGCCCCTCCCCCAGCCTCGCTGCCGCCTTGCAGTTTGATCTCAGACTGCTGTGCTAGCAATCAGCGAGATTCCGTGGGCGTAGGACCCTCCGAGCCAGGTGCGGGATATAGTCTCCTGGTGCGCCGTTTTTTAAGCCCGTCGGAAAAGCGCAGTATTCGGGTGGGAGTGACCCGATTTTCCAGGTGCCGTCCGTCACCCCTTTCTTTGACTCGGAAAGGGAACTCCCTGACCCCTTGCGCTTCCCAAGTGAGGCAATGCCTCGCCCTGCTTCGGCTCGCGCACGGTGCGTGCACCCACTGACCTGCGCCCACTGTCTGGCGCTCCCTAGTGAGATGAACCCGGTACCTCAGATGGAAATGCAGAAATCACCGTCTTCTGCGTCGCTCACGCTGGGAGCTGTAGACCGGAGCTGTTCCTATTCGGCCATCTTGGCTCCTCCAGGAAGGTCAGATTCTAACTAATTTCCATGGACTGTTATGTAAGAACACAGGAATTAGATTTTTAATACTTAGGTTGGAATTCAGGCATTCAGTCAAATGCAATGTGGAGTTACTTCAGAGAGGCTATCTGCCTGGCTTCTGCAGGAGTCCACCACCTTAATATTGCCCAACAGCTCATAATAGCAAAATGGTGGATATAGATGGTGTTCCAGAAAAGGAATTCATCACCAAGTCTAAAGAACATGGAAATAATCTTACTGTTTTCATGAGCTGGTACTAAAGATGTCAGACGTCTCAAGTTCTTTGTGATAAGAACTTGCAAAATCGTTTTTTTCATTAGAAGTCACATGAAGTAGATTCATTCTAGACCTTTATTTACTACTCCCTTAACCAGTGTAATTGCAGGGTAATGGCAGCAACTGTCTTAGTCAGTGGAGTCTATTCCTTGAGAGGGCTGGATGCCCTAGAGATAAATCCAAATTATCTCTGGTTATAGTTGCCCTGAAATGAACCTTCTTTCCCAAAGGAAAACTATTATCTGTATCTCTTGGGCTGGGCTAGGATGGAGAGGCTTTGAGAGCATTGCTTGCACCGGCATCTTTGCTGATAGTCTGACAATGTTTAAGGCAGGTGTTTGTGGCATTTGGCCAACACCAAAGTGAAATTTAGTTGAAGATTCAGTAAGTAAGTGGATGACTAATTTTGCTGTGCCTCAATGTTCGCCTGTTGTTGCCTGTTCAATAATTCTTGGTTATTGAGCTGCCTCTAAGCAGTAATTTAGTTAAGGCTGTGTGGATATCTGGAGGACTGTCTCCTCTAGAAATTGGGATGTGATTTGGGAGTATCACCAGGGGTTGCCTGAGAGGCGCAGCCTGCAGCTTCGCCCTCTTGGCTAAGAGCCCCTTCACTTTTGCTGGCAACATGCCCCCCTCTTGCTGGATGGGCTATCTTCCTTTCGTGTTGAAGGACACACCTTTGAAAATTTGTTGCCTCAGTAAAAGATGTTGGGGCAGTGGTTCTCAACCCTGGCTGCACATTAAAGTAACTTGAGCTTTAAAAAAAAACTCATGTCTGGGCTCCTCCTTAAACCAATTTAATGAGTTGAGGGTGGAGCCTGGGCATCAGTATATTAAGTCTCTTAGGAGAAGCACCACTACCACTGTTGCACCTTGTGAACTTTCTAGCTGTGTGAAAGGCTGGACCCATTGCTCTCTCAAAAGGGGTTTCCTCTGAGAATATGAATGTGTAGGACATTGTATCCAGTGAGACAGTTAGAGAAGTAGATGTGAGAGTGGGGAAGTGAGCAGTAGGATTTCTGTTTTCCCGGGGAATTTTAGGGAACCTTATTCTTGCTGGATGAGGGTAGTGGTGCCAAAGAGCAGAGGGGTGCTGTGAGCTCTGGGCCAGAAATAAAGTAAGCTGGCTTCTTGTCCTGACTCTTCTAGTGTCTGAACTTAATGATAGTTTCAGGAACTTGAGGCTAGGAAGAGAGAGCCCTTCTCTCTTTGGGAGCCAAAGCTCTCTGCACTCCTTTTTTTAATGTGCAAGACTTAGTGCACAAGTGAGCCTGCATAGAATTTGCCAGCCTATGCCTGCGTTTGCTGGGTCTTAAAACTCAATCACCAATAATTAGCACAAAAGCAGTTATGCTAACGAAAACAATTTAGGCAAATTGAAAGCTTTTTGGGCTCATCAAAACTCACTGTTCTGCATCTAAGTGTGAACTAATTGATAGAGAGATTAAGTACAGTGAAATTGTGGGAAAGAAAAAACCCACTGGCAAGCTTTAGAAAGTCTTTTGTTTTTTAAAAAAAACTTGAGCCCAGATTTTCCATTTTTTTGTCCAGCCTGTCAACTCCACCTGCACTCTATATCAGAATTGGGCCTACTTGTCACCACCTTCGTGGCCACCAGCTTGGGGCAAGCTGCCATCATCACCCATCTGGTTTACTGCAAAAGACTTGCCTGAACTCCCTGTTCGTGCCCTTGCCCCTTCATCAGCAGTTTTCCACCTGGCACCAGACTGCATTGGTCCTCAAAACTCAGTGGCCTTCCTTACCTTTCCTTTCCTTTTTCCTTTCCCCTTTCCTTTCCTTCTCTTTCTTTCTTTTTCTTTCTTTCAGATGGAGTCTTGCTCTATCGCCCAGGCTGGAGTGCAATGGCGCCATCTCAGCTCACTGCAACCTCCGTCTCCCAGGTTCAAGCGATTCTCCTGCCTCAACCTCCCGAGTAGCTGGGATTACAGGTGCCTGCCACTGTGCCTGGCTAATTTTTGTGTTTTTAGTAGAGACGGGGTTTCACCATGTTGGCCAGGCTGGTCTTGAACTCCTGACCTCAGGTGATCCACCACCTCGGCCTCTCAAAGTGCTGTGATTACAGGTATGAGCCACCTCGCTGGTCCAGCTTTTCTTGTCCTGCAAGAATAGCGTAGATCTACGCCACCCCCGTGCCAACCACCCCCATGCTGGCCCTTTTCCAGTGGCCCAGCATGCCCAGGACAGGACCTTGGTACTCAGTTATATTCTGTCTGCCTGCAGTGCTTCCTCCAAAGATAGGGTTCCCACAACCACTCCCTCATCTCGGGATGTCATTCAGCAGTTGCCTCAGTGAGGCCTTCCTCAGCTGCTTCATCTGAAGTTTCAATGTGCGCCACAACCCCCACATTCAGACACATCCCTTTCATATCGCCTTCCTTGTTTTCTTTTTCCTCTTGAGTACTAAACACTTTAAACGTATTTTACTTTTTTATTTTGTTTAATTTTTGGTCTCCACATTAGAATGTAAGTTCCATGAGGACAAGGATTTGGGTCTGTTTTGTTCTTGGCTGTATCCTCATTGCCTAGGGAAGTGCCTAGCACTTAGTAAGTCCTCAGTAAATATATGAATGACTTAATGAACAAATGAATCTTTCCCTGCAGGGCAGCTCTACATTCTGTATTTTGGTATAAAAATTGGCTTAGTTAGAAATGGCTACTCACACACAACTCACCCCTTGGCTCAAGCCCCACGTCTGTACTCTGCAAAAGGCCTGCAGCCACTGAATGGTTGGGCACGAAGGCAGGTTTCCAAACTTAATAGAGTGGTGCCCTTTTTGAAGGAAACAAGACATCAAAAGCCTCTGTAGTACACTCGGAGTCCTCATGTTGAGAAACTTTAGCTAATGTTGTATATTTACCCTAAGACCATCTTCCATTTGACACCAAAAAAAGAGGTAACTGGTAAGCATTTTTAAAGATTATCACTAAAATAAAAGTAAATTTAAAAATCTTTATAACACTGGTGGACTCTGAGAAGAGGTTCCATGCAGAGAAACTATAAGACTTCAAGGTCTTTTAGGGACAAGAGTTCCTGGGCTGGTCAAGGCACCCTGAAAGGAACAGTATCACTGGGTAACTGGTATTGGCATTTCGGGGTTGGACCAGATGTGGCCCTGCCTTCGAGCCCTTTACGACCTGACGGTGAGGCCTAACCTCACATACAGTGAGGGTGGCCATGGAGGAGGCTTGGCCCTGGGCCTAGAAAGGTGACGTCGCCCCGTGCAGTGGTGAGGTGGGTCCTGTGGGACACACGGCGAGCGCAGGGCCTCGTGAGCACTCCTGCAGCCTGTTCACATGTGGGTCCGTGCCTCCCAAGATGTGTTTCAGGGCCTGGGGTGGGGCATCTAAAACACAGCCAGGCCTAAGCACCACCAACTTAGGGAATTCTTGCTAGCTAAATTAGAGTGTTTTAGTTTTATCTTGATGTTAGGGGTTTATAAACTTGGGTCTGTAGTTCCTTCAAGGATTTCTGTGGAGGTGTCATTGCTCTATTTATACCCAACTGTGTTTTTCTAGGGGAATGGATCTATCCCATCTCCAAGGGGTCAGCTGCCCAAATGAAGTCCAGGTCTGATTGCAGGTCATGGGGGCCTCTTTCCAGATTGAGCTCCTTTATGGGGAACCCCACCAGCATTGGCACCTCATTTCTTCAGATGCAAAGATCTTCACATTCAAGTCTGCAATGAAGGGGGAGGGGGGTGGCCCAGAATCTTTCAAGCTGAAGGATGAGATGGATCTGGAGACACCAGGCTGAGGTGTTAATTTGCTTAGGAATTGGGGGCCTCCATAGAGCACACGTGGAAAGTCCCTGAATGGCCAGAGGGAGTACGGATTCCCTTGTAATTGCAGGTACAGCATTTGGGCCGAGCAGGAAGCACAGGGAAAACAGGTGGCTGCATGATCGCTCATGGGCCCCCCACTGGCCTTCCCCAGAGAACACCAGACTGGAACTGGGGTTGAAGGAAGAAATGACGAGTCTTAGAATTTCTCCACCTTCCTGGGTGGAAGGGCCTCTGTGGGGATTCGTGATGCTGGATTGTTTATCATGGTTGGGCCTTAGAGAGCTAGAGGGGGCCTTACTTGGCACTCTACAGAGCTAATTAAGAAGCACAATTAATTACTTCATCATATTCACAGCAGAAGCTGAGGACAGTTTTTTTCTGGAACCGGAATCATAAACTACTTGCCCCTGCTCAATCACTTGTCCACCAAGCAGACACTGAGATGGAACTCAGGACATCACCTCAGAAAATCCTTTCTACTCAGGTTCTCCTTCCAAAGTGCGGTAGCTAACGTTCAGAATTTCCTATGGATCTGGCTTTCATCATTCATTTATCCAAGTAGCGTCTGTGGCCCCTGCTGTGTATGCAGACAAATATGGGGTTTAAGTAGGGTGATCATATAATTCATTGTTCAGACCAGGATTCGTGAGAGTGAAAGGTATGCTATTAATTACATGAGGTCACAGGAATCATCCTGGACTAACGGGGGCAAACCATGTCTCATCCCAGCTTAGAGAACTGCTGAAGAGCAGCCTGCGTCCAATGCCAGTGGGAAGTCGAGAGCCATTGAGGCCTGGGGCCCCTTGGGGTGAGGTTAATCTGGAGACAGCTGCAGGAGAGTCTGCAGGGTGTGATAGAGGCCCTCCGGCTCCCATCTGCTGTCACTCATGTGAAGTAGAGAAGAGGTGATGCCCTCTGTCTGGGACTGGCCTCTGGGCTCTGGTAAGGGTAGGGTATGGAGCCACAGACAGATTTCTCCCGCTGTGCAAAGCCAATAGATCTCTGGGACTTCTTTGTGCCTTTGGTCATTCTTGTGGGTTAACCAGCTCTGGGTGGGACAAATAGGAAAGGCTGGTTTATTTAATGAATGTTTCTAGGGTTTCTCCTGAGTGCAGAACTCTTGCTGTGGGCCTAAGAAACAGCACATGCCCCCTGGAATGACCAGCCCAGCAGTGGAGTCTGTGGAGACTGCTGAAGGAGCCCCTAGAGGGGACATTTCTGACTAATGCATAGGTTTTGCCGGGTGATGGTTCTGTGACGAGGGAGGCCTGCTGCAGCGCTGTATGGGAGGGCCCCGAGGCCTAAACAAACAAATACCTAAGAGGAAAATCTGGCAGAAACTCAGTCAACACAGGGCAGTGATGCCCTCTGCCCATTCCTCCTGCTAATTAACATGTCTAAGTGGCACAGCCCCCTCAGGAAAATTAACGGCACCTTCGAGGCAGAGCCTGGAAGCCATCCTGGGCATATTGATGAGTAGATTCACATGTTTTCTTTCTTTTTTTTTTTTTGAGACTGAACCTCACCCTGTCACCTAGGCTGGAGTGCAGTGGTGTGATCTCAGCTCACTGCAACCTCTGCTTCCCGGGTTCAAGCGATTCTCTTGCCTTAGCCTCCCAAATACCTGAGATTATAGACACGTGCCACCATACCTGGCTAATTTTTGTATTTTTAGTAGATATGGGGTGGTTTCACCATGTTGACCAGGCTGGTCTCGAACTCCTGACCTCAGGTGATCTGCCCACCATGGCCTCCCAAAGTGCTGGGATTACAGGCATGAGCCACCACTCCTGGCGTCGCTGTTGCTTTCTACAGCACGTGTGTGTGTTGGAAAGAAGAGACAAGGGATGTGTCTTTTTTTGCTGGCCCACACCCCAGCTGTCAGAATCACCCGGGGGCCTGTGAAGCGTGTGGATTCCTAGACCCCACCAAGTATGACTTCTGAAGCCTGCTGTGCAACATGCCACCCGGTTGCTTCCAGGTGTGCTCTCAGAACAGGGGGCCGGGCTCCCTGGCTGAAGGGGTCCCCCTGCTTCAAGCCCCTCCTATGCTCTCGGCCACCCCAGCCACTTGTTCCACCTGAGGCACAGCTGTTTACCACCAAACCCTCCCCGACCCTGGCTGAAATGTCACTCTAGGGAAGAACTCCCATTGGGCCTCCCAGCCCTAGGCCTGCCTCCATGACCCATGACGTGTGCAGGGGATACTTTGTTCTCCTGAGCGTGCCATTTTCTAGTCCCTTCACCTGTCCCTCATAGGACAGCTCCCTTCCCGTCCAGCTGCATCAGCACACGTCCCCCACCTGCCCAGGGCTTCTGAAGATGCTGGGGAAAGCACAAGCGGCACAGTTGGGCCTCTTTCCCTATTCTGTTTTTGGGGCATCTGGAGATCCGGGCCTGCATGGGGGTGAAGGGGAAAGAAGTGGGGAGGGCAGCTGAGGTCCTTGTGCCTAGAAGCCAGCTGGCTTGGGGCCACTGTGGGCATGGACTAGGAGATGGACAGGGCAGGGGGCTGGGGGCAGGCGCAGGCTGCAGGAGCCGATGTGTCTTTTGCCTGCCTTTTCCTTGTGCTGTTCTCAACCAGATTATGAGTTTCTTGAAACAGGAAACTTGTCTTTCTGTTACTTCCATATCTGGCACACCCTGGTGTTCTGTGAATGGGAAATGATGGAGGAAGGTGCGTGCGCCTCCCTCTCTGGGTCTGTGCGTGTGTTCCTACAAGTCTTTCTGTGTCCCTGCCCTTGTGTCATTTCCATCTGGGCCTCCCTCTCTGTGGCCGCGGGAATGTCGGCCTCCATCTCTAGGGAAGTCTATATGCTGAAGGGACTTTCTGCGAGTGCCATCCCTCACAGGTCTTGAGGCTTCAGGCCCTCAGGTAGCACCTCCACCATGGGCACTCCCAGCAGGGGACTGGGAGAGAAATGCCGTCCCTGCCATTCACCTCCTGCCCCACAGATGTTCCACCACTCGCCACTCCTGCCGCCGTGTGTCATTTACCAGCTTGTACCCCAGCAGGTACTTTCTAGCCGCACTTTGATGATGACCCAGGGACTTGGAGCTGTGCTGGGGTCAGGGCTCTGCCTGTTACTCTCTCTTGGAGTGGGGCCAAGAGGCTGGTGTGAGGACCTGTGGCTGGTTCAGGTCTTCCCCAGTTGTGTAAATCAGGGTGGGTGAAAGGGTTAAACAGGGACCCTAAGGGCCTCCAGGATCTGGGTGCTGGAACTTGCCTGCTACGGAGAAGGAGAGTCTGCTAATGAGGCCACTTTCCAGGAAGGCCAGCTCCACGAGGTGCTGCCAGCGCCGAAGCAGATGCTAATGAGGACTGGCTTGGCTTAAGGAACAGGTGCCTAACGAGCTTAACAAGTAGGGACCCAGAGAGATGGCCTAATGGCTCTGGTGGCATTTTAAGGATAGAGCTCAGTGGGAGCCACAACCAGGAGACGGAGTAATGAGGGATTCAGGGCTGGGGTTGGATCAAGGAGGAGCCTCCTCTGAACTGGAGAGAGAGCATATCGAAGTGCCTGCTGAACAAAGGTTAGCAACTTTGATGCTCTTCCTGGTGTTGGCCTTGGCAGGCCTGGCCTCCCAGCAGGGATCACAGGCCCTTGGTCCCTCCAGGGAGCAAAGGACAGTTGGCGTAATGAGCCGGGGGCTGCATTAAGAAGCAGTGATGAATGCCTGGGACTTGGTGCCAGGCTCTGCAGCGTCTGCTCCGATAAGCACTTGTTCACAGCCTCATCTGGCCACAGAAATCTCCAAGTGGCCTCTTGGGGGCCAAACCATTTGCGGCTCCTTGTTCTACAAGAGCCCTGATGATGCTAATGGATGCGGCCATCATGCTGCCACTGGGTATGCAGTAAGACTTTCTAAGATACCCTGAGTTCTGAGTTCTGTCACTTGAGAAAATAAAATCAGGGTGCCCCAACCTCCCTGCCCTCTTGACAAGAGAAGCAGGGCTCACACTTAACCTGCAGTGCATTCCCACACAGCTGGTGGTGAAAAATGGAATGAGCTGATGACATGGGCGCCCAAAGCCTACTGCAAGTCAGATAACGTTCAGTTCATCTTTTTCAGCCAAATTGAAAGGACACTTAATTAAACAGCCAGCTGATAGGTCATTTTTGGTGACAGATCACTATGCAGTTTTGACTGTACATCTCAGCAAGAGTATAGAGAATTGACTATCTGGAGTGCCAGATCATCTACTGAATTGAAAAGGCTTCTCAGCACACCCCACTATAAACAATAAAACATTAAAAAAGAAAAGAATTGATGCTGAGTCCTGATTTATTCTAGCAATAAATATTCACCTGTAGATTCATGAGCCATTAACTTCCTATCCATTTCATTAAGCTGTGTTTTCAATACATTTTCCTTTTTAGGTTTAACTAGTTACTTATAAAAACTTTAGGTATCTATGTTGTTTTAATCAGTGGCTTACTGTATTTTGTATCAAAAAATAATTGTAATAATTCAACCCAGAAGATTATTTTAAAATCCCTTGAAACTTTGGTCATAGAAAATGAAATATTTTAATTTTCATTCATACATATATTGTGTGGCAGAGAAGTATGACAAAGTGAGCAATAAAACACTTTCAGCCATAAAAGTAATGCATTAGTATAAAATTCTATAGGGCAATGGAATGAAGCTACACATTAAAGAGGAAAGAAACAATGTAACATTTCCCACAATTAAAGCGGAGCTGGCCAGCCTGAGCAACATGACCAGACCCTGTCTCTACAAAAAAATACAAAAATTAGCCCAGCATGGTGGTGCGTGCCTGTAGTCCCAGCTATTCGGGAGGCTGGGTTGGGAAGATCACCTGAGCCTGGGAAGTGGAGGTTGCAGTGAACTGAGATCTTGCCACTGCACCCTAGCCTGGATGACAGAGTGAGACCCTGTCTCAAAAAAAAAAAAAAAAAAAAGAAGAAGAAGGAGAGCTGGGTCAGGTGTTTTTAAAATAGATGAGGGTGGGTGTTAAATCACCATGGTGATCAGAATTCATTTGATGTATTTTAAATTGTTGCAGCAGTTTTATTTAAAAATGTAAATATTTACAAAATGGCAGAAATCACACCTTTGAAGGATTTAAAACTTAAGTAAAAAATACTACATGTCAACTTAAAAATGTGCAAGACGGGATACATGATTTTTCAAAACTTATTTTTGTAGGGGGTACCTAGAGCATTGGTTTCTTTTGGAAGAAATGGCCTGATGCTTCTCTCTCCCTGACTCCTGCGGCTCCGCTGCAGGGACACAGGGACGGAAGCCAAGCCTGGAAGCTGCCCTGGTGGTCAACTGAGGGGCCATGTCTACCCTGCCCACCAGATTCCAGAGCCTTGGCCTTTGGGACAGGCCCTGGCTTGCTGGATGAGCTGCACACCTCCTCCAGGCTGAATCAAGCTGCCCTTGGTTGGGGGCTGGGGCCAGGTATTAGCCTGGTTGGAGTGATAAGGGACAGACCCGCCTGCAGGTGCTTTGACCATAAAGACTCCAAACCTACCAGAGGTCAGAGAGAGAGAGAACTGGCCCGAGGCCAGGGCCCGAGCCCACTAAGGAAGATGGATGTGGCCCCCTCAGACCCAGCCACGATCCTTGGCCCACACCACTCTTCGGGTGCCTGGGTGACTTGACCTGAGGGGAGGCCACTTCCAAGAGGCATGGTTTATTTCACAGAGAGCAGAGATGTTTCTGAAGGGGAGACTGGAGGGCAAAGGGCAATGGGGTATGAGTTTCAATCACTGAAGACATGGTTGGTTTCTGCTATTCCCATCCCACGCCTCCCTCCTCCATGCCTCTGCTCCTCATTTTGCCCCGCACGATGCAACTGGTTGACTAAGGATGTGGCTTCCCTGATGGCGTCTTCCTTGATTGCCTAATCTGTGGACTAGGCAGAGAAGGGGTCTCCCAAGAGAGGAAGCCAGGCCTGGAAGCCTGCATCCTTCATGGAGCCCCCAAGGCGGGAGGATGGCTGGGGAGGGGACACAGGAACAAGGGTGGGGTACAAGTGAGCCTCTCTAGGTGACAGCCCCTGGGATAAGGCAGCCAAACTGATCCTTTGCTGGCGTACCCCACCCAACTGCAGGGGCACCACTGAGTGTGGAGGCCAAGGGCCAGTGCAGGGCCACACCATTGCCTGGCTGCTGGCTCCATGAGTAGGGCAGGGGAGCCCTGTGTCTGCTACTATAAATAGCTGTGTGTGTTGGACAGGTCCTTCTCTGCTCTGGGCCCAGTAAGGCCCTGGCCAGAGAGGCTGGGATGGGCAAATGCCTGCAGACATCTGACTGGCTCTTCTCAGGGGGTCCTGTGAATTCCCTCTGCTTCCTCTTGCGCTGAGCCTGGTGGCCCCCACTCATCCCTGTCCCTTGCAGTCCCCCTTGGCTGCCGCACCCCCTCTTTCCTGCCAGGCTGGAGAGCTGGTCTCTCCCCTCCCATCTCCTGCCCCACGAGAGCCTGCCCAGCACAGAGAACCCAGAGGAAGAAGGTGGAGGAGGACAGGGGAGCTGTGCAGGTGGGCGACCGAGGGGTCACACAGCGGCCGTCTGCTTGATGCTGTGGAAGCTGATCCGTGTGGGTGATGTAGGGATGGACATGGCCCGGGCCATGGGGACTCGAAGGGAGTGATGGTCCTGCCAGCGGTGCCACCTCTTCCTCACGGCTGAGCGCACCTGTGGGGAAGGCAGAGGCTCAGCTGGCTCCCAGGGACCAACCCTGGGCTTCTGGGACCATCCCCTCCTCTGCTTTCTGCTCTCATGGGTCGACTGCCACCCTCATGACAAGGAACTGTCTGCTTCCAAAACAGGTCCTTCCCTGATGCTGTTGCCTCTCTCCAGGGGCCTCTTCCTTATCCTTTTCCTGGAGAAGCTTGACTCCACACCTCCTTTACTCCACACTGTCCTCCCAGATCATCCAGTTTCCTCTGGACACACTGCCTTCCCTTCCCTGACTCACTCTGCCACCTCAAAATTAGCATCTTGGGACCAGAGAGCGCAGCTTGGAGACTTGGCCCCCTCAGCCTTCTTGGGCCCCTGCTCCTTGCAGGGCGTTGGTGGTGTGCGCCCAGCTCACACACCTGGTGCGCCTCCTCCTCCCTCCTGAAGACCGTCCCCTCTGCACCCCTCCACCTTCTCTACCTCCTGCTAGACTCCCCTGCCTGACTAACCATGGCATTTACTGCCTGAAAGGGAAAGCTCTCTGTCTTGGTCATTTCTAAAGTTGGCTCTACCCGGTGCCATTTAAGCTTCATTTGTTTGGTAATTGAATTTTTTTGGAAATTGGATGGTGTCTCTCACATCCTAGCTTGCACATGGTTCGAACAGAATAAATGCTCCATAAACATCCCTTGTTTGTTTGCCTTACTGGCCCCCTCTCTTCTTCTCATCCAGCCCACAGGACCCGTCTCTGCTGATGGACTTTGCAAGTGGAATGTGCTATCATCCACAGAGACACAGGCCTGCATAGACACCTCGCCAGTGCCCTGTGCAGAGACAGGCAAGTGTATTCCTCTGGAGTGTTCGGAAGCTCCCAGGCCCTAGGGGCTGTGTCTGCTCTTTGCTCCATGTCCTCATCCACCCCAGCCCAGGTACGAGTGCGCTTCTTCCCTGCGTCAGCTGCACTGGGGCTTTGGGCCTCATGATTGGCTTGCACATGCCAAGCTTCACGGCCGCCTGACTCCCCAGAGCCTGCTCTTGGTGTGTGGGCTTTTCTGTGGCAGGTAGCGGGGGAATGTGCTGGTCTCTCTTCTGCTCCCTGAGTCCATACAGACCTGATTGCTTGGCACACATCTCTTTCTGGAAGCTTCCTTCTGTCACCACCTCTGCTCTGGCTTCTCTCTTCCATGAGGCCCTGCGGCCTGGGCTTCCTTGCTCACCCAGCTCTGAGTGCACATGTGGGGTGCTGGCATGTTATTTCGGGGCTGCATAGTTGACCTTCTAAACTGGCTCCAGCCCCTGTGAGAAGGATTCCTGTTCCCCTAAGGCCGGGTGGTATCTCAAGGCTTCCTCTCCCTGGCACTCCAGCAAGGCCGGGCAGCACCAATGGAGCTGCCCTGGAGTGGGGTCTGAGGACCTGGATATCCCAGGCCACCCCGAGGGCCCAGCTTCATACCTCTCCATTGAAGAAGCAGTAGAAGACAGACACGAAGAAACCCTGGAAAGGAGGGAAAGGAGGGAGTGGTCAGTGACCTACCTGCGGAGCTGTTCTGCCTGGTGGGGTGGCACTGGGGACAAGATGGTGGGGGGGGGACAATTTGACCCAGGAACCCCTGGAGTCAGAGCTGGGTGGGGTCCTAGCCTCAGGGTGCAGATATTCCACGGTCCACTCTGAGTGAGCAGTGGTCACAGGCCTGGAGCCAGGCAGACTCCGGTCTCCTCAATATTGTGTGACCTGTCCCAGGGCATTTGGTTGGGCTGCCTGCATCCTCAGAACAGGTGCTGGGACAGTAGGTGCGGGCTGGTAGGATGAAGACCCAGGCTGGGATGGGGATAACTGGCCAGGCTCAGGCTGAGCATGTACGGGCTTCTAACTCTGTGGATGTAACTGAGCCATGGGTGTGCCAGTCCCACGGGACCCCCTTAGTGAGGGCATGGCTGCCAGAGCAGCCTCAGGAAAGCTCACTGTGGGGCCCCCATCTGGTCACAGGCCCCACCTGGAACGACTGCAGGAAGGAGTTGAAATAGATGAACATGATCTGTGACAGGTCGTCCTCCCCGGGATTGACGAAGAAGAGCATGTAGGTGATGCCCAGGAGGGGCAGGAGCACCAGGGTGGCCTTCACTGCCTTCCTGGGGGCGAGAGGTGGACACAGGTCTGAGCCCATGCGGCAGGCAGGGCCTCACCCAGTGGGCGGCGGGAGACAGTGGTGGTGTTTCTTCCGGGAGCTTGAGCGAGCTCCCTGGGTGAGGCCTGGGGCAGAGGGCTCTGCCAGGAAGCAGGGGGACGGCCCGATGACCTCCTCCTGTCCCCATTGTGGGGTCAAGGGACCCCCTCACATACCTGTACTGGATTGTCTCGGATGTGGTGGACGCGCGTAACTTTGTCATTAGGATCCTGACGATGTTGAACAGAAATACGAAATTGATCTGGAGGGAGGGCGGGCATGGGAAAGAGGGAAAAGGAAGGAGCACGTGTTTGAGATGAGCCGAGAGGCAGCCCCCTTCCCCGCAGACCCCTGGAAACCGATGTCCCACGCACACACCTATCCTACCTGTCCCCCTAGCACCTGCCAGCATCCCAAGGCCTGTGCTCCTCCCTCGCCAGGATGGGGAGACAGCCCCATTTTCCAGGGCCTGTGTCTCCAGCCCAGGACTGAGGAGGAAAGGTGGCAGCCTCTGTGGGTCGTGACCGAGAGCACGGGGCATGCCCTCTGAGGCTGAGAAAGCCCCCAACCCTCTCCCCAGTATAGGGACCCTATGGGAGCCCCCTTCCCCTCACTGCCACGGGGTCCCTACTTGTTGACTGCGGGGCTCTCTGAGTCCCTTGCACTGTCACTGGCTCTAGGTCGGCCTGAGGTCCTTCTGACTGAGGACAGCACTGCCATGGTGGGGCGGACAAGGCCAGATGGAGGGATTAAGAACTCAGTTGCCGAATGAGTGATTAATCTGCCAGCATCCCACCCCTGTGCCCAGGAACTCCAGAGCCTTCGTAGGCACCCTAGACAGGGAAGATGGATGGGCTGTGGGGCTGGCTCTGAGGCCCCAGGAAGGGCCTCATTTATCTTCATTCTGAGTTTTCCCTCAGCACCAGAGCCTCCCCACCCAGCACCTGGCCCTGGAACTGGCCTGTGTGGCTCCCCAGCTGCTCCCTGCTGGGTGTGGGTCCCCATGGGCCTGCGAGTGTCTGTTCATCTGTATTGGCTGTGACTATGACTGTGTTGTCCCCTGGGAGCTGCAGTGTGGGTCTGTGGGTCTATCCTTTAAGCACTTGTGCAAGTGTGTTTGCCTCACAGAGCGTGTGCATGTGTGAGCATGGATCTGGGGCCCGGGCACATCTGCGTTTCTCTTCACCTGCCTCCGAGCATAGGCAGGCAGGCAGGCAAGGGAGTGTGTGTCGGCCTGACACAGTGGGGCTGTTTCCTGACAAAGTGCTCGTGGGCCAGAGGGAGACACATGTTAGCCCAGGGGTGTCTGCTGGCTCGTGTGCACACACCCACTCACACACACACACACACACACACACACCTCTGACACTCTGTCAAGAAAATCCATTGCTTCTTAAGCTTGGGCTGGGCCCTTCTAACCCTCCCAAGTTCTGAATCCTGGCTGGGAGAGGAGGGACACAGGATACAGACAGATATCCTGAGACTGTCAACCTGTAGCCTCTGGATGCTCCCCACAAGCTTTCGGGTAGCCCTAGGGGCAGGGAGAGCTCACACCCCACCTCAGCCACTGTCTACTGCTCTCTTACCACATAGTGGTATGGCCTGGGGGTCCCAGGGAGGGCTGGGGATGGAAAGCCTTCAGCGGGGCTGCCATGACCTGATACCCCCAGCTTTCTCCTAGGGCTCACCTAATTTCCAGCTCCTGGGTCTCTGGCATATTCCCCTGGATCATGGGACACAAGTCACCTTAACATATAAGTGAATCCTAATTTTCTCATACAAGTAATACAAAGTATTTGACCTTTTCTGATTCTTCCGGACTTCCCTGAGAGTAGAAACTGTTGGAATCAAAATATATTCTCATTTCTGCCACATTTTCTTGAATTCAATATTAATCTTCCAACATCCATCAACCCACTAATCAATTCAATTATCCACCCACTTTATTCATCTATCCATCTATCCACTTACCTACCAACCAGTTCATTCATTTACCCACCTACTTTTATCCATCCGTCCATCCATCCATCCATCCAGCCATTCATCCATTCATCCTTCCTTCCTTCCATCCATCCATCCATCTACCCAACAACCAATTCATTCAATTATCCACCTACTGTTTTATCTATCCATCCACGTACCCATCCATCTACCCATCCATCTACCTACCCAATAACCAATCCATTCAGTTATCCACCTACTCTTTTATCTGCCCATCCACTGGCCCATCCGTCTATCCATTCATCTACCTAGCAACCAAGGCCTTGTCTCCATCCTTACACTTGGCAGACATTTAGTTATGTGGCCCCACTCATCTCAGCTTGGGTCTATGTAACCTGAAAATCCTTCTTTCCTTTGAGCCTGTTTCCCAGCCTCCCCCTTCACACCACCACAGGTACCTTCCTCTCTCTCCAGGGAGCCTTCTGGTCACCCTGCCCACACTGAGCTCTCCGGCTTTCCATTCTTGGACTCTACCTCCCTGCTAAAAACACACTCCAGTTCTTTAGTAAGAACTGTCTATTGTACCCTGCCCTCGTTCAGCCTGTTTCTGGTTTTATTTAATTGTTCATTCATTCAATGAATCAATGGACCATGTGTCAGGCTCTGAGCCAGGCATCAGCGATGGCGAAGTGGACAGGCAGTCACAGCCCCTGCTTGCAGAGGGCTTGTGGCCTAGCTGGGGGCCTGGAGGGGTTGGGGGTGGGGGAGATGACATCTTTCCTAAGGTGTCAAAAAGACCTGGAGAAATGGCAGATGGGCTAAGAACTGAAGATGAGGCCCCCCTCCCAAATGAACTGAAGCACCAAGTCCTAGTCTCATGGCTCAAATTTTGACTGTTCCAATTTGCAGTTGTGTGGCCTTGGGTAAGTTGCTTAACCTCATGAGCTCCTGCTTCCTTGTCTGCCCCCGAGGGGCCTAACCACAGAGCTTGCCTTAGAAGATCAGCATGGGCTGAAATAGTCACAGAGACCACTAAGACCTGTGTCTGGCCTAGTGACTGCCAATCCTTTCCCATGACACCAACAATGACAACACCAGCAAGAAGTCAGGCTTCCTGCAAATTCAACCACCTGATTCACTTCTCAGAACCAGAAATAAGTGAGTGTCTCTTAGCAGCAGAAATGCAGCTGTGAGCTGCTGGGGAGTGTAGGGATGGCAGGAACACCAAACACGTGTCCAACCTCGAGGACAACAGGCAGATGGTGGGGACAAAGCAGGAGACCTGCCTTTGAGCCTCTGCTCTGCTAGCTATTAGTGGTGACCTTGGGCAAGCCACTTCATCTCTCTCAGCTTCTTCCTCTGTAAAATGGAGAGCATAACCCTACTTCTTTTAGGACTTGAGCATGCAAGGGTTGGAAATAATGTAGATAGAGCTTCTGGAAGGGCTCAGCTTGGAATGTGGAAGCCCCTGTTGGTGCAAAGAGCTGGGCCCAAAGGAAAGAAGGAAAGGGCTCGTGAGCACAGACGCAGGGGTGGAGCCAGAGAATGGGTCTGGAAGAGGAAGCATGGAGCTGGGTCTTGACACTGAGCTCTTGCGTTCCTCGCCTCCCTTTCTCTTGGCATTTCCTCACCACCCTTCCAACATCTTTACAGTTGGGGCTTACTCTTTGCCACCATTGGTCCCCCATCCAGGCCAGCCTTCCTTGGCTCAGTTCCAGGCTCATCAAAAGCCTTATTCCTCCAGGATGGCCCTTGGCAGCTGGTTGGGAGGGAAAGGATCTCATGGGGTTTCCATACACACTGAGGGGTGAGTGACTCACTGCAGCTGGGAGTCCAAGGACAATCCTACTAGCTGCTGACAAAACCTGGCTTCTGCCTCTGAAGCGAACCAAGCCCTGACGGTGGAATTTCCAGCAGTGGGTGAAAAACCTTCCTAGTCTTCATCAGTTCACATATATCAAGGACACTCCAAAGATGGAGGTCAAATGAAACCCGAAGTCACAGAAAAAGGAGAGTAAGAAAATAAAAGAGATAAATAATAATTGTCTCCAAGGTAGACAAAAGAAAGCCCCACCAGGCACCTTCTGTGTGCAGGAGGAGATGGCACTCTCGCTGAGTCTCCCAGAAGGAACTGTGGCCCTTTAAGGAAGCTGGTACATACAGGAGCCTGAAATTACTGAGCCTGAAATAAGTCTTACGTAAATGCCAATTTCTTACGGGGCTTTTTTGTATGTCTTTCTTTCTTTATCTCTCTCTCTTTTTTTTAAAGGTATGATATATAATGGGTTCCTTTTGCAGAATGCAGCCTCTACTTGAACTCTCTCTTAATTAAAGCTCATTGTGGATTAAAGATGTGTGGCAATTATACCTTAGATGCAAATACATTTGGCAAAGGGCAGGGAGCTGGACAAGGAACAATTCCTCATTATGCTGCATCCCGGTATTCACCGCTTCAGGCTGGGGGTGGTGGGCTGGACCTGGAGAGGGTCACTGGGGGCTGAGGGGAACGTAGGTCTGGAATGAACAGAAGCCCGCACACTCTTCTCTTGTCACCAGCTGCCTGCTCACCTGGCTTTCTCAGCATTGTACAGTGTCAGACCGGGAGGGCACAGGAAGTCTACCCATCAGATCCTTTCTCCTCCCAGAGAAAGAGCCCTGAGGTCAGCAGAGTGGTGCAGGGCTGCGCCAGGGCATCGAGCATGAGGAAGGGAAGGCCGGGTGGTGCTGGGGCACAGGGTGGCATGGACAGGGTACGGGGGTGGCATATAGAGTGTGTGCGCAGGGCTGCCCATGCCACATCTTTCCCAGCGTCTCTGCCTGGGTGGGCCCTCTTCTGTCCTCTTGGCACCCAGCCCCATCCCAGCCACCGCTGAGGGCTTACCAGGAGCACGAGAATGATGGGGCCTTGGTAGATGTAGTCCACCAGGTCGCCAGGCTCCTTGCCAAACCAGCACCTGTGAAGATGGGGTGGCTGTAGGGGGCCTCCTGAGCTGGAACTGGGGGACCCCCACAGACTTGGGCCCAGGGTCCTCCAGCTTTACCCTTCCTGAGACCCAATCTCCAGGACTGCCCCTTCCCAGAAAGCCTTGGTGGAAATACCAGCTCCACTGACCACCCTTACCCACCAGGCTGTCTTTTGCTCTACATGGTGGGTCTGATCTCCCCAGCCCGACTGAGGACAGGCCATGGGTCTCTTTCTCCTCCTCTTTTACCTGCCCCATTGCAGACTGCTAGGCATAGGACTGGGCATGCAGGAGGCACAGGAATAAAGGGAGAGCTGGGCTCCCCCTTGCTGGCCCAGGGCCAATTGCCTTAGGCCACCTGTTCCCATATTGCTTGAAACCCGCTGTTCCGTGTGCCAGGCACTCACTCGGCCACACAAAGCAGCAGATGTGGAAGTGGAGCCTTCCTACCTCCAGCCTGGGATTTTGCGTCTTTGAGCCAATGCTTGTGCACCCAGTGAGGGGAGCTGCTGCCTGGCTGGCCTCACTGGCTGCCAGAGGCATAATTCATTCTCCGGGGATGCTGGTCAGGGGAAATGCTTTAGGGTCTGGGTCGGCCAGCAACTACTGGACCACAGGGAGGGGCCATCAACTTTGGGGAACTCATTCCTCTGAAATCTTGGAGGTCATCCAGTGCAGACCTGCCTCAGATAGGATTCTCCCTGTCTCCCAGGGTTTCTGGCCTCTGCTTGGAGCCCTCCTTTGACAGGAAGCTCACCACCTACCAAGGCAGCCCTCTTCTTGGGCAGCTTTTACTCTTACAAGCTCTTCCTAATGTTGAGCTCCTGGAACTCTACTCCATTCTTGCCCCCACTCTGAGAACAGATCCCCTCTGCTCTCTCCAGGCTCTGAGACAGACCCCTTGGAGATTTGCATACAGGCTAATGTTCCCTGGTCCCCGCTGCTCTCAGCTGGTGACACCTGACTTTCTGGCTGCTCCTTGGCTGACCCATGGCCAGAGTTGCTGTCATTTGGGCTGTGGCTCAGCATATTACAGCCTCTGGCATAGGGAGAACCTCAGGATGGGACACTGCACCCAGGCAGAGACTGAGACTTCAGAAAAAAAAACAAGCTCTGTTAAATGCTCATGGACTCTTTAAATGCTCATGGACAGCTCTGGATGTCATGTGCGGCCTTGGCCCCTTCCACATACCCCGGGCCAGAGCTGCCACATCCAAGTCTGAGGAGGCCTTACAAAGACCAAAGGGGTCATGCGTTGGGTCGGGGGGCACTTCAAGGAACCACAATTCCTAACTTAATTCAGCAAAGTTCCTTGAGCCCTACCATGTGAGTACCTCTGAGTGCAGGACTATTTTTTTCAATTTAAGGACAACAGGAACGTGGATCTGTCTAGGTGTGGCTACAATTCCTGCTCCACGGCTTGGCCAGAGCCCAAGGCTGACCTGTCCTAACACCCCCATTCCCTTCCCCATGACCCCCCATGGCTGGCCCATCCACTTACTGTTCATTCTCATAGTAGAGCTTGCCGATGGCCCAGGCGACGATGATGGGGAAGGGGATGCCTGAAAGAAGGAAAGACTTGGGCTGCAGGGGACAGATGGACAGGGACTTTCTTGTAGGACATACCGTGGGGTACCACAACAGGGCTAGGATCATGTTTTTACTCTTCCAACAGCAGGCCACCCACAACCCCAGGGGTGCCCTGTCCCTCAACACCTGGCCCATGCCCCTGCCCCTCTCTCCAAGCAGGGCTGCGTGATTTTGTGATAGAGAAGTAGAGCCAGCCAGTTTCTGAGCCAGAGACAAAGGCCTTTGGACAGGTCCTTCCTGGCAGGGGGAGAAGAGCTATTTGAGGAATATCCTTTGGAGAGATCCTTTGCTTGTTCCTCACCAGCATGGAGGGAAGTAGCTGCATCCACCGGACTGCGCTGGGGGTGGAGGGCAGGGCCAGGCTCTGGTCCTTGGACCCAAGACGAAGGGAAATGGCCTGGTGAGAAGTCCTCCCCCCAACTAGGCCCTGCTGCCCCTGGGACCCTCACACCATCCGATGAAGAGGAAGAGGCACTTGCGCAGGCGCTCAGTGGAGTAGGTCATGACAATGGCCGTGTGCAGGTAGCAGCCTTCCACAAACATCCAGAAGAAGTTGGTCACCACGAAGTAGTTGAAGATGGTGGTGATGCAGCGGCACCAGACCTGTGTGCAGGGCAGAGAGGCTGTCAGGAGGCAGCTTGGGGCCCAGGTAGGACATACCCATCCCCAGGCAGGGCAACAAGACACAGGGCTCCCCAAAGGGGGTTCGTGGACATGCCATCAAATACCAGCGAACCTCACTCTGAAAAGCTTCATCCTTCTCCAGTGCTCTTTCACACTTTCAGATTAAGTTAAGGTGCCATTCTCCACTGGGGCCAACGTGTTTTTTTTAACTTCTCTCTAACTCTTTCTAATTTTTCATTCTAGTAAAGAGAGCAAGAGTCTGGCTCTGAGCTTTCTGTAGGCAGAGGCTGGAATTCAACCATCTTGTTGTGTTTTCATTTTAGTTTTTTTGAGTCATTTTCAATCCATAGCAAGTCAGACCTGCTTCCTTTTGGGGATGGGATATGGAATTTCATTTAGAAAAAAATGAAAAAATAAAAGTGAGTAAAGTGAGTCAAGGGTGTATGAAGTGGGGCTGCGGCCAGGGAGGGGATTCTCCAAAGACTCTGGGTTTGGGAACTTCTGGACTTGGCACAATTATTACTAGCTCTGGAGGGAGACTTGCAAAGTACACGGCCCCCGGCAAGTCACTGCACCTCTCTGAACCTCAAAAAGTAACCCTGCCTTCCAGGGTGGTTGAAGGAGATAGAGGATGGCAAAGACAGGCATGAGGGTAGCTGTGTTGTGGCTGTGGTTGTGCCTGCTGTGGTTCCGTGCCTTCCCAGCAGAGGGGAATGTGTCCCTGTCCCTCTGAGCAAGGCCACCCTTCCCCAGGCACCAAGGCTACCTTCCCAAAGGAGGCAGGGAGGGGAAGACCCTGCCCCTTTAGAGCCACGCAGTGGGCCATGGCAGGGCCAGGGTCTAGACATTGGGCTTCCAGGCCAGAGCTCCTCTCAACAGACCCCACCTGGTCATCTTCCCCACAGGCTCATCCCCAGGGCACCCTGAGAGCCAAGGCTGGGACATGGGGAATGATGGAGCCAGCTCAAGGTCCGGGGAGCTGTGCGTCAGGGGCTCTGCTTCTGCACACAGCCCATCCTCTCTGTCTGGCTCTGACAGCCCCAGTTCTCAGATAACCCTCCTGTGCTGAGCTGTTGGCTGCTTCTGGGCTTCCCTGCACAGTCCCTGTGGCTGGCTGTCTCCTTTTTTCTGAGAAAGTCCTGCTGAGGTGGGAAGCTACCAAGCCCCTCCTCCCAACCCTACTTTTCATCCAGGGTTGATGATGTTCTATTAGCACAAGCCCACGTTGGAGCTAGAAGGCACCCTCAACTCGAGTGAACCTGTTTGATTCTGAGGCAGTGTTCTATGTGGGACCATGTTAAGGATCACACCAGGCTGGTGTCTGCTCAGGCACAGGCCACCCAAAGGAAATGTACTGAGAAGTCTCTGTCGGTGTGCCACAGGGCTCTGTGATGGCCCAAGACTAGTCTACAGTTTTACAATAGCTTGGACACAGTACACAGCAATGGACAGAAATCCAGAGTGGACAGTTAGCATGTGGGATAGCCCCTTATGTAGAGGTATCATCACTGCATGTGACCTTGGCGAGTCACTTAACCTCTGTGAGTCTCAGTTTCCATGTCTATGTAATGGGGAAAATGATCCCTGCTGGTCTCATTAGGATTAAGTGAGAGAAAGCTCAACAGAGGTTAGTTCTAGCTTCCTTTTCTCAAAGGGGTCTTTGAGGGCACCTGAATCCACAAGATGAGGAGTGGACTAGGATAAATGTGTCTAGAGTCAGCTTTGTGAAGCTCCCAGCCTGGCAGCTTCCTGCTCCTCCCAGCCCAGCTCTGTTGGGACAATGGCTAGGGTGGAGGTGAGCTCAGGTCTGGTTTTGCACCTGAGCCACAGCCCAGATGACAGCATTCTGGCCATGGGTCAGCCAAGGAGCAGCCAGAAAGTCAGTTGTCACCAGCTGAGAGTAGCAGGGACTGGTGAACATCAGTCTCTGTGTGCAAATCTCCAAGGGGTCTGTCTCAGAGCCTGGAGAGAGCAGAGGGGATCTGTTCTCAGAGTGGGGGCAAGAATGGGGTGGAGTTGCAGAAGTTCAACATTAGGAAGAGCTTGTAAGAGTAAAAGCTGCTCAAGAAGAAGAGGGCTGCTTTAGCAGGTAGTGAGCTTCCTGACAAAGGAGGGGTCCAAGCAGAGACCAGACAGACAGATGGGTGCCCCCGGAGCCCAGAGCCCCCCAGGTATAGCCCCGAGTCTCCCCGAGCAATGACCTCATTGCTCTCGTGCACTTCATGGTCAACGAGCTGCAGCAGGAACCACATGACATTTCGCAGGATAAAGGTGGTGATGAGGTTCCAGTGAATCACATTCCGCAGACAGCGAATGCTCCTGTGGGAGGTGCAGGTCAGGGGTCAGCCAGGTTCAGGGGTCAACTGGGACTGGGTTCCCCCTGAGGCCAGGTAGAGACTCAGCCTGGGATGAGGGCAGGGCTGCACTAGGAGCCACTTCCCACCCATGGTGGCCACAGTTGGGCCTCTGAGTCCAGCTCCCACTCTGCACCCCACATGCCTGCTGGTGATTCATGCCCTGGCACCCCACCCAAACCCCACTTTCTCCACGGGCCCTTTTATCTGCTGGGCCCCAGAATGGAGGTGAGAATGTCTGGGAGAGGTGAAGGGGGTGCTGTAGGGGGAGGGATGAGGAGAAAGCAAGGCGGAAGGGCAGACTCACCGCAGGGCCAGGAAAAGCAGGAAGGCGGCCACCAGGGCTGCCACAGATACGCAGTGGCCCAGGTAGTTGACGACAAGGGCGATGCGGTAGTGCAGGTCATACTTCCTCTGCTGGACAGACAGACATGGGCAGGGCAGATGGAGGCATGGGCACGTGGGGGTGGGGCTGGGTATTCCAGCCGTGGCCACCTCTGTGTCCTGACCTTGGGGGCAGAAGTGCTCCAGGTGTCATTGCCGTGCCTGGCTCTTAGGGTTCGTTCCTGTTGGCCCTGGGTGGCTCTTGTTGTTATAAATGGCTGTGGTCAGGCCTTCCAACATGCATTTATTTTTATTTTTTTAGAGATGGGGTATCACTCTGTTGCCCAAGCTGGGGTCCAGTGGCTATTCACAGGTGTGATCACAGTGCACCGCAGCCTTGATCTGCAGGCCTGAAGCAATCCTCCCACCTCAGCCTCTGAAGTAGCTGGGACTACAGACAAGTGCCACTGTGCCTGGCACCAACATGCATTTTTGGGGGCACATTTTGAGAGGTATGGGTACAGATTCTTTTTTAAAATTCTAGGCTCTAGAATGCTTCTCCTGAGTTTAGTCTCAGCCCGGATCCCAGCTGGCTGAGTGACTGAGGGTGAGTCGATTTTTATTTCTGGACCTCAGTTTTGATGTCTATACAATGGGGCCAACCTGCCATCCTACCTAAGAAGCAATGGCCTATGGGAGGCCTGGGGTGGGGTGCATTGAGATTAGTCTGCCCTGGAGACCACACGAGGGGGTGCACTGTCTATAGAGAATTTAGAAATTCTATTCAAACTGAATAAAAGTCAGTTGACTTTTAATTATCACCAAGTGTTGGCAATTTGAAACAAAGTTAGTGATGAAATACTCCTTCCTGCCAGGGAGAGCCACCCCTCCACCCTACCCAACCCCTGTGTTGATTCTCCACTGCTGGAGGGGCAGAGAGAGTGGAGGTGAGGACCAAGGGCTGGAGGCCCCCCTGCCCATTGAGTGGCCTCCCTGCAGAACCCCTGTGGCTCACATTTTGCAGAATCACTTTCTCAGGGCGGGTGAATGTTTTTCCCTCTCAATTTGGACTTCATCTGGGGCAAAGTCCCAGCCCCACTGAGGACTATGCTGGGTAATGAGGAGGGGATGGAGCTGAGATGTATCCTTTCAGGTCAGGAATGAGGCGTAGCCTCAAGGAGAGGAGTTCGGTGCCTCAGCAGCACTGAATTGAATTCCAGAGCGAGAGCTGGAGCAGGGCTCCAGAGAGGCAGAGCAGGACCCAGCTTCTCATGGGGACAGCCCTTGGGGGGCTGCATTTGTTTCCATGTGGAGTCACAGAATCAGAATGCCAGATGGGGAAACTGAGGCCCAGAGGGAGAGGAAGGTGTGCAGTCACACAACCCCTAAGATGTTAGGAGCATTGATTACACGGTTATTCCCTTTTTGTGTCACATGCCACCTTGGCTTTGTCCTCTAGCAGCCCAAGCTCTCTTGAAGGTAGGACTCCATGTCCCCCTTCTCTACTCCCCTACAGTGTCACTAAGCACAGGGCAGGACACTGGGGGCAGGGGCAGGAGGTACAGAAGGGAGTGACTGGGTGACAAAAGGACTGGTCTGCCCCCCTTGGGATCTTCTCTGCTCAACCTGAGTCCAAATACCTGTGTGAGGCCTGGGGTCACAGCAGGTGAGGGCCACTCACCTTGTCATCCAAAATGGGCTCACACTGTGAGTAGTTGATCTTTGAGGCCCACGTCCCATTCTCCAAGCATTCTCGATAGGCATTCCCTACAAAAAATGCCAACTGCCAAGAGTCAGGTCACTCCCCTCCTCAAGAACCCTCCCTGGCTCCCTGGTGCCCACAGGATAAGGTGTACGCACCTCAGCTCTCCTAGGGCAGCAAATACAATGTGCATCTGAAAGTTTACATGTAAGTCACTTATGTGAAAATAGCACAAAAGGCTCATCTTACAAAATAGCTAAAGGCATGCTAAAACCCATTTTAGACACAATCTTTGACTAGCATTTTGTACACTTTCATTTTGTTCATTTGCTTCAAAACTGAATCCAACTGTGAGGAGTGGGTTGTGCCTGAAGATTCACTGCTTTCAGCATGCCACATAATTTACATCCTTGTCTCAATTGTTTTATATTTATGAGGTCCATACTTCACCAATATCAGCACTTCCATTTTTATAATAGCTACCATTTATATAGCATATGTTTCCCATGTACCACTTCCTCTTCTAACTGCTATGGATATACATGTCAATTCAATCTCCACAACCATCCCATGAAGGAGGCATTAATATGAACCCATTTCAAAGAGGAGGAAACTGAGGCATAAAGAGATTAAGCTACTGGCCAAGGATACAAAGATGACAAGAGGATTCAAACTCAGAAGTTGTGGCTTCGGGTCTTCTGTTCTTAACCTTTAGGCCATATCAAGTAGTGGCAAACAGGAATGAGTGAATGCTGGGGACTCAGGGCTGGGCCACCGCCCTCGGGCTGCTGCTGCCTGGGAGGCTACCACGAGATGTTTCTAAATGTTCAAGAACCAGCCTCTGTATTTAAGTTGGAACATGATTTAAGTGTGAAAAGACATTTCAAGCAGCAATGTCCTGTGCACAAAAGTGCAGGTTTTGTCAAGGGGGAAGGTAGGAAAGTTAAAAAATGCTCACATTTGCCTTTCTCTCTATCTCAGCTCCAACTGTCAAGGTCTGGCTCCTAAGCCACCCCCTCCATACACCAGCTCCAATCAGGAGGAAGCCCTCCCACCTGAGAAGGCCCGGAGCTCTCGAAGCCTGCCTCTGCTTGGCCTTCATCACTAGTGTGTTTCTGACCTACCGGGTGGGTTACAAATGCTGAACGTTCCATTGTTTGGGGGTGATTTGTACCAGGGTTCAGCTCTCTGACTAATGGGCAGTTGTCTGTGAATTTTTCTTTCTAGCATATGTTAGATGTACAATGTAAAGCTAATTAAAATAAATAGCTTGCAGAGCACAGAGTTGCAGAGCTGGAGGGGGAACCTTAGGTTGTTTTTGGAAGCAGTGTGTTCTGAAATAATTAAGTTACTTAAAAACCCACTTCCGTTGAGCCCGATGAGTTGGAAGCAATGGAATTGGGAAGGAGCACTTGCCGAAGAGCAAAATCAATGGGGAAGATTCTATTAGCTTAATTGTTTTTTAGTTTGGTGCCTGGAGCTCATCCATTCTTCAAACCCAGGGACGTGACTGGCCTATTCCTTCCTCCTGGGCCAAGGCCCATCCCTGGCAGGGCCCTGCCATCCCCCTGCCAAGTGAGTCAGGGAATGCCCTGGTCTGATGCTGATTCTGACTCTCAGGAAGAGGAAGCCTGCTCCCCACCCCTAGCCATGGCGCCCAACTCCCCAGGTGGGATCTAATTTGATACCTAGCACTATCTTTCCTTACCAACATTCGTGCTCATGAAAGAGAAAGGTTACCTCAACTCGTGAGGGTCAGTGATAGTGATGTCACTGAACTAAAAAAGCAAAAGTATGTAAGGAGGGTAAGTTCTTTTGTGAAATGAACAGTCCCTCCCTGATGGGGGTTTACGGTGCCTCTGAACAGTCTATGTGAGGTGAGGCAGACCAGGATCCTGCCTGTGCTTCAAAGGGCAGAAAAATTTATCTTCTATATGTTCATAGATATTATCCAGCTTTCCTGAAGCTCAGTGCTAGGCCCCTTCCTTCAGGAAGACCTCCTTGATTGCTTCTACTCTATAGCTCTCTCTCTCCTGAGCACCTCCAGTCCTGACCGCCTGAGCCCCACACTCCAGCCCTTGCCCCATGACCAGCCTGGAGCTGTCTAGGTGAGTGAGTCTGGTCACTCTGATCAATGTGGGGGCTCCCTGAGGACAGGGCCTTGGAATACTTGTTTCCCGAATATGATATCTCATGGTGGCACTGATCATGGGGTGGGCTTGCAGGTGGGAGGGGGTCAGGATAGAAATGCTGCAAATCAGAGACCTTTCCTCTCCCTCACACCAATGCCCATGGGGTCCCAAGTTCCATGGATTCTGTCTCCTCCTTTTCTTTTTCCAGAGTCAACTCCCCTCCTGCCCATCCCTCCATCTGCTCTCTAGTCTTCTTGCCTGGGCTGCTACAACAGCCTCCTCTCCTCTTGCCTCCCTGCTTCTTTTCTTGCCACCTTGACCATGTTGATTTCTGCTTAAAGCCATCAGTGGCTCTTTATTGTGCTCAAGAATAAAGTCCAATTTCTTAGCATGATAGTCAAGGCCCTTGACACCCAGGTCCCAGCCTAACTGTCCTGACCCATCTCCAGCATTCTACATGGCCACTGGCATTGGCACACATAGGTTTGGCACATACCCTCTTTGTGTGGATCCACCACTTAAAGCACCTCCTCCTTCTTACCCACTGCTCACGGATGAACTCCTACCCATCTTTAACCCCACACTCAAATGCCGCCTCCTGCATGGAGCCATCCCCGACACCCTTAGGTCTGAAGCAGTCCTTTCTTTGTTTCCTCCTCTATCCCTTCCCTTCTCTTGTAACGTAGTTTTTCCACTTTATTGCCCTTGAACCACAATAACACATACATTTTATGTTATAATCCAGTACACACACACACACACAAACACAGAATCCAGCTGTACTATTTTCCTTTCCAGCCTATTCTAATGTCTTCTATTCATTTCACACACACTGATCATGACCCACTAAATTGACTCCACAGTCCACTCTTGTGTCACAATCCATAGTTTGAAAAATACAAATTCTGTTTTAGTGCATTTGCCATAATTCACTATGAACTTCATCTCTTTGGACCTAATCCTTCTTTTCTTTGCTACTGGACTTGAGCTCCTTGGGGATAGACAAGTAAGTAGAAGCCATATTGGAGCCACCATATCTCCCTCAGGACAGAGCCATTGAGGAAATGTCGGCTGAACAGAATTGACTCAGACCTGCTGACCCCTGGGAAAGCAGGTGGGATGCAGAAGCGGGAGGGGACTTCCCTCTCTGGCAGCCCAGCCCTGCCTGCAGATGAGCTTCTGGTTACAGACACTGGGTATCAAAGGACTGGAGGATAGATGTGCCCCACTCTTCAGGGGAGCTGTCTGCTGTGGCCAATGAGGGCACTGGGCCCTCAGGCACAGCCTCGGACAGGAGGGAGTAAGACAGAAAGAATCTCATCCACCCCGTGGGAAACGTAGACGGATGGGCACACACTCTGAGGGCTGATGGCAAGGCTAGAATTGTGGGGCTGGATGCAGAGAGGTGGGTGCCCATTACCATAGCAACACAGGTGCCCCTGCTGAGGATCAGTGCTGATGATGTGGAGTGTGGGCTTCCAGGGGCATTAGGGTCTGAATGATGCAGGCAGGGTCTTCTCTTGCAGGACTCTGTAGTCTGGGAGGCCTGGTTTCCATGCCCAGAGTGGCCCAGGCCTGCCAAAAACCCCCATTACAATGGGCTCTCCCCGTTTCAGATGCTGACACTTTGCAAAGAGTTCCTGGTTCAGGCAGTTACCTGGGGTGGTCCTGAAGCCTGGCTGGGACATGAGACCCTATATTCTAGCTGTAGTTTTGTCTCTAGATAGCTAGGTGACCATGACTAAGCCCCTTCCCTCTTGGTCTCAGTTTTGCCTCTTAGAAATATTACAGTAAATTGATTCTCTATGATGTTATTGGCATCTCAGGTGGATCAATTATATGTTATGTGAGACTCCCCAGTCTACTAAATGCCAGTTAGCACCCTCAAGCTATTGTGACAACTCCAAGCATCCTGACATCACCATCAAATGGTTGGCACTTCTATCTCTGATACCTTCTGGAAAGACATGGACCATAGGAGACAGGGACCATGAGGGACTACTTTTGGTGGTAGTTTTGGGGGAAGGAGTACAAGGGACAGGGGTAGGCATGGGGAAAAGAGTTAATGGGACTGTGGTAAGGCACAACAATGGGGTCATTGGCTATTTGCAAAGAAAAGGACAGGAAGTGAGGGAGAGGCTGGATATGGTGGCTCATGCCTGTAATCCCAACATTTTGGGAGACCAAGGCAGGTGAATTGCTTGAGCCCAAGAGTTTGAAACTAGCCTGAGCAACATGATGAAACCCCATCTCTCAAAAAAAAAAAAAAAAAAAAAAATAGCCAGGCGTGGTGGTGTGCGCCTGTAGTCTCAGCTACTCAGAAGGCTGAAGTGAGAGAATTGCTTGAGCCTGGGAGGCAGAGGTTGTGGTGAGCTGAGATTGTGCCACTGCACTCCAGCCTGGGTGACAGAGTGAGACCCTGTGATGATGATGATGATGATGATGATGATGATGATGATGATAATGATGATGATGATAGAAGAAGAAGGAGGATGAAGAGGAGGAGGAGGAGGAGAAGAAGAAGAGGTAGTACTAGTAGTAGTAGTGGTGGTGAGGGAGAGAAGGTGATGACATTGAGGTGGGGAGGGCCAGAAGCAATATTTACAGAAGGAATGAAGTCACTACATGGGATCGGAACTTTCAGCACCGCGGACAGCACAACTCCATTCTTCATCCCTGCCTATCTCTAAGGTTGGGGACCTCGGAGAGCTCCTAAGAACCAGCCTTCCCACCCGATATTCCGACCTTGGCCATGGGCCCAGCCCATTGAGGTCAAGCTAATTCATGCCCCTTTTCAAGGCCCAGCTCCAGCCCCAGCTCCTCCAGGTAGTTTCCATGACTGTTCCAGCTCCCCAAGGGTCCAGCTGCTTGTGACTGCCTGGCTCATGCTAGGCTGGGATTGATCTTTCACTGACCCCTATAAAGGTGTTGTACTTTCCTAACCAGCCCAGGTTCTCTGGAGCAGAAGTTTACCTTATTTTGTACAAGGCTGAGAGCCTCTAAAGGCATGTCCTGGGTTGCTGTCATCTCTGGCCTTTTCTTAAGCACTGCACAGAGCTGAGCACACAGGATCTCAGGATGGACCAAAGCTGATGCTGTTTCCTAGGTTACTTGGGAACTCATTGAAGGTAGGAGGCTCAGAGTGGGCCAGGAGGACAGTCTGCCACCTTGTATGCCCATGCTTCACCAAGATGCATGGCAAATACAAAACAGTCACACATACATGCAGGAGGAAGCAAGGTCTCACACAAAGACACCATGGGTAGGCTGACCCAGCTGCCAAAACTGCAGACATTGCAGTCCAACCCCACATGGGGGAGGGGTGTCAGTCTCAAACAGCAAACCTGTGGGCAGCATTCTCCAGGTTCCTGGCATGAAAGCTTTGACTGTTCCAAGGGAAGCAAGTTGGAAACTGAGTTATCAGGCATCTCCTTGGGAATTAGGAAGGAAGACAACTTCTGCATTTGGTCTGGTGGGACCAGAAGAGAGAAACTGACACATCTGGGGTCACTCAACCATGAAGAGGCAGAAGATCTCTCTCCCTTGGGACACGCTTCCTCACGGGAGACCCTGGAGTTGGTGTACCTAGGAGAGACAGACTCTCCCTGTGACCCTGTGTTTCAGCAGATGCAGCCAGTTATGCCACCTCTTCAGTGTCATTACCACTTGGTGTCCAGATCCTCAGAAGAGAATACCTTAGGGGCCAGATATCCCACCCTCAGTTCCCTTTACTGCCTGTAGTTGGGCCACTCCAGATCCAGCCATCTTCTTGTCTGGCCTGGGGCCTAGTTGAGAAATCTTTGACCATGACTTTGAGTCACCTTTCTTACCTACTTTTTTTTTTTTTGAGATGGGGTCTCACTCTGTCACCCAGGTTGGGGGGCAGTGGTGTGATCTTAGCTCACTGCAGCCTTGAACTCCTATACTCAAGTGATCCTCCTGCCTCAGCCTCCTGAGTAATGGGACTACAGGCATGTGCCACCATGCCATGATCATTTGTTATTTTTTTGTTTGTTTTGTAGAAACGGGGTCTCACTATGTGGTTTTGGCTGGTCTCAAACTCCTGGCCTCAAGTGATCCTCCTGCCTCAGCCTCCCAAAATGTTGGGATTGCAGGCATGAGCCACCATGCCTGGCCATCTTTCTTGCTTTCTGTGGGAAAAACCTCTCAATCAATGTCTCCTCCCAGCTTGGCCTCCACTTCCTGGAGTGGATTGCTTTTCATCCCCAGTTAAGAGACTTTTGGGGAAGGTGGACAGAGCTGGGGTGGTCAGACGTACAGTCCTAGTACTAACAGCATGGTTTTCCTGAGCTTCCCAAACGAGGTGCATCTCCTTGAGTCAGCATCCTGCATTGCTTGGAGGCCACTGCAGGTTAAGGAGGACTGACCAACTTTGAGGCCCACCTGGCATATTTCTGTCTTGATCCGATCACAGCAAATTGGTGGTCAGAGGGGAACAGGCAGCTGGTGATGTTCACCCAAGCTCAGACCCAGACTGACGTAGAAGTGCTAGATTGAGTTTGGGAGTCTAATATTGCCAACCCCAGCCACTGGGTGGGAAAGGCATCCCCAGGGCCCTTTGCTGGTGCTGTCTGGGATTCAGGCCAGGGAACTTGGATTCCATTTCTTAGTGTTATATGGACACAGCTCTCTGAGCCTCGACTGCCTGTTCTGGACCTTCAGAGACCCTCAACTCCCTATTTCCACAGGACTTTTCACTCATGGTGCCCTGCCATCCTTAAGCAGGACCTGTAAGCACACTTACAGGAGACAGTGGGGAAACTGAGTCATAGAGGCACTGAGCAGTTTAATGGAGACCATACTGGGTCTATGAAAAAGGGAAGGGGGAGTGGAACCCAGCTCACTGTGTAAGCTCTGCCCTCCCCAGAGAGGGGCAGTGGGAGGAGGCCCCTACCTCATGCTCCCGCCTCTACTGTACAGGGCTCCCTCCTTCCAGCCATCCTAGCAACACTCAGTGGGCTCGTCGCCATGACGCCAGCCTGTGGAGGAAAGTGGGGAGGGGACCAACACAGGACCCCTGTGGCAGAAGCTGCCTTGGAACTGAGAAACATCACTAGAACTCATCAAGCCCTCCACCCACCTGGTGCAGATGAACTGAGGTCTGAAGAGGGGAGACCACCTGCCCAAAGGGAGAAAAGCAGTCAGTAGGATGGCCGGGATTAGATCTGGCTCTCAGTTCCTAGTTCCTATGAAGTAATGCAGGGAGAAGACAGCTGGCTGGCAGGATGCCAGCAGCATCCCTCCAGGGGGGCAAGGGGCTGCCTTTCTCTACAGGCTTTTAGGTACCAGACCTTCTCAATCTAGATAGACAGAATCCTCCCTCCCAGGACATCCCCAGAAGCCACAGAGTTCTGGGGGCTCTCAGAGATAGCAGGAGACCACCACCCCAGAATGAGGATAGCCATTCTTGGTGTGAGCAGGATTTCCCCTACCCAAGGACATGATGGCCCCTCCTTCCAGGCCCCAGGCCACCTTCAACTCCCCTCCCCTTGCTGACAATGCCTTAGCTGTCTACAGGGAGCCCCAAGCAGCATCATCTCCCCTGTGTGCCATGGCCCCACGAGGTCAGCATGTTCTCTGTCCCCTTCACACAGATAAGAAAACTGGGACTTGGACAAGGAGGGCCTGCCAGTCCCTCAGTGAGTCATGGCAAACCCAGGACTTAGATCCAGCCCTGCTAAATCTGAGCCCAGGTTCCTCCCACTCTCCCTTGCCCCAGCTGCTCTCCTGGCAGGTGCTGTGTGTGAAAGGGACCGCCTGCCTGACTCTGAAGCACCTGGTGAGGGTGGGCAGTCAGAGGGGCCCAAATGCCTGTACCTGGGGCCCAGCCAAGAAGCCCTGTGGGGAGCTCCCTGAGGATCACTGAGATGGGGCTCCTCCTTCAGCCCGTCTTCAGGGCTCCAGGCTCTGCTGTGGCACTGGTGGTAAGGAGTGCACAGGGAAGGATGCTGGGACCTCTGACTTAAGGAGCAGGTGGGAGGAGAGGAAAGGGCCAAGGCCCAGGTCCCCAGCCAGCCCTTGATTGAGATTTAGATGGCACATTTTGAAAAGCAGTATCCTTCCAGAGTATTCTGGTCCTGTGCCATAGGGCTACGGACAAGCAGCCGCTGTCTCTAAAGCCAGCAGAATCGAGGCCCATGCCCTGGTCCAACATTTGAGGCCTCCATGATCTGGCTTATTCTTCCCTCCCTCCTCTTCCACTTCCGCTCCCACCCTCCCTTCCATCTGACACATCATTAGCTCAATTTTTCAAGGCACTGTTCAACAACACTTCCTCCATGAAGTCTTCCAAATTTACTTTCCCTTACTCTTGGAATAACTCCCTTCCATGTGCTCTGACTGTCTTCACTGTGCTATTTTACTTGGGAGCCTATATCAAAAAGTTCTCTTTGAGAGTCTGCCTGTCTGTCACTCTTCCTAGAACAGGAGCCCCTGGAAGGCAGGCTCAGGTCTTATGCATCTTTGAAAAGCTTGTCTCTAGGCTCCTCAATTCTTTCTGGGGGAAAGGGTAAAATACTCAGAACCCCAATAAGGGGTGAGCCTGAGCAAGACGATCAGGTGGCTGGAGGATTCCTGGGGAGAGCAGGAGACAGGAAAGATCAAGATGCATGCAGAGGTGGGTAGAAGCTAGAGCAGAAGCCAGGAGTTCCCAGAGCCAGCAGAGGCCTATCAGGGCCCAGACTTGCTGTAGAACTCTGAGCAGCTGTGTTTCCCTCTCCTGGCCAGTCATTTCCTACCCTTAAGTGGGGAGGGGAAGGCTGGACTCGGAACATAGAGCGCTCTGCAGCCGGGCAGCTCTGGGGTGTCTGGATGGCCACAAGGGCATCCACTTCTGCTCTATTTCTCTTCCTTCCTTCTTTTCTTAGCTAAACCTCTGTGATGGCCATGCCTGTCCCACCTTCCCTCTCTCCCAGCAGGGAAGTTGTTCTCACACATGGAGTAACTTGTGGCCCTTGGAGAATGGAATAGAGTCAGGGGGGATCAGGTCTCGCTGGAGTCTGAGAATGCAGACCTGAGTTTCCGGATTTACAGCTTCTACTTCTTCAACCCAGAGGGCAGGGTCTATCTGGGGTCCTCCTGAGGCTTGCACCCCTGCACTGCGCCTGTCCTTAACAAATGTGGCATCCCAACTGCTCCAAGACCTTTAAAGTTTACCCCCACTCCCTCCAGAAAGCCTCCCAGGAATGTCCCAGTGTCCACCAAGCCCCTCTTCCCGATCTCTGACTGTTGATTTGCACAAGCCTCCTTGATAAGCAGCCTGGGGCTTCCTGAGGGCAGGTCTCAGCCTTTCTTATCACCTCTGACTCTTAGGGCTGAAGAAGGGATTCCTGCATAAGCAGGCAGACCCAATGGGAGAGACCCCTCTGGCTGGAGACCACTCAGCTTATGTGTTTCCATTGTAACACAATCAGTGCTTAAGCATGTCTCTAGAATGGGGTTCTGGGAAGTGGGGACCCCTAACCTCCCCATGTGGCTAGGTTAGATGGGATGCCCCTTCTTCCCCTGTCCTGGCAGATGCCTCAGTACAGATGACCCCAGCCATTCCCAGTAGGACATTGCGGAGCTTGAGGTCAAGGAGGCTGAGGCTCAGCCAAGCTGCACTTAGTGGTTCCACAGAAGGAAAATGGACCATGGCCAGGAGGGAGGTGGCAAGACCCTCCTTTGCAGCCAAAAGGACCGTAGGGACAGGCAAGATGAGGTGCAGGAGGAGGGCAGATAGAAGGAGGGATGGGAGTGGGGAGACAGTGGGTTTGGAGATGGAGTCGGGGGATGAAGAAGGCAGTAGGGAGAGATGGAGAAAGAGAGAGAGAGGTAGAAAATGAGAGAATCTGAGAAAGACAGAAACATACACCCAGAAACAGAACCACACATAGAGAAAATCAGAAACAGACAGGGAGACAATGAGAGAGACACAGAGACAGAGATGTACACACAGAGATGGGCTCAGAGGAGTCCGTGTGGAATGGGGAGAGGTGGGAGGAAAATGGAATATAAGTGCCCCACTTCTGGCCAAACCACTTCCATGCTAATCCACTTCCTTTCGGCCTACAGACAGGGAGACAGGCCCACAAAAGGGATGAGACTTGCCCCAATTAAATTGTATATGGACATTTAGGATTGTTTCTAGCCACCCAGGATTTGAACCTGGGTTCGGAGAATCCTGGGGTAAGACCGAGGCTACCTCCCCGCCTAGAGCTAAAATGCCAGATCCTTACTTCCCAGGATCCCTTGTAGCCAGAGCTTTGGCATGGGATTTGGGGCTCCACATATTCCCCCACCCATCAGATGCACCTACCCGAGGGAATTAGTGAACTGGAGGCCCCCAGATGGAGACAGGGAGAAAGCCTCTCCAGAGATAACTGCAGGAAGCTTAAGACTCCAGGTTGGCCAGGTGCAGTGGCTCACGCCTATACTCCCAGCACTTTGGGAGCCAGAGACAGGAGGATCGCTTGAGTCTGGGAGTTCAAGACCAGCTCTGGCAAAATGGCAAGATCCCAACTCTACAAAAAATTTAAAAATTAGCCAGGTGTGGTGGCATGTGCCTGCAGTCTCAGCTACTCGGGAGGCTGAGGCAGGAGGATTGCTTGGGCACAGGAGTTTGAGATTGCAGTGATCTTTGATCATGCCACTAGTGGTGGCCAGGGCTGGTGGTGTTGGCAGGGCCTTTCAGGGAGAGGGAGGTCCCCTCACAGGGCCAGCTCTGCCCTGTGTTCTTGGCTTGGGGCCCCAAATCTGGTTCTCTAGCCCACTCAGTGATTCCATAAGCTCCCCAATATCTTTTTAAAAAATTTCTTCTCTGCTTAACCTAGCAGAGTTGCTTTTTGAAAGGCAGCAGAACCTGGGTTTGAATCCTTGTTCTGTTACAAGTGACTTCATTGCTCCACACCTCAGTTTCCCCATGTGTAAAATGAGGATAATGCCATGTCTCTGTCACTCGATGGTGCAAGGATTAAATGAGTTAAACCACAGTACAAACATGTGGAAGCTCAGCCACTGAAGCGCCAGCACAGGTTGTGTAGAGAACACCCAAGGAGACTCGTGTGCTTAACTTGGCTCTGCCACTGACTAACATGTGTGGCCATGCGCTAGTCCCTTCCCTTCCCTTGGCCCTGCTGCATCTGGAAATAACTCTGGGTAAGATGGCTCAAGGCTCTGACCCAGCCTCCCAAACTCACACACTGTAGCTATTTGCTAACCCCACATCCTGAGGACTTCTAAACGCCTTATCTCCACTCTTGGTGCTCTCTTGAGCTTTTCCCCCACCCAACCAGCTGCTTCCTGAACATCTCCACTCAGCTGTCCCTCCAGCTCCTCAAAGTCAACACATCCCCAACTGTGCTCAGCTGTTTCCTGTGTGCCCAACCTTTACCTTGCCATCTCTCACCATATCTTGTCAATTTCAAATGCCCAAGGTTGCTGGCGTCTTCAACCTCATTTGCTCTTACAGCCTGCGGTCTACCTGGGTCTGTGCAGAAATCCCCTTACTTCTCCTTTCCCTCCAGAGGACAGTGTGCTCCCAAAATTGAGCTTCTCTGCTCACAAGCTCACCCAGGCTCCCTCTCCAGATGGTGAAGCCCTGTAGAATGCCCTGCATCACCTGACCTCCATGCCCCTCCCCAGCCTCATTGTTTCTTTCTCCTACTCCCTGTTCTCCATACAACACACTCCTCCCAAGGCACAAAGCCCAGCCTGTCTCCTTGCCTTTGCTCAGTCCCCTCAGCCTAGAGGGCCTCTCCTGTGCCTATTACACTCACCTGCTAAAATCCAACCTGTCCCCAGAAGTCCAGCTCAGAGGGCTAAGTCCTCCCTGATCCTCCAGGCCGGAGGTATGAGTCTTCTTTCCAAACCTCTAAGCTCTCCTCGCAAACCGAATGCCTCTTGTGGAGGGAGTACTGCCCCATGGTTAATAGCGAGGGCTGTGGATTCACCTGCCTGCACTGGTGCATAGGAGCTGATTAGGACTTTCAATAAGTTACTTCATGTGTCTGAGACTCAGTGTTCTTGCCTGCAATATGGGCATAAAAGCAGTATGTATCTCAGAGGGAGTGTGGGCGAGTGGGATTATGGATGCCTGAGATATGGATACAAAGCTCTCTCAGTGGTAGCTGGCACCTGGAAAATGATCAACACTTAGCTTTGTGGCAGATTCTCTGTGCTCAGCTGAGTTGAAAAATCGCAGAGACTAATATCTAAACTGCTATCCCCACCCGGGCGATTCCTGCTCTCTAAGGAATGAGGCTTCAATGCGGGTTTGGCTATAGCATAACAAAATTGGGGCAGGAAGTGGAGCCTGAACGCTCCTGTTCTTCCCCTAGGCTTCTCGTGGAGGTTTCTCCCTCTGTCATTCTTTTTAAAGGAAGGATCCCAAGGAAAAGGCAAACAGAGAAGCAGGAAGCAGCACTGATGTGAAGAAAGGGGAGGAGGGAAATCAATCATGCATTTCCACAGCCATTAGCAGCCTCTGCTCTTCCCACCTAGGCTGACCTCACACCCCAGGTGCTGGTTAGTGGTAAGTGCTCCCCACCCTCCACAAGCTCCTCTCATTCTCCAGCAGTTGCAGTGCAGGCAGCACTTTGGTCTAAATGAAGAAAATTGTTCATTAGATACCAGGGGCTAATTGGCCCTACTTTTACCAGCCTGGGTGGTGCCCCAACCTTTTATCAGCTTCTCATTAGACTTAATTGATATGAATGGCCTGATATGTGCTGTCTGCAGCACCTTTGGGAAGTCTTCCTTGTCACCCCGCCCCCACACCCCAATCCCATAGACCTTGTGCTTCCCCCCTAATTAGGGCATTCATCATTCTGTTCTTTTTGTCTGTTGCAATTGTGAGTGAGAGCCTCAATACAGTGCCTGTGCAGTGGCTGGCACATAGTGGGTATTCCACAAATTGACTGAGTATTACTGTACTCAGCTTGGCTATGAAGAAGAGACCCAGGCCCTGGGAAGGGGGGGCCCCCAGGCTGGTCGGGGAGAACAAGGCATAGCCCAGGCTGGGGTAAGAACGAAAGCAGAGCTCCCTGAGGTTCACAGGCTGTGGGCTGAGATGCTCCATCACCCCACTTTACCCTGGATGGCCCTTAATCTCCGGGCCCAGTCTGAATCAGGCATGCTGATCTCCATTGCCCCACCCCACACAGCTCACGGAATCCTAAAAATACAGTTTTATAAGGTCAGGACTAGGAAGGCACAGGGAAATCATTCCTTCTGCTTGCACACCTCCTAGCTTGGGGATCTTACTTCCTTCTAGGGAGATCTGTTTTAATCATGGATGGGAAGCATGTGCTCCCTGGGCCCACCAGAGCCCTCAGCTGGTGCAGCCAGGAGAGTGCGGCTTGGCATCAGGTGCAGGTACATCTCTCTTGCCTTCTAACCATCTCTCATGGCAAAGCCCTCAGCCTCAGCTTCTGAAAGCTTGTGTGTGTGTGTGTGTGTGTGTGTGTGTGTGTGTGTATGTGTGGTGGAGGTGGAGCTGGGCTACCAATCAGACACAGACACTCTGAGGATGTTTCCAGGATGAGAGGCTTCAGACAAACAATCCAGATAGGGTCTCAGCGTGCTTGACAACTGGGGTCCGGCTGGAGATATCAGGGGGGTTCTAGGTGGGGCAGTGATTGCTGCCCCCACAGCCTCCCGCAGACCACACACCTGGCTCCCATCCCATGTTCCACAGGGCACAGACAGGCACCTACCCACACGCACACACCCAGAACCCACACTGAACGACCCCACCTGGAGGCTGTGTAACTCCAGCAACCTCTACTGCCCTTTTCCCCAGAGCCTCAAGCCAGTCCATGATTTGCCAGGAGGAAGGCAGGCACAGGTTGTTCTCCTTGAGAGATGGTGTTGGGGTGCTGATTCAGACACCACTCATTATGGGGGCGCAGGAATAATGCTGCCCACAGCCCCTGACTCAGCCCAGCAGGTCAGTCCTGGGACCTCGGATTAGGGAAGATGCAACACCCCGCACCCTCTGGCTTAGCAGAACCTACGCCTGCATGTCCTCCCCACGAAACATGCGCTCGCCCCAGCCCTCCTGCCTCCTACCCTCCTCCTCCCCTCTGGTAGTAGGGTCTGGTCACTGCACTCACTCTGGGGGATTTGGGACTTAGCATATCCGCCCTCCTGGGATAGGTCCCCCTCCTGGGCAGGGGAAGCATTGTCTAAACAATGAAGCCCTAATGGGGAACTTCAGGCAACGGGAACCTACAATGAGGGAAGGAGGTTTACACTCCAAGAGGAGGAAGTATTTCCTTCTCCCCTTTTTGGGCTGTCACCGCATGGAGCACGGGAATTGTGGGCAAATCACTGGCTTACTGAGATTAGACGCTGTATTGGGGGTAGAAGCAGAAGGCGCGCCCCCAACACTGTAAGGGGTCCTTAACGCCCGCGGTCCGCGGTACCGCGGCCGTCAGCAGCTTTGTACCGCTGGGTCCGGAATCCTCTTTACTCCCTAAACCGCCTTCTCAGGAGGCCGGTGTAGAGCAGGCAGCGAGGGCCGGGGGCACTCACGGGTCGTGTTGTACTTGACGCCGTTGAAGTACTCGGGGCACGGCCTCTCCACGAGGGCTCCGGCAGCGCTGCGGGGCCAGCACGTTCCGATCTGGTCCAAGGTCGTGTTGCAGTAGGAGTAGGGACCTGGCGGCGGGAGAGAGCGCAGTAGGGCTCAGAGGGGCCCGCAGGGACGCGGGGCTCTCGGAGCGCGGGGTCAGGGGCGCACCCAGCGCGCGAGAGAAGGAGCCCGCGCAGCCTCCGACCGCTCGCCTCCCGCCTACCCTCGGGGTCCAGGGGTGGCCCCCAGCCGTCCAAGAGCAGCTCTTCAGCCAGCGCCAGGCTGCAGTTGGCCTCCAGCAGGCTGTGGAGCAGTGCCGCGTCCATCGCGTCCCGCAGCCGCGTGCGGAGAGGGAGTGGGAGTGCGCGCCCGGCGTGACTGCGAGGGAGTGGACGCGAGAGTGAGCGGCCGAGAGGGCGCGGGGTCCTGGCCCCCGCCAGCCCAGCCCCGATCTCCCGGGCAGCCTTTGGGCGCCACCTCCGGTCGCCCAGAGCTGTCAAGTGGGGACCTTCCCGGAGAGGAGCCGCCGAGTGCACGGAGCTGCGGGTACAGCCGCTCCGCCGCGGCCAATGGCTGCGCCGGGGGGCGGGGCCGGGCGGCTCCTCTCGGAGGGGCTCAGTCTCCAGCCCCCGGGCCCTCCACCCTGCCCAAAGTACGGCTTCTCAGTTCGCAGCTCTCTTCCACTCGCGGCGTCCAGAGGAGGGCGGTGGGCTGGAGAGCGTGGGCCTGGGGTGACGGAATGCTCTGTGCGGGGATCGCAGGCCCCCGAGCTGCAGGGGGCAGCAAAGCGCGCCCACCTGCCCGCCTGCCCGAGGAGAACACCGCAGCTCTGCTAATCGAGGGACAGCCGCAACCCAAAGTTCGGCAGCTTTCCGCCTGAGCTTCCCCTCCCTGAGCGAGGACACTGGAGGGAGGCAGAGACGGAGAGCCCATGGGCAGATCTGCATCCTCCAAAAGCCTCCATAGCCTCTGGGAAGGAAATGTATCGAGGAGGCCTGGAGGGAAGCAGGGAGACACCCATGAGTCTAATGAGATCAAGTGGCCTGAGTGGGTTGAAGTCCTTGGATCAGACCGTGGAAGCTGGAATGGAGAGAGATTTCGGAGGGGCAGCCAGACCTGGTGAGGAGGAACTGGAGTGGGTGGCTGGTTTTAAGTAGGAGCCCAGAGGCAGGGATAACATCAGGTCTCCTGCTTGAGTGACTGGGTGGCCATTTAATCAGATGGAGTAAGTCTAGGGGAGAAATTGGCTGAAATTATCTGGAAGGCTTTATACACCCAGTTGTTAGTGCCTTGGGCACCAGAAAGAATAAAGGAAGAAGTGAGAATGTGTCTCTCTTCCTCAAGGCTTGGGCAGGGCTTCACCTGACCCTGGTTTCCACACCAGTAGCGGGGCAGGGGCGGGGAGAATCAGGCCCCACAGCAGGTGTGGAGGAGCTGGAAACCTCCCCAGAGAACTTGCCCAGGCCCCCCACCCCACCCTGGCCCAGAATGCCTCCTTGGTGATCTGCTGTGGCTGCACCCTCAGAGTGCCCAGGGCGGGCCTGCTGTGTCTGCCAGCTGAGTGGGGCATTGGGCTCGGGAAGCAGGGCCTGGGGTAAGGCATGCTTCCACTCAGGCTGCATTTTGGTCCAGCCTCTGACTCTGCTCTCCCTGCCATGGTACCCCAGGCAGGATGCTTGCCCTCTCTTCTGGAGCTTTCTCCATCAGTGAAATCTTCCCCGAGGCCCCTCTCAGCTCTGAGACTCTCTGGTTCTGAGTTATGAGACGGAGAGTCTGGGGAAGACATACATGTGTGTTGTGTGTTGTTTGTTTCTATCTTTAGAGGGCAAGGAGAGCTGGAACCTAGTCTCAGAAACCAGTCCTGTTCCCCTGCCATCCTCCACATAAACCTAAGCTGCTAGGAAAGGCTGAAACCACCATGAACTAGCACCATGCCCTGGGCAGAGAGAGGCAAAGCAGCAGGCAGGCTGCTTTTGTGTGCTCCGCTCTCACCAGCCTCCATATTAATGGTGCTGTCACTGCCCAGGCAGAGCGAGTGAGACCACACTAAGACCAGGGCTGAGCCCTGGAATCTCTCCAGGGCCTGCTGACTGGCAGGAACAAGATGCTGAGCAGCCAGCCAGGTCTACCCTCTGCCTCCTGAATGGACAGTGAGAGCCCAGGCTCAGCTCTGGGCAGCTGCAGAGGTAGAGGTTCCTTGGTCTTCATATTATCCAGTGCCAGGAGCAGGGGAGGACCTAGGCAGAGTCCTACCCTCCGCTCCTAGACTGAGCCCTGTTACCCAGGGTCCCACACAGGCCAGAGGGTGGCTGGCCAGGTCAGCCCATGTATTCACAGGGCAATAGTGTCCCTCATATACAAGGGATAGCCCTTCACACAGCACGGTGCAGCACAGAGGAAGGGAGAAATCCTAAGCCAAGCTTAAGTTATTATCCTTGTTCATTACTGCAGCCACCACCTAGGTGGTGCCTAAAGCACCTATAGATGCAGCTATGTCAAGAGGTGGTGTGCTCCCAATGACCAGAGGCCAGGGACTTCTCATCTCATGCAGATTTCTGCAGAACAGAGGGTTGGCCTGGGTGAACTGGATTGCTCTTAACTGGGAGAGCTCACATACCAAAGATTCTTCTGGGAAGTGACCATTTCAGTGGCAGAGTCAAAGGCTGTTCTGCATCCTGAATGAGCAGTTGGGGTCTGAGCACATACCCACAGACCCACAGACCCGAGGTCCCCTGGATGTGGGGCCATTTCTTCATGGATCTTATTATTATAGGCACAGTTGTCATTCGAGATGTGACAGAGGGAAAACTAGAAAAGGTAGCAGTTTGGGAACAAATTGATTTTACAGCTCACTTTAGTGTCTGCAAACAGGCAAATGAGGAAGAAATTGGGAAGAGCCCCAAAATTCCCTCAATTTTACTAAATCCAAGTACAAACAAACAAAGACAGGGGCATTTTTGCTAACTAAAGAAGCAGAGGTAGATTAGAGGCTTTGGGATAGTGATGGGTTCCCAGCGCTGCAGGCCAGCCCCATCCCAGCTGGAGGCCAGGAATTAGGGGATAAGTATTTGGAACAGTTTGTGTGTCCCCAAGCTGTTGGGGACAGGTTGGCAAATAGGTTCAGGGAAGTGTGACAGGTACTTTGGAAGACCCCTGTGTACCATGAGCAGCAGAGTAAGGCAGGTGCCTCTGGTGCCCTGCATCCCATCCCATGGCCCACCTCTGATGTCAGCTGCAGCAGCAGTGGACAGTTCCAGGCCAGCTCAGACACACTTGCAAAGCCTAATACATGGCATCAAACAGGCATGTAGGCACAACAGAATCACACACAGAGCCACAGTTATGCATCTTCACCATGCACACACATTCTCTCTCTAATTCATCCCCTACCACTCAAATGTCAGCTGGAAAACAGGATTTAAAGGGACAGGATGCATCTTTGCTTCTCTAAGGGACTGTCCTTGGTTAGACTACATAGAGAGGGAGTCTATTCAGGCACAGCTGGAATAGTCGTGGTGTTTCCTGGGAATTACGACGGGGTTGCTGAGGGCACAGAGGTTCCAGAGGGGCCTGAAGGTGCTGCACTTTTGCCCTGTAGCACTGGAGACAGGGGTCCCAGGCCAGGCACCCCCTCCTCACCCTATCCTACTCCACTGCAGGACAGAGGAATTGGCCTGGTGTCTTCATGTCAAACCATGGGACTAAGCTGTGGGGACAGAAAGGACTCTCAGTGACATCCAATCCCACATTCTTGTTTTACAGATGGACAATAGGATTCCCAGACAAGCAAAAGAGGTTTCCCTCCCTTACTTCTCCCAGGCCATCCTCATCTCTGCAGCAGCCCAAATGGGCTCCCTGTCTCCTCATGGCAGATAAAACGATGTTTTATAATTACGATCCTGTCACTCTTCCTCATAGGAGTGCCGCCAACCCATTGCCCTTGAGATGGAGACCACCTCTTTGGTATTGCAAAGAAGGTCCTTCGTAATCATCTATCCCTCATCCTCACCCTTCTGCTCCATTTGAAAGGCCCTCCAGAACAACATGTCATTCCTGGGAACCATCTTTGGTATTGCAAAGAAGGTTCTTCATGATCATCGTCCCCCATCCTCACCCTCCTGCTTCATTTGAAAGGCCCTCCAGAACAATGTGTCACTACCAGAAACCATTCGCTATCTCTGTTCCTTGTTTGTATTTCTGCACTGGAAATGGCCTTACAGCTCCACACTCATCCTTCAGACATGCAGCTCCTTGGTGACCCCATCTGCTGGGTGCTGGCCTATGTCACATCCAGGTTGCTTTTTATTCATTGTCTCATCTACCAGCCCATGCCTCCCCAAGGGCAGGGCTGGTCCTGGTTCACTAACCCATCCCCAGCACCCATTGGAATGCTCTAGACTTCAGCCCAGTGAGTCACTAAGAAAGGACAGATACCTTGGCAGAAGAGCTGAGGAAAGCCCAGGTCCCTGTCTTCAGGCCAAGGCTCTCTTCCCATTTGACCAACCCTGGCATATGTGTGTGTGTTGCATTGAGGAATTATTTCAAGGTATCTTTGAATCCATTCGGATTCTTGGCCAGGTGCAGTGGCTCACACCCATAATCTCAGCACTTGGGGAAGCCAAGGTAGGCAGATTGCTTGAGCACAGGAATTCAAGACCAGCCTACAAAAAATAATAAAAAATAAATAAATAGTCCATTTGGATTTTTATATCATCTATGGATAGGATAAATAATATGCCTCATAATATATGCCCTAATATTTTTCAAATATATGTAGCTGCCTCTGTGATGAATAAAATAGAAATAATCTATTTAAACCCTGCCTGAAGTCATAATTGCTCTGTGATTTTGCATGCGTTGCCTTTTTCAGGGGCATACAATTGAATTGATCATAGATTCGTGACCCTTTGTCATTATTAGTCTGTGCATTAGCCCATGCATGGCTTAACTTTATTTTTTAGTCTTTATTTTATTTAGTCTTTTTATTGTATGTAGTAGACAATATAATAAGCCTACCACCCAATTGGAAACTACATCATTACCAGTCACTTATCTATTTATTTCTATTCTCCTTCCCCAGAGGGAACATTCCCTTGACTATTGCATTTGTCATTCTCTGGCTCATATTTTTTTTCAGTTTTCTCACAGGTATGTACATCTAAAAGATATAGTGTTTGGTTTTACTTGGTTTTGAACTCTGCGTTAGACATGATGCATTTCCCCAAGCAGTGGACACTGAAAAGAAGGTCATTATCAATTTGGGGACTTGAGAAATGATTCCTGAAGCTCGAGGGGCTCCCTAGCAGCCTCTACATCCACCATCCGGTCATGGTTCATGTGGGGTGATGCATCCCCAGAGTGGCTGCTAGGCAGCGTCACAAGCGATGCGGTGGTTGAATATTTAATGACATGGGGAAATGTTCACTCTGAGTTATAAGAGGAAAAAGCAGGCGACGAAACTATGGACACACTATTATCCCATTAAAAAAAAAAGAAAAGAAAAAGAAAATAAAAAAACAATTGAACATGAGGCTCTATGAATGCATAAATTCTTGAGGGATATGAGGCATTATAAAAATTCCTGGGTTGTGGGAGAATGAGTACTTATCATCTTCTCCTTTGAGTTAAATTTTTTTGTGCCCAATTTTATAGAAATCATGTGGATCCCTTTTGCAAATGGATGAATGCTGTTAGAAGCTGAACAGGCAAGGCTGTATGTTTGGAGAAGCTGGGACCCTATCCGCTGCACTCAGAGCGGGGACCATCCGCCAAGGGAGACAGGGAAGGGTCTGTGCCACCTGCTGGAGGGAGGGCAGAGGAAGGCAGGGAGAAGGCTATGGGTCTGCTGACAAACCCACGCTGCCTCTGAGGGTGAGGGAAGGTTGGGCTTTCCTGAAGGGAGGGGCCTCCATTTCCTGTCTGATGCTGGCATGGCCTGTGCTAGGTGTCCCCGTGGGCTCTCATTCAGCCTTCACTGTGAGCCTCCGAGGTGGACTTAGATCCATTGCTAAACAGATGAGGAAACTAGCTTCAGATGGTGTCACAGGCTGAACTGTGTTGCTCCAAAATTTGTATGTTGAAGTCCTAACTCCCAGTACCTCAGAATGTGGCCTTGTTTGGATTTAGGGTCTTCGATGAGGTGATTAAAGTAAAGTAAGGTAAGCGGGCTTTAATCCAATAGGACTGGTGTTCTTAGAAGAAGAAGAGATTGGGACACAGACATGCAGAGGAGAGACCATATGAAGACATAGGGAGAAAGATGGCCATCTGCAAGCCAAGTAGGGAGGCCTCAGGAGGAACCAACCCTGCCCACAGCTTGATCTTGGCCTACCAGCCTCCAGAATGGTGATGAAATCAGCTTCTGCTCAAGCCCCCAGTCTGTGGTGCTTTGTTCCAGTGGCCCCAGGACACTAATACAGATGGGTTAGGTGAGTTTCCAGGGGCTGGGCGAGGCCGCTGGGTGGAAGAGCTAGGATCCAGACTTGGATCTACCTGATCCCAACACCGGAGCTATTGACTGCCCCAGTGGAAGGAGAACAGGCAGCAAGACTTTCTCTTTGACGCCTGGCTTGGGCAGTGCCTGTAGGCTGGGTCTGGGTGCTGGCCAGCACCCTTGTCTCCTTGTGCCCTGGCAGTGGCCCCAGGCCCGAGCAAGGGTCACCCCCACTCCCATCCTGTGGATGCAGACCTGGGAAGGCCAGGATACAGGGTGGGACACTGGAGACATCTCTCTGGAACCCAGCAGAATCCAGGGCTCTGTGCAGCTCTGCAGTGGCTGGCCCTGACCCTGTGAATCAGCCACTGGAAACCTCTGAGGGGCCAGAACTCAGGGCCGGGCTGCTGCTTTGCAAGTCCTTACCAGGAAGTCACACCTGTAGCCACGGCAACCAGAGAATGTTTACCACCTTCTGCCAGTTTCCCTGGAGTTGGAAAGCTGAGGGGTCATCCCCTTCTTGGACTCCTGAATGCCAGCCCAGCTGACTTCCATCGTGGGAGCTGGGAATGGGGAGTGGCCTCCCAGCCAAGCCCTTCATTATCAGTGGCAAGCCTGAGCCTAGAATGGGGAAGGGCCTGCGTAAGGGCCCTCAGCAAGGCAGAAATCAAACCAGGACTGGAAACCAGCACCCCACCCACCACCCTGCTGAGCCTGGGCTGGCCCCAGGAAAGCCTCTTCCTCCCGCAGGGCCCACCCACATCTCCAGGGGCTGCTGCAGGGTGGTGGCAGAGGGTACCTACCTGAGAGGTTGGTGAGGGTCATGATGGTGTGGCAGTACTGCTCCAGAAGTGCCCACAGGGGCTGGTCTTTGGGCATCTGGCTCTGCCCGGCTGCCTAGGGGACAGCAAGGATGAGGGTCAAAGATCAGGCCCAGGCTAGCCATTGACAGTGCCTGTCTGCCCCCATCCTATCCTATCACTCATCCCTTACTCCTCTTAGTACAGAGAGGGAGAACAAGGAGGGAGATGCCCATGGCCACATGGAGCAGCAGCAGTCTGGCCTGGGCTGGACCGAAGAAAGGCCTCAGAAGTGGCCCAATGCAGTGTTGCCTCCTAGGCAGGGGTCTGCTCTGTCCATCCCTCAGCCCCCAAGGCTGTCTCCTCCTCAGGCTGGGATGTGTCACTGTCATGGGGCTTGTGTCCTTCTGTCAGCAAAGCTGGGTGGGGGGTGGGTTCCATTAGTTGTTCATTCAACCAACAAATATTTGCAGAACACCTACTGTGTGTCAGGCCCTGGCTGGGGGAACTGATGGGTGTCCTTCAGGTAGTCCCAGGCCAGGTAGGGATCCTCTAGACTTAGAAAGTGCAGAAGGAAGAGGAGGCAAATGCATGATTTAACTTTGTTTCCCTGTCACACAGGTAAGCAGGCACTTGCAACGAAGAGCATTAGGTTAATACGTGAGAGAAGTGCCTAACCTGGATTCAGGAAGACAGGGAAGGCTTATTGGGAGAGGTAGCATTTTGGGGCACCCAGAAAGATGAGTAGGGACAAAAGAAGGGACCATAGGGCCAGCTTAGGCACTCACTAGGGAAGATATGTGATTGTTGCAATAATGGCAATTCCATCCAAAAGATAGAAAAGCACCCAGGATCCCGTCTCCTAAAAAATCATCAGAGTGGGTGCTGGATGTGCACGGATAAAGTAGATGTGGGCATGTGCACCCGTGAAGGGACCATCTTCTGGTGGGAAAGATGGATAGGATGTACAGTTTTACGGCATGTACGATTTACTGAGGAGGGCAGGGGTAGCATCACAGAAGAGGTCATGCTAATGTGGGTTTTGAAGGGTGAGTAGGAGCTTGCCAAGCTGATCAGGCCAGGAAGGGCATTCTAGTTAGAGAGCACAGCATGTGCAAAGGCAGAGAGGCTGGAAAATGCATGGTGTATGACTGAACGAGAGCAATTCACTCTAAATTCTAACGCTTGGCCCCATTCCTCCCAAGACCACTCCTTTTCTTGCTCTATGGTCAGCGTGTGTGTGTGTGAGTACATGCACACACGTGTGTGACTTTTGTGCCCCTCCCAACCCTGAGATTCCTGATTCTGGGATTCCAGAAGACACTGCTCCATCAGTGTGCAGCCCCTTCTCTTCCTGCTGCCTGTCAGATGTACTCTTCCTGGCAGCTGGGTCAATGTTTGCCCCAGGATGTCCCCAGGGGCCAGAGCCCAAAAGCCCTCAAACATCACGTTCTCCACATTGGGCTCAGTCCATTTCCTGTGCTGGGACTGGAAGCTGCATGCTCAGCCCTCACCACGTCAGCCTGGAGCTTCTAATGAATGACCCCACCTGCTCAGACAGGAGAGTGCTGCCCCCTGCACCCCTCCCGGAAGCCTAGGGTGAGGCAGACACCACTTGGAGGCACTCACTGCACCTGTGTTCTGCCAAACTCCCACCCCACGAAGTGAGGTAGAGAGGGAAATGCAGGGGAGCAGGTGTGTGTGTTGTGTGTGTGTCTCGGCACTGTGGGGGCCTCCTGAGCTGTCAGCCAGGAGTTCTGGCCTCTTGGCCTGCAGGACAAACACTGGGGGCCATGGTCTTGCTGTCCACATATCAAGGGAGCTGCTGAGAGTTCCTCAGCTCCAGCTTCTCGGGCATCAGGAAGACCTTGCTGACCCCGTGAGCCACTGCCAGGGGTTGGGGGGCTGGGGAGGGGAGGGAACACTCCAGACACTGAGACCTTCCAGGAAGAATTCTCAGGCCATACTTTTGGCTGGGTCTGGGGACAGTGAGGGCTCTAGGTCTGACCCATCACCCTCTTTATGGCGCCCATCGCCCTTGTTTGAGAAGCAGCTAGTAATGCCCTCTGTGGGAGGGTTCCCAGTGAATCCCAGCCTCTGGAGGTCAGGGTACGGGCAACCCAGAGGCATGCAGTGTCCACGGTGCGCCCTTAGGCAGATGCAGCCATTCCATCTCAGATGTTAGTGCCTTCTCTCAAAGCCCCTGAGCTGTGACATTTGTAGCCCCATCACTGAGGTGATCTCCTGTTTGACTTTACCGGGGTTTCTGACACATGCTTTGAACCCATGATGGGGTCAGGGCATCCTCCCCCAGGACTCAGGCAATGTGGGATGGTCCTTGCCTTGGATTCTGTGGTCTCAGGCTGTGGCCATCTTCTGGCTGAGCAAGCACTTTGTGGGGAGTGGGCACAGGGTTACCATACTCTGCAACTGATGCTTGCTCTTTGGGTCTGGGCAAAATTTGGTACAGGCATATCAGAAGTAATTTTTGGAGTAATCCCAGATCCTGGCTTCATCTCCTATAACTTCTCTGCTGGCCCCAAAAGCTGACACAGCCAAAGATACTCATTCTCTTCAAGGGGCTTGTTTGGGTGGATTTGACTCAGTCCGAAGTCGTAATCTACCATGCAGGTGTCAATTTTGGGCAGAGCCCCTAGTGGTGGTGGTGATGGGTGGGCAGGGAGGAGGAGGAAAGAGAGGCTGCTGTCCTCAGAAAACACATGGTCCAGGAAAGTCAGGGACAGACATATCTTGGATAATCCCATTCCAAGGACTTGAGAAGAGCTGTCAGAGTGGGTAGAGTGCACACATCCCAGTGTGCAGAGTTCTGGGGATGCTGGGCTTAGCTGTGTGGCCTTGGCAAGCCACTTAAGTTCTCTGAGCCTTGATCTCCTCATCTTTAAAATGGGGATAATACAAATCCCACAGGATTTTGTGTGCATTCAACAAATTACTGTAGGTCAAGAGCCTGGCACGTAGAATGCGCACGCTGAATGGTGACTCTTGGCAAGGACTTTAGGAGGGGGCTAGTTAGAGAGCTCAGTGATGGGAGGTCGAGTCCCCTCATCGGGACTCCCAAGGCCCAGCTCAAGCTCTTCCTGCCCAGAAAAGCTTCCTGGAAACCCTGTGCCCCCCTTCCCCAGCTCTCCAGTCAGTGTGGGACTCCGTTTGCCCTCAGCAGCTTTCCCTCGGACAATGGGCCCCTGAAGGTGCAGCCTCCATCTCCCTCACTGAGCTCGCCCCTCAGCGGTGCTCAGTGAATGCTCATTGAGGAAACCGAAGGCCGTTCGGCGAACTGGACATTGGAGCGGAATCTAAAAGGATGGAAGGACTTGGGCCATAGGAACAGCAGTAAGAAGAGGAGAAAGTGACCCAGGTAGAAGCTGAGAAAGCAAACCCTCAGAGGCAGGCGAGCCCAGGGCCCACACAGGAAACTGCACCATCTGGTATGGAGGTGCCAAGAGAAGAAGAGGGGAGACAGGCAGGAAGGGGAGGCTTCTTTCACGTGAAGTCAGCACTTACTCTAGTGCTAGACCTGCCTCTAAATGCCCTACAGAAGACAGCGGATTGAATCCTCACGGCAGTCTCTGAGGTAGCTGCAAATAACCCCATTTCACAGATGAGGCTGCTGAGGCCCAGGGAAGCGAAGTCACCCACCAAAGGTCCCACTTCAGGTAAGGGGCAGAGGCAAGATTCAAGCCCAGTCAGTTGGTAGGTTATGGCTTGGTCAGGTTCCCATGGGAAGAGCTGATCCTGGGTGAGGAAGTGAAGACCTGTGGGTCACGGATGCTGAGAGGGCCCCAGCCCCAGACTGGGTGGCTGTGGGGCTCAGGAGGCCGCTCAGGTGAGAAGCCCCTCTCTTGCCACAGAGGAACAGGGGCCTTGGAGGCAGACACCTGGGTCACGGGAGGCAGACCCAGCCAGTGGGCAGGACCTTGCACAAGAGAGATGAGGAATTATAAATATTAGGTCTTAGCCCCCAGTTCCTGACACAGAATCCCTAAAACCTTTGGAATTTCCTGGGTGACAGGAGTGTCGTTAGTTCTAATGAGGTGACTCTTGGTGGGCTGCCAAATGCAGCTGGTTACCAGAGAGACCAAGCCATGGTTAGAAGGTTGGAGCTTTCAGCACCTTCCTACACCTTGGGGAAGGGAGACGGGCTGGAGATTGGGTTAATATGCCTCTGTAATGGAGCCTCCGTGAAACCCCTCAAAGGTGGGATTGGGGGCTTCTGGTTGGTGACCACCTGGTGGTGCGGGGAGGGTGGCATCCAGTGAGGGCACGGTGCTCTGCGCCCTCCCCACAGCTTGGCCTGTGTGCCTCTCCATCTGGCTGTTCAGCTATATCCTTTGTGATAGACTTTAAAATAAACCTGTAAATAGAAATGTTTCCTTGAGTTTTGCAAAATGTTATAGCACACTATTGAACCCAAAGAGAGGGTCATGGGAACTCTTGATTTATATAGCCTGTCGGTTGGGAGAATGAGAAGCCCTGTCTTGCGACTGGCATCTGAATTGGGGGCAGTCTTGTGGGACTGAGGCTTTACCTGTGGAGGCTGATGCCAACTCCAGGAAGATAGCATCAGAATTGAATTGAATTGGAGGACACCCAGTTGGGGTCCCCAGAGAAGTGGAGAATTGCTTGGGGCAGAAAATCCACACTTTTGGTGTCAGAGGTGTGTAAGAGTGTAGAGAAGAAATGGAATGTTTTCCTGTTTCCATTTTTCTTTCTTCTGAGGGGAACGTCTTGGACACCTGTGCTGATTAGCTCTTGGCTGTTCTAGGGCAGAGAGCTCTCCACCATGCACACCCCAGCCCATGAGACTGACTGTAGGCTGTGGGAGCACAGGGTCCACATCTGTGTCCCCAGTCCCCAGTTCAGAGCCTGGCACACAGCAGGTGCTCAATAAATGTTTGTCAACTGACTGACTGCTTGGATGGATTAATGAAACCATGGCCCCCTCAGCCAGGTAGAGCTACATCCCCACCCCTAATCCCGGGAGACCAGGTTGTGGGCTTTTCCTGCTTGTTATATTTCCTTCTCTCTGAACTTTGCTCTGAGCCTAGCCTGTGTGAGGGCCCAGGTCCTGGTTCCCGCCTCTCAGTGCCTGGCATGGGAGGCCCTCACCTTAGAAGAGGCAAAGGAGAGGCCCTGGCTGGGGAAGGATGCAGGAATGAGAGCCAAGACTCCAGCTGCTCTTCTTCCACCTTGGGTCCTATCCAAACAGAACCTGTGCCCGGGGCCCCGACAGGCCTCAAAGGTATCGCCTCCCTGGAACCTGGGGGTCTGGCCCAGTCTAGTGTTCCCTCCAGGGCCTGGCGACAAAGCTTCTGTCTAAATTTAGCCCATGGTATAAGCTGGGGAGATTTACAGGACCATGTGTCCTGGGCCCAGGCTGCCAGGGACCGGAGGGGAATGGGGTGAGCTCCCTCCCTGCTTTCTCCCTCTGCTTCCCAAGGTCAGAGAAGGACTCAGCTGGGAGGGGCAGCATTCCACCCCATGTTTGCTTTCATTCAGTGGATTTCATTGAGCCTGAGCTCAGGCCCTGCCCCTTAGGGAGCACAGAGTTAGAGGAAGGAGCAAGAGGAGAGGGAAGAGAAGGAGAAGGCTTGGAGGAGAAGACTGGAAAAGAGGGGAGGAGGAGTGCAGAGGAGTAGGAAAAGGGAAGGGAAGAAAGGAGGAAGGAGGAGCAGGGAGGAGAGGGGATGATGAGGAGAGAAGAAGGGGTCAGAAAAGGGAGAGGGGGAGAATGGGGAGGAGAGAAGGAAGGAAGGGGAGGAAGAGGAGTATGGGGGAAGGAGGTGGAGGAGACTGGGAAGAGAAAGGGGAGGAGGTGGGGGAGGAAGGAAGGATACAGGAACGGGGAGGAGGGGGAAGAGGGGAGGAAGGTGGACATGAGGAAGGAGGGGGAGGACGAGGCAGTCAGGCCCTGCACAGACATAGGGGGCAGAAATGGGAGCTGAGACTGGCCGAGGGGCGGGCGAGGGGTGGGGTGTCAGATGAGGGAAGTGGGTCATTGTTTTCTGGTGTGTTCAGGCAGGCTCCTTGGAAGAGGAGACTTTAGATACTCAGTTCTAACTTGTAGGGTGTTGGATGTTGAGTGAGAATCCCCTTGGCCTCCTGGGCAGCTCCCAGCGGCTTTCTTGTTCCTGAGTCTGTGCTCGGCCAAGTTCGTCTTCCTAGGATGCCCCACTCTTCCTTCCCAGTTCCCCTCCAGCTCCCCCGGGAGGCTTTAGGCCTCTCCTCATTCTGCTGTTCTCTCTTCTCTCTGAACGCCCATGAATCCCTCTCCCCTCAGTCCTGCTTGTCTCACCTGTGCCGAGCCCTGGGCCCTGAACACTGACTGGAGTAGGAGGGGGAAGGGGAGGGGAGGGAGAGGTGACTTGGCCCAACATAGGGGCAGGAACTGGCCAGCAGGAGGTCCCGTAGCAGGCCACTTGGCCTAAAGCTATCTCCTTAATTATCAACACATCTAATGTCCAGTTTGCATAAAAGTCACATCTCTTCTGATTTGTTTTGGAGTCTGTCCGAATGTCCTAAAAATAACTTGACATTAAAATTAAATAACATTAAAATTAAAATTTTGTTAAAGGAAAGGAATCTGGAGTCAGGCTGTGGGCCGGAATCCTGGTCCTGCCACATACCAGCTGAGCGGCCCTGGGCACGTGAGCTCACCTCACTTCCTCATCTGCAAAATGGGGAGAGGATGGTTTTAACTCAGGGCGTTGGTATGAAGGTAAAAATAGGTGAGGTGCATCAGTGCCCATGATAGGCCCTGTAGGGCTGCTAAGTAAAATAAAATAAGCTTATTGAATAATCTGTCCCCCATGGGTTTGCAATGACTAAAAATTAGAATGTTGAGAAAGACAAACATCGCATGTTATCACTTACTTGTGGGATTTAAAATTCAAAACAATCGCATGGAGATAGAGAGTGGAAGAATGGTTACCGGAGGCTGGGAAGGGTAGTAGGGGATGGGCTAACAGGTACCAAAAAAAAATAGAATGAATACGACGTAGTATTTCATAGTACAACAGGGTGACTGTAGTCAATAATTTAATTGTACATTTAAAAATAACTAAAAGTATAATTAGATTGTCTGTAACACAAAGGATAAATTCTTGAGGGGATGGATACCCCATTTTACATGATGTGATTTTCTACACATTGCATGCCTGTATCAAAATATCTCATGTATCCCACAAATATATATACCTACTATGTACCCACAAAAATTAAAAATAAAAATTAAGGCCAGGCGCGGTGGTTCACACCTGTAATCCCAGCACTTTGGGAGGCCGAGGTGGGTGGATCATGAGGTCAGGAGATCGAGACCATCCTGGCCAACATGGTGAAACCCAATCTCTACTAAAAGTACAAAAAAAAATTAGCTGGGTATGTTGGCAGGCGCCTATAGTCCTGGCTACTCAGGAGGCTGAGGCAGGAGAATCGCTTGAACCCAGGAGGCAGAGGTTGCAGTGAGCCGAGATTGTGCCACTGCACTCCAGCCTGGGCAACAGAGTGAGACTCCATCTCAAAAAAATAAAATAAAATAATTAAAATTAAAATTTAAAAAGTTAGAATTTTGGAAGAAGTGACTGTAGATAAACTAGCTGTAGATAAAATGGTTTAAATTAAATGAAGTAGAATATGACAGCTAAGAAGATAAAGAGTAGTCCCATAATTCTTAAAGTGCTGCAAATTTGAGATTTAGGAGGAATACAGAATTAAGTAGCCATTGCCCTCAGACAGATTTAAAAAAAAAATACTGAAACACCAACAAAATGGCAAAACTAGAGACTAAATTAGCTAGTGAGGCTAGAAAACGCTCAGAAGGGAGTTGAATTTTTGGGAAAAGTCATTCAATGCATTAGCTGCTGGCAAATGGCCCTGGAGCCCCGGCTCTGCAGACCCTCAGTGTGTGTATGTTAGGGGACACTGTGGACTCGGTCTTTGGTGTGAGCCGGACAGGTCAGGGAGGGTCCAGGGACTGCCAGGGACTTCTCTGTGTTCTGTTCTCTTTGTTGAGCCTTCTTGGGGCAGATGGGCCCACCAGAAGCCAGGACCTGGGGCAAGAGGTCACAGAGGCACCATCCTGAGACCCTGGGGGGTGTCTCGCTGTCCAAAGCTCCAAGGAGCTGGACTTAGTCAGCAGGGGCTGAGAGGCTCCTGTGATCTTCACAGAGTGGGAGGCAAGTGGCATTGCTGAGCCTCTTTAAACTTGTTTCCTGTCTGTAAATAAGTGGTCCCACCTTCCCGGTGTTTGAGTAAGGCGCCTAACACCACTTAACAGCTGCTAGATTACCACCTGCCTCCGGACCAGCTTCCCGAAGGCCTCCACGGGGAATAGGGAGCACCAGGGTCAAGGCTGGGTGGGTTCCTCCAGGCTCTCAGTGTGCCCTGGGCCAGGGCATCCTCTTCACTCAAAAGCACCAGCTGGAACCCTTACAATTGCAGATCAGACCAGGCACCTCCCCTGCTCAGAGAGCTCCCCATGTCCTCAGATCCCACCAGGACCCATACAGCTCTGCAGTCTCCCACATAATGTCTTTTCAGGGTTGGGGCCCTGGGGCCTTACCCCCAACCTGCTCCCCTATCCCTTCCCTTGGACTACCCATCTCCAACTCTGCTATGCTGCCCACCTCCCACCAGGCTCCCCCATCCTGTCAAGGGCCCTCACACCTACACATGCTTCTTCTGAGCCCATTTACTGGAACTTGTAAACACAGACTCCTTTCTTTCCTGCCACACCCGCTTCTGGGCTATAAACACCACAAGAACAGGAACCAGATGAGCGTTCAGACCCTGGATCCTCCCCATGGGCAGTCCTCCTTAAACACTGGATGAATAACTGAGAAGCCTCCAAGGCTGGGCTCTCCTGGGCTGCCTTCCCTCCCGACTGCCTGCTCCAGGTCTCATCGTCTCAGGACCCGGGAAAAAGTCCCATTGCCATGAAGGCCCCGTGAGAGGAAGGCTGGGCTTTGGCGTCAGAAAGGCCGAGGTTTAAGTGCTCTCCAGCTGCTTACATGCTGAGTGGCTGTGGGTAAGTAACTGGTCTCTATCCCACTCCGGGATCCGCAGGAGAGCTAGGCGCAGGGCCTGGGATGACCTCAAGGGACGCTGAGACCACAGTGTTGCCCTGAGAATCCTAGGGCACCTCTGGAGCAGCCAGCAGAAGCTTCCTCCGTCTAACCAGCTTGGGCGGCTGGCAGCATGGACCCCAGAGGGACGGGCTGAGGGGCAACCCTTGCCCCAACACTTGGATCTCCTGGAAGGCACCTATCTGGAAAACAAGTGGGAGAGGGCAAGAGAGCTCAAAGCCCAAGATGTCTTGGGGGCAGAGGGGTGGATGGTGAGCCCCCTGTACAACCTTCACCCATCCCAATTGCAGTCTGCAAAGTCACTCAAAGGACTCAGCAGGTCTGGGGGCCATCTGCCTATCGGACACTGACCACAGCTCAGCATACTACCTGCCTCCCACCTCTCTCCTCCACCTGGCCAGGCCCCCAGGAAGGCAGGGACCCTCATGTCCTCATGCTGTATCTGTGGCGGCTGGCACAAAAGCATAGCTGGCATTCACTGCGTGCTCACACCACACCAAGCATGATGCTGCTTGCTTTACTTGTATTACCTCAATGTTCCTCACAACAAGCTTGTTCAGTAAGCACCGTTGTGATCCTCATTTTACTGATGAGGAAACTGAGGATTTGAGTAACCTGTCCAAGGTCACACATTAAGCAGCAAAGCAGGGATCTGGATTGGTTTTGTAGGCAATTATCTGTTGAATTACTGTTGAATGTATTATCCTCCTTATACGTATAGGGACACTAAGCCCCAGAGAATGGTCCCCAAAGCTGGTCTGTGGCAGAGTCAGGACAGCGACAAGCCTCTTAGCTTCCACAGGCACTACTTTCCAGATTGTGAGGCCTAGGACAGGTCACCCTACCACTCTGAGCCTCAGTTTCCCCATCTGTAAAATGGGGAGAAGGCTGGAGGTGGACCACTCCCACCAGCCTCTCCCCTACTTCTTCAGCTCTCTTTTGATGGTCGCTCTGTGTCCCTTCTCCCCACCTTCCATCGGTGGCCCCTGACTCTGGACAAAGGCACGGGGTGTGGCTGGATGAAGCTCTGAGTCTTGAGAAACCCTTGGAGAGGCTGGTTCTCCCAGAGCCCACTCTGTCCCCATCGCTCATCTGGTACTGGGGGCTGCCTGATTCCAGGCACTGAGAGGAAGGATGGAGACAAGGCAGCAGGGGCAGGAGGTGGCTCTCTGCGGGTCCCTGGGGGTAAGGGTCAGAACTAGGGGTGGGCTGGGGAAAGAAGTCAAGGATCTTGCAGGAGAGATGGAGGGGGGTCATGGGGGTGGGGAGAGAATGGATAGGAGACAGGGAATCTTGGACCCTGAGGTAGTCAAGTTCTGGATGCTAGGATGTCACCCCAGAACCCTCTGCTTATCCACAGGGGTCTCCCAGTCTCATCCTGGCCAGCCTCACAGTTTCATCTTCCCTTCCCCTGCCCCCTCACCCAGGCACGGGATCTCCAATTCATCATCAGACACAAGGATCCCCGATCCAGCCCAGCCACCAGGCCCTGAGACCCCCTCACCCAGGCACGGGATCTCCAATTCATCATCAGACACAAGGATCCCCGATCCAGCCCAGCCACCAGGCCCTGAGACCCCCGCCCCTAGTCATGAGAGCTGGGAGCTCCGTGCTCCTGGCGCCCCACCTCGTGGACTCCCACTCCCTGCACTTACGTATTGGAGCGGCGGTGGGAGGAGGCAGAGCAGGCAGAGGAGGAGGTGTGGGACGTAGAGGAGGCCTGGGGGCCCTGAGGGACCCCTCATGCCAGTAGTGGCTGGGGGTTAGGGACTGGAGCCTGCTGCCCAGCACGGTGGTCACACCCTGGCCAGCCCCACCCCACCCGGCCCTGGAGGGGAGGCCAAGGTAAGGCCTTGGGCATGAGGAGGTATTCTCCACCCACTTCTTCCACAGGGCAGTGGTGACCCCGCCCCACAGCCCACAGCCTCCAGGTTATTTATAGCTGGTCCCAGACAGCTGCTGCTACCCAGCCAGCCAAGGGGCTATGCTCTCCATCCAGCCTGCAGAGAAGGGGTTAATGCCTTCTATCGGCTGCCAGCATTGCCCGGGGCTGTAGCTCCCCAGGTGGGAGAGAGGAATTGAGACAGGCAGGAGGGGCCTAGGCTGTGGTCCCTGCTTCAGCACAGGGTTGGGCTGCCCTGGGTCTCAGCTGAACCAGCACTGCCTAACACCTATCTGAGGAGCTTTTAACAGGTGCTAATGCCTACTGGGATGACTGAGATGGGAGTGTGGATGCTGGGTTAGATAGTACTGTATCAATGCTACATCTGCTGATTCTGATACTGTACTGTGGGTAGGTAAGAGAATGTTCTCATTCTTGGAAAATACACATTTAGGATTAAAGGGGCACCATGTTTCCAACATACTTTCAAATGGTTCAGAAATAAACTCAGATAGATACATAGATAGAACAAGAGAGCAGATGGGGCAAAATGTAAATTGTTGGTAAATCTGGAAAAGGGGTATATGGATATGCTTTGGATCATTCTTCCAACTTTTCTGTACGTTTGAAATTCTATCAAAATAAAATGCTTTCAAAAAAAAAAAAAAAAAACCCAACCGACAGCAAATACAGCCATGGCAGGGCTCACCCAGAGATTCCAATGAAGTAGCTTGGGATGGGGCCCAGGTGTCTGTCTGTATGGGGCCCAGGTTCCATTTCAGGAAATGGTTAGGGATCCTGATATCAGGTGGCTGAGCAGTGCTGTTCTTGGCGGGGACAGGTTCAACCTGGGGCTGGGTCAGGGCTCATGAGGTGAGGTCTGTTCTTCCAGAGCCTCAGAAGCCTCCTTAGGAGCTGTTCCTGACAGGTGGGCCTGGTGCAGGGGGTTTAAAAGCTTAAGCCACAGTTGCACCTTGCTTGTTGTTAGGATCTGAGGGGAAAGCATGTGAGGAATGTGATTAGTGGGGCACCAAACTTTCTCCTGGAGATGCAGGCATGGTGGAGAGAGACCTTGGAAAACTCAGTCCCGATTTAAGTAACTCAGACACTCTGTGCTCCTTCCGGTCTCCCTATCTAAGACATGGGACACTTTTCTGTCCTTGAGTGCTTCCTCCCCACCCTCAGCCCCTTCCTCCAGGCAGCCTTCCTGGCTGTTCCAGGTCCCACCTCCCTCTCCTGTGAAATCTCACAGGTCTGAGTCTGAAGCTCTGCCTCGCTGGTGTGGACTGTTCTCCAAGCTCTGGGAGGATAAGGATGAATGTGGATGTGCCCCAACCTTCCTCTCCTTGTTTTTTCTTCTCCCTTCCCTCCTATTTTGTACAGAGCTTAGTCTCAGTGGTACAGGGAAATCTTTATAGGAAAAATGGAGGAAGAATTGATCGGATTCCTCATTTATTTGAAGGTGGCAGGGTGAAAACCCTATCCCAAGTCCTGGGGCAGGATTTGGCTTTCCCGGACCCAGCCAGATGGGCTTGGTCAGAGAGGGCTCCTTGTAGAAGGTGGATACCTCCTACAAAACATCATAAGCTGGGAAGGACTTTGAGAGCTGGGCAGACTCTGAAAGATGGCTGGGACAGTTCCCTTCAGCAGCCTTCAGCTGTAGGTCTCCAGGGGCCAGCCTAATAGCAGGCACCAAGAGCAGAGGCCAGCCTCAGAGTGTGCAGGGACATGGGAAGGAGAGGCATGGGGAACCCATGAGACCTGGCATCCATAACTGATGGGAGGTGGGACATGGCACAGGTGCTGGGCCAGCTCAGGGGAGTGAGAGGGCACTTCCTGGGAAGGTACTGCAGGAGCACCTTGAAGGGTTTAAGCAGATGGAGGAATGGGAGACCCTTACTGCAAATGGGGAAGTCTCCTGAGCAGAAGCAGGGAGCAAGGTCTCATGCAGCTGGGAGCCTGGCTGGGTGGGGCAAGCTGGAGGGAAGCCAGATTCTCTGCAGCTTTAGGAGGGTCCGGGTAGCAGTAGGCACTGTGGTGCTTAGCCCAGGTTCCTCTCTTGGGGGGGTGTTCTGGGTGCCTGTCTTAGCTTGGGCTGCTGTAGCAGAGTACCATACCCTGGGTGGCCTTAACAACAGACATTGATTTCTCTCTATTCTGGAGGCGGTGATATCCAAGATCAGGGTGCCAGCATGGTCAGGTTCTGATGAGGGCCCTCTCTTGGGTCTGTAGGTGGCACCTTCTTGCTGTTTCCTCACATGGCAGAGATGTTGGACTCTTGTCTCTTCCTCTTCTTCTAAAGGCACTAATTCCATCATGGGGATTCTGCCCTCATGACCTCACCTAACCCTAAACCCTAATTACCTCCCAAATAGCATCACATCAAGGGTTAAAGCTTCAACTTGGGAATCTGGGGGGTGGGGGCACACAGATTCAATCCATGTCAGTGCCATTCCCCTGGCTTTCCTTGTGCTTCTAAATAGGTCCCTTTTCACAACCTAGAACTTTCTTAGAACTCTCCTGGGGCAATGAGAACCACTTTTTGCACAAAGTACCCAGGAATTTATATCCTCCCAACCCCCTAAGGGCATCCTTAGCATTGAGTGATTGGTGTTCCTTTGCCTGGAGGTGGAAGGAACTCTGAAGTGTAATGGACATTCTAGAACTCCTTGTGGAACCAGGCAGAGGCCGGGACTCTGCCTGGGATCTTTTCCATTCTCCGTCCTGCCTTGCCTCGTCTCTTACCAGTCGCTCCTGGGAACATTTTCTTTACACATCCCTGCACAGGAATCCTCACCTTTGGGGAACCCCATCTAAGGGAGCCTAAATGGTCAAAGAAGTCTGTCTGGACTTGATCCCTCTAAATGGAAGGTGTTAACAACAAACAACGACAATAAAAAAACAAAAAACTTGAGCCTGCAGGGTTTCCTCTAGACAGCCTTTCACTTTCTGAGGCTGCTGGTGGTAGAATAAACCTTGCCTAGCAACGTGATCTGAGCAGGTTAATAACAACCTGCTCGTTTATAAGCTTTGTGTTACTAAGGGTAGATTCAGTGTGGAAAGGAGGCTTTATGTTTTTGAAAATGCCTTCATGGGCCTTTTTGGTGATGAAAGACAAACTCAGCATGATCTAAAAGAGAAGTGTGTGGAAAGAGACCTAACTAGCTTTGTAAAGCAAAGCTATTGAAATGACTAGATTGAGCATGGCATTCCAAGATGGAGACAGTGTAGAAGGGCTAGGAGCTGGGCTCTAGAAAGGAGGAGGAAAAAGAAGAGGAGACACGGACTGGCACAGGCCAGGTCCAAGCATGGATGAACCAGGAGCTTCCCTATGGTGGTGAATTGTCAATGAATGTTATGCCTCATCTTCAGAAAAGTCTACAATACACAACAGCCTGTGCCAGCAGTGAAGGAGGAGGTGCTGGGGCATGTTGGATACAGGGTTAGGAGAGGTGAGAGGTTGCAGGAAGCGGGAGCTGAACTGGACATTTCTTTGTTTTGTCCCAAGATGGTACTGTCCTTCTGAGAAATGCTCCATCCTCTACTCCAACGCTGCTCAGCCTTTTTTTTCCCATTATTATTTACAAGGAGGCTTTTTAGATATTTATTTTCCTAATTGCCTTCCCTCCTACCATGAAATTTTAATACCACAGACATACTGTATATGTGTCATGTACTTGCCTCTTTGGAGGGCCACAGACCATTCTCATATCAGATGGTTCTGCCTCCTAAGAACGGATTTTGTTCCCTTGGGAGCAAAGAACAGGCATGCTCTTTTCCAGCCACGTGATCAGGCTAGCAGCCAGCCACTGTGGATTGGCCAAATGCTATTCACCAAGCTGGACAATGAGAGTGTCTCACCCCGCTGACCATGGTTGGTTGGTACAGGAATGGACAGCTGATCTGAAATTACCCAATCATAGCCCTCCTCTGGGATTTTTATTTTTATTTTTTGAGACCGGGTCTTATGCTGTCACCTAGGCTGGAGTACAGTGGCATGATCATGGCTCACTATAGCCTCTACCTTCCAGGATCAAGTGATCTTCACACCTCAGCCTCCTGAGTAGCTGGAACTACAGGCATGGGCCACCATGCCCAGCTAATTTTTAAAATGGTTTTTGTAGACACAGAGTCTCATTATGTTACCTAGGCTGGTCTCGAACTCCTGGGCTCAAGCGATCCTCCCATCTTGGCCTCCCAAAGTGCTGGGATTACAGGTATGAGCCATCTTGCTCAGCTGGAATTTTTAAACTTTGTTCCAAAGAGAGAGCCTATTCCTTTCTCATGAAGAACCAGAGATGCCAAGTGTAGCGGCTTCATTGAGAGCCAAGCCAAGAGCATGGGCAGAGAAGAGAGGAGGAAAGAAGGGCCTGGTAGCCTTTAAGGCCTCAACTCCAGTTGGACCTGAGGCTAGCCTTGCCCCTGCCTCCAGTAAGGGAGCTTTCTAATAAACCTTCCTTTATGTTTAAAGTTTGTTTCTGTTGCTCACTACCCCTGGAATTCTGACCAACACAGAAGTGTTCAGGAATTGAACAGGAGTAGACTTTAGAGTAAAAAGTGACCAGGAAAATGTAAGACACCCCACCCACCTGCCTGGGAGCCAGCACTGTTGCAGGGAGCCTAGACCTTCTGTAAATCTGATAGGATGGGGTGGCTCGGTCATTGTATGTAGTTGTGAAAGGAAACGGTGACTTTGAAGGGCTGGAGGACTTAGGGACACATGTGTCCCCAAGCAGGGGAGGGGTAGGGGAGGGTCTGCATTTTAGAAGGTTTGCTCAGGCAGCAGGGTAGTCTTGGGTTGGAGGTGGCAAGTCTGGAGTGAAGAAGTCAGTGTGGGCGAATGCAGCAGCCCAGGCAGGAAGGGATGAGCTGGTCCTCTCAGTCCAAGGAGGAGTCTAAGGAAAGCCGGCACCTGTCGAGAAACGGACCTCTGCCCTGCATTTGGGGCCACCACACAGACCACATCTCTGCCTGTGACTAAGACTGCTCAGACCCAGTGCCATAGGAGACGAGGTGCCTTGGGTCCCGCAGAGGGAGCTCCCGGCTCCACCCCAACCTTGTGGCCAGGTGACATTCCCCAGGTTTCTAATGCTGTCTCCTTAATTTAGCTGCGGTCACACCAATTTAGCCTCAGGCTGCAGACTCTGCTCTTGCCATGCAATTTCAGAACACAATTTTACAGCATTGTTGAAAGAACAGACATTGATTTGGGTCAGTTTTAATTTTCATTTTTACCCCATGGGTTCCATGGGATGTTACTTTGATTCCACTCTCTTTTTTGCCTCCCAAATCCTGGTTCAGGAAGGCCAGGGCAGAGCAGGAGTGACGATGCAGTTCTGTTGTCACTGGTCTCTAAAGAAAAACAGGTCACGTTTGATTAATAGAGATTAAGTCAGCTCTGGTGGAGCTTCTACCTGCTCATGAACGAGCCCTGAACTTTGTGCCCGAGAAGAGCTGTGGAGCCCGTGTTTTCCGGAATAGTGCAGGCTCCGGTGCCCAGTGGCATCAGGCCTGGCTCTGTCCTGTCTGTGGTTTCACAGCTGTGCCCTGTCCCATGTGCAGGCTCCTTCCAGGAGCAGGCGCCATGGGCTGTCCTGGGCAGAAACCCATGGAGGGGATCCCAGCTGGCGCAGGGAGGCTGAGGCTGCCCTGGAGGGCTTGGCCTGTGCCAGGGTCTGGGCTCCAACCCCGCGGGGCCTGTCCCTGCCCCTGCTCCAGCGTCTTTTGTGGCTCACGAGATGCCTAACTTGCTCTCTCCACTCTTTCCCCCTCGGTTCTCCTGCCTGTAAAACAAAATAATACCTGTCGTGGGTGGCCATTGTGAGGACCAAGTGAGGACCTGTGTGGACAAACTCTGCCTAGAAATGTGAGAGGTTGCCGTTATTGTTATTTTGTTTCAAAGTCAACAAACACTGAAGGCCTACTATGTGCAAGACCCTGTGCGATGCCTGACCATGGGTGCTTAGAACAAAGTAGGTTATTAGATGTCAAGTGAACAAATGGACAGGGAGGACCCTGGGAGCCTCAGGGCAAGGGGCGTGGAGTGGTCAATGGCAGGGTCACACAGTGGGCAGGTTCTGGATGCCATTACCTATGCCTGACTTTCCTGGACCCCTACAAGAACACTGGGCCGGAAGGCAGAAGACAGTGTTTGATTTGAACTTCACACAATTTTATTTATTGAGCAACTATTAAGTGCAGGAGGCAGGGAGAGAAGACACAGTGGTTGCCCCAGCTTGGTGGGGGAGATAATAAGTAAACAGGCAAGGCCTATGGGGGGAGGAGTAAGCATCACCAACCCGTGCACCCCGCCAGTGGGGCCAGGGAAGGCAGCTTAAGGAATGAGGGGACCTCAGCTGGGTGAGGCTGGAGGTGTCAACAGCAAATGAGCGAGAACAAGGCAGGCCCACGGACCAGCATGTGGTTTGTATGGGTGGCATCTGTCATAGATGGGTGCCTGAGGGGATGTCTTAGCCAGTTTGGGCTGCGGAACAATACCATAGACTCAGCGGCTTATAAAAAATAGGACTTTATTTCTCACAGTTCTGGAGGCTGGGAAGTGCAAGATCAAGGTGCTGGCAGGTGGTGTCTGGTGTGGAACTACTTCCTGGCCTCCAGATGGCCATCTTCTCCTCATAGCCTTACAGGATGGAGACAGAGCAAGCTCTCCTGTCCCTTTATATGAGGACAAGAATCCCATCATGAAGGGTCTGCCCTCCTGACTAGTCACCTCTCAGAGGTCACATTTCCTAAGACCATCACAATGGGGCTTAGGATTTCATCATTTGGCTTTGGGGTGGGGGAGTGGTACACAAACATTCAGTCCATAAAAGGGGGACTACTAGGGTGAGGCAGGGCCGTGGGCAGAGCGCAGGCCTGGGGCATGTGGGCTGGGTAAGGCAGACTTTGGAGGTTTCCACCATGGGAGTGACAAGGGCTGGAACGTGGGAAGAATAGGGTGGAGGATGGCTTGGCTGGGACACGCCCAGGGGCAGGGAGATCAGGCAGCAGACTCTGCAGGGACGTGATGGTGGCCTGAGTCCTGGTCCAGATGCTGCTATCCAGAGAACACTGCAGCCAGAAGGGACCTTGACAGTCACTCGATTCATGCTTCCATCTCACAGGTGGAGAAACCAAGGCCCCATGAGGCCTGGGACCTGGCATTTTCAGGAAGGCCACCCCCAGGAAGGCTTCTTCCCCAGCCACTTAGCTGGCCCTCTCCCCAACCTTTTTCTGCCTGCTCAGTGAGACAAATCAATGACACATGTCTCTTCCTCTTGTTCTGGGCCACGCTGCCTCTACGGCAGGGTGATGTTGTGGGGCCTTGAGCTTGGGGCTCCCCAGAGGGCAAGAGCCTGAGACAGCAGGTCAATAAAAGGTGAGTGGTCGACGGGATTGGCAGATCCTGGACTCAGCCCTTCACTGGGCAAATGTCAGGCCCAGTGGCTGGGCAGCTTGGGGGCATTTCCACCTGAATGCAGGGACAAGACCACCGGCCAGTGGCATCAGACTGGCAAGGTGAGGAGGTGGCCTTTTGTAATGGAGTCACCTGTGTCCAGAACAGCTGTCCTCCCCTTGGGCCATGGGAGGACAAAGGAGAGAGCCAGAGGAAACCAGAGCCGAATGCCACATTGACTTCAGAGTGCTCTCCTGGTGGCTGGTGGGGCTGGGTGGGGTAGTGTGAGAGTGAAGCCAGCGGCCTGCAAGGTTTGTCCTCTGCCTAGTTCACTTGGCCTGGAGCCTGAACTGGGAGGGAGGATTCCGGTCTGGCTGTAAGACTTACTGGCTGTGAGCCCTTGGAGAAAAGGGATTCATCGTCTGGACCTCAAGTTTCTCATCTGTGAAATGGAATCGTCTCCATGGCTGAGCTGCCTTACATTGCCCCTGGGTCATGTTTACGTTCTTACGGATCCAGCCTCCCTGCCAGGGGTTCCCTGGTCTCTGCTCGGCTACTCCCTGGGCTGGGGCTGATGGCCTCTCAGGCAGACACTCTGATCATCATCATAGCCTGCCGGTGAGTAGTCTGAGCTAGGCTGTCAGTAGAGAAGGGTGGGATCCACTTTCTTCCACTCTGATCTCTTCTCCACAGCCCTCAGTTATTCCTGGAATTAGACAAAGCCCTGAAAAAATGCGAAGTAGGGGACGTGGAAGTATGATAGCTGCAACTAGCACCTCCTGGCTCACCCCTCCCACCTTCCCAAGATACACCGAAGTTATCAATAATGCTGAAGGCTAGAAATAAGCCAGAAGCAAGGGGAGATGTTTAACTAATTGAAGCCCAAAGAAAGGAGTGAAACAGAACAACACCGAAGCCACTGTTTGCCCTGCCTTCCGTCTGGGGAAAGGAGGAAAGCCGTGTTCCTACTGTGTGAGGGCTGCATTCTCCTTGGCCTCCCTCATCCATATCTCTTACCATGTGGTGACAGCTGTCCTTTGAGATTTAACTCAAGTTGCTGTGAGCACGCTATCCTGCCTCCCTGAGGGGGTTCAGTGACCTCCATGGGCATGTATGTGTTCCAGGGAGCTCATGTTCTCATGGCCCCCTCCAGTCAGAGTCCCAGCTTCTTCTTTTTTTTTTTTTATTTTTTTTTGAGACAGGGTCTTGCTCTTGTTCCCAGGCTGAAGTGCAGTGGCATAATCATAGATCACTGCAGCCTCCACTTCCCAGGATCAAGCAATTCTCCCACCTCAGCCTCCCAAGTAGCTGGGACCAACTGTGCCCAGGTTTTTTTTTTTTTTTTTTTGGTAGATAAGGGGTCTCTCTATGTTGCCCAGGCTGGTCTCGAACTCCTGGACTCTGATTTCTTCTGTGGGCCCAGCTGTGTGCCAGCTCTGATCAGGAAATATGGGAAGAGGAGACCCAGGCCCATCCATGAAGATGAGATGGGGGGAGGAAGAGAAGCAGAGGAAAAATCCAGCCTCATTCTTGGGAGGCTGACTTACCCACAGTCAGGGAACAGCCTAGGCTGGGTGTGAGCTGGAGGCTGCGAGATTGTGCAAGAGGGATGGGAGGTCACAGGGGCTGGAACCTGTGGCAAAGGATCCCAGGGGAATCAAAGGATGGAAACGATTGGGTGGTAGAAAAAAGGGAAAGAAACTCATTCCCATTGCTTCACGCTCTGGGAAGGCCATCACAATGCTATTCTTAGAAGGAAGCATATTTAATGGGAAAGTTAAATCCCACACCCATCTAAACCCTTGACTTCTGCATTTCCAAATACAGGGCTTGGTGAGTTACCTGAAACTGTATTAATAACAGCTAATGCATACATAGCCTTGGTCCCTGGTAGGCATAATTCTAATCCTTTCAGATATACCCTATAAATGTATATAATCCCTATATAAAACCATATTGTTACCTGTGTTTTAGGGATGAAGAAACTGAAGCACAGAGAGCTGAGGTCATGGGCCCAAGGTCACAGCTCTAATAATAAGCAGTGGATCTAGGAGTTGACCCAGCAGTCTGGGTCAGGAGTCCATGCTCTTAACTACTGTGCTATGGTGCCCTTCTGTGGGAAGGGCCACGCAGCGCCTGCAGGTCCTTAGAAATACCTCTCTTGTTTTCCCAGGGCTTGCTATGAGAGTATCACTCACCCATCCCCCGCCCCTGGTCCTCCTGCTGAATTTCAGAGCCCATCTAGCCATCAACTACCCGCGCCTCCACTGCTCTTACCGGGAGGCTGTTTGTGAAGGCAGAATTGGAATTTCTGAGTAAAATTTTCTTTCTCTTTATTTCAGAAATATAGTTCTCTCAAACTGAGCACCAGAGCTATTGATTCAGCAATAATAGAAAGTATTTGTGTGGAGAACCATGCCTCCTTGCACAATCTGCTAATGTTCTCGTTGGCAGGTATATAGAATATTGACAAAGGAAATTCAAGTTGTCCTGAATTTCCCCCAGCTTCTCAGGAAGAAGGGGAAATTAGTTTTGAACATGGCATAAATACCATCACAGTTGTCCCCAAATATTGATTCTTTGCAGTGTCTTTTATTATATGCACATAATAGGAGCTCAATAGGAATTGACTAAAGCCAGATTGCCTGGTGAGAATTCTGTCTGCTGTGCTCTAGCTGTGTGACCTTGGGTGAGTGACTTCCGTTCTCTGGCTCACAATTCCCTTTGTAAAGTGGAGCTGACAATAGTACCTTTCATGGTACCTACCTCTTTGGATCATGGGGAACTACATGTATGAATCTAGGCCCAGTGGTTAAATCAGCGCCTGGCCCATCGTACACCCTCAGTCAAAGACTAGCTGCTACTGTGACAGGCTTCAAGTGGAAGAGTGAAAGCAAAATATGGCTTGGATGGAAGAGGTCACCCTGGCCACCCTGCTCCTGATGATTGGCACCAGAAGTGACTTTGATCTTTTACAGATATTTGCACTGTTGATGAAAATCTAGCAAGAGTTGGCAAATTAATACTGTATACAAAAATAGAGAATTTTGCAAGTAACTTTAGAGAACATCTAGCTTAATTCCCCTCATTTTAGATGTGCAAAGTGAGGCCCAGAGAGGGGAAGGGCTTGCTCAGGCTTCTACAGTTGGTCCCTGTCAGAGCTGGGACTTAAGTCCCTCTAGGGAAGAGGCTACGCTGCTTCTCCAGGTTCATTTCTTTATCCATGGCTGTGACCAAATAAAAGATTCAAAGGTCAGAGAATCAACATACTGCCTTTGGGAAAAGAAATCACAGCTCAAGTTGGCACGTTTGGCGCTGAGTCACCAGCATACACTGCTAGGGAGGGACAGCAGCCATCAGTTTAATAACCTCTAAGCCATGTGACTAGTTAACCAGGGAATTCTTTTTTTTTTTTAATTATTATTTTTTGAGATGGAATTTCATTCTCATTGCCCAGGCTGGAGTGCAATGGCGCAATCTTGGCTCACTGCAACCTCTGCCTCCCAGGTTCAAATGATTTTCCTGCCTCAACCTCCTGAGTGGGACTACAGGCATGCGCCACCATGCCTGGCTAATTTTGTATTTTTAGTAGAGACAGGGTTTCTCCATGTTAGTCAGGCTGGTCTCGAACTCCCGACCTCTGGTGATGCGTCCACCTCGGCCTCCCAAAGTGCTGGGATTACAGGCGTGAGCCACCACACCCAGCCAACCAGGGGATTCTTTCTGAGAAGTTCTCACCATGATTTTCTTCCTGGTCATTGATGACTGATCCCATGGGTAATATGTGTTTCTAATCATTAGAACCATGGTGATGACATTGCAGGAACCAGAGATGCTTTTCTACCCAGTTCTCAGGGAGGATGCATGACACCCTGAGAAATATGATTTGTATCTTAGCTAGTTAGTGGTAGATTTAAAACCAGAACCCAGAACTGCTAACTTCCCAACTAGGAATCTAACTACAACAAAAGAGTACCTCTCTAAGCAAGCCTTCTGCCAGTGATTTTCTGCATTGCAGTGTTTTTACTTTTTATTTTTTGAGACAGAATCTTGCTCGTCACTCAGGCTGGAGTGCAGTGATGCGATCTTGGCTCACTGCAACCTCCGCCTCACAGGTTCAAGTGATTCTCATGCTTCAGGCACCCAAATATCTGGGACTAGAGGCATGAACCACCATGCCTGACTAATTTTTATATTTTTAGTGGAGATGGGGTTTTACCATGTTGGCCAGGCTGGTCTTGAACTCCTGGCCTCAAGTGATCCACCTACCTCGGCCTCCCAAAGTGTTGGGATTACAGGTTTGAGCTACTGTACCTGGCCAGTGTTTTGTAAAATATTTCAGAAAATCCCCCAACTCTGGCCCTTATAAAGACAAACCCCATAGATACAGGGAAGAGGATTTGATGCCCATGTAGATTTGAGGCTGTAGATATAGATAGAGAGGCAAGAGATTACTCCCCCAGAGAAAGCTAGGTTAAGCTGTTGGTCATCTTTGACTTGTGACCGGCTCTGAGATTACAGAAGTTCTAACCTAGGACTACTCAAAAGAGGATGATCCTAGATGCTGCCAACTTGTGAAATTTTGGCCACTAGCCTTCAAGAAGTACAGAAATTGAGAGTAAGTGTTTAGAAACTTTTATGGCAAGTGATAGAGTAGTTTTGTGTTTGCTGAATCTAATAAGTACAATGTGAACATACATTTTGTAGATCTTTATGGTTTGTTTCATTTTTTTCTGAAGATCTGTTTTTGTTGTATTTCTCAGAAATATTCATCCACCATTGATTGACAGTAATGAAAGAAAATTCTGGCCCTTCACCTTAGGTGAGGTTTGAGAAGCTCTGCCGTCTAGGTCTCTTCTCCAGAGATTCTGAGGCAGTCGGTCAAGGATGCAGGCTGAGCACCTGCTGGGGTCAGGGCTATCCAGGTGATTCCACTGTGCAGCCAGGATTGAGAAATTCTGCCATCCCAGATCAGCAGCAGCGGCATCACCCGGGAACATGCTAGAAATGCAAACTCTAGGGCCTACCTCAGAGTCACTGAATCAGAAGTTCTGGGGGTGGGGGAGCAGCAATCTGTGTTTTAAAAGTCCTCAAGTTTATTCTAATGCAAGCTGGCATTTGAGAACTATTGCCCTGGACTAAGTTCCTGTCTCCCAGCATTGCTGTGGGTCTGGCCTGACAGGCAGAGATGTGCACATACTGATCCAGTGAACATCTAGAACTGAAGCACAAACATGCCCTCCAGCTGCCCAGAACCTTTCTCCTCCCTATACAAGTGTGCCACCCAAGATTCAGCCTGAAGAGCAGGGCGGAAATCTCTTCATATCCCTGAAGACGATCTCTTTCTTCTTTCTTCTCTCTGATGAGAAATCCAGCATTACCTATTTTTTACTTATTCATAACTCACTCATTCATTTACTGAATCATTTGTTGAACCAAATATTTTTGAGTTCTCTCTGCATGCAGGTGTGATGTGGGTCTGGGATACAGAGTTGAAGGAAAGATGTAGGTAGAAAGGATAGGTGCAGGGAGTAAGGGGATTTACCTGACACCTGACTAGTCCTGGTTCTGGCCCTGCTTCCTATGAGTAAGTCACGGCCGTGTTCTTATCTATAAAATGGGTGAAGTTTGGACTAGATGAATCCTTAGGGTCCTTCCATCTGTAGTGACCTGGGCCTCCAAAGGAGGGCTAGTGGCTGAGGCACAGCACTAGGCCCATAGCAAGTAGGCACATAGCAAGTTCTCAATCATCATTGGAGGAGTCAATGGATGGATGGGTGCCAAAATGGTTGGATGTTATGAGGACGAGCATAAAGTCTTTCTGGGGGCAGAATAAGTCATGTGTGTGTGTGTGTGTGTTTGTGTGTGTGTTTGTGCGCTCCTGAGCCGTGAGCAATGGTGACCCATCAAGTCCTGCATCCCTGCTGTCCTGGTCCTGGCTACCTAGCTTCACAGGCAGAGCAACCCAAGCAATCAGAGCATGGGGGCGGCTAGGGGCAGGGCAAACTCTCCAAGGTTGCCCAATCCCATTTCCTGTCTGAGCCAGAGGCTCCCTATGCAGCTCCCCAGCAGCAAAGCACCCTGCTTAGGCTTGTACAGGTCCTCCTCATCAGCTACTCAGCTCCCACCAGCATTTTGTTGGGGGGATGGTTCTCCTCCAGGCTGCCTTCCCTAACTGCGCCAGCCCTCGGTAATCTCCCAGCCCTGTGCTCCTATAGCCCCCGAAGTCTTGCTCTCCAGCCCTTGCTCTCTCCCCAGCCTGGACTCTTCTCAGCTGCCCCCACTATCTTGGAAGCTCCATGGACACTCATAAATACTTACTTCAAGAATTATTTTTAATAACATAAGAAATACATAAATACATTATCATTATTAAAAAATAGAAATAAGACAAATGTCCCCCTTGGCCCTCCCAATACCATCTGCCTCCCCTGAGAAGACTTCTTATCAGTTTCCTGAGTTTCTTTCCACACTTAAAATTTTGCATTTACATTTGAATTTTTGTATTTCCATTTTTTGTGAGGGTGTTTACACAAATATACTTTATGGATGCTCTTTTCACTCCGCAATGTGTCTTAGAGAACTTTCCAAGCCAGTAGTTTTGTGCTGTATATCACATGTGTGTCATCTATATGTTACCTATGTTATGGCATAAATATGGCATAAAATACCATTTATGTTAACAGCTGCCTTTTGTACCAGAGCAAGGATACATGCCCTTATTAGTGGAGGTGTGGTACATTTTCAGTTTCACAGTGATGAACTCTGCTGCAGAGAACATTTTTCATGTGCCCCCTTGTGTAACATATGTAAATATTTCTCCAAGTTGTAAACTCAGAAGTGGAATTGCTGAATTGGAGGCTATGCACACTTTGTATTTCAATAATGCTGCTAAACCACCCTTCAAATTGCTTGCCTCCCAGCACCTGAGGCCCCCAATATGTCCCACCCCAGTCTATAACAACCCTCAATCTTCATTTTGCCAATCTGATAAGCAGGAAGGTGAATCTCATTCTTGCTTTAATTGGCATGTCTCTGCTTACTCATGAGGTAGAGCATATTTTCATATTGGCCGTTGGTAGAGGAACTGCTTGTGGAATAAATTAGGTGCTTAGTAAAGACACTGGTAAGGGAGGAGAAGAGTGGTGTGGCTCTGGGCAGGTTGTCTGTGAGGTTCCAGATCACTGACCTAGTCCAGGAGGGATGTTCATGGGAGCAGGCTGGGGTGCAGGTGAGGAAGACATTTCTGACACATAGAATGACAGAGTGGCACAGCCAGAGACCAGGCTGGGGCCCTCACCTCACCTCCTAACTGGATGTCCCTCACTATCAGAACTGTCACTGTCTGAACTCAGGAGCCCAATAGATGTGCATAGTGAGGATTATAGTGTTTTTGACTACAACTTGCTTCAATTATTTATTGCCGCATAACAAACTACCCCAAGATGTAGTGGTAAAAAAAAAATAAGATATTTGCTCATGTTTCTGCAATTTGAGGAGGGCTCAATGGGGGCAGCTCAGCTGTCAACGTGTTACCGAATGTCAGGGGTTCAGCCTAGGTTGCTTGCTGCGCAGAAAGCCAATCACTGAGACACCAAGTATTGCCAGGAAAGAAAGGCTTTATTATGGGTGACATCCACCAGAAGATGGGAGACAAGTCTCAAATCTGACTTTCTCGCTGACCAAAGTTAGGAGTTTGTAGAGCAGGGAAGGAAGAGGAGCTAGTGAACAGGCAACAGATGGTCAGACGAGAGGTCTGGCCTCTCATTGTCTGGATAAGGTGATCTGGAATGTATCAGTTTCTTGATCCTGTCTGGGAGGCCTGATGGTCGATTTCCTGAGAAAGGAACTCATAAGACAAATGTAAGTTTCTCAAGCTTCAGTTCTATGGGAAAATTGGGCCAGTTTCAAATGGACAGTTCCATGAGTTGTCTGCTGGGGTTGGAACATTCAAGAAGGGTTCTTCATTTACTGTCTGGAAACTGGGCTGGGATGGCTGGACTAGCCAGGGACAACTCTCTCTATGTGGTCTCTCCAAGTGGGTTAGCTCAGGCTTCCTCACAGCATAGTGGTTTCAGGGAAGTGACACTTTTTACATGGCAGCTGGCTCCTCCAAGAGTGCAAAAGTGGAAGCTGCCAGGTCTTCTTGATACCTGGACCAGGAATGCCCAGAATGTCATTGATGCTTCATTCATTGCAAACCAGCAACAGGACGGGTGGAGGGGAAATAGTTTCCACCTCTTTAGCAGAGGAGTAGCAAGGGCCCTTTGTAAAAGAGCACGTGGGCCCTACCCCACATGGAAACACACTTGAAATCTTTTCTAAGCAAATTGAGAAAAAAAGGAGAATGCATTATAAGGACATGGGGTGTCTCAGGTAACCCCGGGCTGGAAATGCAGCCGTGGATTGGGAAGAGCCATCAGTAACCCAGGCTGCACCTCCCTCGCCTCCCTGAGGGCACCCTGGTCTCCCTCAGGCGTCCTCCTCCTCTCCCTGTGAACCAGCTTTCTGTGCTTTTTCATGTCCATGGACTCCATAGGTTTCCCCAGAACAGCACCCTGAGCCCCCCAGTTTTCAAGTTTCTGAATGTTTTTCTGAATCCCACTTCCAAACCCCAGATTGACCCAGCCTGGTCCAGTTGTTCTAGATGAGGAAAGTGAGGCTGAGAGACTTCAAAGGTATTGCCCAGCACAGCTAAGCGGCAAAGCTAGGTTCTGAATGTGGGTCCTCCATCTCACCCCAGAGTGAAGGCTCAGTGCAGGCTGAGCACTCACAGGGCCCTGCCCTTCTTCTTCCTGCAGCCCTTGTCAAGCTCAGATCTGTGGGGGCTGAGCAGAGCTGGGTCTGCCAGGCCAGGCCTCTGCCTTCTTGGCAGCCTCCTTTGTGCCCTGCTTGGAGGGGGCAGCATCCTGCCATGTGGAAGAGGTGGGTCCATTTTGAGTGTAACTCTTCTAGAGGAAGGGCTTCACTCACCCCAACTGAGTGCCTTCACTCTAGCTCCAGTGTGGGCTGGAGGTTCTGAGGCTCAGTGCAGAAAGGGGCAGGCAGGAAAGCTCACTTCTGCATCTGCTCAGTGTAGGCCATCCTTCTTGCTGCCACGCTGATGGAAAGGCTAGCTGCACCTCTCTGGGTCTGCCTGCCTGGCTGGGATGAGATTTTCCAGGGCTGCCTCTGACCTGGCACTCTCCCCTACAGTCTGTGCAAAAACCTAGCTCATGGCACTACAGTCACCTGTACCACTTTCTAAGCTTTCTCCCTGAAACAAGGGTTGGCCTGTTTTAAGGGACCCCTGTGCTGCACATCATCTGACGCTTCCTCTTTGCAGGGCCTTGGCGGATGTCAGCCATAGCCTGGAATGTCCCCCACCCCCAGCTCTACCTAAGGACACCCTCTAAGACTCAAGGAAAAGGCCACCTCCTTCATGATGCCTCTCTAGGTTTCTGAGAACTGTTTCCACTTCCATTTGGATGTCTGCCTCCTTTCAACTTTGATTAGGGATTTTGGACATAGGCAGCAAGGCCTGGAATATCCTCACAATATATCATTTATTCATTCAACAACTATTTATTGAATGCCTACTCTGCGCAGGCACTGCTGTAGCACTGGGAAACAGAAGAGCTATAACTCACTGCCCTCATAGATCTGAGATTCTGCTATGGGAAGTTGACAATAAACAAGATGACTAAGTTAAGTGCATGGTGAGTCACATCTTGGTAGGTGCCATGGGGATAAAGTTAAGGCAGGAAGGGAGATTAGAGTGCCAGGGATAGGGCAGAATGGGCAATTTAAAAGGGGCGGGGGAAGACCTCACTGAGAAGGGGATATCAGAACAAAGACTTGAAGGAGGTGAGGGAGTGGGTCATGAGGCCCTCTGGAGGATGAGCCTGGTAGGGAGCGGCTGCCAAGAGCCTGAGCAGGAGCATGCCTGGCATGTTTGAAGCACAGTGTGGCAAGAGCAGAGAGGAAAAGAGGGAGGGAGATGGAAGGCAGGGCCAGACAAGACATGAAGCAAGGTCATGCAGGGCCCTGTGGGCCATTGTAAGGCCATTGACTCTAACACTGAAGGAAATTGGGTTACTGGGCAGTATCTCTGTTATCTTATTATTAATAATAAAGAAAAGGACACGGTAAGCAACCATGAAATTAATAGTAATTTATAATAATAATTAATATTATTTTTAGTTTTCTCTATCCACCAAGCACTGTGTTAAGCACTTAATATAAATAATCTAATTCTCACAACCACGCTATGTGTTGGTACTCTCATTATTTCTGCTTTGCAAATGGAGAAATTGAGACTCAGGGAGATATAGCAACTTTCCCAAGGTAGAACAGCTAGGAAATCTTGGAATAGGAATTTGAATTCAGGCAGCCTGACTCCTGAAGCCACACCCTGGATCATCTCTTATGCTGCCTTGAATTAATGAATAGGGATTAATTGAATCCTTCCTAGCTGTCATACTGGGATGTTTAGTCCCAAGATGAGACAATGTGGTGCATGCCATGACTGTATCAGAATCCTGTAGATGAGTGCCCATCTATTCATCCATCTGTAGGGAAAAGAAAGAGAGATCAGATTGTTACTGTGTCTATGTAGAAAGGGAAGACATAAGAAACTCCATTTTGACTTGTACCCTGAACAATTGCTTTGCCCTGAGATGCTGTTAATCTGTAACTTTGCCCCAACCTCTTTGCCAATTTTTTCCCAATCTTTTAGATCTGAAGTTCCCTGTTCTGGAAACCATGGGCAGAATTGTTCTATTGTTTGAAATAGCATAATTAGATTTTCTGTAGAAGTTTTAACTCCCCCTCTTCCTGAGAGAATTTTAATGAAGCTGAGATAAGAGGCATATTTACTTTCAGTTTGCCCCATTGTTACCCTGGGTACCTCCAAGCACACAAGCTTACCACAAGGCTGACCATAGACATACTCGGGAATCTCTCCTTGGCTGTCCTCAATGCTCACGTTCTTAGCGTACCTTCACCCTAGAGAAAGGCACCCATGTTGGGCGGCAGATGAAGGGGTGGCCTGCCCCTCCACACCTGTGGGTATATCTCGTCAGGTGGGATGAGAGACTGAGAAAAGAAATGAGACACAGAGACAAAGTATAGAGAAACAACAGCGGGTCCAGGAGACTGGCACTCAGCATACCAAGGACCTGCACGAGTCTCTGAGTTCCCTCAGTTTTTATTGATTATTATTTTCACTATCTCAGCAAGAGGAATGCAGTAGGAAAGCAGGGCGATAATAGGGAGAAGGTCAGCAAGAAAACATGTGAGCAAAAGAATCTGTGTCATAATTAAGTTCAAGGGGAGGTACTATGCCTGGATGTGCACGTAGGCCAGATTTATGTTTCTCTCCACCCAAACATCTCAGTGGAGTAAAGAATAACAAAGCAGCATTGCTGCCAACATGTCTCACCTCCCTCCATAGGGTGGTTTTTCTCCTATCTCAGAATTGAACAAATGTATAATGGGGTTTTATACCAAGACATTCAGTTCCCAGGGGCAGGCAGGAGACAGTGGCCTTCCTCTATCTCAACTGCAAGAGGCTTTCCTCTTTTACTAATCCACCTCAGCACAGACCCTTTACAGGTGTCGGGCTGGGGGACGGTCAGGTCTTTCTCATCCCACGAGGCCATATTTCAGACTATCACATGGGGAGAAACCTTGGACAATACCCGGCTTTCCAGGGCAGAGTTCCCTGTGGCTTTCTGCAGTGCACTGTGCCCCTGATTTATCAAGACTTGAGAATGGCGATGACTTTTATGAAGCATACTCTTTGTAAACATTTTGTTAACAAGTCACATCCTGCACAGCTGTAGATCCCTTAAACCTTGATTCCACGCAACATATGTTTTTGTGAGCTCAAGGTTGGGGCAAAGAGGTTGGGGCAAAGTTACAGATTAACAGCATCTCAGGGCAAAGCAATTGTTCAAGGTACAGGTCAAAATGGAGCTTCTTATGTCTTCCCTTTCTTCATAGACACGGTAACAGTCTGATCTCTCTTTCTCTTCCCTACACCATCCATCCATCATCCATCCATCCATCCATCCATCCGTTCATCCATCATCCATCCATCCATCATTCATGCATCCATTCATCCATCCATCCATCCATCCATCCATCCATCCATCCATCATTCATCCATCCATCCATTCATCCATCCATCCATCCATCCATCCATCCATCCATCCATTTACTCTTCCTTTCCTCCATTTCTCCCTCCCTCCCTCCCTCTCTGTATCTATTCATGCATCAACTCACCCAACTATTTAGCATTCATTGAGGTTTCCTATGTACTCAGACCATGCTGGACCAGGGGTCCTCATCTGTTCCCTGTTGTTATTTTCTTATCCTGTAAAGGAGGGAAGAAGAAACTGAAGAGGAACTTCAGATTCCACCCCAGCTCTATCCTACCTAGCCCTGTGACCTCTCTGGGCCTCAGCCTCTCTGTCTTCAGGAGGGCTTCGTCTTGTAGTTTTCAGTCCACTCTGATGTTTCCTGGCTATGGGGACTGCTTATTCGCGGCAGGGGAGCCCTGCCTGCGTGCTGTTCCTGCTACCTGGATGTGGGGTCTCAGGAGAACCCTGGCTGCATACGTGCCTCAGCCTCCTTCTGGAGACCAGGTGGGAGGTCTGCCCTTAGTGTGGGACACCATGAGCTTGCCCTTCCTTTTGTGTGAGCTCAGTGCTGTAGGAACCAGGCCTGGTGTGGTAAGAAATTTCATTTCCACCCTCTACCTCCATCCCTGCCTGGATAGCTCAGCCCTGCCCAGAGCCTGTGTGGCTATGGAGCTGCTCACCTAGGCAGAGGTGAGACCTGGGAGGGAGTAGGGATGGCCTCCAGCCAAAGTTGAGGCCTGCTTACTGGGGACAGGATGATAGAGCCCAGCTCACTGCCCTGCCCTGCCTTTAAAGTCCTGCTCACATTTTACCTCCTTGGAGAAGTCTGATATGAGACAGTTGGAAGGGTAAGGAAGGATTATGCATGCATGCACACACACGGGCATGTATGCGTGTGTGCACACATACAGAGATATACAGACAGATGGGACACACACAAGCAAACACACCCACACTTCCTCGGGCAGGGCATACCTGCTCGCTCAGCCAGTGTCTCTGAATCAGGCCATGTTGTTTGTCTTTCCTTGCCCATCCCTTCTGCTTGTCCTTCTTCTCTGGGCTGGTCTGGGTTCTGTCATCTCTCCTCTGCTCGAAAACAATCTCTTAGGCCTCTGGGCATCCATTGTGATAGGCAGAAGAATGGTTCCTGAAGAGGTCCACATCCTAATCCCAGAACCTGTGAACATTAGGTCACATGGCAAAGGGAAATTAAGGTTCACATGCAATTAAGATTTCAGTCTTAGTCTGTGTGTACTGCTGTAACAAAATACCTGAGACTGGATAACTTGTAAAGGACAGACATTTATTTCGTACAGTTCTGGAGGTTGGAAGTCTAAGATCAAGGCACAGGCTGGTTCACTGTCTCTGCCAGAAGCCCAGTCTCTGCTTCTAAGATGGTGCCTTGTTGCTGTGTCCTCTGGAGGAGACATACCCTGAGTGCTCCCATGGCAGAGAAGCAAAGGGCTTAAGCTAGTTTCCTCCAGCCCTTTTACAAGGCACGAATCTATGACTGAATCACTGTCCAAAAGGCCCCATCTCCCTCTCCCAATATCACCACCATGGGGATTAAGCTTTAACACATGAATTTTTGGAGAAGACACATTTAAACCACAGCAGTTACTAATCAGCTGACTTGAGATGGGGTGATTATCCTGGATTATCCAGATGGACCCATTGTAATCACAAGAATACTTACAAGTAGAAGAGGGGGCAGGAGAATGAGAAGCAGAGAGACGGCAGTGTGGGAAAGACTTGGGGCAGTGTTGCTGGCTTTGATGCAGGAAGGGGCCATGAGGCAAGGAATGCAAGCAGATTCTACAGGCTGGAAAAGCCAAGGAAGCAGTTTGTCCCCTAGAACCTCCAGAAGGATTGCAGCCCTGCTGACACCTTGATTTTAGCTCCATCAAACCCATTTTGGACATCTGATTGTTAGAGTGGTGAGAGAATACATTTGTGGGTTTAAGCCATTAAGTTCATGGTGATTTGTTACAACAGCAATCAGAAATGAATACATTCATCCATTTAGCTGGTCTTTCTCTCACTTGACACTCTGACTTGTGTTACAGTTTCCTGTGACTGGCTGCAGAGACATTATTGTCCTGTTAGTTGACGACTTGCAAAACCATACACAATGGCTCTGACTGACTGTGGGACCCTGGAAATGCCCCCTTTGCTCTCTTGTCCTCATCCCTCCATCTCTGCAGTTGGGGCTGGGTTAAGGGCCCTTCAGCTTCAACATCCTGGGTCTTGGGGTTTTCTATAAACTAGGCATGAGTTCCACTAGTATGTTGGAGGAACGGAACCGGGAGCCACCAGAGTGACAGGTCAGCCTGGGGTCTGCCTCTCCAGTCTCAAGTGTAGGACCACCCTGTCTCAAAACAGCCTCATTCTTGGGGAAACACCACTCCAGGGTCAGAGGCCACCAGGGCTGTTTCTCTCCTGCCTCAAACAAACTTTCTTGAGGCTGGAAGACTGTCTGCTGGATGTGAGCCTGGATGGTGCTATCATCTGAAAAGTGGGAAAACTTGAGGGCTTAATACCATCATCAGAAATCCACCAGAAGACTGGAAAATGCTCTGGACAGTTTTCCCTTCTGTTGCCATCTACCTCCCTGCAGCAGAGGCTGAAGTAGCCACCTACATCTCCCTGGGCCCTTCCCTTGTTGTGCTGTAAACATTTGCAACTCTTTGCCTAAAGACTTATCCTGACAGCCAGAGTCTCCACCCCACAAGCATGTCAGGCCAAGGGCTGGAGATTTAAAGGTTTCTGGAGCAGCCTTCAATCTATGACTGGCAGGCAATGATGTATAACTACCTCCACTCCCTCGCCCCTCAGGTGAGATAACTGGAAGGCACGTGTCCTACACTGGCCCTCAGCATTCCCTGGCAGGAGGAAGCTCTACTTACTCAGAGGGACAACACTATTTATTGTGGGGATATCCAAAATATAACCTTGGATCCTTGTTTCAGGATCTGCTTTTGGGGAATCCAAACCAAGATATCACATTTCCTCACTACTTCCCCTTCCTCTAGTTTCTGCTCTGCCACTTACTTGCTGCTGGGGAGCCCTGAGCCAGGGTCCTCTGTGGAATGGGGCTTATGCTATCTATAGCTTGACTGCCTATATTGCCTTCCCTGGTGCTTACCACCCTAGGGGAAGCCCCAGTCTGGAATTGAGGTGGTTGCCTGCACTCCTTTGGAGCTGAGGGCAGGGGGTCCTGTCTCAAGGCCATGATGGTATCAGAGGCCAGCATTCTCTGCTTGTGACCTGCTCAGCTTTGGGGGCCCAGACCTATCAGTCACTCACCTCTGAGGTAGTGAATGAGCTCATCTGCCCACTTCAGCCTCCTGGGAAGGACAAGGGAAGCAGAGGGGAAGGAGAAAATGGGTGCAGGTGGAAATAAACAGTCTGGCTTTAGTCCTAGGACCAGACAGGGCAGGGAGGACTGAGACTCTAAGAAGGGTCGAGGCCTGTGTGGCTTTGAACAGGAAGAACCTCACCCCTCCTAGAAGCCAAGACCATCAACCATGGCCCCGATCCTCTTCTTTCTGTTTCAGAACATCATTTAAGCCCCTCTAGCTAGACCCATTGCCTTCATCTGAACCCATCTTTTCATCCTGCCTCATTTTCAATCTGTTCTCAACTGAACTCTCCCCAGATACATTCCATATTTCCCACCTGTAGGCTTGGGGGCAGCCAGGAGTCCTAAGCTGAGGGAAGAGTGCATACAAAGATCCAACAATGAGGACAAGCATGGTGAATCCAGAGACCACTGGGCTGCGGTGCTTGACCCGCTGCATTGAGAAGTTTGGAATTATAAAAGCAATGGGGAGCCATGGAAGGCTTTATGGTGGGGGGAGGAGATGGGGCTCAGCTTCTTTTCCATCAACTTGGGTCAGATCCATCCTTTAGGGATGGTGGCAGGCTCAAATGCTCACAAGTAATTTGGAACTTTCCACATTTCTTGTCCTGACCCCTAAACGCCAGTAGCACTCCATTGGCATTTTGATAATGGAAAATACCTCCCTGGAGAGGGCTATGCCCTCCCAAGTTGAGGACCACTGATGGGGAACCTCACTGGTACCCTGGGCAGTGGCTGGATGCATGGAGAGGCAATGAGGGCAGGGGCTGGAGGGGTGGGCAGGACCCAGAACCGGGGCCTGGGAACCAGGGAAGGGGCTACCTCCTGCCTACCCAGTGCCCCTGAGTCCCAGAACAAAAGCAGCAGCCTCATCAGCTCCCTTGGGGCAGGGTTGAGCACAGGACTTTCCCTCTTCCCTTCAAGAGCTGCTCCCTCCACCCCCTGCTCCCCTCCCTCCGCTGCTCCCCTCCCTCCCCTGCTGCTTCTACTGAGGGCTTAATACTGGGTGTCAGAAGGCAAGTTCCAGCCGATAGGAGAGGAAAGAGTGCAAGGACACCCAAGGACACCTGAAAGGCTGGCAACAGTGGTGGTTGCCTTCGGGTGCCTAGGGATCCTTTCTGCCTTGTAAATTTTGTTGCATGTTCGTGTGTGACTTAAGTTTTATATTATTTAAAAAAAAAGTAATTTCAAATGTCAGAAGAGTTGCAAGAAATGTACAAGGAACTCCCATCTACCCTTCACTCAGATTCATCAATTGTTGCCATTTTGCCATCTTTGTGTTATCATCATTGCCCTGTGTATATGTATAAATATATACACAACAATATTCACAGCCATGCATACACATATATGTACATTATGCCTTAAATACTTCCTACTTCTATGTGCATTTCCTAAAAACAAGGACATTCTTTTACATAACCACAGTACGGTGATCACAGTCAGGAACTAGAACCCTGACATAGTACTATTAGCTAAGCCACATGGTCCATATTCAGGTTTTGCCAGTGGTCCCAATAAAGTCCTTTCCAGTTGTGTTTTCCCTGTCCAGGATCCCCTCCAGGATCAGGTGTTGTGTTTACGGGTCCTATTTCTTTGTTCTCCTTTAATTGGGGGTGGTTCCTCAGCCTTCCCTTGTCTCTCATGACCTTGCCACTCTTGTTATTTGGTAGGGTGTCCCTCCATTCAGAATTGTCTGATGTTTCCTCATGATTAGCTTCAGAAAACAAGTGGTGTTTAAAAGTAACGATGAGGAGTTGTTGAAGCCTAGGAGCCTAAGAAATGGAGGAAGCCTCACGTAAGAGGTTTTGGAGGCTGGCAAGCCAGGTTTTGAAGCTCAGTTTTGTCATGATTCATTCACCCATTCAGGAACGATCTATTGAACATGTTTGATGAATCTGGCACTGCTCTGGTGTCCTAGAATATATGAGTGAACAAAAACAAAAACTTCACCCTGTAGAGTGTCATGGGTTGAAAAGTGATGCCCCTTCCCTGCAGCCTCACAGTGGGACCCTGTTTGGATACAGCGTCTTTGTAGATGTAATTAAGGAACAGATCTTGAGACCAACCTGGATTACTAGGATGGGTCCTCCTTCCAATAATGAGTGTCCTTATGAGAGACAGAAGACACAGACACACAGCGGGGAAGGATGCATGGAGACGCAGGCAGAGGTTGGAATTAGGCTGTCACAAGCCATGGGATGCCAGGAGCTGCCAGAACCTGGATCCTCCTCTGGAGCTTTTGGAGGGAGCATGGCTCTGTCGGCACCTTGATTTTGGACTTCTGGCCTCCGCGACTGTGAGAGAATAAATCTCTGCTGTTTAAGCACCCTGGTCTGTGGTGCTTTGTTACAGCAGTACCAGGAAACCAATACCTGCAGGCTGCATTCTAGTGGGTGGTGTAGGGGCAGGCTACACCCCAGCAATGAGCTTCAGCAAATTTCTTTACTTCACCAACTTTTCATTGCCTTCGTTAAAAATCAGGATAATGGCACCTGACTCAAGTGGGGATTAATGGATAATGAAAAGCAAGTACCTAGAACATAGGAGGTGCTTTATAATTGACAGCAGTTACTACTGTAGCCTGCCAATACCTCCAACAAGAACCTAAAAGAAAGGTTTGCCCAGGCAATGCTCTTCTGGACAGGTAGCTGCAGAGCAACTTCGTCTGATCAGATTCCAGCTCCCTAGGAGCCGGCAGGTGGTACGGAATTCTAGAGAGTTCTGTTCCTTTAAGCAGACACAAAGGGGATAAATCGGCCTCTGCAGCCTCCTGGCTCAGAACATCTAAACCAGCATGCTTTTATGCTTCCAGGCAGGCCGGGGTCTGCCAGAGTCCATTGTCTCCTAAAGGGTTGATTAATTGGGAGCCGGTAATTGGTTTTGGCTGCGGGACTGGGGAGGTCACAGCCTCTCCGGGATGGAGAGCTCTATGTGTGAAGACACACGGGGCAAGGTGGCTGGAGCCCAGAGCTGTGAGGGAAGAATGGGACTTCTTCCGTGTGTGTGTGTGTGTGTGTGTGCGTGTGTGTGTGTGTGTGTGTGTGTGTGTGTGTGTCTGAGGGAGAGAGAGAGAGAGATTGAGAATTATGACTCCTCTCTGAGCCTCTTTCAGGACAACATGGGGTGCAGTGATTTTTTTTTTGAGACTGAGTCCCACTCTGTCACCCAGGCTGGAGTGCAGTGGCATGATCTCGGTTCACTGCAACCTCTGCCTCCCGGGTTCAAGTGATTCTCCTGCCTCAGCCTCCCGAGTAGCTGGGATTACAGGTGCGCGACACCACACCTAGCTAATTTTGTGTTTTAGTAGAGATGGGGTTTCTCCATGTTGGCCAGGTTGGTCTCAAACTCCTGACCTCAGATGATCTCCCTGCCTTGGCTTCCCAAAGTGCTGAGATTACAAGTGTGAGCCACCGTGCCCTGCCGGGGTGCAGTGATGTTCAGCAAGTGAGGCTGCAGGCCCCAGAGTAGTTATTCTGCCACCATCCCCTGGAGAGCCTGTAGGGGTTGAGAACTTGGAAACCTCCCCCTTGGCCTTCTAGGCCCCAAGAGTTTCCCTGGCCTCTTTCATGTAAAAGGTGTCCTAGCCATGGTGTAGGCGGTGATTGGGCCAGTGCCACTGTCACCAGCAGGTGGGGGCAGAGGCCACAGGGTCCTGTTTGAAGGTGGGGGCCTGGACCCCATAGCTTCTTCAAGGCTCTTCTGGGGCCAGGACTCCTGGTCCCACCAAAATGGCCCCATCTCCCGGAGAAAAAATGGCTGCTGAGTGGCAAGAAATGTGGGACTTCAGATGGTTTGCCAGCTACCCAGAAGCAACAGCCTGGTGTCTGTTGATATTTTAGGTTGCATGATGCAATTCCACCTTAAATTTGCATAGCCATTTTTTTTTCCTGCTGAAGCCCTGTCACATCAATCCATTCAATGCCAGCACCTCTTCCTGCTGTGTAGATCAGCGAAAACCTCTTTCTGTTCCCCTAAATGGTAAACTGAGGCTCCACGAGGTAAAGGGCTTTCCCGTCACCACTCAGCAAGTCAGAGGAGCTTGAGAACTACTGAGTGACCCGTATAGACAGCCCCCGACCACCAACAGAGGTGTGCCTCTTAGTGAAGGATGGGGACCTTGTTACCTGGGAAATTCCCTTTGCCTCATCTGCATGGACAGCACTTAGGGTTCAAAGGTTGTTGAGCACACAGCAGGGAGAGCCTCTGCAGCCAGAAGATAGAAGATGCCACACAGGGCGGCACCTCAGAGCAGCACATTTGTATAACCACACGACAGTCCACAGGCATCTTCTGCAAAGATCCTGGCAGCTTACACTGATAGCTTGAGTCATGCAAATTGCTAGATTTGGTTTCCATTTATTTGCAGATGAATATCCCTCTGGAGGCAGGAGGAGGGAGGAGAGCACTGTCTCTTTTTAGTTATTCGGGGCATTATTTTCAAAGCCCTCTGAGCTGAGGCCTGGGACTAAGGGTGATTTTGATTCTCCAGTGAGTCCTGTTCTGACTGCTATTCACAATAACATGCCCTGTAAATCGTCCAGGACCCAGGCTGATCCTAACCACTTCCTCCCACCCCTGACTGCTGCCTCATCCCCCCCCTTCTCTTTGCAACCCCTGCCTCTTGCCTCAAGCAATAAAGCATTAGGAAGTACTGCTGCACACAGTCCTAGGTGTAGGTCAGTGGGGGGCCAGGGGTCAGCAGGCAGATGCCATGCAGAGGAGCAGGATCCCCTGGGGGAGCAGCTTCCACACTTGCCGCCTTTAGCCAGCCTTGAAGGATAAGTCAGATCAGGTCACTCCTCTGCTCAAGTGCCTTCAATGGCTCCCACCTCACTCACAGCAAGAACCATGGGCCTTACAGTGGCCCACAAGGCTCTCCACACCCATGAACTCCTGCCACCCTCTCCCTCTTTCACTCTCCTTCCATGGCACCAACCTCCTTGCTGTTCCTGGAACTTGCCGGGTGCTCTCCCATCTCAGGGCCTGTGCCCCAGCTGCTCCCTCCGCCCAGAAGGCACCATAGCATTGCCCTTGCAGAATGAAAGCTGTCTTGCCTAAGAGATTCCTCTACCTTCCCCCTTCTGTCAGAGGTGTGTGAACCAGAGCAACTCCATCTTGAATAGGAGCTCGGTAAAATGAGGCTGAAACCTACTGGGCTGCATTCCCAGATGGTTAAGGCATTCTAAGTCATAGGATGAGACAGGAGGTTGGCTCAAGATACAGGTCATAAAGATCTTGCTGATAAAACAGGTTGCAGTAAAGAAGCCGGCTAAAACCCTCTAAAACCAAGATGGCCAAGAGAGTGACCCCTGGTCGTCCTCATTGCTACACTCCCACCAGCGCCATGACAGTTTATGAATGTTATGACAATGTCAGGAAGTTACCCTATATGGTCTAAAAATGGGAGGCATGAATGATCCACCCCTTGTTTAGCATATCATCAAGAAATAACCATAAAAATGAGCAACCAGCAGCCCTCAGTTCTTCTCTGTCTATGGAATAGTCATTCTTTTATTTTTTTCCTTTCTTAAAAAACTTGCTTTTACTTTACTTTATGGACTTGCCCTGAATTCTTGCTTGCATCAGATCCAAGAACCCTCTTTTGGATCTGGATCAGGGTCTGGATTGGGACCCCTTTCCTGTAACACTTCCACCTCTGGGCAGCTCACAACCACGGGCTCACAGACTCAGGGTTGCACAGGCTTCAAGTGGGGACTGAGTGCATGCAATCCATGTCCTGGGGCTCCCCGTGGGACCAGAATGAAACTGACTCCAGTCCCTGCTCTGCTGCCCCCTGTTCTGCCCTGCTTCCTCGCTTCCTCACTTCCCTCCATACATCACGTGCCCAGATCCTCATCTCAGGCTCTGCTTCTAGGGAACTGGATGCAAGACTCGCATTATTTAAAATTGCAAACCGTATCTCTCAACTGCATCCCCTTCACTCCCTGCTTTATTTTTCCTAACTTATCATCTTCTAATACATACCTTCAGTTATTTCTTGGTTTTCTTCTTTTGCCCTGTGTAGCAGGTAAAGCCTTAGTTAGAAGGCAGGAATTTTGTCTGTTTTGTTGCCTTTGTTCACAGTCTGCAAACAGTAGCTGCTCAATAAATAGTTATTGCATGAATGTATGCATGGATTAAGTATTGCTATAGCTGTGAGTGCAGTGGGTACCTAAGGGCTGGGCTCAGGGAGTACTCCTGGGATGGACAGGATGGGGACTGGTATTGAAGTACTGGTGGGGACCAGCTACAGGAGGAGGAAGAGGAGGGAAGTCTGGGGAGGGCAGAAGAGTGGGACTGCAAGCAGGGCATTCGGGGTTCAGGGGGACGCCATGGAGGGCAGGCGATGGAAGAGCTGCAAGGGTGTGCTAGACCTTTAGGCTCTGTCCTGCAGCAAAGTCCCTTATGCTAAAAGCACAGGCCGGGCCCAGTGGCACAAGTCTCTAATCCCAGCACTTTGAGAGGCAGAGACAGGCGGATCACTTGAAGTCAGGAGTTTGAGACCAGCCTGGCTAACATGGCGAAACCCCGATTCTACTTTAAAAATGCAAAAATTAGCCAGGTGTGGTGGCATGCACCTGTAGTCCCAGCCACTCAGGAGGCTGAGGCTGCAGTGAGCCGAGATCATATCACTGCCCTCCAGCCTGGGCAACAGAGAGAGACCTTGTCTCAAAAATTAAAAAATAAAACCACAGGATGCCTTTCTGAAAGGTCACCTCTCCTAATCATGGCAGCAGCAGAGGGGAGTTCCTAGAAGTGGGAGGAAATTTTCCTAGCACCATGCCAGCACCATGTCTGCCAGCACCATGTCTGCCCCCGAGGTCTTTCCTCAGACCAAGGACAATCCTAGGAATGAGAGGCAGTTCTTGCTGAGATCCCTGCAGGCTAGGGCCCAGAACACACTTTTCCCCATAGCCCCTCATCTAATCCTTACCCAACCTAAGGGGGTGCTCTTAGGATCACCCAGTTTATACATGCAGAAACTGAAAGCTCAGCCATGATGCCTGCACACCAGAGCCAGGATTCAAGCCCAGTTCTGTCTGTCTGTCTGTCTGTCTGTCCATGGGGTTACGCAAACTCTGGGAGCACCTCTCTGGTTCCTTCACCCTGGTGCACAGAGCCCACCTGGTTACTGAGCACATGAACCAACTGCACTCACCCATCCACCCACCCTGCTTTGCAGCTGGGCACAGCTAGGATGGAAACTCAGCCTGCGCCTTGCTTACTGTGTGGCCCTAGGCAGATTCCTTAACCTTTCTGAGCCTCAGCTTTCACATCTGTAAAATAGGGATAGTTGTAATCACTCAGCAGGCACTGTGCTAGGCATTGGGGATACAGCATCAAACATAGACAGTCTCTGCCCTTGTGTACTTATTAGACAAACTAGACAAACTCTTCCAAATAATTAAATGCCAAACAAGAGCATAAAATACAGCACCTCACAGCCTTGTTTTATGGATCGCATGGCTTAGGAAAGGTGTATGTCTATCTCAGCAGAGGGACCTCAGTGCGGGTGAGGTGACTTCTCCTCTGCAAACCTGCCCCTGGAAATAGAGTGGAGCTGAGAAGCAAGCAAAGGAAGGAGCAGGACCCAGAAGAAGCGAATAGTAGGGCCAGGAGGAACTGCTGGGGACAGCCGAGCTGAAAATGGCTAAAATCCTGCCTCCAACTTGGCACTTTGTTTCTGACTAAGCCTGGGCTTTTTCTAGCTTCCTGCCTCTTTTGCTTCTTTGGTGTGACTGGGGAAATTGAGGCGAGGAAAGTAGTCGGGACTTGCTGACAACATAGCTGCAGCCCTCGGTACCTGGCCCTCCTGCCAACATTTGCACAGCCATGGTGGCACCACACTGCTGATGCTCGTCCACCTCTCCTGCCCAAAGCCTTGAGATGAAAGCCTTTCTTGTGCAAGAGGGGCTGAGATGGAGAGGAGAAGCAGGGCTGAGAGGTCTGCAATCCTTGGAGGAGATCCTGGGCAACATCTTCCTGCAACCACTTAACCCATGGAGGGCATGTGAGCTCACCCAAGGCCACACAGCTGATGAGAGATGTGGCTGGGTCTAGAATCCAGGTGTCCCAACTGCAGGCCAAGACTCTGCTGCACATGGTAACCACCAAGCTTCAAACCCGCGGGCTGCTCCCTCCCTCTCTGAGCCTCAGTCTTCCCATCCATGAATTGGGCAGCTGACTCCCTGGTCCTCAAGTTTCTGTCTGCATGGGGACCCCTCCCCCTTTTTGCCAGCTGTTGGGAAGTTGAGGCAGTGGGCAGGCTCCACTCTGGGTGCCCTCCCTCCCCACGACTTTGGGGTTCCCAGCACACCTTTCTACTGTCATTCCCCCACGGCAAGGCAGGAGCGAGGGGCTTATCTGGCTGTCTGAAAGCCGAATGGCTGGCCTCTCTGACTGGGTTTTCAGAAGCTTTCTGCCTTTGCTGCCGCGGTAGAAAAGATGACTTCCTTTGCAGTACTGAAGGAAAAGCAAGCAGTTATGCCTTTTGCGGTCTAAAATGGGCATAGGACCCCAGGGGAGAGGCGGAGCAGGTATTTTGCTGGCTAGCAGAATGGACAGCTGACACTGTTCTTGGGATCTGGAAGTTATCATTACAAAGAAAAAAACACATTGCTTTCTTCTCAATGCGTCGGGTAGTCAGTTTGCAGTCTAACAGCGGGAAATGGATGGCTTGCTTAATTACAGGATGTGTGCTCGCTCTGTCTACAGCCACGTGGCCCGTCGGTCACAGCCATGCTGAACTCTTCAGCAGATGGTCAGCATCTGCCACCCTAGGTATTTTGAGGGGGTGTCCTCTCCACCCAGGCACGCTCCCGTCCTGCCTTCCTGATGCTGCTCACATCTTGCCTGCCCACTCAAGCTCAGGCCTACTGCTGCCACCTCCATGAGAAAGTCTTCCATCGAGGAGTTCAGTGCACACTATGTCCCCCACTGCAAGACCCCAATTGCAGTGGTTAAAAAAAATCGATATATATTTATTTAAAAAAAATCATCCACCTTCCCAAGAACATGCTCCACCCTTCTCCAAAAACACAGAAAGTCATCTCCGCCTCTTTCCCAGTGAAGGAACACCAGGAGCCCTGGCAGGGGAGGCTCTGCTAACTCTGACCCCATGCACTTCTTTTTTTTCTTTTTCTTTCTTTCTTTCTTTCTTTCTTTCTTTCTTTCTTTCTTTCTTTCTTTCTTTCTTTCTTTCTTTCTTTCTCTCTCTCTCTTTCCTTCCTTCCTTCCTTCCTTCCTTCCTCTTTCCTTCTTTCCTTTTCTTTCTTTTGAGACAGATAGAGAGTCTTGCTCTGTCATCCAGGCTGGAGTGCGGTGGCACAATCTCAGCTCACGGCTCACTGCAACCTCCGCCTCCAGGGTTCGAGTGATTCTCCTGCCTCAGCCTCCTGAGTAGGTGGGACTATAGGCATGTGCCACACCTGGCTATTTTTTTTTATTTATTTTATTTTATTTTTATTTTGAGTAGAGACGGGGTTTCGCCATGTTGCCCAGGCTGATCTTGAACTCCTGTCCTCAGGTGATCCACTCACCTCGGCCTCCCACAGTGCTGGGTGGCCCATGTACTTCTCCAGCTCTTGTCACTGTAGCTCATCTCACCAGCTGCCCTGCCTTCCTAAAGCTGTGCACGCCACTCCTGCCCACGTCCCGCCACCTTTGATCACAGAAGTGCCTATGCCAGGACATCAGTTCCTCCCCACTGCCGCCTTTTCCAGCCCCCAGCTCCTTGGCTGTCACCGCTCTGCCTGTGGAAGCCCGTCCCCAGCCCACACGGGCCTCTACAGGAGCCCTCAAGGACGCTCCGAGTGGCTGTGCTCCTCCGGTCTCTCCTGGTGCTTCTCCTGGCTGTGCCTCCTGCCAGAGGCAACCAGCCACACCCAGGCCACGTTGCCACCCTCTGCACAGGTGTCGAGCTCCTCAGGCCTAAAAGGAGGACCAGAAGTGATCTCCTGTAGACCAGCGTCTCACTGGGTGCTGGGCTGTGGGAGCCCTGCTTCACCATCCCAGCAGGAGCCCACTCAGCCTCTGCTTGCACACCCCATAGTAGTGGGGAACTCACTCCCTTTACATGCTCTGCTGGCTCCCCAGGCAGCCCTGCCACGTGGGGCAACTCTGTTGTCCTTCCTTGTGCTCAGCCCTCATCACCCTGCCTTGAGAGACCTCCCGACCCCTCAGATATCCCAACTTTGGTTTCTGTTGGGAGGTGGTTCCCATCTGCTGGGAGAGCAAGCTGGGCAGGAGGTCATGGCCTTCCCGGCTGCACTAGGCAGGGGTTCTGGGCGCATCTTCACCACCCCTGTCCTTCGCTCAGACCCTCCAACAGTGCATGTGGTCTGGGCCATAGGGAGCCTGGGGCCTCCCTGACTGCCCCTGTTGACTGTGCCCACTGAGCCGGGGTGCAGGACCCACCTAGCACCATCCAGGGGCCCAGTGGCCTCGCAGCCTGGCCAGATCTGGGAGAATCTGTTTGGCTTTGAACACCTCTGTCTTCTGGAGGTCTTTAGAACACTCAGCTTCAGTGAACATGCATGTTGGATTCTTGGACTCTGGAAATATTCATGCAGTATTTGACCCTCCCAGTCTGGATTCCAAATTCAGTCATTCCCAGAGCATACACTCTTCTCCGGTTTTTGGCAAGTGGGCTGGGGAGCAGGTGCCAGGCTCCATCTCGCACATGCTGTGTGCATCCCCAGGGAAGTCAGTGGCTGCTGTGACGAGGGCAGTCATGAAGCAGGATCCCACACCGCCTGCACGATGCTGCCCACCACAGGACAGTTCACCTGCCAGCCTATCCATGCCCGCCACCCGCTGGCCCATCCATGCCCATCAGAGGACGGCTCGCCCGCCGGCCCATCCAGTCCACTCCACTGGCTGGCTCTGCCACCTCTCATGTCCCTGATTCCGCTCCTGTTATGCCCCATGAAGCCTGTGCCCCAGCTGGTCTCCTCACCCTCATACCCCAGGCACTTGCCCTCCTTCCTTGTGGTCATGCTTTTCTGGAAACCTCCAATGCTCACCTTGCCTTCCTTCTTCAGGGTCAAGCTCTGTGCCCTCCCCTTGCCTCCAGATGGGCTCCCCACACCCCACTGACCTTCTCAGGGATCCCTCAGGGATCCGCTGACCTCTTGGGGGCTCCCCAGTCCCCCTGACCTCCTCGGGGCTTCCTCTAGCCCACCTTCCAGCCCCGCTCTGATGGAGCCAGTGTGATCACAAGATTCCCCCCCCAGGGTGGGGGCTCCTCCTCTGAGCTCACTGAATGTGTGCCGGATTTAGGGGAAAAGCCTCACACCGACAGCTAACACTGCATAGCGCTTACCTTGGGCCAGGCCTGGTGCTGCATGCTTCATATGAACTCATTTCATCTCCCCCATTACCCTTGTTTTGCATGTGACTAAATAGAGGCTAAGAGAGGTTAGGTAACTTGCCCAGGATCAGAGCTGAGCATCAGGGTCAGGGTTGAAACCCAGGCAGGGATGTCTTTGACATTGCGTCTCCACTGTCCCCTGTGCTCTAGCGATGGGAAGGACAGGTGGCGGGGTCTCCAGGGGCCCTTTCTGGAGCAGGAGCACTGAGGTCAGTGAGCATTTGCTGGACAATGGCTGAGAGAGACGCTCACTGGTGCAGCATTTTGTGTAAACACCCCCAGTGACACAAGCAGGGCCTGCTCCTCCCTCTCCTAGCTCCCTCTGCTGCCTCAACTCCTGGGCCTATCAAGACCTTAACGCTCACGGCCCTCTGGCCCAGGGGGATGCCGGCAGAATGCAAGCTCTCCTGCTGCAGCTTCCCTGAGAGCAGAACCTGAGACCAGAGCTTGGGGAGAGATGATGGTTTGGGGGTTGCCCCCAGGAGGCAAGGAAGCAGGAATGAGGGAGCAGGGAGAGCGAGACAGGCAGGGAGGAAGAGCTAGCACCAGCAGCCAGGTTTGTGTATCCTGTTCTTGTTTCATGCATTAAACATCTTCTATCTCCCAGAGCACACTGATGATCCTTTACAGAAAGTTTTCTCCTCCCTGCACAATCTGTTTCTTCCAGGTTGCCTTTGTCTTGTTTCAGGCCAGGAGTTTGAGGCCAGCCTGGGCAACATTGTGAGACCCCCAACTCTACCAAAAAAAAAAAAAAGGAAAAAGAAAGAAAAAGAAAATTATCTGGGTGTGGTGGTGCGTGTCTGTGGTCTCAGCTACTCAGGAGGCTGAGGCAGGAGGATTGTTTGAGCCCAGGAGTTCAAGGTTACAGTAAGCTATGATGGTGCCACTGCACTTCAGCCTGGGTGACAGAGCGAGACACTGTCTCTCTTAAAAAAACAAAAACAAAACCAAAAACAAGCAAACAAACAAAACCCAAAGAATTTGATCAGCCCAGGAGAAATGATCTGAGAAATCGACATCAGGGCTCTAGGGCCAGACTGGACCCCCAGTGAGTACTGAGCTTCTAATCTCCGTAGTGCCCCACTGCAAATATGAGCAGGCAGCTGAGGATCGCCATACACGTGATGAAAGTCCAATAGCAGAGAAAACGAGTTTGAGAACAGCCTGGGCCACGTGCAGTGGTTCATGCCTGTAATCCCAGTGCTTCAGCCTCCCAAAGTGCTGGGATTACAGGCATGAACCACTGCACCTGGCCTAGTGCTGGTTATATTATCTAGAAAAGACTTTTCTGGTCTCCTGTGTAAGGATAGGACACCTAGAGTCCACCAGAGAGTAGAGTGAGAGGGAAGAAGGCTGGGGCACCGGATGATGTTGATATCCAGCATATAAATCTTCAGCTAATCCTCTTATGTCAAGAACAGTGCTTCCAGCGTCAACTGTGTCTGGTGGCCCTTGGCGAAGACACCCTTTGTTTTGCCTTCCCTAAGGAACAGGATTTTGGTCCTGGGTGTGGTGGGGCAAGGAGCACCAGCTGCTATGGGCTGACAGGCAGGGCATGAGAACTTCTTCCTACAAAGCATTCAACAGTCCACCTGCTGGGAGCCCACCTTCAGCCCACCCTCACCCTTTCCAGAAGTAGCCAGTCCATTCTCGCAACCTTCCTAGAGGAAGTCAAGTTGCTTACCAACTTCCACCATGGCAAGCTTACGATGCAGCTTGCCCTGGCCTGGTAAGTTAAGGTACCTGCTCATCAACCTGCTCCCCAGCTTCCAACATTGTGTTGCTGTTGTCTCCTCTCCCACTTGTCATTACCAGTTTATTGCTTTTAAATACTCTACTTATTGTCCATTTAGTGGGGTTTTAGGAAGGACGAGGCTCAAATGTGCTCAATCTGCTGTCCTTATCTGAAAAAGCTATCTGTATTTCAGTTATTTTTGTGTAGTGACAACTCACCTCAAAATAGAGGCTTAGTACATTTATGATTTCTCAGGATGCTGTGGGTTGGCTGGGCCATGCTGCGGTCAGGACAGCACAGCGGTCAGGGCTGGTTGGGCTACTCTCTGCACTCAGCTGGCATCTTGGCTGGGGCTGGGGGTCTGCAATGCCCTCATTCACATGTCTGGCAGTGACTTGATGTTGGCTGGGGCAATGGCATGGCACAGCCCTCAGTGTCCAGCAGGCCAGTCTGGGCTTTCCCACATGCTGGGTGATATGGTTTGGCTGTGTCCCCACCCAAATCTCGTCTTGAATTGTGGTTTTCATAATCCCCACAGGTCGTGGGAGGGACTGGTGGGAGGTATTTGAATCATGGGAGCAGCTACCCTCATGCTGTTCTTGTGATACTGAGTTCTCACAAGATCTGATGGTTTTATAAGGGGCTTTTCCCCCTTTTGCTCAGCACTTCGCCTTGCTGCCATCATGTGAAGAAGGACGTGTTTACTTCCCCTCCTGCCATGATTGTAAGTTTCCTGAGGCCTCCCTAGCCATACTGAACTGTGAGTCAATTAAACTTCTTTTCTTTATAAATTACCCATTCTCAGGTATGTCTTTATTAGCAGCGTGAGAATGGACTAATACGCTGAGGGCCACAGGGTTCCTAAGAGCCGCAAGGAAGGGAACAAGTCCCACTGTGAAAGCGCTTATTTTTTAATAGACTTTGTTTTTTAGAGCAGTTTTAGGTTCACAGCAACACTGAGTGGAAAGTTCAGAGATTCCTCATATGTTCCCTGTCCCCACCCCCAACTATTCACATCCCCCACCAGAGTGGTACATTTGTTATAATCAATTAACCTATGTTGACACATCATTATGACCCAAACTCCATTGTCTACACTAGGGTCCACTCTTGGTGTTGTTCATTCTATGGGTTTGGACAAATGTATAATGTCACATATCCACCATTGTGGTGTCATATAGGATAGTTTCACTAACCTAAAAATAAAAATCCTCTGTGCTCCACCTGATCATTCCTCCTTCCCCCAAACCCCTGGTAACTACTAATCTTTTACTGTCTCCATAGTTCTACCTTTTCCAGAATGTCATATAGTTGGAATCATAGAGTAAGCAGCCTTTTCAGATCAACTTCTTTCAATTAAGAAAGTTTGTTTCCTCTGTGTCTTTTCATGGCTTGATAGCTCATCGTTTTTTTAAGTCCTGAAAAATAACCCATTGTCTGGATGCACTATAGTTATGCATTTATCTGGGCAGTCCCAGATATCCTGGTTGCTTCCAGGTTGTATCAATTCATAAATACAGATGCTATAGACATTTGTGCATGAATTTTTGTGTGGACATGAGTTTTCAACTTCTTTGGGTAAATACCAAGAAGGAAGAGAGGGGACAAGCTCCAGTGTGTAAGCACTTTTCAAACCTCTGCTTGCATCACTTTTGCTAATGGCCAAAACAAGTCATGTGGTCAAGTCCAGATTAGGAACAGGGAGATGGTGGAGAGAAATAGCTCTACCTCCTAATGGAAGAAGAGGCAAAGTCATATTGCAAAGACTTGTGCCCACTGGAAAGGGAAGAATCTGTGGTCGTTTTTGCAATCGATCCCATTCTGGTACATGCTTGCTTTTTGAAGTCTTGATGTTCTGCTTAAAGCATCAAGTTGTTACATCATGGCCCATTTGCGATATAAAGAATAAAACAAAGCTATTGGACTAGATGGCTTCAGAAACTGCTTAGTTCAAAAGGTGAAGTTTGCAGCAGCAGAAGTCTATAATAAGTTTCACATATTCAATTTATTTATTCAACATGTACCATGTGCTAGGCACTAGACACAACCACAAACAAGGGAGAGCAGTTTCCTGCCTCAGAATTTCTATGTCACTGAGAGACAGAAAATAGAATAACATGTGAGATGAAGGAAATAAATGGGTGATGTGATAGTGAATGGAGAAAGAGAGGGGGAAACATCTACTCTATGTGGTAAGAGTAGGGATAGGTACCTTTTGAGCTGAGATGTGGAATATGAGGAGGGAGCCAGGAATGGAGGCTGCTAAAAAGGACCTCCCTTCTCTTCTGCTTTCTCTTTCCCTTCTTGTTTCCTGTCATCATCTCTCTATTTCTAGATCAGTGCTTCTCAGACTTTAATGTATGTATGAATCACCTGGAGAGCTTGTTAAAATGCAGATCAGATTCAGCAGGTCTGGGCTGGGACCCGAGATGCTGCATTTCTAATAAGTTCCCTGGTGATGCTGCTGCTGCTGCTCCTTGGACCACCCTTTACACAGCAAGAACCTGGAGGTGGGGTAGGTGCTGAGGCGAGATAATAGAACCAGAATCAGGGCAGTGGCGGGGCGATGAGGGCCACTAGGTGGATTTGAGAGCTGTTTAGGAGGTAATGTCAAGGCCTGGGGAAGCTGGTGGTGCAGACCAACGGTGACAGAGGAAGAGGCTAGGGTGGCAGTCATGTGTCTGGCATGGATAAGGGTTGCACAGGAGTGTCCTTGCTGGGCTGGGGAGAGGGGAGGAGAAGCAAGGCTGGGGGACCAGGAGATGGGCAGTGTGCCTTTGGACCTGCTCAGTTTGAGGGTCCTCGGGCTAGGCCAGTAGAGGCAGCTGGATACTGTAGTGGTGGGGAGAGGACAGCAAGTAGGTCTGAAATACAGAGCTGCTCTATAGATGAACTTCTAGAAGGAGTGAGTGATTCTTGGATGCTCCCAATGACATATCAATAGAGGCAGCACAGATGGCTCCGTCATGGTTCAGAAGACCTTTTCGAATCATTCAGGAGCCTAGGCCCTGAAGGATCTAGGACATCAGGGATCATCGGTCTACACTCAGACACCTTATCATACAGTCCTGCTTTACTAACAGTGTGAAGCCTGGGCTGGGGGTAGGTGGAAAGGAAGTACTTTGTGCTCTGTTCCCTTGGTACCCAGAATGGGTCTTGGATCAGCAACATCAGCATCCCTAGGGACATTTCAGAAATGCAAATTATTTGCCCCCCTCAGATCTGCAGATTCAGAATCTGCATTTTGACAGACTCCCAAGTAATTCGTGAGCTCAGTACAGTTTGAGAAGCACCAGCCCAGGCCAGCAGTTCTCAATCTTCCATACATTTGAATCACCAGGGGAGCTTTACAAGGTGCTGATGCCTGGGTGGCATCTCCAAGAATTTCTGATCTAATTGGTCTGGGGTAAGGCCAAGGATTCAGGACTTTTACAGCTGCCTAGGTAAGTCTAATGCATATCCAGGGTGAAAACCCCTGCCCTGGCACCACCCAACCTTTGACTGACTACAGCTGGCGATATTGAAGGTGAATGACATTGTAGAAGTAACTTTGCATCTTTGGGCCTCAAGTTGGAAACCTGCAACCCCTCTAACTACCCCCATCCCCATTCCCATGTGCCTGGTGGGAGCCTGGAGGAGGGCAGGCAATGTGGGAGGGTTCTGGGCAGTCCTAGAAAACTCAGCCGTAAAGAGCCAGCTGGTTCTTCACACAAGCAGCTGCAAGCCCCCCCACCAGGCCCCTACTGCCTGCCAGGCCAAGACAGGGAACTGCCAAGGTGAAGAATCTGAGAGGGCATCCTTAGTCCTTGCCCTGGGAAGTTCTAGCTGGCAGGGAAGACCTTCAAAGACCAAAGGGAAGAAAGCCCACCACGCCAGGGTAAGAGAAGGAGTGGGGATATTTTCTGGGTAGAGTGCCCAGGTAGGTCTTCCTCCCTCTCTCACCTGGAGAGAAAAGCTGGAGAAATTAGGTGCCAACTCTAGGATGTGCCCAGGAACCTCATTATTTCAGGGAAAATTCAGATTTTAAGATGCATTCCTTTCTATTATTCCTTGCTACTCAAAGCGTGGTCCCTGGACCAGCAATGTCAGCGTCACTTGGGAGCTTGTTGGGAATACAGAATCTCAGCCCTACTGGCTCAGATGTACCGGATCAGAATTCAAAGTTTAGCAAGATCTCCAGGTGATGCACAGGCACATTAGTTTGGAAAACCTTGCCTCCTGGTCCCCAGCTGAAATACAGTGTCCAGGACCACGAGCCAGGTGGGTCCAAGCTTCTTAGCGGCCCTGCCTGTCGAAAGGGTTCCAGGTTCCTCCCGGTGGGCCGGCTCATGGTTCCTCTGCCTGGTTAGGCCTGGCAGAACCTCCATGAATCAAAAGGTGGCAGGAAATGGACCTTTCTCTCCCAAGGAGGATCCACACAGAATCTCCTTTCCAGCCTCCGCCTGCTGCTTCCTGCCCTGCACTGCCCTCTGGTGGCCATGGAAGCCATTGCCACCTGGCATTGCCCCCGTCTCCAGCAGATCCAGGACCCAGGGATGAAAGTCTGTTGCTTATGGTGGATGGACGAAGACTCGTCATTGTCCTCTGATATAAGGCTCAGGGACCCCAAAAACATGATGGAGGCAGTTTGAAAAGCACTGAGCTTCAGCAGCAGGATGGCAAATGTGCCTGGGGTGCTGGCTCAACCCTTCTCCCCATCACAGCTCTTTCCTGTACCACTTGCTGGAGTCTGTTCAGAGGTGGGGCATGGGCTAGAGAGGAGGGGAGGAGTTCTGTGTTGCAAGGACTTGCAGGTAGGAGGTTGCTGGACTGGTTCCGGGAGCCCTCTTGGTGTGTACCGGCCCTGAGGCAGCAGCCAGGGTGTGCAGGGCCTCATGCACTGTTGCTGGGCTGGGCCCTTATCCCCGCGGGGCATGGTGTAAAGCAGGATACAGCCTGGCCTGCACCGGCTTTGGAAGGTTTCTCTGGGGAGAACGGACTGGGGTTGGGGACACTGGGAGTTGAAAGACCTGTGAGGGGTCATGCCACATTTTGGAAAGTAGTTGGGGGCTTCATGTAGGCCTGGCCTGGTTGGAGAAATGCTGATGCCCTTCCTACATCCCAGGGAAAATGAGGAAACCCAGTGCTAAGAGCTGGCTGGAACTGAGCTGGCTGTTTGAGTAAGAAGAGATGTACGACCTTGTGAAGGTCCTTCTAGGGACGTGGCCCCAGGCCTTCCCAGAGGTCAGAGGCCCCAGGTTCTCGACCATATGGATGGACAGCCTGAGTCCCGGCTCTGCCCTGCTGGTCAGCCTCAGCCGACCATTTCCTGAGGCTCCATCACCACCAGATCCGTCGTAACCTGGACAGAGCCCAGGCTCCAATGCTGCCCCTGCCACTGACCACTTAGCACTCTGGGTGGGGCCAGTCCCCTCCCCTCCCAGACCTCGGCTTCCCCACCTGCAGGAACAGGAGCTTGGCCTAGAGGTCTTCTAGCTCTCACAGGTGCCTTTCCACTTTAAGAACCTGAGATCCTGTTCCTCTGGTGGAAAAACCAGCCTCCCCAGGACCTGTCCCACACCCCAGCCAACAGGACATTTCATGTCTGTTGCAGATGCTCTTGCTGCCTCTTCCCATTCCCTCAGCATGCTGGCTGAACTTCCCACAGCCAGCACCTGTGAGTCTTCACTCGAGGCTTCTCTCTTGGGCTGCACTGTCCAAATACAGGTGAGTTGGACATGCTGGGGAATTAACGCCCCTCAGGAGCAGCCCTCTGTCATGATGACAGGAGTCGGTGGGCAAGTGTTGCAGCTCCCGGGGTGGGATAACTCCGAGCCATGTGCTCTACGCTGGCCCCAGAGCCCCCAGCACAACGGCGTTCCAATTGCCCACAGCGGTAAGGGTTTGATGACACCCTGTTTGGCTGCCTGCTCTGCTTTCCTTCCCACGTCCTAATTGATGTTTCCTGGGATCTCCCTCCAAATCAACTATCAGCACTGAAATCCTTGTCTTAGAGTCTGCTTCTATGGGAATCCAAACAAAGATAGTATCCAGCTAAGTCACTTTTTGTTCATGATCTTTGGTATGGGGTAGTGTAAGGGACAGACCCCTAGGCGGGGTGCTGGGGGAACCCTTGCTTTTCACTTGTGACCTTGGGACCAGGTAACAGGAATGAAGAGGTAGGGCTGAGACCTGACCTGCTTTTAGGGGGAGCTGTGGGGCAAGACTGTAGATGCTCTGGTCATGACTTCCCCTCTCGGTCAGGCCCTCTTCTGCCAGGCTGGCCTCAGACACTGGGGCCCTTGCAGGCAGCCACAAAGCAGATGCCGTCGTTGATGGAGCATGTCTCAGAGCAGCTGATGGGGCACACCTCTGCACCTGGCAGCCAGCCTCCTGCATGGCCTTCTCCACCGTCTCCTTCTCTGGGTGGAGCCCAAAGAACTTCTTGGAGCCTACCATATAGTGGGAGTGCAGGGCAGCCATGGTGACCAGGTTCCCATCTGCTTTCAGCAGGCTGGCCAGCCTCTGCAGGGCTGCCCAGTACATGTCCACATCAGGACAGGCACTCTTCAGGGGACACCTGGATTGACCCCAGTGGATGCAGCTTGGTCATATCGCACTTCAGCAACCACGTGACTGTCCAGCAAAGCTGGTTCTCCTTCTCATGCCACCTGCTTCTATGGAGGAGGGTCACAGAGATGACATAATGATTGTGATAGCAGCCCCTCAGCCCTCACCACCACCCTCTGGGCAAAGCCTGTGACTTATCCTGTTCAGCAACTCTTTGAGCGAGATTATTATTTTCCTCATTATACAGATGAAGAAACTGAGGCATAGACTTGCTCACGTCTACACAGCTGTAGGTGACAGTGGATTCGATAACTCCCCTTCCCCTCCTCCTGCGCCTCTTTCTTTTAAACAATTGAATAGTTTTTGGTATATTACATTATTAATTTCATTAAGTAGTAAACTATATTACAAAATTGGCCATTTTGATCAAAGTGTATGGTTCCGTGACATTAATTGCGCTCACACAGTTGTGCGCCCGTCACCAACTGTCTTTCCAACATTTTTGCATCATTCCATATGTAAACCCTGTACTCATTAAACAGTAACTCCCCATTCCCCATTCTCCCTCCTGGCAGCCCCTGGTAACCTCCAATCTACTTTCTGTTTCTGGATTTGCCTATTCTAGACGTTTCATGTATGGGGAGCCTACAGTATTTGTCCTTCCCTGTTTGGTTCATTTCACTTAGCGTAACATCTTTAGGTTCAGCCATGCCGGAACTCCCTGCTTCTTGAAACACACTCTTTACTTGGCTTCTTGAGGCACTTCACCCTCGTGGTTCTCCCTTTTTCTGTCTCCCTGAACACCCTCCTCCACTCCCTAGCCTTAGAACACAGCATCTCCTCCCCATCCACACTTAGCCACTTGATGGCCTCAGCCGTCCACGGATGACTCCCAGGTCAGGCTCCAGCCCTGGAGTCTCTGGGAGGCCCAGACATGCACAACCAGGGGCTCCTCCGTGGGTATCTCCACTTCAGTGTCAGGCAGGTGACTCCAACACATTGCCCAGGCTGAGAAGTCAACATCTGCTGCCATACCTGCTCCTTCCTTGTCATTTCCCTCCTAATACTGGCAACTCCATCCTTCTTGTGGCTGTGGCCAAAAACCTTGGAGTTGCCCTTGACTCTTCTCTCTCTCTTACATCCAAACCATCAGCAAATCCTGTTGGCTCCGCCTGCAGAGTGATTCCAAACTCCAGCCACCTCCAGCCCCTGCAGGCCTCCTGCTGTTGGCTCTTCCCTGGAGGATGCCAGCACCTGCTGCTGCTCTGCCCAATGCTGCCCTCGCCTCCCAAGGCCTAGCATGATGAACAGTTCTTTAAGAAATGTAGAGGCTATCATGCCATTCTCTTCTCCAGTGCCTGGGAGATCCACGGCACCATCCTCCCTCCTTACCGTGGCCCTCAAGGCCCCACAGGATGTGGTCTCCGCCTCCCTGACACCTAACTCTCCTCCTCACTCCACCCCTCGCACAGCACCCTTTTCACTGTCCTCGACACACGGGCGGCTCCCCGCCACCACTGGGCCTTTGCCCTTGCTGCTCATGCTGCCTGACACTCCCTTTCCTCGGGTCTTTATGCCTTTTCTCCCTTCCTTCGCTGGGACACCACTTGGAGTGCTCCTCGGAGAGGCCCTTTCCCACCATCCCACCACCCACAGTGCCCCACCTCGCTCTGGCAACTCCTACAGTTTGCAGTGCACACCCTGCCCAACTGTGCATGGCGGCCCTAAATCATCTGAGCTGTAGTTCTTGCTATTACTACTGACTGGCTGTTTGACCTTACCTGGGCTGGCCTCCTCTCTCCCTGCTCTCTTACCTGAGCCTCAGTCTCCCCTTGTGTGCACTGAAGGACTTGGTGATAGTCTCTACTGGCTCACCCCATTCTGATACCCGAGGGCAGGGATTTGTAAACTAAGCTATGTGGTTTGCCTTTGGATATCCATGAACTCTGTCAGTTTTGTGTAGAAAATTTGTGTGTGTTTGTGTGTGTGTGTGTATCAGAACTTTCATCAGATTTTCAGAGGGATTCAAGAGCCCAGAAAGGCTACAAAGCCTGGCTTTATGGACTGTCTGCAGGGGAGGCTGGCAGAGACAGAGAGACAGCCGGCAGTGTGTTCATTATGTCTGTTCTCTAATTTTCCCTCAGCATGAGCCTGTGAGCCCCAAGCTTCTCCCATTTTATAGGTGAAGAAACTGAGGCCCACTGGCAGAGACTCATGCCCAGCTCCTTGGCCTCCACGGCCCGTGCTCAGACCCCATTGAGCTGCCACCTGGCAGAGGCCCTCATGGGTTCATAGAGCTTGACTGGGCTGACTTTGCAGCATCTTTGGTGAGCAGTGGCCAGAGGATGGGGCCGCTTGCCTCCAACCTGCAGGTCTTGCTGTCAGCTGTAACCCTGTACTGCCCCCAAAGTGGAGACCAGCCATTCACCTGAAGAGAAGCTTTGAAAGAGGGTTTCCAGGTTAGATTTCAGGATTTCATTTTTGGTCACAGTGCTGAGTCGAAGGCGTAGTAGGTCAGTAAGTAGTCCCGGGGGTGGAGCTCTTTCTCACAGTCTTTTCCTCCTGTATACAGGTTGCCCTCCAACTGGCTGAGGACCCCTCGGTGCCTTCCCACTCTTCAGTCATGGTAGGTACACCCCTGCCCTTCCAGCCTTTCCCACCAGGAGTTTCACAGCCTCCTGGAACCAGCGCCTGCCTCTCAGGGAGGTGCTCAGATTCCTCACAGATGAAGCCAGAGACACAGTGTGAGCTTTTCTGGCTGGAGTTTATCTGCTTGATACATTACCAAAATCATAAGAACGCAACAGGATCACCAGGGCCAGGTCTCACGGGTTCCTGCTTCGACATGGTGTTTTGAGTGTAGGGGCTGCTGGAGGCAGGGAGGGAGAGACTTACACAGAGGGACACAGACACAGAATGAGAGAGACAGACAGGCAAAGAGACAAACGGAGACAAAGACAGAGGCAAAGAGAGATCAAGGGTCTGCAATATTTCAAGGATGTTTCACTCTTGGAGTTTGGTGGGAAAACAAGAATCAGAGTGGAAAGGCCCCTTGGGGGAGGAAACAGGATCTAAAGATGGCTAAGATTTCACTGATGAAGGTCAGTGAGCTTGCTCTTGAAAACAGGCTTGTCCTGGCTGGGCATGGTGGCTCATGCCTGCAATCCCAGCACTTTTGGAGGCTGAGGTGGGAGAACTGCTTGAGCCCAGGAGTTTGAGACCAGGAGACCAGCCTGGGCAACACAGCAAGACCACACGTCTCTCTAAAAAAGAATAAATAAATAAATAAATAAGCAGCTTGTCCTTAACTTGATTCACTATTCTCTGCTGCCTTTAATTCTGTTTACTTTATTTACTTGCTTAATTAATCTCTTTTTTTGACTAGTGCAGAAGTAAACTTAGCCAGGGTCCATATGTTTGGACAAACCATTTATAAAGTGTTGCCATTCATGAACAGAACATGTGATAAAATTGCAAAGAATTTACTACACACCACACACAAACCCACCCACCCACACGCGTGCATGTGCACACATGCATGCCCACAGACACACAAATGAGTACAAGTAAAACTCAAGAAACCTGAATAAGATCAGTAGATTGTATCAATGTCAATATCCTGGTTGTGATAGTGTACTATTATTCTGATGTTATACTAGATGTTACCACTGGGGGAACCTGGGTAGGGGGTGCACTGGATCTCTCTGTATTATTTCTTACAGCTGCATACGAATCTAGAATTATCTTGAAATAAAAAGTTTTATTAAAAGAGTGTTGCCGGCCAGGCGCGGTGGCTCACGCCTGTAATCCCAGCACTTTGGGAGGCCGAGGCGGGCGGATCACGAGGTCAGGAGATCGAGACCATCCTGGCTAAAACGGTGAAACCCCGTCTCTACTAAAAATACAAAAAATTAGCCGGGCGTAGTGGCGGGCGCCTGTAGTCCCAGCTACTTGGGAGGCTGAGGCAGGAGAATGGTGTGAACCCGGGAGGCGGAGCTTGCAGTGAGCCGAGATTGCGCCACTGCACTCCAGCCTGGGCGACAGAGCGAGACTCCGTCTCAAAAAAAAAAAAAAAAAAAAAAGAGTGTTGCCAAAGCTCTTTCCAAAATTCACCTTATAGTGATTTCAGGCAGCAGACTGTCATGTCTTTTGCAAATGGGCAAGTCTGGGGCCTCAGCTGGTGATGAGCTGCCCCTCTGCAGATGCTGTAAGAGCAGATGAAGGGAGACACCTTGGAAGGTCCCTAGCACTCACAGAGTACCTACTGTGTGCTGGGCATCACCTTGTCATCTTCACAACAATCTGCAAAGTACATGCTGATGCGCCCCCTTAGAGATGAGGAAGCTGAAGGTGACGTGCCTTACCCAGCAAAGGATGGAATTCAGATTCCAATTCAAGGCTCTATGCCCAAAGCCAAAATAAAGACGAACTCCAAGCCTCATCCTCACATTGCCCTCCTGTCTTCATATCTTCATAGAACTGCTTAAATGTTAGCATGCCTGGGAGTCACCTGGGGACTGGGTTATAATGCAGGCTCTAGTTCTGAGGTTCTGCATGTCTAATAAGCTCCAAGACACTACTGAGGCCACCACACTTTGAGCACTAAGGCCCCATCCCACCACCCAGAATCAAAGATGGTCAATTTTTTTTTTTTTTTGAGGCAGGATCTCACTCTGTCACTCAGGCTGGAGTACAATGGCACGACAACAGCTCACTGCAGCCTCGACCTCCTAGGCTCAAGTGATCCTCCCACCTCAGCCTCCCAAGTAGCTGCGACTACAAGCATGCACCACCACACCTGGCTAATTTTTTTTTATTTTTTGTAAAGGTGGGGTCTCCCTATGTTGCCCAGGCTGGTCTTGAACTCCTGGACTCAAGTGATCCTCCCACCTTGAGATCCCAAATTGCTAGGTGAGCCACCACGACTGGCCTTATTTTTTATTTCTTCAGGTTTTGAGTTCACAAGAAAACATTTCAACAGAGTGTAGATTTTAATCCATTTTTAAATCATAATTCTTATCATTTTATTGTGTTAAATGTAAATTTTCCTCTTTTCTAAAATTAACAGAGCTCATACTCTGTGGAATTTCAGTTCAGTGAGAAAAGTGTCAATTACATAATAAATGGTGATGGCATAACTACCTATCTGATTGGAAGAAAATAAAATTAGATGTCTACCCAGTTTATTAAAAATGAATTTCAAGCCTGGGCAACATAGCGAGATCCTGCTTCTGCAAAAAAAATTAAAAATTAGCTGAATGGGATGGCGTGTGCCTACAGTCCCAGCTACTCAGAAGGCTGAGGTAGGAGGATTGCTTGTACCCAGGAGTTCAAGGCTGCAGTGAGCTATGATCCCACCACTGCACCCCAGCTTGGGAAACCAAGTAAGATCCTGTCTCAAAAAAAAAATTCATATTGAAATCCAATTAACGTGAATTCTAGGTGGGTTAAAATGATTGGTGACATTGAGGGTCTTATATTTGTCCCAGCATTTCTCATGTCAGAATTGGCCTCTGCCGCTGCACTCTTGCATCTGAAAAGTCTTTGCAGGGCTGTGATCTCCTCACTGTGTGTACCTATCTGGATCGCTTTGTTCTCCTAGCCCTGGGCCAAACTCACTTCTCCATGTCACCAGGAAGGCTCAGGAATGTCAGTTTTGGGGGCTGTTCAAGTAAGGTTGACTTAATTGCTCTCCAGTGCTTGGCAGGTAAGAGACTTGCAGGTTTTCCTTGCTGTAAATAATGTTGTAATTAATACCCCTGTACATTTGCTTTTTCTGTATTTGGATTATTTTTCTGTATTTCTGCATTCTGTATTTTTCTGTATTTTGGATTCCCATACGTAGGATTCCTGGGTCAGAGTTCTAAAAACTTTTAGTATAAATAATTTAGGCAAATAATCACCAAATTTTTTTCCAAAAGGAAAATAGTGCTTTTTCTTTTTAATTTTTTAGGAAAAATTTTTAATTTTTCTCTAACAAAATATGAGATAATGTAATATAATGTAAAATAATAAATGTGGTTTTTTTTTTTCTCTTCAGGCTTTCTTCAATCTAGGTTTAGAAAATCCTCTCTTACCCAGAAGTTTGATAACAATTTGACCATGATAGCTTCTGTGGTTGATTTTTGGAAAGACATTTTAGCCTTTATTTTGGTGTTTTGTGTGAGACGAGGGTCTGAGTAGCTGCTTGCAACTCACCAGAGAAAACAATCTCATTTACACTGGCAAGTTCCCTCTTTGGACTCATTTCTTCACCCCACAGAGCCAGGCAGGAAGAGAAGTAGCAAGGTATCAGGGAGCGTGGAATGCTGAGATGGTAGTTTCCCTAATCTTGAAAAGGAGCTTGATCCTTTTCTTATCTGTCTGACTTTTCAAGTGGTCTTAGTTTCTTGATAGGCAGTTTGAAATTTGCCCCTTTGCTTACTATTGCAACAGAAGTCCTCTTGAATGGAAATTTCCTTGCTCTATTTTAAAAAAATATCACTGTATAGAAAGGTGCCTAAGATGAGGTGCACATTCTTAAAAGGGCCTGAAGCTTAGCCCTGTCATGAACAAAGTTGTCACATTGATGAAGGCAAACCTAAGGATAGTGGTTCTCAACCGGGGACAATTTTGCCTCCCAGGGGACATTTGACAATGTCTGGGGACATTTTTGGTTGTTGTAACTTCGGAGTGTACTGGCATCTAGGGGGTAGATGCCAGAGATGCTGCTAAAAATCCTATGACACAGTTCCGCACCCCCACCCAACAAGGAATTACCTGGCCTGAAGAGCAAATAGTACTGAGGTTGAGAAACTCATTCTTAGAATATATCCGTAAGAGGCTTCACTTTGAGAAGATTGCCATAGTGCTGTTAGGACCCTTGGTTAGGCCAGAGTCACGAGGCATGTAGGGATGGAGAAGGCCTGAGTGGTGGAGAAGCAGGTGGAAGCCAGAGGGTAGAGACTCTGAATGCCAAAGGGGAGTTTGGATTCATTCCTCTGGCAGCAGGAGGCACTGGAGGCCTTGCGTTAGGAGGGGCATCCTCTATCCATCCAAGGACATCCAGTTGCAGCATGATGTGTAGTTCTGGGAAGGATGGTCTCTTCCCGCCCTGTACAGACCCCCTAGATGCTCACGTCCTGCTGCAGGGGCTCTGGGTAATCCCTGGATAGTACATGCATGTCCACGGTTCAACTCCTTAAGTGTTAATGCTGGGCGTCTTCCATGTGCCTCTCCATTCTGCTTTCCATCCTCTCCAGGCTACTGCAAGTGCCAGGAAGCTGACATGTGGACTGTAGTCACCACTCCCTTCCCTCTAAATTTGGCAGGATATTGGAGGAAGGTAGGAGAAGGAGGTCTGGGTATTTATTCTTTAGCTACTCTATTAGTCCGTTTTCATACTGCTAATAAGGACATAACCAAAACTGGGTAATTTATGCAGGAAAAAGGTTTCATGGACTCACTGTTCCACATGGCTGGGGAGACCTCACAATCATGGCTGAAGGCAAGGAGGAGCAAGTCATGTCTTACATGGATGTCAGCAGGCAAAAAGAGAGCTTGTGCAGGGAAAGTCCCCCTTATAAAATGATCAGATTTCAAGAGACTTATTCAGTATCATGAGAACAGCATGGGAAAGACCTGCCCCAATGGTTCAATTACTTCCCACCGGGTCCCTCCCACAACATGTGGGAATTGTGGGAGCTACAATTCAAGATAAGATTTGGGTGAAGACACAGCCAAATCATATCAGCTCTTTTGCTATTGGCTGCTGCAGGAGGCCCTCTCTGCACAGCTCTGTCTCAGTCTCACTGGGATGATGGCTCCTCCATGCTGCTAGCCCTCAGGTTCTGTGATGGTGCTTTCTATGAGTCAACTTGGCTAGGTCATGGTGCCCAAATAGGTGGTCAGTCATGATCCTGGCTGTTTGTGTAAGGGTGTTTTTGGATGAAATTCACATTTAAACTTTGAGTAAAGAAGATCGCCCTCCATAATGTGGGCGGGACTCATCCAATCAGCTGATGGCCCAAGTAGAACAAAAGACTGGCCTTCCCCGAGCAAGAGGGAATTCTGGCAGCAGCTGGTCTTTGGACTTGGACTGCAACATTGGCTTTTCCTGGTCCCACCCTTCAGAGTTTGGACTTACTGGCCTCCACAATTATACAAGCCAATTACTTAAAATAGATCTGATTCTCTCAGTGTACACAAGCTGGGTTCTCTTTCTCTGAAGAACCCTGACTAATAGAGGTACCATATGTCTTCCTTCCACCCTGCCCACAACTTAGTTAGCACCGTGCCTTTATTGCACACTCCTCCAATCATGTAATGCGAGCCCTGCAGTTTCCTGCCTGCTCTGTATGCCTTTTGCAGGCCAGCACGACAGCCGCAGGCCTCCCTGGAGGCTGCCCAGGCACCCGCCCCTTGGAAGCCAGGCCCTGACGACCGCTGGGTGTTCCTGCGTCTGTGGCATCACCCATCTGTTGGGCCCTGTGGATTCAGAATTGTTTGTTTACTTAAAGCCAGAACAAGGCATTCCTGTCCTTCCCACTTTCAGGGCAAGAGGCCTGAACCTCCAGTGTAGCGGATTCATTTCTGTCCGGTTTGTGGCCAAGTCAGAGCCATTTCCTAGTGCCAAAAACAGAGACTGAGCTTTTTTCTGTCTGTGGGAGATTTTACAACCCAGTCCCATTTCAAAGAGAAGACTGAGGCCAGGAGTGTCTTACCCGGAGTAGCCAGGTGAGTCAGTGGCCAGGAAGCCAGGACCCCTCTGACAGTTTATGCTTTATGACCGGGCGCCCTTGTTCTCATTCATGGAGATTGACGACAATTTCTGCTCTTCTCCCAGTGACCTGCACAGTGATGCCAAGTCAGCCATTCTGCTCTGCCTCCTGGGGTCTGAACTGTGTTCTCCAGCAGGGATGGGGGATGCATGAAGCTGCACCCACTGCCTGGCCTAGAGAGAGCCACTGGGCCCCAGTGACCACCAGGCGACAAGATGGGGATCTCACTGTGCACTCAGGTCACAACACCTGTGACTTAGAGGAGTGACTTTGGTCCTTACAGTCAGTGAAGTGGGCACGCAGGTGGGGAAACATAGGTCTGACACCTACTTGGAGGCCACAGAGCAGCATGTGGCTGCCAGGGCTGAGAGTTGCACCCAGGGCTGGGCACCATCAATTGCCTTTGACGGACATGGGTTGGTCCCTAGAGGCAGCAGGGCCAGGGCGGCTGCAGCCCCAGCTGTCATAGCTCTGGGGTTGGGGAAACCTCAGGTGTGTCAGTGTGGCTGGGAGGTGGTGAGACATGCACTGCCTTCTGCATCCCCCTAGAAGGAGAAGCTCAAGGAAAGGCATACTTGGGAGGAGCCATGGGATGAGGCTGGAATGCTGGGGGTGGAGCCTGGAGAGCTTGGAGCCCTCATAAGACCTGATAGCAAGGAGGGGGCACATTTCAGGGACACCATGAAGGGTGGCTTCACTGGGGGTGATGAGTACCAGAAGCACTTCCTGCCCAGGGACTACTTGGCTACTTACTACAGCTTCGATGGCAGCCCCTCACCCGAGGCCGAGATGCTGAAGTTTAACTTGGAATGTCTCCACAAGACCTTCGGCCCTGGTGAGCAGAGGGTGGCCCTTCCCCTTGAGCCTCTCTCCAAGGAACCTGGATGGGGATGGGGAGACGGTGTCCTGGGGGCAGTCTGGTCTCCTCTAGGGGTTTTTGGGGATGGGCTGGGGGAGCTTCTGGGGCCCTGCCCCCTCTCTTTGGGCAGCTGTTATGCTGGAGGTTGAGTCTGTCTCCCCATGGCTCAGGAGCTCTGTGCCAGCTGAAGAGCACAGCCCCGTGCAGTTCCCACACTGCTCTCCATTAGCCCCTAGGTCTTTGGGGTGGAGCAGAAAAGGCTCTCCAGGTCATCATCAAGTTCAGTCCTGACCTTGCACAGCCAGGCCTCTGGGGCCCCCAGAAGGCCAAGGGCAAACAGCAGGGTTGCAGTGGGACGGGATCGCCTGTGCCCGGAGTGTGCAGCCTAGATGTGTCTGTGATGAGGACCTGGAAAAGCCCTGCCCTGGGACAAGGATTGCTAGGTGGGGTCTCAACCCTGAGCAAGGGGCTCAGACCCCAAGGACCTCAACTGAGCCATCTGCACGATGGATGGTGACTTCTGCCTGTCTCCCGATGATCACTGCCCTCCCCATGGTGACCCCATGATTTGATTGTGTCTTCTAAACTCAAGCAGCCGTGTCCTCACTTTAGGCACTTGACTGGGGAACAGTAAGGGTGAGTCTCCTGGTGGTCTGTGGGATAAGAGGGGGTTAAAAGGCTGCTGAGCCTGGAGGAGCAGGCCGGTGTGGGAGGCAGAAATCAGAGAACAGCCGGACTGGGTGTGACCAAGCTTGGAAGGCCAAGTGATGGCCCCACGCCAGGGCTCCAGACAGAATGTTGGAAGTCATGCTTCATTCCAGCTTCCAGGTGACCCTGGATTCACTCCTGGGGCCATCTTCCCAGATCATCTCCTTAGCCCCGGCTTCCTATTCCTGTATGCTTTCACCCCTCCCTCCTCCAAGGAACAAGAAACCCATCCAGGAAGGGCTGGACTTCCAGGGGAGGCTTCCAGCTCCCAGTCAGCCTGAAACTTAAAGGGCCACTGACCCCAGCATGTCCTCTCTGAACTCTCCAGCCCGAATCTTCCCCAGAGCAGGGCTTGGGCCTCTGTTCTCTGTCCCAGAAATATTATACTCTTGGCTTATGTTCTTGACTGAAAGGTATTGGGCTAATTGTTTAACCTTTTACAGACTCAGTTTTCTAATCTGCAAAATGAAAATAGTGATAGCAGTCACTACACAGGGTAGTTTTGAGGTGTAAATGGAAATTAACACATATAAAATATTTGGCATGAGGCTTGGCTTACAGGGAGCTGCCAATCCGTGATAACCACCAAGCACGTTTGCCCCTTGGGTAAGACCAGGGTGTGTGTCCTCATCCCTGTGTCTGCCTTGGGTCTCGTTTCTTTTACCCATCCATTACCAGTCTTTCCCTCCCACAGGAGGCCTCCAAGGGGACACGCTGATTGACATTGGCTCAGGTCCTACCATCTACCAAGTTCTTGCTGCCTGTGATTCCTTCCAAGACATCACTCTCTCCGACTTTACCGACCGCAACCGGGAGGAGCTGGAAAAGTGGCTGAAGAAGGAGCCGGGGGCCTATGACTGGACCCCAGCGGTGAAATTCGCCTGTGAGCTGGAAGGAAACAGGTAGGGGTGCAGAGGTTGGGGAGGGGGTTCCCAGTCAACCTTCTTTCTCAGAAGTCTCCCTGGCCTCTTTGTTGTCTCTGACATTTTCAGGACAGTAGGACCTTCAGGTATAGGACCAGATGTCCTGTGGTGGGGATAGAGTAGATGGAATCCCAAGTTTCAGGATTACAGCAGTTTTAGGGGCAAGACTCTGATCACAGGACTATGTTGAGGTGTGATATAGTCAAGTATGAACACTGAAAACCAGATGATTTTCATCTCTTCCTTCTTCTCTTCCTTCCTTACCCTCATCTATATATCTACCTCTCTATCTTCTATGTATCTAACTATCCGTGCATATCCATCCATCCGTCCACCCACCGGTTCATCCATTCATCCATCCATCCATCCATCCATCCATATTCATGCATCCACCCACCCATCCATATCCATCCATCCATCCAGCCAGCCAACTAGCCGTTCACCTATCCATCCATCTATCCATCCGTCCATTCATCCATCCATCAATATTCATCCATCCACCCACCCATCCATTCATCCATCCATATCCATCCATCCATCCATCCATCCACCCATTCATATCCATCCATCCATCCACATACATCCGCCCAGCCATCCATCTATCCATCCATCCACCCATCCATCCATATCCATCTATACATCCATCAATCCATCCACCCATCCATCCATATCCATCTATCCATCCATCCATCCATCCATCCATCCATCCATCCATCCATGTCCATCCACATTCATCCACCCACCCACCCATCCATCCATCTTTCCTTCTTCCCTCTATTGTCTGTACCTGTGTGACTGACTATATAATGTATAATGACGTGAACTCACCACCCAACCTGAGTACTCGAATATAATAAAGACTTACCTGTGCTTCTCTGTGACTCCTTGCCTCTGCCTTTCCCAACCTCGGGTAATCACTAATATGGATTTTATGCTTATCATTCCCTTTTTCAAAAAATTTTTTTCTTGCATACTTATGTATATCTAAACAATCTATAATTTAGTTTTAGTCGCCTTTGAGCTTTATAGCAGAGTAATTTGCTCTGTGTCATTTGCGATTTGCTTTTCATCACTCAAAATTATATTTTTAAGATAGCTATATTCATACATTATCTGTAGTAAATTCATTAATTCATTCATCCATCCATCCAATAATGTTTGTTAACTGCCCTCTCTGTGCTTGGGGTGGCTTTGTCCATCCTGGGGATTAAGGGAAGGGGGCTCACATGGAATCAGAGAGAGAAAGTTTCCTATAATTGTTCTAGCCATTCTCCCTAACCATTTTTCTTTGGGAGAAACTGAGGCTCAGATTGAAGAAGAGCCTGCTGTCAGGTCACACAGGGACTCAGGGACAGCAATCCTTTGGGGATCCAGAGATCATCTCCATCTGCTGGTCACAGTGGACTGAGAGTTCCCTTCAGAACCTCAAAGGGCCTCCCCGACTCCCTCTCTCTCTCTGCAGCGGCCGATGGGAGGAGAAGGAGGAGAAGCTGCGGGCAGCGGTGAAGCGGGTGCTCAAGTGCGATGTCCACCTGGGCAACCCGCTGGCCCCGGCTGTGTTGCCTCTCGCCGACTGTGTGCTCACCCTGCTGGCCATGGAGTGTGCCTGCTGTAGCCTTGATGCCTACCGCGCTGCCCTGTGCAACCTTGCCTCACTGCTCAAGCCGGGTGGCCACCTGGTGACCACTGTCACGCTTCGGCTCCCGTCCTACATGGTGGGGAAGCGTGAATTTTCCTGCGTGGCCCTGGAGAAAGAGGAGGTGGAGCAGGCTGTCCTGGATGCTGGCTTTGACATTGAACAGCTCCTACACAGTCCCCAGAGCTACTCTGTCACCAATGCTGCCAACAATGGGGTCTGCTTCATTGTGGCTCGCAAGAAGCCTGGGCCCTGAGCCAGGAGGGCCAGCCAGAGGTCTGGTCAGGCTGTGAGGCCTTGGCCATCTGTATGCTAGAGAGGGGTGAGGAATGGATACTGTCTAACAGTCTCTGATTTCAACACTAACATTCCATCTTCTGAAATTCTGAGATTCTAACATCCTTGTTTTAGAATTCTAAGTTTCCAACATTCCTCATTCTAGGATCCTAGGAGTGGAATTTTCCATTTTCTAATATACTAAGCCTTACAGCTATCTTAGATGCGATCTGACTCCTGTGTGACTGTGGAGCACCCAGGGACGTGGTTTTAGAGTCTACCTAATATGTTAAGGACAAGGAAACCTCTGAGTCTACCTAATATGTTAAGGACAAGGAAACCTCTGGACAGTGGTATATTGGGGAATTTTTTTTTTTTTTTTGAGACGGAGTCTGGCTCTGTCACCCAGGCTAGAGTGCAATGGCACGATCTCGGCTCACTGCAAGCTCTGCGTCCTGGGTTGACGCCATTCTCCTGCCTCAGCCTCCCGAGTAGCTGGGACTACAGGAGCTCGCCACCACACCCAGCTAATTTTTTTTTTTTTTTTTTTATTTGAGACGGAGTTTCGCTCTGTCGCCCAGGCTGGAGTGCAGTGGCGCGATCTCGACTCACTGCAAGCTCCGCCTCCCGGGTTCACGCCATTCTCCTGCCTCAGCCTCCCGTGTAGCTGGGACTACAGGCACGCGCCACCATGCCCGGCTAATTTTTGTATTTTTAGTAGAGATGGGGTTTCACCGTGTTAGCCAGGATGGTCTCGATCTCCTGACCTGGTGATCCACCCACCTTGGCCTCCCAAAGTGCTGGGATTACAGGCGTGAGCCACCGCACCCAGCCAGGGGGAATGTTCTATAACCAGCTCTGTAAAGGAAAAGCACTGATGTGTGGTAGTCACCAATTTCTGTGGTGTAAATACTCCCACCATGGTTGATTTCAAGCCACCAGTGGTTTAATAACCAGCTCATAAATCTCCTAAATATTTTACAGTTGACTCTCATGAGCTGATTGGAGTCAGCTGGAACATACCACTGCCTCTAGACTAAGGTCAGCAGATTTAGCAAATACAGACTGCCCCAGTTCATTGAATTTTAGATAAATGAAATAAATCTATAAGGTTAAGTATGTCCCCAGAACTGCATGGAACATGCTTAATCTAAACAATGATTTGTTGTTCACCTGAAATTCAAATTTAGCTGGGTGTCCTGTATTTCATCTGGCAACCCTACTTCAGACCCAGGTGTAAGGTACATGGATGTGCTTTGGTCAAGGAATAGGCCAAGGCAGAGATCCATGCCTGCATGACTCAGTGGGTTTGGTGCACAGGCACACACCTCCACTTGTTATATAACCTGTTTGTGTAAGTTCATACTTGGTCTGAGCCACTGTTGTCTGTAAAAGGTAATTGTCCTGCTAATGCTGTACAGGGGCTCTTGGGGTTCGGCTCAGCTCAACATGGCTTGACATGGTGGGCACACTGGCGCCCAGTAAGAGAGAGAGAGAGCCAAAGCTGTCCGTTTTGCAGATGGACAGGAAGGAGCCAGGACACAGCTCAGCTTGCTCACGCCCAGAGAGAGAAAAAGTTAAGCTGCTGACCCTGAAGGCAAGGGAGAGCAGGCTGCACAGCTGTGTGTGGAAGCCACGGGCTCAAGCAGCCAAGGCAGGGCGGACAGTGTGAGAGAGCTAGTGTAAGCTGTTGATGAGAGCTGTTGCTGAATAAAACCATATTCACCTGCCTATGGGCCCTGAGTGTTCTTTCTGTCCATCTACCCACTCCCCTCAGACTTTAGCACGGGCTGGACCTGGACCCCAGGACCTGACACCAAGTGAGAAGAGGAGCAGCCCAGGGATCAAGGGTATTCCTCGTACATAAGGTGCCTTTGTGCAAATTAGGAAGAGGTGCTCCTGCAGATGGACACATTGCAGAAAGGAGTGTTCAGGGCTGATTAATTGAGAAAAGCTGTTCCATCTCCCTGTGGAAGCGCTATGAGAACAAGGTGCCTCTTCTGGGCAGACCAATTAGAGAAAGATGTCCCTTCCTTAAGGCTGATTGGGTCACACTACTGAGCACCTGTCAGCCTCCCTTTTTCCCTCAGCCCCAATCTGTGCCTTTGTGTGGGTACACCCTGGGCACAGCAACCTTGATAAGAGCCAGGAGACCTGGAATCTACTCTCAGCCCTGCCACTAATTGTTTCACTTCTCTGGGCCTCGTATTCCTATCCATGAGATTTAATCTAATAATCTACAGGAACATCCTAAGAACAGCAGGAAGTCATTGATGTGGAAGTGCTTTTTTTTTTGAGGCAGAGTCTCACTCCGTCGCCCAGGCTGGAGTGCAGTGGCGTTATCTCGGCTCACTGCAAGCTCCGCCTCCCGGGTTCAGGCCATTCTCCTGCCTCAACCTCCCCAGTAGCTGGGACTACAGGTGCCCGTCACCACGCCCGGCTAATTTTTTGTATTTTTAGTAGAGACGGGGTTTCACCGTGTTAGCCAGGATGGTGAAAGTGCTTTTTTTAAGGTGTAGTTTCACTCTTGTTGCCCAAGCTGGCGTGCAATGGTGCGATCTCAGCTCACTGCAAGCTCCGCCTCCTGGGTTCAAGTGATTCTCCTGCCTCAGCCTCCTGAGTAGCTGGGATTACAGGCATGCACCACCATGCCCAGCAAATTTTTGTGCTTTAAAAAGTAAAAGGTTTTGCACAAATTGACCCATTGATGTTATTCCCCCAGAGGGTCAGGGCTGAGATGGTCTTTCAAAATTACCCAGTCTAATCTCCGGGTTTTTTGTTTGTTTGTTTTGAGACAGAGTCACACTCTATCGCCCAGGCTGGAGTGCAGTGGTGCAATCTCAGCTCACTGCAACCTCAGCTTCCCACGTTCAAGCGATTATCTTGCTGCAGCCTCCCAAGTCGCTGGGACTACAGGCGTGCACCACCACACTCAGCTAATTTTTTTATTTTCAGTATAGACAGGGTTTCACCATGTTGGCCACACTGGTCTTGAACCTCTGACCTCAAGTGATCCTCCCTCTTCGGCCTCCCAAGGTGCTGGGATTACAGGCGTGAGCCACCATGCCCAGCCAAATCTCCATTTTTTTTGTAGTCAGGGACGATAGGTCCCAAGAGGGAAAGCGACTTGTCCAGAGACACACAGCAAGCTGGTGACAGAGCTGGAGTAAGAACTCAGGCGTTCTGACTCCTCGTTCACCCTGTGTACCCTCATTCCACCAGGTCTCCCCACCCGGCTTGGAAGGGCAGGGGGCCCTGCTTCCCTTTGGCTCTCTTTTAGCATAGACTCGTTTCTGTGATAACATCCCTGCCAGCAGTCCTTCCCTTCCGGGCTCATGCTTTACCCCAGAGAGCATGTGGACCCCAGCTCTTCTCTCAGTACAGCCCTCTCCGGCCTTGTCTGGAAAGGCATTGAATATGGGTAGTTTTATTTTTATTTTTATTTTTATTTTTTTGAGACCTAGTTTCGCTCTTGTTGCCCAGACTGAAATACAATGGCATGTTCTTGGCTCATTACAACCTCCGCCTCCTGGGTACAAGTGATTCTCCTGCCTCAGCCTCCTGAGCAGCTGGAATTACAGGCGTCTACCACCATGCCTGGCTAATTTTTGTATTTTTAGTAGAGAAAGGGTTTCACCATGTTGGCCAGGCTGGTCTCGAACTCCTGACGTCAGGTGATTTGCCCGCCTTGGCCTCCCAAAGTGCTGGGATTACAGGTGTGAACCACTGTGCCTTGCCGAATATGGGTAGTTTTAGACATGCTCATGGCAGAATGATCAACAGGCGGAAGAAGTGGGAGGTCCAGCCGATGTGGATCCCTGAGAGCCCATGTCCACAAACAGGGGAAGAATAGTGGCTAAAATAGGTCTTGTAGGGAATTTTAAAGACAAGTGAATTGTCTGTTGAGGCAGCCAAAAAGGGGCTGGCTTCTGCCAGGTGGCAGCCAGGCAATGTCCAGGAGAGGAGATTGCCAAGGAAAGGAGGCTACAAATGCCCCCTCCTTGTGATGTCAGGACCTCCCTTAGCGAGCGATCTGGCCAAGACACAGGGAAAAGACACAGGATCCAGACCCGGGGCTCTGCTCCTTGGACGGCTCAGTGCAGAGAGTCAGCTGGCTGCCTGGAAGGAGAGAGTGGGCAAGGGTGTGAGGGAATCTTTGGGGGCTGTGGAAGCTGTTCTACCTTATGAAATGGGGCTGGGATGGACTGAGGGACTATGCTGTGCTCTGTCATTTGTCCATAAGTACTCTCTACATGCTCTAATAAAACATTTTGTTTTACTCTATCCAATGGGCAGAACCTGTGATATGCTGTCAAGACTATGGGGGAAGGACTCTTTAGGGAAGAAAACCCTATTGTGACTAAAGGAAGGAACCTTCTGTTTGGGGCAGAGAGGCAGACTTGTAAGTCATGACCATTGGTCCACAGAACTGTTTCATCATGCAACGGTGAAACTCTGTACCCGTTAGACAGTAACTCCTGGTCTCCCTTCCCCTCGCCCCCAGCAACCGCCATTCTACTGTGTCTTTATGAATGTGACTACCCTAAGTACCTCATATAAGTGGAATCATACAGTATTTGTCCATTTGTGACTGGCTTATTTCACTTAGCATAATGTCTTCAGGTTCATCCGTGCTGCACTGTGTCAGAATTTCCTTCCTTTTCAAGGTTGAATAATATACCATCGTATGGATATGCCACATTTTGTTTATCCATTCATCCACTGATGGACACTTGGTGGTGTTTGTGTTTGGGCTATTGTGAATAATGCCGTTATGAGGCCAGCCACAGGTAAAACTCACTGAATTCTCACAACAGCTCATGTGGACAGTATTATTTTGAAATTCCATTTTACAGGTGAGGAAACTGAGGCACAGACCTTCTCAAAGTAGCTATTAAGTAGAGAGCTGGGCTTATGAACCCAAGCACTGTCATTCCAGAGCCTGAGCTTAACCTGGACCCCACACTGTCATCTCACAGGGGTGCAGAAGAACATCTAACTAGGCTTGGGGGAAGTCCAGGAAGCCATGGAGGTGATCTGTGAGCTGAGAGTGAAGAGTGAATAGTTCACTGATGGCTGATGGAGAAAAGGGCTAGCCATTCCCAGCAGAGGGAACACCTGTGTGTTGCGGCTAATTACACAAAAACCCATCTCCACTCCTAAGTCATGGCCCCTGTGGTCCTGAAGTAACCTGAATTTGAAAACAGAAGACACAGGAGATTTATTATCTGTGTGGTACCCCCTACTTCCTACCTATCTACCTCCACCACATCATAGGAATCAAGTAGCAAGGCCAAGCCAGACTTGGAGAGATGCCAGCAGAAGCATTTCATAGGCTCAAAAGGACGTACATTTCCCAATCTCTTCCTGACCTATTTCTAACTCCCGTATCCTTATGGGGGTGGAGCTGGAGGTTGAAGGGTCTGTGGGGGAGGTGGGGAAGAGGAGGATGAAACCCCAACAGCTCTTTTGCCCTCTGCCTGTAAGTTCAGCTTATCTTATCCTAATGCATTCTTGACTCCTTGCTGAGAAATGCTGCTTATCTTGCGACTCCATTCTAGTCTCAAAAACCCTGCATTTATTCTTTTTCCTAGAACTCTGAAAAAACCCAAGCTTGGGGAACATGGTTGTTTACCAGAGTCATTTTAACTGCTTATCTAGAAAGGAAAGGAACAAAAGTTGGCCATTCTGGTCATCTCAGCTTAGGCAGCACAGAGGTCATGGAGAAATTTTCGTAGGCAACTGCCTCTACTTACGGGAAAAGCTATAAAAACATACAGTTGTGTACAAGCACAGAAGTGAGACAGGCCCAGGCTCGTGTGGAGATCAAGGACTGCAGGACTTGAGTTCTGAGATCCTGCACATGTGGGCATGTTATATGTACAATAAGCGTGTGGGGTGTCATGAACTGAGATCCTAATAAAAAGAACCAGAGGTATAGAAACATGACATCTTGAAACAAAAGAACGCCAGTGTTCCAGAGATTGCTAGTTGTTCTCCCGTGCCCACTATGCCCATTAACTTCTTCAGAGTAATAGATTTTTTGGCTGGGCTCCATTTAGCTGGGCAAGGCTGCCTTAAACAAGACTATATTTCCTAGTCCCCTTTGTAGCTTTGTGCGGTCAAGTGAGTGAGTTCTGACCGAAGGGATTTGAGCAGAAGTGTCGTACCAGCTTCTGGAAGCCTTCCTTAAGATGTCGTAAACCTAGACTCTGCTATTTACTCTTCATCCTTTACCCTGTCCTGTGATCTGGAATGTGGCTGCTGGCATCTTGGTTTAGGAGGTCAAGGCCACACATGGCGGAGAAACAAGACAGAGGGAAACTGGGAACCTAATAATGTGAAGCACTCATGAGCCCTGGGTTTTTATGTGAGAGACAAATAGACTTTCATCTTGTTTAAGTCACTGATATTATTGTTACCCTTATTATTATTATGGCAGAAATGCCAGAGAAGTGGTGTTGTGTCTCTTTCAGTGCATAAGGAGGTATGTAACATTGATAGTCCTCTGGCTGGGGATGATAACTTTGATCACTTGGTTAATGGGTTGGCCAACTTCTCCATCATAAAGTGAACATTTTCCCCTTTGTAATTAAGCAGTATCTTATGGAGAGATTCTTTGAGATGACATAAATATCCTGTATCCACTAGTTTTAGCATCCATTGATGATTCTTGTCTGAATGAATTATTATCATTATCCTGGTTGCCAAATGATGATTGGCAAATTCCATCATCCTTTCTACATTTATGAGTTCACATTCAAATGTAAGGAGAGGCTTTCCCTTCTCCTTTATATATCTATATATATATATATATATCTATATCTATCTATCTATCTATATATCTATCTATATATATATCTATATATCTATCTATATATATATCTATATATATCTATCTATATATATATCTATATATCTATCTATCTATCTATATATCTATATATATATCTATCTATATATATATATAAACATGGACTCATGGGTTCTTATTTTATTCAGTTGGTTATAATCTGTGACTATCATAACTTACTCTGATATACAGATTTAGCCAGTAGGACCCCTTTTAAGCTGGGTGGTGGTTTGTTCTTCTGACATGATTCCCTTATTTTTTTGAGTACTTCCTTACTAAGTTACTCTTATTTTGAGTTTTTCTGTCACTCTGAATGGAAATGGGTACTAACCATTATAATCAGGCATAGGAGTAAAAGAAATGGATGAGGGCTCTGGGGCTGCCTCCTTCAGCTCTGGACCTAGAGGCCCAGCACTTGGCATGCCGGGGACAGGAAGGGGTTCACAAAGCAGCCACCCTTCAGCTAGAGTTGAGCTGGGAAGGCACTAGTTGCTGCTTGCTCCAAACAGCCTTGTTTTTGTGAAGGACTCAAGCCAGGAAACCTGGGATAGTCACAGAGAAGAAACCCTGTGACTATCCTCAAGGCCTGCCTTAAAGCTGAGGATATATCATGGTCTCTGCATAGAGACTGAAGTAGAAGGGAAAAATCCCTATAACCATCAGCCCAAGTGCATGGAGTTCAAATATTCAGGTAACCAACCTAGAGGAAGGTGCTCCAATTGAACCATCAGAGCAAGGGAGCCAGGTTTGTAAAGAGCTGTAGACTAAGAAGTCAGAGAACCAGGGGAGAGGGAGAGCAAGAGGCAGAAGATTAAAAATTGTGAGCAGCAGGAGGCATCTCCAGGGCACATACAGAAAATCATATTTGTACAGCCTGAGATAAATGGAGAAGACTGTTCATGGTAGTAATGGCCTATGGTATCTGGCCAGATAGGCTCCATTTAGCTGTCCTGAGGCCTGAGGAGATTGTGACTCCAGCATCCCTATAATCAATTTGTGATACATCAGTACTGACAATCCCTGTGGGAATATCTGGTCTAGCAAACCCTGGAGAAAGAGACCACTGCCCCACAACTGATTGAGCTTTCACTCATTCTTAGAGATTCATAGTATTTAGGTTGAAAAAAAAAGCTGCTTTAACAAAAGACTCCCTCATCCCCACTTCCAAAAATAGAAAAAAAATTAAAAAAAATAAAAACACTAAGCTCAAACCAGATGAAAGTGTATTTCTCTCACCTGTAACCATCTGAAGTCCGTGTCACCATGTGAATGCTCCATGCAGTCATTCAGGGAACCAGGTTCCTTCTATCTTATTTCTGCCATCCCCCAGGATAGCACACTTAAACTCGAGTGAGCATCAGAAGTACCTGGAAGTCTTATAAACACAGATTGCTGGGCCCCACCCTCAGAGTTTCTGATTCAGCACATCTGATGTAGGGACTGAGAATTTGCATTTCTAGTTTTCAAGTGGTGCTGATGCTGGTGTTTGGCGGGCAGCTACACTTTTGAGAATCACTGTTCTTAGGTGTTGCTTTCGTCTTTAGGGTCACAGCACATACTCATTGTTGCAGCTGGTGCTCTGGCTTACAGGAGAGAAAAGAGGATGAAAGAGATAGGGCCTGGTTTTAAGGTGCCGGCCCTCTTATTCTGCTGGTGACAAACTTAGTTCCATGGCTGCCTCTGACTTCAAGAAAGGCTGGGAAATACCACGTGGCTTGGAAGTCTTTTGCCCAGCTCCAAACATATAACCATGCATGAAGGAAATAATGGATTCTGTTGGGCAACTAGCAGACTTCACACAGGACTTCACCACTTTGGGAGCAGTTTCAATTCATTTACTCAGACTAGAATTTTTATGCCGAATCCTACTTTGGAGGAGACTATGTTATGATTTCCAAAGAATGTCTGCACCATTTCAACAGGAATTTTTCACAGGGAGGCACTGACAGCTATGTCTGAAGGTTTGGGGTCTGTACTTGCTGGTGAAAACATTAGAATGTCAAGCAACTGCCAAAAGTCTCTGCTTGGCCCCAGAGAAGGCACATTTATCTGGACAGCATCCAAGGAGCTTTGATCAAGAATTTCCAGGGCCATTCCAGGGCAAGTGTGCAGCAAAGTAGGTTGGGTTTATATTATCCAGGGGTGTGTGTGTGTGTGTGTGTTGTGTGACCTAACTAGTTCTTTTTCTCTGGGGACAACCTTCTTCCTCCCTTGATTTATTTTAAGGAATTGGCTCACATGATTGTGGGGACTGGCAAGTCTGAAACCTGCAAGGCAGGCTGGCAGGTTGGAGACCCAGGGAAGAGTTGATATTGCAGCTTGAGTCCAAAGGCAGGCTGAAGACAGAACACTCTCTTCCTTGGGGAACCTTAGTCTTTTGCTTTTAAGGCAATCAACTTATTGGATGAGGCCCACCCACACTATGAAGGATAAGCTGCTTTACTCAAAGTCTACACACAGCAACATCCAGGCTGGCATTTGACCAAAGAGCAGGGTATCATGACCTAGCCAAGTTGACACATGAAATTAACTATCACATTGGTGGAGAATTATACATTCTTCTTGATTAAAATGGTCATTTTCTCAAAACCCCATGGGATACCTCTGCTATCTTCTTTTCTCTCCCCAGTCAGTCCCCGTGCACAGACCTGCACAAATGGCTGAGCCTCATCATTCCTGACAGCGAGGAGATCTTGGATGTGCCAGGCCTAGTGAAAGACCAACAATCTCACTGCAGGGGTGGCTGTCCCATCTCCTCCTACTGGAGCCTGGCTGGGGCCTGGGTTCCCCCTCCATCTCCAGTCTCATGTTGGCGACCATGTGGATACAGCCTGGGAGCAGAGATTGGGATGTGGTGGATAAGACAGAACTATGGGGGGAGTGTGCAAATAAACTGTCTCTTCATATTGCCAAGGACAGTGGCCTGGGCTGGACCCCCTGTCCTGATCTTTGGGGATGGTGGCCAGACAGCTGGGAAGGTCTGAGAGTCACATCATTAGAAGGAGTTTCACAATGTTCTTCCAACCCCCCTAGTCCAGACATGTTGCATTTGGTCAGATCCCTGTTCCCAGCCCCAAACCCTGACAGCCAGTCCCTGGGAGGACATGGTTATGGGGACAAGCATGTATGCTTTTATTCTCTGGAACCCCCTGATCCAAGCCCTCCAGACACTCAAGGAGCCCTTGGTTGGGGAGGGATTCATTCGGTCAGTCACCTCCCTGGAGCATCCTGGAGGAGGCAATGCTTGATCCTCATAATCTTGCAAAACATCTGGCCCCCATGTAGCAGGCCTCACCTTCCTGCTCCAAGTCTCACAACACACCGGATGCATCCTGCTGCCAGAACCAAACGGGGCACCAGACAGAATTCAGGGAGTCCAGAAATTCCTGTGGGTAAACTCACACAAATGCAGGAGCTTGTCGACTCAGAGATGCACAGAGCCACAGCTGTATGGTGATGGATATGATTTCTCACACACACACACACACACACACACACACACACACACACCTACCTTTCTTCTCTGTGTGACAGATGTGTTATGAGGCAAGGCCGTCTAAATTGTCCTTCCAGTGTAAAGTCCATTGAATTTTTCTCCCTCCCTTTCTTTTCTACCTCAGGGACATGGAGTTAATTAATAACACGACTCTTGTCAATTCACGACATCCTGCCATCACTGGTCCTTGAGAGGCCATCTTTTATTAACTAATGAATCAATAGAAATAATATAAAAGATGCTGAAGAAACAAATACACTCATGACACCCAGAGCACGACGGATACTTATCATTACCTGCGTTGTTCTCATCTGCCATGTCCTTGACCTTCCCATTCCCAGGTAACTGCTGACCTGAATCGTAGCTTCATTTTCTTGCTTTTAGTTTTATAAAGCTTTACCAAAGCTCCATTTTCCTACCAGAAATTATGACTTCTTGGTTTAAGTTGTTTTTAAGCTTATACAAAGATTTTATGCTATCTGTCATCTTTTGGGAGTTAACCTTTGCACTCGTATTCCCATTGTTAAGATTTCATGTGTAGTCCATTGCATTGTTGAGAATGTGAATGAAATGATTGCCCATCACTAATGAGGTGCATGCTCATCTTGGCTAAATCTGGCTTTAGGTCAATGAGTAACACAGAGAAATTATTACTTTCTGGGTACCGGGCAAGTGTGTTTTATAGTTCTTGCTTATTTAGCAGGCTTTGTGGGTTTGTCCGTATTTTATGAAACCTGGAAAAGCATTTTCTTTTCTTTTTAAGTGATTGTAGATATTTACAATGATTGGGTCCTTATTTTGATGGCATTGCTGTTTTTATCTCCAGCATGTTTTTTTAATAAGAAGACCTCAATTACCATTCATGTTCAGGCAGGACAGCAGGGCTCCCTTAGGTTTATGAGAATGTTCCAGCTCACGGGAACACGGTGTAGAGAAATGAGGATTCCTTGTGGAGGATTGGTGGGAAAGAATGGGACACATGATGTGATCTAGTCTTTCCCAGATGTCTGGTAGCACACCCTCTGCCCTTCCATGATGACCAGATTGCCCCTTTCACTTGCCACCTTAAGGCTGTGTTAAGGTTCTTTTATTCCCAGGAGCCAGCTATGTGCCTGGAAAAAGAATGCATTCCTGCACTTCTCTTGCTTAACCTTTCATTCCAATGTGAAAAAAGAGTTTCAGGGCCAGGAAAGTGACAGACACACACACACACACACACATACACACACACACACACACACACACACACACACACACACACACACGCACTTAACCATGTCTAGCCTAAGTTTTACCTGGACCACTGATTGGTGCAGTTGTCCCCCAGCTAGTCTCCCTGCTTCCATACAGTAAGTCCTAATTTAGCATCATCCATAGGTTTTTGGAAATTGCAGCTTTCAGCGAAATGACATATAACAAAACCAGTGTTACCATAGGCTAATTGCTATAAACAAGAGTTGAGTTCCTGGCATATTTCTGGTCCCAAAAAGATCACCAATCTTTACCTGCTTATTCCAGTTCAGGATCATGAGTGATCAGGGCAAAAGGCCTGCCCTGGACAGGACAACATTCCATCACAGGAAGCACTCACACCCACACCCACATCCACAATCACTCACACTGGGACCATGTAGACACACACATTCACCCAGCGTGCACATCTTTGGGATGATGGAGGAAACCCGTGCAGACATGGGGAGGACACGCAAACTCCACACAGACAGTAGCCCCAGCTGGGAACTGATTTTTTTTTCTTTTCAACGTCATAATGAAACAATGTTGAAGGAAGCAATGTTTTTTGAGGATCCATTGTACTTGCCCTTAATCTACAATCGATTCTCAAAACAAAAGCCAAAGAGATCCTGTCAAAACCTAAGTCAGATCCTGTCTCTCCTCTGCCCAAAACTCTCCAAAGGATTCCCCATTCAGAGGAAAAGCCAAGCCCTTCTGATGGCCCTATACCACCAGGTCCCTGTTTCTGTCTCCTCTCTGCTCCCTCTGGCCTCAAAATTTCACAAGCACTCAGGTTGGTCGCCCTTGCAGGGCCTCTGCATTTGCGTTTCTTCTGCCTGCAGTGCTCTCCCTCCAAGTCTCTGCATAGCTCACATCCTCTCTTCCTTGCTGAAGTTCTACCATCGAAGTGATCTTATCCAGTCAACTTTTAAAAATTATAATTTCTGCTTGCCTTAAAAAGTCCTCCTATACTCCCTCCATGCTTTTTTCCCTCTTCAAGTCTATGATTTTTGGGGGTCAGCTGCAGTGACTCACTCCTGCAATCTCAGCACTTTGGGAAGCTGCATATCTTCAAGCTATCCTCCAGACAGGAGGATAGCTTGAGGCCAGGAGTTTAAGACCAGCCTGGGCAACATAGTGAGACCCTATCTCTATAAATAAATAAACAAATAAACTAGGTAGGGTGGTGCATGCCAGTAGTCCTAGCTCCTTGGGAGGTTAGGCAGGAGGATCATTTGAGCTCAAAAATTTGAGCTTACAGTGAGCTATGATTGTGCCACTGAACCCCGTTTAGGTGACAGAATGAGATGCTGCCTCTAAAATACATACACACATATATCTATGATACCCTTTAAATCATCTGCAGTGCTCTGTGTTTTGTATGCATTTATAAATTTTTTTTTCTGTCCATCTCCCCATTTGCATCTTTCCCCATTCTCTCTTCAAGAAGGCATATATTTTACAGTGTTAAATCTGCAGCACCCATACACCTGGCACGTGGTAAGGGCTCAACAAATATTTTTAAAGGAGTAAATGAATGGAGGAATGAATGATTTTTTCTCTTTTCACCTTCGTCTGCCTCCACGGGGGAAATCTCTCTTCTGACCTACTATATAACACCTACTATCTGTGATACACAACAGCAGTCCTCAACATTTTTGGCACCAGGGACCAGTTTCGTGGAAGACAGTTTTTGCATGGGAGGTGGGGGATGGTTTTGGGATGAAACCGTTCCACCTCAGATCATCAGGCATTAGAGTCTCATAAGGAGTGCGCAACCTAGGTCCCTCGCATGTGCAGTTCACAATAGGGTTTGTGATTCTATGAGAAGCTAATGCTGTGGCTGATTGGACAGGAGGTGGAGCTCAGGTGGTAATGTTCCTTTGCAGCTACTCACCTCCTGCTGTGTGACCTGGTTCCTAATAGGCCACAGACCCATACCGGTCCACAGCCCAGGGGGTTGGGGACCCCTGATACACAATCTCTTATGGAGCATAAATCTGTCTCATGTTATTCTTTCATTATTACACATCATCCATCAGTGTGTCTTCACAGCTGGAACATGAGGGCCCCTGGACCAAGCATCATACTGTCTCCTGCAACTCTGCCCTTCTCTCTCTACATATAAGAGCACATGGCTCTTTCTCACATAGCACAACATGTTCAAAAGAGGCTTCTCAAAGAACCATTGCACGTTGAGAGGGGAAATTGCCTGGAGATTATGGTGCAATCTGCCACATTAAAGCTACGTCCTATGGAGACTGTATAGGGTGAGATAGTTGCTTCCCAAGTGTGGTACATGTGCCAGTGGTGGTTGTAAGGTGATTTAGGTGAATGCATACCTTTCTGGTTTTGTGTTTGTTTTAATGTGTATTAGAGATTTAATAAGCACATAAAACCCAAGATCTTGTGGCTATTACTGCTTGGGAACACTTTCCTTTTAAAATAAATTGTAAAACATGTATGTGGATTTAAAGAAAATAATACATAAGTAACTGTATAGGGGTTAAGGGCTGAATTGTGTCTTTCAAAACTCCTGTGTTGGGCCGGGTGCGGTGGCTCACGCCTGTAATCCCAGCACTTTGGGAGGCCGAGGTGGGCGGACTGCCTGAGGTCAGGAGTTCAAGACCAGTCTGGCAACATGGTGAAACCCCGTCTCTACTAAAAGTACAAATATTAGCTGGGCACGGTGGTGGGCGCCTGAAATCCCAGCTACTCAGGAGGCTGAGGGAGGAGAATGGTTTGAATCCGGGAGGTGGTTGTTCACTTGGCAGTGAGCCGAGATTGCGCCACTGCATTCCAGCCCGGGCACCTGAGCGGGACTCTGTCTCAAAAAAAAAAAAAAAAAAAGAAAAAAAAATTCCCGTGTTGAAGTCCTAATGCCTGGTATTCCAGAATGTGACTGTGTTGGATAGGGTCTTTAAAGAGGTGATGAAGTGGAAATGCAGTCATTAGGGTGGACCCTATTCCAATACAACTGATGTCTTTATAAGAAGAGATTAGGACACAGGCACACACGGACGGCTAGCCACGTGAAGACACTGGGAGAAGGTGGCCATCTATAATAGAGGCCAGGGAGAGAGGCCTCAGGAGAAACCATCCAGCTGACACCTCGATCTTGGTCTGTAGCCCTCAGAACTGGGAGACAATAAATGTGTTGTTTAAGCCACATGGTCTGTGGTACTTTGTATGGCAGCCCAAGCAAAGGAATACAATAGGTAACATGCGGAAGTGGCAAAGATTGTGAAGGTGGAACCCAGGTGACTAAGTTCGGGGAAAATGTACTGGGCTTGGTTAGAAACCCAACTTTCCCAGTACCCAGCTGTGTGGGCCTCAGCAAAATCTTAGCCTTTCTGAATCTCAGTGTCCCGTTTTAAAGAATGGGGCCAACAGTAACTACCTAGCCAGGAAGTTGTAAGGATTAAAAGTGCAACCGTGAGTTAAGAGCTTGGTGATCAATAAATGGCAGTCTCATTACGGGAAAGCAGGCACCAAGGGGGCGAGGAACATCTCCTTTAATTTCGGTGCCCAAGAAGCAGAATGCTGGGCTTCCTTGCCCCCACCGTCAAGGCCCGCCAAGGTCAGTAGCGTTGGTGGCCCCAGAGGGGGCCGTGGTGCTGAGGGTGGACCTGAGGGGGTCACTTCCCTGTGAGTTTAGTCCTCCAGAAACAAGGAGGCAGGTATTCTTCCCATTTTATGTCTAGGAAAATGGAGCCTCGGAGCGGAGCGGTAATTTGTCCTAGGCCTCTCAGATGACCAGGGCCAGGGTCAGAGTGAGGCCCCGAGTCCGGAGCCGTGGACGGGGCCCTAGGCGACACCAGGGCGCCCTGACTGCGGCCTCCCACTCCGAGACGCGAGTTTGCGGGACGCTCCACCCCTTCCCTCCCGCCCCAGCCCGCCAGCCCCAGGGAAGGGGAGGAGTTCTTGCCGCGCCGACGCCGCCGTCGCCACGGCAACGCGGCCATACTGCGCCGGACAGACCCAGTTGCCTGGTGCTGCGGCCCGGCGTGGGCCTCGTGGGCAGAGCCAGAGCCAGAGCCATGGACAGCCTCTTCGTGGAGGAGGTGGCCGCCTCCTTGGTCAGGGAGTTCCTCAGCAGAAAGGTAACGGCTCGCCCCCTCCAAAGCCCAGGAAGTGGCTCTAATTTGGGGGGATCATCGGGGTCTCCCCTGAAGGCTTTGCAGCTTCTGGGAGGGCGCCCGTTCCCTACCTACTGCCTGCTCCAGAGATGCCCCAGAAGAGCGCCGCTTTCCCGGGACAGGGGAAACTACATTTCCCACGAGGCGTTTCTGCCGTCGTCACCGGGCGCTTCCGCAAGGCACGGTTTGGACCCCGTCCGCTGCCCTCCTGGGGCATCCGCGCTCCGGGGCGGCGGCAGCTGGGGAGGGGGCCTGGGGGCCGCGCCAAGCAATCCTAGCGCGGGCGCACAGCGGGCAGGCCTGCGCCCTAGCCTGGCTGCCGGCCTCCGTGCGCTACCCACGCAAGTCAGGGTCCCACTCGGAAAGAACTTCTCCCAGAGGGAACCCCAAAAGCCCAGAAAAGTTCTTGACGGTCAAACCCTTAGTCATTTTAGTCAACAGTGGGAATTCCAGTGGTTGCTTTAATTTTTGTAAGTTTTCCTATTGTCTTGTCCCAGGAGAGTTTTTGCAGTGTTCACAAGCTTGGAAGGTCCTTAGCTGTCATCTGGCCTCAGGGTGGAGATGGGGACCTCGGTGGGGAAGGAGCTCGCCGGGGGGTCTTGGGCGTGGTAGTGGAGGGGGACATACATTAGCTCATTCAGCACATGGTGACTGAGGGCTGCACTCTGTGTGTTTTGTCTGTCCTTGCAGTGTCATACTGGGCTAGGGCGATGGGTACTTGTCTTGTATGAAAACACATACACGTAATTTTTTGAATGGAGGAAAGGGGAAGGACTTTGAAGTCAGACGGAGACAATTCAAATATTTGCTACTAGTTTGCAGTGTGAACCTCAGTACTTTACTCACTGTCTCAATTTCGTTATCTGTAAAACAGGAAAGTAAGACCTACTCTTTGCAGATTTATAATGAGGATTAATATTAACATATGGGCAGCTTCCAAGCATTGGATCTGACATATAGATACAATGTGCACGTAGGTGTTCAACTTTATACCTCCTCCCACCCTCACTGTTTCTGACACCAAACAGGTGTCTCTGAAGTGCACCTGTTTGGAAAGTGTCTTTGTGTGTTTTTTATGATTTATTTTTATTTGAAAAAATTTTAAATGCGTTTGGCTTTGTCGCATCTGCCCTGTCTTTATGGCTAATTGACCTGCCATCACCTGTCCTGGCTGCATGTTGGATATCAATTGACACACCCTGGAAAGCTGACTGTTAACATCATTTCTTTTAAGTCTGGGTCACTGAAAAAAACTCTTAGAGAGGGCTTCCTCGTGTTCTTTCTTGAGTACAAATGAAATCCAGTGTCCTCACTGACATCCAAGCCTGCCCTGTAGCTTGACCCCAGCTTACCATCTCAATTTCATTTCTAGCCTCTCCCACATCCCTCCCCACCACCCCCCACTTGACATGGCCGAGTTCCCCTGGTCTCCTCTCCCTCGCATGTTTTATCTGGGCACACTAAGGCCCTAAGAGTAGAAAGGAGTTGCCCACAGTTACTCAGAAGGTCACAGTGAGCTGGGACTGCAGCCCAGGTATACTGCTTTCTCATCGCCTTCTGCTCTAGGGCAGAGACCACGTGCTCCCCACAGGGTTTTGCACAGGCAGTCATTGCACCCAGCAGTCGTAACCAAGAGAGCTGCCACCTTGGTGCCAGGTACCTAGAAGGTGCTGGTTTGTTGTCTCAGATCCTCGTAACAGTCCTGAAAGATAGGTATAAGTATTCCCTTTCACATAAGATTATTGTGAGACCAGGAGGCCAAGAAACTTGCCCAGGGTGAGCAGGTCAGACCATGTAATTCCCCTGCTCAAACCCCTCTACTGGCTTCCCATCATAATTAGACTTCAAGTCTCTCCATTACTTGGCTCTGGCTACCCTCAGACCTCATCTTCCATGACTGCTTGCTCCGCCCTCTACCCTTCAACCACTTTGGCCTACTTGAACTCACCAAGTGTGGTCTTCCCTCGGGGGAGTCATGATAGTCTCCTGGAGATGGCAGGGTCTGCTGAGGTGACTCTTCTGCTGCCCCAGCTTCTTGAGTCTGTGGCTCCACTCCTGCAGTGACTGTGCCATCCTCCCTCTGCCACCCTGCCCCATGGTCATGAGCTGGGCTTGTTGTTACCAGTACTGCGCCCTTTCTGTAATCTCAATTCCAAGCTTCCCACCTGTCAAAATTTCTAGCTTGTTTCCCATCATAGCCCCACGTAAACTCTTCTCCAGCCTCACCACATCTATATTGCATTGTTCCTGCCAACTTTTCACAGTCCCTCGGGCCTACCATAACCCACCTACCTCTCACCCACCCATCCTTATAATTGCACCCTCCATAACAGGTGCAGCTCTTTTGCGCTTCTCTCCTTTCATCATTCTCTTCTGACAGTAAAATTCCACTCGTCCTGCTCTACACTTGCGCCCATAGAGCTGAATGAGATTGGAGAGAAACACACACCACTATGTTGATGGTATCACTCTAAATCCATGGCCACTCACCCTTGTGGTGCCTTATGGGTGCCTGCCCACCTGGTTGCAACTCTCCAGACTGTTTACCCTCTGAGACCCTGGATGACCATTTCATACCTTCTCTCTCTTCAAACCCTGAAGCTCCTTCCCCATCTAATTTCACTGAGAAAACAGAAGTCTTGAGAGAAGTCCAGCAGGCTCCCACTACCACACTTACTCACCTTCCTGGGCTGCACCATTCACTCTGCTCTCTTTAGTGTTCTTGTGGATGAATTCTCCATACCCCTGGTTAGGCCCACCCCTCCATGTGTGCATGCCCTCTCTTGTGTGCTCAGGGATGTCGCTGTCTCCTGCACCATGCATTTCCCTCCTCTACTAGGTTACTCCTATCAGCACATGTTGTGCTCCTGCAGAATCCCATCTTGACCCCCAAACCCTAGCTACTGGTTTATTATTTCCTCCCTTTCTATAGAAACCCCATAAAGGACCTGTGTCTACTTTCATTTTAATTCTTTTCTCTGCTTTCTCGAACCCATTTTAATCAGACTTTTGTCCCCATCATTCCATGGAAATAGCTCTTCTTAGGGCCATTATTAACCTGGAATTTTTAGTCCTCGCCCTTCTTGATCTAATGATTATGTTTGTCACAGTTGATTGTGTCCTTCTGCTTGTCTTCTAGGAGACTGTCCCTCTTAGCTTTCCTCCTACTCCTCTGGGTGCTCCCTTCAGGGTCTTCGCTGGTCCCCCTAGTTTCTCTGTCCTGTGCACTCTGGTGGGCTCAAGGACTTAGTTTATGGCTCTCTTCTCTTCTTCTTTCCGTTCACTCTCAAGACATCTCAGCCAGTCTTGTGGATTCCCATACCATCTATATGCTGACAATTCCCAAATGTCTATCTCTAGCTGAGACCTCTCCTTGAACTCTTGAATTCTTACAACTGCCTATTCTACATATCTACTGGGATGTCTAACAAGCATCTCAACATGTCTCTGATAGTGTTTCTGCTCACACTTCAGACACCAAATGTATGGGGATTTTTCCTCCATACAAACTAAATCTCCAACTCTCCAGACACCAATTGGGTGTCGTACAATTCAAATCAGTCCTGACACTACCAAGAGTTAGTGCAGACCCTGCAGGTTAAGTCACGCTCATGACTGCCCCCACTTCAGATGCTAGTCAGAAGTCCCAAGTTGCCACCTGAACTTCTGACCAACTAGCTATAAATTGAGGGTTCCCACAACCCCCTCCACAGTTTTAATAATGTGCTAGAATGGCTCACAGAACTCGGAGAAACACTTTACTTACATTTACCAGTTTACTATAAAGGACACAATTCAGGAACAGCCAGATGGAAGAGATGCATAGGGCAAGGTGTGGGTGGAGGGTCATGGAACTTCTGTGCCGTCTTCAGCATGCTGCCCTCCCAGCACCAACCTGGGAACTGCCTGAACCCCATCATTCAGGAGATTTTGTGTCAATTCTGCTATATAGGAATGTTTGATTAAATCATTGACCATTGGTGGTTAGCTCAATCTATAGCTTCTCTTCCCTCTCTGGGAGATTGGGAGGTAGGGCTGAAAGTTCCAGCCCTCTAATCAAGGTTTGCTCTTTCTGGTGACCAGCCCCCATCCTGAAGCTATCTAGGGGTCCCCATCCACTAGTCATCACATTAGCATACAGAAGACATTCTTATCACCTTGGAGATTCCAAGGATTTTAGAATCTATGTGCCAGGAACCTGGGACACAGAACAAATATATATTTATCATAATGTCCAAAACTCAATTTCTGATTTCCTGTTCCTCCTACAACTGTGCCCATTGGAATAAATGGCATCTCTGTCCTTCTAGTTGCCTGGGCCCAAAACTTTGGAATTATTCTTGGCTTGTTCCTTTCTTGTGCACCTCATATCCAGTCCATCAGCAAATCTGTTGGCTTTATCATCAGAGCACATACAGAATGTAGCCACTTCTTACCACTTCTGTTGCAAACACCTTGCTCCAAGCCACCCCTTTGTTTCATGTGATTTGTGAATTGTTCAATAGCCTCCTAAATGGTTTCTCCTTAATCTCCTGCCTCCTACAGTTTATTTTCAACCTAGCAGCCAAGTGATCTTTCAAAAATATGTCAGTTCAAAATAGTAGCCTTCCCATTTCATAAAAGCCCACAAGACCTTTCCTTATGAGTCTCTGGGTGACTTCTGACTTCCTTACCTCCTTTCCCCTGCCATGCAGCTCTAGATGCACTGGCCTTTTGCAACTGGCTCAGGGCCTTTGCACTTGCTGTTCCTTGCCTGGAACACTTTTCTCCCAAGTGTCTGTGTGGCCTGCTCTTTTGATTCCCTCATCAATCAATGATGCCTTTCCTGACCACCTTTGATAAAGTAGCAGCGCATCCCCACACCCACCCTAGCCCTCTCTGTCTCCTTATCCTACTTTGTATGTTTTTTCCCCATATCATACTATACTTGTTGTCTCTCCCCCTATAGAGTGCAAGCTCCCTGAGGACTGGGACTTTCATCTGTTCACTGCTCTGCCTCTAGCAACTGGACTTACGGACTAGTGGTCTGTTCCCTTCGTTTCACAGATAGGGAAACTGGGACAGGAGTGAGCATGTGGATGATGCTGAACAAATAGCTGGCCATCTAAAACAGTGGCCTTCATCCTTGTCTTCCCTCTCCCTGCTTTGTCTCCCTCGTAGTGCATATTAGCAGCTGCCACACTATACATTTATGGTCTGCTTTCCCAACAGAACATCAGCTCTTATTCCTTCTGTCTCTCCTGCATCTAGAACAGAGCCTGGCACATAGGAGGTGCATGACAGGTGTTTGTTGGGCGAATGAAGTTTGAATGGGCTGGATGGGACTGAGGACTGGCTGACTCCCAAGGGCACCCTTGTCCTCTACCCCAATGGTATTTCTTTTCTTTTCTTTCCTTTTCTTCTTTCTTTCTTTTTCTTTTTCTTTTTTTTTTTTAGAGATAGGGTCTCACTCTTTCATCCAGGATGGAGTGCAGTGGTGTAATCATAGCTCACTGTGGCCTTGAAGTCATGAGCTCAAAGATTCCTCCTGCCTCGGCCTCTCAAAGTTCAGGGACTGCAGGCCTATGGCACCATGCCCAGGCCCCCGGTGGTTTTCAAATGCTGGTGTGCATCACGCTCTAGAGCCAGGGTAGGGGTGGGGTTTGTTAAATGTACAGGGCTTGCTGATTTGAACTGTTGACAGACATAAAGAATTATCCATCAGAGAGAGCCTCGTTATAGCATGTTCCACATCACTTTGACTGGAGGGAAAGCCATGGTTAAGCCCAGATGAAATGCGGGTGGTTGGTTTTGAACCCCACCTCTCCTTCAAATGGACTCTTCCCGATGCACCTAATCCACCTTTTTTCTGACCCATATATCCATTTCTTTCCATTTCCCTTCCCTACGGCCTCCTCTTTCCTCTGTTTGTTTCAAGATTGTGTTCTTTTAGTTTCCCAAATTGACCTTCTTAGCTAAATTCATGGTGGGCATGGGTTTTGTCATGTTTCCCCAGCAGCTAGAGCCTCTGTAAAATTCTGAACACAAAGGCTCTGGGAGAGGCTGAAGCCTGTGTAGCACTGGGGGTCTGGAATCCATTAAGAACAAGGAACACCCCTAACACCAGGCTGAGCTGTTGGTGAGGCATGTTCTCAGCCTCCAGCCATTTGACAATCACCATGGCCCAGTGAGGTGGGCAGAGAGCAACTGCTGTGGTTGTTTTTCAAATAGAGAAGCCAGGCACTTGCGAACAGGACCCTCACTTCGCCAACCCCAGATTTTCCATTGCTAGAGCATGTCTCAGCTGGGCCTTGAACCTTGGTCTTCTGGCAGTTCAGGGTGGGATGATGGAAAGTGGCTTTGCTCATGACTTAGCATTTACCAAGAGCTTCTCATGGGCCTGGGTCCCAGAGTCATGGACTCACAGTTTGGGATGGTTACAGCCCCCACCTGTGATGTGATTCCATTGTGTTACATTGGGCAAGTCAACCCCATCTCCTGGTTTCCCCATCTGAGAGTGAAGGGAATGAATATTAGCCTTTTGTTTACATTTTTTCTTTTGTTTAATTTTAAAGCTTCATATACTATGGTTCCAAATGTAGGGCCAAACCCAGGACTCCTGTGCGCGAGTCCTGAACTCACTCCTTATCTGCGAAATGGCCTGAAAACTTCAGCCTTCACTTAGCCCATGGGGCTGTTGTAAGAATCAGAATAATATTAATTATTGCAAAGGTGATGTCAAGTGTAAAGGTTATATGAGAATTATCTTGGTGAACATCAGGAATCGTTTGCTTGTGCTTTATGAGAACAGCGGGTTTTGATTTAAGATGGTAAACAGCGATTCAGCTTTCTTCCCTCAGGGCTTAAAGAAGACATGTGTGACCATGGACCAGGAACGCCCACGCTCTGACCTCAGCATAAACAACAGAAATGATCTTCGAAAGGTTTTGCATCTTGAATTTCTCTATAAGGAGAACAAGGTATGTGCTTTCTAAGGTGTGGTGTGGAGTCTTGGAACTGAGTTTGGCACTGCCAAAGCACTCATGGGCCCTGCCAGTGACAGGAGAGGCTTGAGGTTCTCCTGGCCTGTCACACTTGCGGTCAGAGAGAAACGGACCCCCCAAATGTGGACAGATCCCCAGCGGGAGTGGGTTTTCCATCTCGGTCAGCTGGTGCCGCCCATTGGCGTGTTGTGTGTGTGTGGTTGTCGGGCTCATTTTGAACAGAGCCTGTGGCAGTGCTCAGCCTCCCGCAGTTATTCCCTGTGCTCCCTCCTCCCAACATGAGGCTATTTTTAGTAAGACTGTACTTAAGAATATCGTATCCAGTTATACTAAAATTTTCCATGCCCTGCTTATGTAAGAGTTTCCTTCTTCAGTTCTGAGTAATACCTTAGTCTTGAGTCTCCTGTGACATATAATTTAGGTAGAGGAGGGAATTGGGTTCAGCTAACCCAGGTGCATTAGAGTTGGAAAAGCAAATGGAACTGTGTTTTCTTGGGCGGGAAGGGGGCTTCTCTGATCCCCCAGACTTGATCTCCCCCAACCTGCTATTATAGGCTTTCATGGCACCCTCTAGTTTTCCTGTTTTTGTGTTTATCACATTGGCAATAGAATATTTATGTGATTTTAAAATTAGTATCTGCCCCCCGCCAATACCTTGGACACAGCAGAAGCCAGAAATGCAGTCTTTTTTGTTCACTATTTTATCCCCAAACATAAAGTGTTGTCCGATGGCATAGTGAAATATATTTGTGGAATAAATGAATGAATGACTATACGAATGAATGAAACTACACTTTCTACTTAAATTTTTAATTTGTTATGAAGACAGAAAAAGAATGGGCTGTCCAGCAAATGTTGCTGTGTGGTTGGGCATAGTGTCAGAGTCAAAAAGAAAATGATATAGTTCAGCATTTATCACAATTTTTTAAAAAAGCAATAAAATGATATCTCATGTGGAAGTCCAATATGCAAAGCAAAGAAGGGAAAATGCCCTATTTGAAGTGGGGAAAAGGAGGTCTTGCTTTATCGTCTAGCCTCTCAGCGTCCAGCTTTAAACCACTGATCAATTCCCTTCTCTCAGGAGGGGGAGCTGTGAGCCAGAGAGAGTTGGCTATCCAAGGTCTCACAGTCGGTTACCAGGTAGGGATGAGGCTAGAACCAGGTGTTTTGATTCCCAATTCTATTGTAGGAGTGATGATCAAGCATATTTTAACTGTAATCCTTTTTTCAAATGAGACTTCAGCAGATTGGATTCGTATGGTGGTAGGACCAAGGCTATTTTTTAAGACACCCAGAAGATCCACTGAACCACTTGAAAACTACGCAAGTACATGTCATAGGCCAGGGAGGAACCTATGCCAGGCATCTCTCAATAAAGTAAAGGATGGAATTTCAGGCAAACATATAAACTAAAAACAACTGGCACCTACAGGAGCACTCAGGTTGCCAGAAATTCTCTTGCTCCCCTTTGAGGAGAAGTAGGCAATGGCAGCCCCGTGAAGTCTATCAGAGGCTCAGTGAAGACATCAAATAGAAGGCCTTTGTCCTCTGGGTCCTGGGGTGACATGCAGGCACCTCTGTCTCCTGTCCTGTAGCAAGTACTTTCTAAGTCCTGTGGAAAGACTGGTGACCCAGGCAGCAGATGCTCTGCAATCCTCCGTCTGCTGTATTCTAAGGCAGGAGAGTGGACTGTACACTTTAGGAGAATTTTGCGCAGAGAGTGAGACAACTACCCAGAAAATTCAGTTAACCATTCTGGTTACATTGGGCTTTTAACGTAAATGTACCTTACCTAATTTCCCAAAAGTGTCTTTGACATTCAAGCTATTTTTATTCCCTCATTGTAATATAGTCTCCCTAAAGTAGTTGTTATCTTAAGATACTTAAGATATTTTCATGAGATACTGATAAGTGCCCTGATTTATACAGCAGTTATTAGCTGTTATACAATGAATCGGAGTGTATATTTTACAGGAAAATTACTCATTAATATCTACTACATAATAATTTTGACATTCATTCAGCACAAAGCTCGCCTGATTCCAGGAAAGCCCTGCAATTTAATGTTAATATTTCTAGTAACTTGTTCTAACCTCTTAGGTATAGGATAGATAAAAATGCCTATGTAAATTGAGATTTTGAAAAACAATATCTAGATTCATATAAAGGCTGTGTCTGTTGTGAGCCAAGTGATGTGAAAAAGCATAAGGGATAGTCAGGCAATTCAGGGGCTTAAGTCTCTCTTACTGAGAGAAAAAGCAAGAAGGCTACAATAAATATAGGATCTTTCCCCTAACTCTCTTTATTGTAAGCTTCATTTAATCTTAGACAAAATAGTTTTTGTTTTTAATCTCTTACTGAAAAGAATAGTAAAACTGTCCCGGGTTTTGTCTGATGAATCTGTTGAGTTTGGTTGTAGTCCATGGGCTGTGGGTCTTAGTCCTGGAGTCCTGCTGCATGGATGAGAGGAGTAGGAAGGGGGAGGACTTGGCATGCCCTGAGGGCCTGCTCTGCCAGACTCCTTGTCAGGTGCCTGGCTAGTCTGCAAAATCACAGAGTGCCCCATGTCCAGCCACGGCTCGGCAAGACTGGGTGTCACTGGGCGAGTGGGTTGGGGACTGACACATGGCTGGGTCCCTGAGGCCAGCCTGCATATTGCTGCATGCATAGCTGTGTTTATCCAAATTACTTAGGGGAATTTAAATCCTTGCTGTTGTGGTGTAGTAAGTGTCAGTAAGGTGAGAGAATCTGTATTTTTAAAAAACATCCAAAGGGAATATTTGATATAGGCAAGGATGGAAAATACTGGTATCGTTTAATTCCAAAACCTACTACTGAAGACTTTCATTTGCCTTTTGTTTTTAAGGTTGGGGTGTAAAGTGAGTCAGTCCTGACTGCCTCTCTGTGCTCTTCACATTGACCTGCTTCAGTTGTCTCTATCATCGCTGGTGTCAGTGTTAGATGCAGAGCTTACAAGCTAAAAAAATATTCAGGCTGCAAATACTTATGAATCTGTAGGGTTAGTGTTCCCTACAGACTCCGTTTTTTAAATGAAGGGATATATATTTTATAAAGTTATTCCTTGGAGCAAAAAATGAAGAGGAAATTTGCTTAGGCATGCCTCTATTCCTATCACATTTTATTCTAGTTGTTTATTGAATCACCTGCCTCATGCGTTGGATGCTAGTTCTTTTAGGGTAGAGATTTTGTTTTTGTCTCTGTGTCCGTACCCAACATAGTACCTGACATATATAATATGTGGCCAGTAAATGTTGGCTGAAAGCTTGTATGAATGAGTGAGAAGTTGATAAACTTAGTCAAAGAAGTGGAATAGTTGTCTTTTCCACTCTTCCCTGAAGCTGTATATAAATTAATGATTTTTTTTTCTCTCCCAATGATAGGCAAAGGAAAATCCTCTAAAAACAAGCCTTGAACTCATCACCAGATACTTTCTGGATCACTTTGGAAATACGGCTAACAATTTCACTCAAGATACCCCAATCCCTGCACTCTCAGTTCCAAAGAAAAATAACAAAGTGCCATCAAGATGCTCAGAGACTACACTGGTAAATATATATGACCTTTCAGATGAAGATGCAGGATGGAGAACATCATTGTCAGAAACAAGCAAAGCCAGGTATCTTTTCCCATTATTATGTTTATTAGTTTCCTATTGCTGCCATAACAAATTACTATGTACTTCATGGCTGTTTCAGTCAGTATTCTCCAGAGGAACAGAATCAATATAGTCTCTGTGTGTGTATGTTTGTGTGTGTGTGTGTGTGTGTGTGTGTGTGCATGTATCTATATGCATATGTACCTGTATGTATACATAAAGAAGTTTGGCCAGGTGCAGTGGCTCACGCCTGTAATCCCAGCACTTTGGGAGGCCAAGACAGGAGGATCATTTGAGGCTGGGAGTTCGAGTTCAGCCTGGATAACATAGAGAGACCCTGTCTCTACAACAACAACAAAAAATTAGCTAGAGGTGGCAGTGTGCACATATAGTCCCAGCTACTTAGGAGGCTGAGGCTGGAAGATCACCTGAGCCCAGGAGTTCAAGGCTGCAGTGAGTTATGATCACACCACTGCATGGTAGCTTGGGAGATGGAGTGAGACCCTGTCTCTTAAAAAAGAAAAAAAAAAGTTTATTTTAAGGAGCTGGCTGATGGGACTGTAAGGGCTGGCAAGTCTGAAATCTGTAGGGCAGGCTGGAAATCTGGAAACTCAGACAGGATTTTTATGTTACAATCTTGAGCAAGAATTTATTTGAGAAACATCAGATTTTGCTCTTAAGGCCTTCACCTGATAGGATGTGGCCCACCCACATCATTGGGATAATCTGCCTTACTTAAAGTCAACTGATTGTAAATGTTAATCACATTTACAAAATGCCTTCACAGCAACAGCTAGATTGATACTTGACTAAACAATTGGGTACCATAGCCTAGCCACATTTTTAATCCTCACAGTAGTTAAAGCAATACCAATTTATTCTCTTACAGTTCTGGAGGTCTGAAGTGTAAAATCAGTCTCACTAGACTAAAGGCAAGGTGTTAGCAGGCCTGGTTCTGTCTGGAGGTTCTGAGGGGAAAATCCATTTTCTTTTCTTTTTTAGCTTCTAGAGGCCACCTATGTGCCTTGACTCTTGGCCCCTTCTTCCATTTTAAAGGACATCACTCTAGCCTCTGCTTGTGTTGTTACATCTCCTAACTTTACTACCTTTGATCCTCATGTCTCCTTCTAAGAAGGACCCCTGTGATTACATTGGGCCCACCAGATAATCCCATTTTAAGACTCCGAATTTAATCACATCTGCAAAATCCTTTTCACTGTGTAGCTAGCCCACTTACATAGTTAACCAAAAATGGGTTAACCCACTTATGCCTAGTGTTCCATTATTGGAACACTAAGCATGAGGGAGTTATTTATATCCTACTGCTCAAGGTCATTGCCAAGGTCTGATTTTTCACTCATGCAAAAATTTAAAAAATTACAACCTCTGGCATAAATGAATTAATAGATTCTGGGGATCAGGATGTGAAAATCTTTGGGGGGGTCACTATTCAACTTCCCACGCTTTGTGTTTTCAAAATCTCTGCTGTGAAGTGCTGTTATTTTCCTGTTGAGGCTGTGAGAATGGACTACTTTGTGATGAAGAGTAGTTACAATTCACTGTTTATTTTAAATTCCATGATCGTAAGGTTCAAGCACTTGCTTTATTTGATTTTCGTAAAAACAGGGGTATGGTATTCTAAAAGGCAACAGAACACTGCAGAGATGGGAAAAATCTGGAAAATAAGCTCTTTTAAAAATCTTATAAAGAAAATGAATTGGCATTCTTGATTGAACCTCTATTATCTGGAAAACAATGACATTAAATTATGACCTTAAGACACTGCAGTCCCCAGTAGTGAGCTTAACTTCCTGGGAATGGGTGCTTTCTTCTGGTTCCATTGAAAAGCACTTCCTTTCCTGAGGGTCGCTGAAGCTCAGGGTATGGGTGTCGAGCTGCCAAAAGGTGGCACCATGACAAGCAATTAGCACAAGGATTCAGAGGTGGAGGTTCATAAGGGGCTATGAAGAAGCTCTTCCTCCGAGGCACTTACTACCTGGCTGGGAAGTGAAATACTTCTGGTACAATAAAAAGGCAACTAGGAAGTTGAAGCTCCTGAGTCCCACCCAGTTACCCAAGCCAAAAATTTGGGTGTTCTTGCCTCCGCCTCGTCCGTCATCTTCTGCATCTGTGAGTCCTGTGAGCTCTTCACCCAGAGTGATAGTAGGCACTTTCCTTCTTTCCTCCTTTCTCTGCCCACCGGCGAGGGCCTCAGTTCACACTCCCATCCTCTTTTCCTGGTTAATTCCCACAGCCCCTCCCTGGTCTCCAGGGCTCTAGTGATCTTCCCCTCAAATCCGCCCTTGCCCTAAGATAGCGTGAGCTTTCCACGAAAAGAGTCTGGCCATGCCGCTATCCTGCCGAAGGGCTTCAGACGTTCCCTGCAGCTTTCATGGTAAACTCCTTAGAATACAAGCCCCGGCTGCTCCCCTGAGCACATTCTGCCTTAGAGGCCTGCGTGCTGGGGCTGGGCCTTCTGGGGACCTCTTGCTGCCTGGTTCTCTCAGACTCAGGTGCTGCCTTCTCTGGGAGCCCTTCAGAATTTCCCCAGGCTGGTTCCAGCCTCTTCTCTGCCTGACATGCCGCAATCACAAGGCTGGTTCCAGCCTCTTCCTCTGCCTGACATGCCACAATCACAGCACACACGACTGCCCCTCCCACATGTGACCCAGTGCCTGGTAAGCAGCTTGGCATAGGGTAGGGGGCAATACCCATTTATGGCAGAGCCCAGTGGTAGAAAATAGCTGAGCCTGTGTCACAGGAGTGCTGGCTTCTGGGTGATCAGAGGTAAGATTCCCCTTTGCCTAGGTCTCTCACTTTGTCTCGTGGGCTCTCTCTTGTTCTTTCTCACTCTGTGCTTATTCTCACTGTCTCTTGCCTTCTTTTTTTTTTTTTTTAATTGATCCACACTTTATTCAATGGTGTGCCCAACACAGTCTCAGAGACAAAGAGCAGTCTGAAATTTCCAGATGCTTTGGTAGGTCAGAAGCACATGCCATCCACCCTCTTACACTCCGCTCAACTCCCCTCACCTTCTTTTGTTCTTTCTTGCTCTCTTACTTCCTCTCTCTCTCTCTGACACACACACACACACACACACACACACACACCCATTGGCACACCTGACTTCAGCTTTAGCTGAACAGTGGGGAATGCCAAGTTTGCTATGGGTCTTCTCCACGCCTCTCAGTGGTGTGCGGCAAGGCTGGGCTTCGCATACCGCATGACTGTACTGAAAGGTTATAGTTTTCCTTAATCATTCAGGTCTGGAAGACTAAGGATGCTCTTTAGTCTTAAGGACTTGAGGGGTCCTGTTATGGATCATCATCTCTGAATTTGTTTGCTTGTTTACTGGTCTTATTTTATAGGGCAGACTTGCCTTGATACCAGAGTATTTTCTGTTCCTTGTCTTTCATGATAACGCACTGGCTGGTTAGAAGTCATCATAGATTTATTAATGGGCTTGCTTTGAATGCACATTGAATGTGGAATTTGCTATCTTTGTTACTGATTCCTTTTGGGGAGTCTGTTTTAATGGAAATATTCCTTTTTCACAGACATGACAATCTTGATGGAGATGTACTTGGTAATTTTGTATCATCTAAAAGGCCCCCGCACAAAAGTAAGCCCATGCAGACGGTCCCGGGTGAAACTCCTGTGTTGACTTCTGCATGGGAGAAGATAGACAAGCTTCACTCGGAGCCTTCCTTGGATGTGAAGAGGATGGGAGAGAATTCCAGGCCAAAGTCTGGTCTGATTGTGCGAGGCATGATGTCTGGGCCCATCGCCAGCTCCCCACAGGTGGGGCTGTTGCTCTTTCTGTTGTTATGGGACTGGAGGCTGAGAACTGGGCTGGGCTTAAGGCACGCCTGGGTTTATTTGGGGTACCCCACAGGGCAGTCCGAGAAGAGGGTCTGTGTGTGGGGTGGGAAGAACAGTGCCTCTGTTTTCTCCCTGGCTCTACTGTCAATGACACGTGGGGCCTTGAGCAGGCCTCCTTTCCTGCCCTTAGCTTACCCATTTTGTTTGTGAGGTGGATGCCATGGTTTTCTGTTCCTCTGCTGGGTAAGAATACCTACTCAGCTTTGTCTTTGCAGTTCAGGAGTGGAGAACCTATCCAGGTTCAGAGAGCATCTTTAGGCTGAGTGTGGTGGCTTACACCTGTAATCCCAATGCTTTGGGAGGCCAAGGTGGAAGAATTGCTTGAGCCTAGGAATTTGAGACCAGCCTGGGCAACATAAGGAGACACTTGTCCCACCGCCCCATCTCTACAAAAAATCAAAAAGTTAGGCAGGTGGGGTGATGTGCATCTGTAGTCCTAGCTACTCAGGAGGCTGAGTGGGGAGGATTGCTTGAACCTGGGAGGTTGAGGCTACAGTGAGCTGTGATCATGTGACTGTACTCTGGCCTGGGCAAGACTGAGACCCTGTCTCAAAAAGAAAAAAAAAAAAAAAAAGGAAAAAACAGCATCTTTTAAAATAAATCTAAAACACAATAGTCAAAAGGGGCTAAACCCCCCAAGCCTTATAGTTTCATTTATTCTGCTTTTATTTTTTTCTCTTTCAAAGAAAGATTATAAAAATTTCACATTATTGTTTTATAGTCTCTCTTACAGGGTGACCATGGTAGAATTCCATTAGGCAGAGAGACAAAACAAAATGAGAGACAAATGTAAAAGAAGTTTGTAAAACAACAATCAGAAAAGCAAAACAAAAGCAAACACCAAACTCAAAGTGCCGTATCAGTCAAATCAGGGAGCCTGAGCCAATCAAAAACAGGGTGTCTGTGTCCACCTGCGCTCTCACTTACCTGCTGTATGTTTAGGTGTGGGTGCAGGTGCTGGCACTGTTCTCCCAATTCATTTGGAATTAGGATGGAAAGAAGTGAGTCCTCTCCCTGCCCCTGGCTCTATCTTATGGGGTCTTTGGTCAAGGTTTTTATTTCTCTTGGCTGCAGTCTCTTCTATTAGACCAGCTGTCTAAGGCCCCTTAGGGCTCTGGGATTTCAGTGCTGTCAAGATCATGCAGTCTTGGGGTCCAGATCAAGGAAGAGCCTTCCCGCCACTGTGTAGTTCAGGCCACATCTTGATGTCATACCCCATTCTAGGCCTTCTTGTTGGAGAAGGACATTCATAAACTGAACCCTGTCCAGGGGAAAGGGGCTAGAATGGTGAACAGTTTGGAGGAAATTAAAAGATTTGGAGATGTTTAATCTTGTGGGAGGTTGGCAGAATGTAAGAGATTTCTTCGAATATGGAGGTTGGAATAGCCCATCTCCATGTGAGATAAACTCTATTTGCAATCTTGAGCTTAGTCTGTAAGCCTCCTGAGAGCAGGACACTGTTGTGTTTCTGTGTAGTGCATCATGTGTGCTTGCTGGCACCATTATTGGGTTGAGTGGTGTAGCCTTGCCTAGTAGCTCCAGACAGCACAGCTGGCACCAGTGGATGGAGGTTGGTATGGGAGCCTTCCATTAGTCAGAGCCACCTCAGCAGTGGAAAAGGTTGTTTTGGAAGGGACTCGGCTAGTTATGTAAAAGGGAAGTTAGGTAACCCATCTGCTGGGGACACTGTGGAAGGAGCCCTGCCTGGGTGACAGTTTAGACCACATCAGTGGTTCTTAGACTTTTAGCCTCAGGCTCTCTTTATACTCTTAAAATTATTGTGGAGTGCAAAGAGCTTTTGTTTATGTGGGTGTGTCTATGCTATTTACTATATTTGAAATTAAAAGTGAGAAGTTAAAAATATTTACTTACAAAAATCATTAAAAATAACAGTAGTAAACCTGTTGCATGTAACATGGTATATTTTAATGAAAAAATAACTATATTTTTCAAAACAAAAAATTAGTGACATGAGTAGCATTTTTTTGCAGATCTCTTTAACGTCTTGTTTAGTAGAAGACAATTCAAGCCTCATATTTGCTTTTGCATTCAGTGCGTTGCAATATGGTGTTTTGGTTGAAGTGTATGAAGAAAATCTAGCCTCACACAGATAAGCAGCTGGAAAAGGGAAAGTATTTTAATAGTCTTTTCAGAAAACTGAGATATTTTTCTTTGATACTACACCAAAACTAGACAAGTTGTAGTTTCTTAATGTGAAATCTTAAACCATATCAGTGAACTTTTTGTACCTTATCAGTTTCGCTTGATATGTCTTGCACTTTGAAGTTTTTACCCCTGAATGATTTAGTAACATAATATATTGGCCATTTGGAAAATATTGGTTAGTGAGTTATATAGATCTTCCAAATGTGGACACATCTCATTAGACAAAAAGAAAATCACACCAAAAAATTTCATTCATTGATGTCACCCCCAGCTCATCCAAGAAGTTTTTAAGTATTGCAAAGCTCTCAAGCTCACGGTGGCAGATAGAAGTTTTCCAAAATTCTAATTTTTACCTGACAGCTTGTGTTTTATCACTGACAAAAATACACTATTTGTTTCCCTTGAGGTGACAGGCTCAACTGATTTTCAAGAAAATGCCTGCCAAATACCCACGCTTGAGTAACCATAGTTTGTCTGTCAGTGGTTCCATGAAAAAACCAGCAAGTTCACTCGCAGCCTAGATGGTCGTGCAGTGCCAGCTGCCATCCTCCACGGTCAGCGGAATGCCTGCCGTGTCCCTCCCACTGTGTCACTCAGGGTGTTGAAGAGGTGTGTGCTGGAGAGTCTAAGGGCATAAAATGAATAATTTTTGTGTCAGCATGGACATTCCTCGGTGAAGTCAGCACTTTATTCACCTATTTTCATTGTGAGTGTGTTGGTGGTAAAGAGGGCCTTGGGCACTAGTGGAGTTTGTTGCCATTGCCTTGATTCATGCCTGGGGCCAGCAGTTTTTCCCACTGTTGCTTTGTGCACAAAGTCAACACAGTGGAAAAAGGCAAATTGTGTCATCTTACTACTATGAAAATAGTTTTGAATTCCCTAAAAGGATCTGGGGACTCTTAGGGGTTGGTGGACTACTCTGAGGACCGGTGAACCAGAGAGGAGCGCCAGGGTCCTGTCTTAGCATGACGTCCTGATCATCAAGCGTGTCCAGTGGAGATGCCCTTTATACCTGTGGTGTGAGGGAGATGGCTTGGACCTGCTTCACTGCCAAGGGCATTGCTGCAAACTTCTCCTTTTGGTAATTGTTTTGGGAGGTGGTATCTGAAACCCACAAAGGATGTTGAAGGATGGGTTGCTATAGAATTTCGCCAGATTCTCTAGAAGGGACATTGTGGCCTTTGAGTACCTTGGCCGTACTTATTGGTTGCTCAGGAGAAAAGCTCCAAAGATTGTTGGGTATTTCATCATATTTACTACATCACTTCTGTATTTAAGAATGACTTAAGAGGCTGGGCTCCCTGCAGCAGCTCCAGCTCCCTTCAGCCAGAAGTTTGAGTCTCCTCGGGAATGGTGACTAATGTCTTCCTCACTTTGTGGAGGGGATGTCCTGAGTGGCTTTGGGAGGAGGTTTATAGTGCTTAGTAATGTCTGCTTAGCCAGAACACTACAAAATTAAGGTTTCCTTATTCCAGTCCAGGCTTTACTATTTGGTCTTGGATTATTTCTGGAAATATTGAGAGGTTCAGAATTTTAAACCAAGGAAAAGCCTGGTAGGTCTGTTTTTGTCTCCCCACCCTCCCATTAATAACAACATGAGTTCCCATTTCCTCTACTCATCTTTGACGGTAAGGGAGGATATTTGGATATTTCAATTGACTCCTCTAGAATTCCTTCATTTCAAAAACTAAGCAAATCTTGAGTGCCTGTTAGGTATAGGCTGCTGAGCTGTGTGCTCTGTGAACACCAGAGGCGAATTAAGAATGACCTCTGCCATCAGGAGGGGGTTGAGACCATATGTAAGTGGGCACAGGGCAAATACGCATAGGAGTAGTGAGCGTTTGCTGACTGCTGCAATACGTCTGGCTCTGTGCTAGTGCCTTGCACAGGTCTCATTTCATCCTCCCTACAGTCTTGTTGGGGAGAAGTACTACAGGTGCCTCATCCCTCATCCAAAACCTTTGGGCTGGATGTCTTTTGGAATTTATAATTTTTTTTTTAATTTTGGAAAGGAAGTACAGTGCATGAGCCACATACCACATACTGCCTTTACTAGGGTTTGTGGTAGCACCCATAAGCAAAAAACATGACCATTTCAGCAACTCCATGTATGAATATTCACACTTTAAAAAGACTGTAAGCAGCCTCACAGCAGTTAAGAATTTACCACAGGATTTTAAAAAACCTTTCATTTTCAGAGGTTTTGGGATTTATTTATTTATTTTTTTGAGATGGTTGTCTTGCTGGCCCAGGCTGGAGTACAGTAGTGTGATCTCGGCTCACTGCAATCTCTGCCTCCTGGGTTTAATTGGTTCTGCTTCCACCTCCCGAGTAGCTGAGATTACAGTCATGCACCACCAAGCCTGGCTATTTTTTTGTATTTTTAGTAGATATGGGGTTTCACCACATTGGCAAGGCTGGTCTCGAATTCCTGACCTAAAGTGATACACCCGCCTTGGCCTCCCAAAGTGCTAGGATTACAGGCATGAGCCACCATGCCCAGCCTGGTTTTGGGATTTAGAAATGACAGGTAGTGGATTGTGGACTGGTTATATTACAGGTGAGGAAATCAGGGACAGAGAAGTTAAGCAGCTTGCCACAGGTGACACAGTTGGTAGGTGGTGATGCAGACTGGAGCGACGGCTTCACCTGCTGCATGAACCTGCTCTCTGTAAGGGCTGCGAGAGAAAGGCCCAGGCCTGCTCTGAGGTTCCAGCAGGCGGGGTGTGCATCACTGAAAGCCCAGAGGTGGGAGCATTTGAGTAGCTCCTTAAATAATAGGCAAGATTTTAAGGGAAAGAGTCCGAGGTGGGAAAAGACATTCCTGGGAGAGACATCACATCATGGGCAAATGCTTGAAGTGGGATCTTTGTTTTCCAGCTCCCCTCAAAGGGTCCTCACTGCTTTTGTCCTTACTCCCTTTAGGATTCTTTTCACAGACACTATCTGAGACGGTCCTCACCGTCAAGCAGCTCCACCCAACCCCAAGAAGAGAGCCGGAAGGTCCCTGAGCTCTTTGTCTGCACCCAACAGGACATTCTGGCTTCGAGCAACAGCTCCCCCTCCAGGACCTCCCTGGGTCAGCTTAGTGAACTGACCGTAGAAAGGCAGAAAACCACTGCCAGCAGCCCTCCCCATCTGCCCAGCAAACGGCTGCCCCCATGGGACAGGGCCAGGCCGAGGGATCCCTCCGAGGACACCCCAGCAGTGGACGGCAGCACAGACACGGACAGGATGCCCTTGAAGCTCTACTTGCCTGGTGGTAATTCCAGGATGACCCAGGAGAGGCTGGAAAGAGCGTTCAAACGGCAGGGCAGCCAGCCCGCACCTGTCAGGTGAGTGTGCTATGCAAAGGTGACGGCTTTTCAAAAAGAAGCTCCACCTCTCACATGTTGTCTAGTCCCTAATGGCTCCGAAGGGAACTTCTTAGTCTCCTTGGTCTCTCAGAACAAGCCTGCGAAGTAACCGGCAAGGTAGAGTTTGTTATGGTCAACCAGGAAGAAAACTCAGCCAGAGCTCACACACCTGGAAAGCTGAAGAATGCTCTAGACAGGGGTGTCCAACCTTTTGGCTTCCCTGGGCCACATTGGAAGAACAATTGTCTTGTGCCACGCATAAAATATACTAACAATAGTTGATGAGCTAAAAAAAAATTGCAAAAAAAACTCAATGTTTTAAGAAAGTTTATGAATTTGTGTTGGGCTGCATTCAAAGCCATCCTGGGCTGCATGTGGGCTGCGGGTTGGACAAGCTTGCTTTAGCAGATGGTCCCAAAACATACCTGCAGCAACATGGCCAGGCAGACGTGGCTAAGAGTTTCTTGTGGGAAGCCAGAGATACAGTGATGAATCAGCTCCCACAAGGCTCCCTTTGGGCATTATTTCTATTTTATTTTATTTTTCATCCTATCCTTACTTTTATTCTTTACAATAAGCCTTAATGATTCCTACATTGATTGATTTCTGAATGTTAAACCAACCTTACATCCTAAGAATAAATCCCACTTGGCTATGATATATTATCTTTTTATATATCATTGGATTTGACTTATTAATATTTCGTGTAGGGGTTTTGTGTGTAGGTTTATGAAGAAGATTGGCTGGCAGATTTCCTTTCTTGCAACAGCTTTGTCAGATGCTGATACCTAGGTTATGCTAGAAGTGGTCCCTCTTTTTCTATCCCCTTGAAGAGTGAGTGTAAGATTGATGTGATTTCTTTCTTAAATATTTGGGAGAATTTACTGGAGAAATTTTCTGTGCATTAAGTTGAAAGGTGTTAAATTATGTGTTCAATTAAAAACTTTTTAATTCAAATTTCAACTTTCTTCTTGTGTAAGTTTTGGCAAGTTGTATTTTTTCAAAGAGTTTGGCCACTTTATATGTGTGTTTTAAATTTATTGGTATAAAATTGTATAATTATATTATCCTCTTATTATCACTTTGAAGTTTGTGAGATCTGTAGTTATGTCTTTGTTTCATTCCTGTGATTGGTAATTTATGTTCTTTCTCTCTTAACTAGTCTCACTGGGAATTTATCATTTGTGTAATATACTCAAAGAAAACTTTTGGCTTTATGTTTGTTTTCTATTTCATTGACCTCTGCTCTTATTTTTATTATTTTCTTCATTCTATTCTCTCTGAGTTTAATTTGCTATTATTTTCTAGTTTACTGATTCTCAGCCTTCTTCTTTTGTAATATGTTTTAAAGCTGCAAATTTCTCTGTAAGTAATGTTTTGTCTGTATTCCGTAAGTTAATACGTTACATATTCGTATAACTTAGTTAATATATTTTCTAATTCCCATCGTGGTTTCTTTTTTTTTTTTAACCCATGGGTTATTTAGGCATGTACTACTAATTTCATACATTTAGGGTTTTTTTTGTTTATATTTATATATATATTATATATATTGTTTATTTAATTGTTTATATATGTATTATTCTTTATGATTGCAATCCTTTGATATTTGCTGAGATTTCCTTCTAGTATATAGTTAAAGCCTATCTCTGATAAACAGCATGTATTTGGAACTTTAAATCCAGTCGATAATTTTTTATTCTAGTTGGAATAATTATGGCATTTATATTTTCTTTTTACTCGAATAACTTCCTTTAGTATTTTTTTTTAGCAGGTATGTTAAATTTTTTTTTCTAGTTTTTATTTGGAAATGTCTTTGGTTTGCTTTTTTTTTTTTGGAGACAGGGTCTCATTCTGTCACCTAGGATGGAGCACAGTGGCGCAATCACAACTCACTGCAGCCTTGACCTTCCACGCTCAGGCAATCCTCCCACCTTAGCTTCCTAAGTACGTGGGACCACAGATGCACTTATTTCCACACACCTGGCTAATATTTTGTATTTTTTGTAGAGACGGGGTTTTGTTATGTTGCCCAGGCTGGTTGTGAACTCCTGGGCTCAAGCCAGCCTCCCATCGTGGGCCCAGGGCAGGTATTCTCATATAATACATGGTGGGGAGGGGCTGCCCGTGGAAGAGCAGCCCACTTCTAAGAGGAAAAAGGGTAAAGCTGAGCCTAAATGCCTTTTATTTTTTATGGAATTTATCAGTCATATAATTCACACTTCCTCCGTTAGGGTGGAGTGATTAAAGAGGGGAAGAATGGCCAGGTGGGCCAGACCAGCAGAGCCTTCTTCAAACTTCTAGAAAACACTGGGAGTTGAGAAAAAGCATCCTTCAACCCAGCAATTATTATCCCCATTTCACAGATGAGGAAACTGAGGCACAGAGAATCCAAGGAACCTGACAAGGTTCTGGGTGGGTGCAGATCCAAGGGCACACAGACTGGCAAATGGAATATGGGCTGGATTTCAGCTCTCTCTCACTGCCTCAGCGAGGCGTCTTTGTGTAGTGCACATACTACACAACTCTACACAGTGCTCTTGATTTGAAACCAGGGCCAAAGTAATCCCAATGGTAAATATATCTGCATCCCCTGCCCTTCCCAACTCCCCTCCATCAGTGCCCCCTTCCCCTTGTTTTTTGTTTAATTCAGTTTGGTAAACATGGGTCTCAGTCCTAGTGTGTACCAGGTCCTGTGAGTTCTTCAAGGGGAGACACACATGTGCACATATAATTCTTCTAAAGCGTGGGAAAGTGCAGTGAGATGGCATCAGAGCTGGCCATATGCACAGAGCCAGCTCCACCGCTCTGTCCTAAGGAAGCTGGAGGAGAGGGAGCTACTTGGGGCCCTTTTTGGGCCTCCAAACATCAGGTTCAGGAAAATCCATGGAAGTCACACCTAGGGGCACAGGTGGGGTTAGGGGGCAGGTGGAGGATGCAACCTGCTGAGATGTTAGGCGGTGTGAGTATCTGTGCAGTCAGGCCCTCCTAACTCTGACACTCCTCAGATCTGACTCCGGGAGCTGAAGGGACTATTTTCTGGTTTATTTTTTGTTTTTCTTCTGTGCCCTTTGATATCAAGAGATGCTTGGAAAATATGTCACCTGGACTCCCATTGTGGGGGTTGTGGCTGTTTGGGGCCACCTGTCACTTGTCGCTGGCTTGTCAGGGCTGCCCTTGTTGGGTTCCTCTCACCATCACTCAGAACCATGGGGACTCTGGCCCTGACTGGGCAGTCCTCTAACCCTCGTCTCTCTCTCCCTCTCGCTAGAGTGCTGTGTTGCGGGCGGGGGCCTTTCTCTACACATTTGTGGCTCTTGCTGTCACCCACACACCTGACCTGAGTAGACCCTCAGGAAACTTCAGATGTAGTACGGAGCATGGGAGAGGAAATTTTTACTTACAACCCCCCAGGGCTAGGTCTTCCAAGCCTCTTGGCTCCTCAGGGGCACTTTGTGAAGGTGGGTTCTTTGGAGGCACCTCACTTGTGTTGCTCACAGCCCTCCGTTGGGGTGTGCTGGCCTGTCATTTGTCTGAGGGCCCCTCAGAGTGAGTTTCTGGACCTGCAGATGGCCACATGGACACTCCTACAGTTGGCTTTCTGCAGATTAACTCAAAACACACCATGCTGGGCATCTAGCAATAGGTGTAGGCATAGGCTGCACAAGTTCCAGCCACTTACTTGCTCAGTCAGCTTCAGAAACCTGGGTGTAACTGTGGTCATGAATTGAGAAGAGTTTTATCCTCCCTTAGGAATTCAACCCACAGCAGTTGCCACAGCACTGACATCTAAGGGTCAGGGCTGGTGAGCAAATGTGTGCCCTGTCACATGGCTTCAACCATGGAGCCGTGGGATCCAGGGGTACCAAGATATGAAGGCCTATGGTATAAATGAGGGTTCTGAGGCCCAGAGAGGGGCACAGACCTCTCCAGGGTCACACAGGCCATCAGGGTCAGGGACCAGATGACCTGACAGTATAGGCAAATAGAGGGGTGCATGTGTTTCCTGTTGCTGGTGTAGCATTACCATAAGCTTAGTGGCTTGAGGACAAACACAGATTGATGGTTCTGGAGGTCAGAGGTCTGAAGGATGTCTCACTGGTCTGCAATCCAGGTGTCAGCAGGCTGCATTCCTTCTGGAGCCTCTAGGGGAGAATCTGTTTCTTTGCCTTTTCCAGGTTTAAGAGGCCACCTGAATTCCTTGGCTCCCTTCCTTCACCTTTGAAGCCAGTGACGTTGGCTGAATCCTGCTCAGGCTGCCTTCTTTCTGCTTTTCCCCTTCCTGCTCCCTCTTCTGCTTTTGAGGACCTTTGTGATTACCTTGGACCCACCTGGTTGATCCAGAACACTCAGCATATCTCAAGGTCAGCTGATTAGCAACCTTGATTTCATCTGCAACCTTAATCCCCCCTTGCCATGTAACCGAACACATTCAGGGGGTCTGGGATTAGGATGTGGACATAGTTGAGGGAGGGGGTCATTTTTATGCCTGCCACAGAGGGCAGCTGTTTGTTGGAGCACTGTACTTTTTTTTTTTTTGTCTCACTATGGTTTTTAAAATATTCATCTACTCTCTCAATCTCCCTTCTGACCACTCTCAAAAGATTTTTTTGTGTTTTTCACATTTCCCCCTGTCTCACTGTCACATCTGTCTCTTTTTTATCTGGACCTTGTGTGGAAAAGGCAACAGGAAACCCACAGCCATGCCATCCCCAGAAGCAGCAGGCTTAGGTGAGGGGAGGATGTCTAGCTTTGGGGCCTGCTGTGGTGAGTCCATGGAGCTTAGGGTCATCATTAATTTCATGAAATGGATTTTGTCCTGGAGAAAGTGAGTATCTTCCCAGAATACAGCCTTGAAGTATGATATAGTCCATGCAATTGAAGTCTAATTTAGACTTTTAAAAAAGATTTTAAATTAAGCATTTTAAAAAGCAGGGTGGAATACATGCATCTTTAGGACTTGTTTACATTCTTAACTTCATAGACTGTCAGTGCTGGAAAGATCCTTAGAATCCAAACCCTTTATTTGGCAGGCGGGGAAAATAGAGCCCCAGAGAACAGAAAGGAAATGACTCACTTGAGCTTTTGCAGGTGTAGCAAAGTTATTTTCATAAACTCTGTTTTCCCTTGTAGTTAATGTTTAAAGCTTTCTTTTTAAATAGGCATGCTCCTCCTGTATTCACTTAAAGCCTCCATCACAGATGTCACTAACCAACATATGATGTCTTGCTCTTCATGTTACAGATCCTTTGGTTTTGGGTAGACTTGATTTCAGACTCTGAATTCCTGGAGTCATACCCTCAAAAAAAAAAAAAAGACCCTGTCAATTCACAGACATACTCATTTATTCAGTTAATTTATTCAACAACTATTTAGCAAGGACCAGCAGTATGTTAAAGATGGCTTGTACTGGCTTCGAATGCTGATTTTTAGTGCCCCTTCTTAACTTTGCATTCAGTGACATCACATTGGTAGCTTGGAATTGGTCATGTTTAGAATATTTATACCATGGAGATTGGCAAATGCAGCAAATCAAGGTCCCCATCCCTGGAGAGCCAGTTGTTAACATTTACCAGCACACCACCTGCGATGGCCTACTGTGTGCCAGACCCACCAGCCAGTCAGCTGTGAACAAAGCAGATTGAGTCCCTGCCCTCTTGGATCTTCCACTTCCAGTGAGACGAGGCAGCCCACAATAACACCAAAACAAGGAAATATATAACATATCTGAGGATTACAAGTGCTAAGGGGAAAAATAAATCATGGAAGAGTGACAGGGAGCCCTGGGGACAGAGCTGCTATTTTATAAAGAGGTAGCCAGGAAAACCTACCAGAGAGGGTTACACTTGAGAGGAGGCCAGAAAGGAGACAGGGAACTTGCACTTTGATCTCTGGACGCAAATGCCGACAGCAGTTGTGCACAGGCCCTGCAGTGGGAGCATGTTACTGATTGAGGCTGGACTACATGAGGGAGAGAGGAAAAAAAGCAAGAAAGGAAGCAAGGGCTTGGTCATGTGGGGCCTGGAAGCTGCTGAATGCATTGGCTTTTACTTTGGATACTCCCGCATCTAGGAGATATGGGAGCCTTTGGAGGTCGAGCAGAGACATGCTGTGATCTCACTTGTGTTTTAATAGGGTCCCTCTGGCTGCTGTGTTGAATAGATTCAAGTGTGGAAGGAGGAAGGCAAGTGTGGAGGCAGGGAGACCAGTTAGGCAACTGCAGTAGTAGAAGAGAGCTGGTGGTGGCTTGCATCAGGGAAATGGCAGTGAAGGTGGTGAGACATGGGCTAGAATATGGGTGTATACATACATACAGACATACATCAGCAGGGCTATGTTCTGAGAAGTGCATTTTCAGAAGCGCATCCACATCTGTGGGCCCCTGGAGGCACTGAAGGACCTGGGAGAGTTTGGGGTGCACCTGTCTCTCTCCTCGAGACTGCTGAAGTGGAAACATCATAGAGTGTACTTACACTGACCTGGATGGTGCAGCCTACTACACACCTAGGCTAAATGGCTTAGCCTGTTGCTCCTAGTATACACACCTGGACAGCATGTTGCCGTATTGAATGCTATAGGCCATTGTAACACAATGGGAAGTATTTGTTTATCTAAACACATCTAAATTTAGGAAAGGTACAGTAACAATATGATACTATAATCTTATGGAACCACTGTGATATATGTGGTCTGATATTGACCGAAACCACATATCTCATTGGGATTCGTGTATGGATTGGATGTGCTGTGTTAGAGAAAGAAAGGAGGCAAGGATAACTGCAAAGATTTTGCTGAACAACTGTAAGAGGGGGGTTGCCGTTCCCTGAAATGAAGACTGTGGGAGAAGCAGGTTTAGGTCATGGTCATTGGGCCATAATTTATACCTCTGGTCTGCATGTTACTTTCTTCTTTTTTTTTTGAGACAGAGTCTCGCTGTGTCGCCCAGGCTGGAGTGCAGTGGCGTGATCTTGGCTCACTGCAAGCTCCGCCTCCCGGGTTCACGCCATTCTCCTGCCTCAGCCTCCCGAGTAGCTGGGACTGCAGTCGCCCGCCACCACGCCTGGCTAATTTTTTTTGCATTTTTAGTAGAGACGGGGTTTCACCATGTCAGCCAGGATGGTCTCAATCTCTTGACCTTGTGATCCGCCCGCCTCGGCCTCTCAAAGTGCTGGGATTACAGGCGTGAGCCACTGCGCCCAGCCCTGCATCTTACTTTCTATCAGGCCAGTGGTGTTTCTTTGTGAACTGGCCTTCCTGTGGCCTTAGTTCAGGGTCCATGTGCTTGCAGTCCACACATGTGAGCAGTGAGCTGTCCTGTTACTTTTGTGCTGTGACATTTCTCCTCTGGCACTGGGGTTTTATTGAAGCTGTTTAAGAGGCTTCCACACCAGGACTATTACTAGAGCCCAAGTTAGTAGGGTTGCTCACAGCTACTGTCTAAGGACAGTAAAAGCAAGTCCCCATCTTGCCTTTATGTCATGCACTTCTTTGTCTTGTGCTTGCAGGTTGCAGTCTGCTGAGCAGACCTCCAGGCCTCTCTGGGCCTCTGTGCTCCTGTCTGTAAATGAAGGGGTAGGATGGGCTGCTCTGTAATGGCTCCCCAATTCTACCCTCTACACATGCCTAGACCAGACTTCTGACTTCTTTTGTAATCTCTGAATTACTTTGATTCAGTTGACCTCTCTAAGGCTCATCTTATGTAAATAATGAGCCTGTAAACCAGGGTCCTGTGACTTTGGAGTCCTTCCTAGACTATAGGCTCCTCTGAGCACCTGTGGGTATATAGTAAATGGATTTAGGACACAGCAACCTGGAATCACTCCCAGCCCTGAGTATGAGCATCTGTCACTGGAGGCCTGTTCCAGGCTGTTCCTGGCTGCAGCATTTTGAGCTGAAGGCAGGCTGACTAGGGCAAGGTTAAATTCCACCATCCCTAACCCCTTTGCCTATTACTTGTTGAATGGTTTCTCAGGTTAGGTTCCTAAGAACAATGGTTCTTAAACTGTGATCTCTGGACTGGCAGCATCTGCATCATCTGGGAACTTTTTAGAAACAGCTTGTCTGACCCACTGAGTCAGAAGTTTGGGGGTGGAGCCCAGGAATCTGGGTTTTAACAAGCTTTTTAGGTGATGTCATGCGTGTCAAGCTTTGGGAAGCAATGCCCTAGGGGCCAAGCCTGAGTCAGATTCCGGTACATGTAATTTGTTGGGGGCATGCTCTCAGGAGGAAGTGGGGTGAGGAAAGTGGAACTGGGCAGGGGAAGGAGCTCAGCAAAGGTGTGAGGGCTAAGGGCTCAGGCTGATCCCCTGGGGAGATGTGGAGCATGAATTGACTCAGAGTTAGTCCCATGTTTAAGGCAAGGGAGTGAGCTTTTTGTGCCCCTCTTAGTCATTGGCTGTGGGCTGCCCATCCTGGAGTGGGGCGGGCAGTGTGCAACCTCCTAGATGAGTTTGGCAAAGGACGATTCTCCAGAAAAGGATGCAGCTGTGAGCCCTTAGCAGCTGACATTGACAGCAGCTGGGAAGTATTTACCTGTCTGAGGCAGCTGGGTGGGACACCTGTGGCCTCCATGTCAGTTCTCATGGCTCCTTCTGCATTCACCCAACCCCTAGGTATTACAGTAAAGATAAACTGCAAAGCCTGTCCCTGGATATCACCTTAGATGCATTGGATGCCCTGGTGAGATGGGCCAAGCAGGGATCTTTTACAGGTTAGGATACAGACTCCAGAAGGTGAGACTGAAACGAAACTGTTTCCAGGCTCAGACAGCCTTTCCCATCATGACATGTGCAGCCCTCTGCAAGAGCATCATATTACCCATTACTGGCTTTGTGGCTGGGTCACGTCCTTTTGTCTTAGTGAGTTCAGAGGTGTCATAGCCCAGGTAGGCACTGGGGATGCCAGTGCATGATATGGTTCCCTGCCTCCAGAAGCCCAGGGTGCACTGGGATGCCCTGTGTAATTGGGTGCTAAATTGTGGCCCTCACAAAGGAGTGGAAGTTCAGGGAGCAGTTAAGGGACGCTATTGAGGGGGCAGGAGGGCCCTGGGCTTGGAGAGGCAGTGTTTAATGCAAAAGACTTCCTGGTAAACCAGTAACATTGGAGAAGGAATGGCTGTACTTTTAATTCACAGATCCAGGGGAAGATTAACCTGCCTTGTTCTGCTGTGGGTCTCTGCAGCCTTGATACAGCCAAGGGCCCAAAGCCTCAGTGTTTCTGCCTTTGCATTGAAACACTCCTCTGACACTGGGGATGCCTGGCAGTTTTTCAGGTTTTGCAGAAGAATGGACAGTAGATGGCAGCAGATCTTCATCAATCCTCCCAACCCCAGCGATTTAGTCTCGTTGCCCTTGTTGCATAATTTAATTCAGGGGACATTCACCAGGCCCTACCAGACCTTTCTTAAGCAGTCCAGGGGGAGAGAGACAAGTGCATCCCAAACTCTCCCAGGTCCTCTAGAGCCTCTGGAGGCCCCCAGATCTGGAGTGAAAGCCACGGGCGCACAGATGCCTCTCTGTGTCCTGAGGGGGAATGAATTGTGCCAGCCGGGACTTGGAGGAGGCTTACAGAGGATGTGGCATTTGCGGTTCATTGACTGTTCCCTGCTTCTGAGCATCCCAGCTCTGAAAACATCTGCACCTCATGGGATGAGTAATGGGGAGAATTTTCATTTTAATTTGTCTTTATGCATTATTTGGACTTCACATCAGACTATTAAGGTTCAAAATCTGACTCTTGAGACACACAATACCTATTTCCTTTCCAGCATGCCGGTCATCCTGTGTGGATAGTGGCCTGCTTGGGCTCTTGCACTGGTTCAGCCTCACCTTCTTAACCTGTTCTGGGGACCTCTCTTCTGTGGTGGATACAGCTGTCCTCCACACCTGCCATTGATGCCCGATGCTCAGCCACTTCTCCCCACTTCTCAGCCTGTTGATCACATTTTACCCTATACATGTGCCCCCAGTCCACAGTGGAATGCCATTTCTCCTTCTGATTGCTGGCCTCCTGAAAGTAGGCACAGGAGATTAAACATGAGAAACAGCTCCAGTGCATGTTACAGGCCACTCTGAGCCCTCCAAAAATGGGGTTGATGACCCCTAAACCTTGTGTGGTTATTATAACCCCAAGGTACCTTCAGTTCCATGGTTTCCAAGTCTCTGATCTGATGCGTCTGCAGAGGAAAGAGATTTCCCTTGACTCAGATTTCCTTTGAGATCCAGAAAGTGCGGCTAAAGAAGTGAGAGAGTGGCCACACATCCCCCTGGAAGGGAAGATGAGTGATCTTGTATTGTCCATCTGTGGACATCAGCATGGCAGCTCTGAGATCTCCCTTGGACCACACCTGGGCCCTTGCCAGCTCCATCCTAGGTTCTGAGTCCTGGGATACAGGCTGGGAAGATGTTCCATGCAGGAGAAGTAGCAGCTGTTAGATGGAAGGAAGTTGTTGGGCTCTGAGATAATATTTGGGAGATGAGTGTGAGAGAGCAGGAGTGGTATTATGGAGAATCTTTCCTGTATTCCTTTTTTTCTCACTCCAAGATGCTTTTGTGCTGCTCTGTTAGCTATGTTCCAGCAGTTCCTGGCTACCAGAATCCCATATAAAGGCCCACATAGAGGTTAGTAGGACCAGAACAAGGCTGAGTGAGGTGAAGCATCTAGGATGCAAAATGTAAGGAGCTACTCACTCTCACAGTTGTTCAGCTGCAGGCTGGACACCTGCATTAACCTGAGAGGGAAGGTCTCTTAAAATTTTGCACCTTAGGCTTCTTGATTATCTCACCCTAATCCTATCCTGGTTAGCAGAGTTTGGCTGCTTTCTTTTGTTCCTTCAGTATCTTGGACAACCCTCAGTATAGAACAATGATTTGATAACTCATATTTATATTCATGAACTTTTTGAGGCCTGGAATGGGGCCTTATTTCTCTGTCTTTACTCAGCCATGTCTCTGTACCTGGCAATAATAAGTGCCAAGCAAATGAGAGAGTGCACTTAGCAAGGAGAATGGAAGGGAAAGTTATGCTAATCTGTCTGTGATAGTATCGTGAAACTTAAAAGTGGTAAGTCTTTCATATAATTGAAACAATTTGAACTTTAGTTTGCCTGTTGGCATTCATTAATTTACTCAGTAATTTTTTTGTTCATACAAAACTAGTTACATGACTGCCTGATCACCCAACCATATATCTAGCCAACTAAACAACTAACCAGCCATCTGACCACCCAACCAACCAACCATCCCAACCGACCAACCAAACCAACCAACCAACCCAACCAACCATCCAACCATCCATTCATCCAACAAACCATTCCACCCATCCAATCATCTCACCCACCCAACCAACCAACCCACCCAACCAACCAACCTAACCAACCCGGCCAACCAACCATCTAGTCAACCAACAAACTATCCAAACATCCATTCCATCCAACCAACTAACCAACCCACCCAATCAAACCAGCCAACTCACTGTCCCAACTGTGATGCCCCATCTTTAAGTCGTCTGGAATGTTGCCTTCTTCAAGAAGCCTTTCCTGATCTCTTCACTGTACCTATACTTGGACATGATCTGTTTCTCAGACCTCTCATGGCACATGTCACGCTGGAGAGAGTTGACAGGCTACTTTGTTCCTCCTGCTGGACTGTCAGCTGCCTGAGTATAGGGGTGACTTGTCTGTGTCCCTACCTTTTTGAGTTTTGCTCAGAATTATTCCAATAAATAAGAATTGAGATGGATTCTTGACTTTGCTTGGAATTTGGAAGGGGAGAATGAAGTATGAGGTCTTTCCTTAACTTAAGAAGTTCATAGAAGAGCAGAATTAGTGACTTAGCACACAGAAAAAGTCAACTAAAAATAGCAGGCAGATCTGTTTCAGGGTCAGATGGATGGTGCTAATTGAGATGCCGTAGGAGCTTAGAGGAGAGGGAGGGGGTTTTCTGGATGAAGCAGGGCTAAGCTGAGCCTTGAAGGCTGAGTGGGTTTGAATAACCCAGTTTTGTGTGGCAGGGGGCAGTCTTATTCTTCAGGCCTTATTACTGTGCCTGGAACATATTCATCACTCTTCTGTGCCTTGCTCTAAGCCTGAGGTTTTGTTTTTGGGGTAGGGGGGAAAGTTTGCTGGTATCCCTGGGGTCTCATTCCTAAAGACTGAAGCAGCTCTCTTGTTCTTCCCCAGCGTGTTTTTCTACGGCCTGCATTGGGTTTTGCTGCATTTGCAGACATTTTTGGATAATGTACACTTATGGTGGGTCATGGAGAAAACCTAAGCTCATAGCTCCACCTAAGGATCATGGCATTTATTTAGGGAAAAGATGGGCGTCCTTGTTCCTACCCTGTGATAGGCTGGATGCCTTGGGGCCTGACATAGAGAGAGCCAAAGTCTTTCCCTTGCCAAATCCCATTCAGTCCTGCTGGAGTACTGGGTGTATGCCTTCCCTCATGACTCTTGGGCTGGTTTTCTCAAATGGTGGCTGAGGGATGGAATTCTGCTGTGACTGTCAGAGGTGGTGTCTCCATTTTGGAAAGATGGCCCCTGATGCTGAGTTATGTTAGGGGCATATTGGGCAGAGTTCCTCAAATCACAAAGATGATCTGCCAGGGCAGCTTCCTGTATGGCTAGATTCCATGTGTGTGCCTCATTCCAGAAAATTCTACTTTGTTTTCTCTACTCATTCCACAAGAAGTTAGTAAAGCCATGGGATTTCTTTCATTTCCTGTTGAGGCCAGTTTTGTGGTCATAGGTCCCTCAGAAGTGGGGCCTTTTCCCAATAAAGTAAACAGTTTTTGATCTCAATCTAAATACATGGTATTTAATTTTATTCAACAAAGCATTTATAGAGTGCCTCTTGCTTGTTCGAATGGTGTTGGGGAGAGAAATGCTGAAGATGAGGTTCCTGCTCCCAAGAGGCTGAGACATCCCGACAAATATGTACTACAGGATTAAGAAAAAGATGAGTGTGATAAGGGATCTGGCAGAGTTCCACAGAGATAGAGTCTGGATAGTTTCAGGGATAATTATGCTGTCGATATCTGTTGAGTCCTCACTATCTGACTGGCCCTCTTATAGGAGCTTTGGATGTATTACTTCATTTAATCCTGACAGCAACTTTACATATTTACAAGTGGGGAAACTGAGGCACAAAATGACCAAGCAGTCTGAGTTCATGCAGGTTTTCTGGCTTTTGGGGCCTTAGTCTTAATCATTATCCTTGGCCCTGACCTGGGGGAAGAGGACTGTTGAGAGCTGGCATTAGCAAGGACATAGAGGGCAGGTCTGGCAGTTCAGAGAGTGGAAGAATCCCAAGCCGAGGGGATGCTGTGAGCAAAGAGGTGGGCAAGTTGGTGTAGCTGGAGCCCAGGGGATGTGTGAGTGGTGGGAAGAGGGTAGACTGCAGGCCCGACAGGTGCCCCAAGAGCCAGACCTTCTTCTCTAGGCAATAGAGAGGGATAGAAAGTTCTCTTGTGTTTTGGGTTCTGTTGTTTTTTAACCAGGAAGATGTGCCGCAAGGTGAGTCTAGGGGTGCAGCAGGTCTGAGAAAGGTGACTGGCAGCAGGGCCCCTGCCGGGAAGGCAAGTGGGCTCTGGCCTGGATGTGCCAGAGGGGTAAGGAGCCAGGGAGCTGAGGAGGAGAATCCAGAGGACGAGGCAGTCAAGGAGGACTGTGGGCCTGGAGGAAGGGGAGGTTGGGCAGGCAGTTAGCAGGAGTAGGGGCACCTGAAGGGGAGGTGCTGCTTGAGTCAGGAAGAAGATGAGTTGTTTCTGGATATGTCCAGTGGAGCTTTTGTTTCCACAGTCAAGAGTGGGGCAGAAACGCAGATCCCAGGGAATGTTGGGAGGAGCTGGCATGGGCTGAAAGCTGAATTCCTTGGAGGGTGGACATTGCCAAGGTCAGTATCTTGCAGTGGAGACCACGTGCTTGGTGTGGGGCAGGGCAAGAAAACGGAGTGGTCAGAGCAGAGCCCCACCCAAGGCGAGGGAAGAGCCAGTCTCCTGGAGGCAGGAGGTTGCATTTTCGGACCCTTAGGAGAGGTTGGGAGGTCACTGGGCCTGGTGATGGCGGTTCCCAGGTGGCTTTGGAGAGAGCACCTTGAGCAAAGTGCTCCGGGGCAGAAAGTCAACTGTCGTGTATTGAGGAATGGGAGGAGATGAGGACATGTGTGGAGAGCCTTTGTGAAAGAAGTTTAGAGATGAAGGGTACACAGGGACAGGGTGGCAGCTCAAGAAAGAAGAAGGTTAAGGAATAGGGCCGTTTATTCAGGACAAGAGAGATTTGTGCATGTTTGTGAGCCATGTTTGCACCAGCAGCAGAGACAAGAAATTCACCATTCACAGAGGCAGGGTGCACGGGCTTGGGTGGGGCCCGGAAGGGGACAGTGCTGACAATACCAGAGTCATTTTCTGTTACGCTCAGTAACGATAATTGATGTCTGTAATGATGGGCCCAGGGCATTACAAGTTCCTGAAGTGCCTTTTAAATCTCTAATGAAAGAGTCAATTCTACTCAGCAGAGTTGTTGAGTTACTTGAAATTTATTCCAATTAAGCAAAGCTTTGTTCAGTTATTGAGATCTGCTATTTGGGAAACATTGCATTGTATTGTATTCTGAGACTTTGAAACTTGGCTCGCCATCTTTCACATATTTAGTAACTTGGCATGGTGAGGTTGAAAGGGCCCCGCTTTAGAATTGAACAGATTTGGGTGCAAATCCTAGCTCTGCCATATACTAACAGGGCAAAGGCAAAAACTTTTTAGCCTCTTTTAACTTTTTTAGGATTGTCATAAGGAATAAGTAAAATAAAATATATCAAATATTTGGCCCACAATGGTTATTTTAATAAATATTAGCTTCCCCCCACTCTAGCTATTTGGTTAGCCAAAACACCCATTTAAAAAAAAAAACAGATGGATATATTCCTGAATAGATGGGGATTTTGTGAGAAGGATGGAAAGTGAGGTTGGAGTCAGATTATGGAAGATTGTGATGGTCAAAAGAGAAATGTTCAGGTTAGTTGTGAGAGCCATGGCCAGGGCTCCTGTGCCCTTGGGCATGTCTTTCCCCTGGGGTCAGGCATATAGCAGGCTTTTGGAAACGTTTGTGGATTGAATGAATTTGCCTGCCTTGAGGCATTTCCTTCTTTTTTTATTGAAGGCTAGGGGAAGGTGGGTCTGTTTGAAAGCTCTGGAGGGTGAGGCAGATGTGTCTTCCTACCCTCTTCTCTTCTAGAAGGTTTTCCCAGGTCAGGCCTGGACAATGGGCTGGCACAATTGGCTCCACTTGCCTAGGCCCATGTGGCTGTGGTCCTCCATGTCCCTGCTTCTGCCTTGAGCCCAGGGTTTCACTCAATTGTTTAAAGGGTCAAGATGCATGGAAAGTCTAAGAGAGGACAGTGGCATTTCTATAACTGATATTGCTTCCTTTGGTCCCAGTGTCACTTTGTTTAGCCTTTCTTCTTTAAATAAAATTTCTTTTGAATGAGAAGAAAAGGAAATCATGTAAACTGAAAAAGTCCCAGATGGAAACCGAGACCAAGTATTTTGCCACCATCTGAGGATTAGAGGCTGTTTGGCAAGGCTGAGAGCCACGTCCATTATTTCATGTCCACCTCCTCATGGAGCAGTGGCACACTGAGTGGCCGTATTCCAGAAGCTGCTGTATGGAGGGCAAATGATCTTATAAGGGCATTTTGGCAGGTATCTAGGAATCAACCCCTGGATCTGCCAAAGAAACCCATCCACACACAGAATTCTCACACCCATAGTCTCCCTCTGCCCCTGCTCAGCTCCCTAACAGATCTCAAGTCACTTTGTAGCCTTGACATGGAAGATCAGATATCTTTAAAATTCAACACACTCCTAGGAGTATATTAAAAGAAGAAAAGAGAAGTTGAAAGTATCCATTTTAGATTTAAAAAAAAAAGCCGGTCTGGTCTAAGGGAGGAGACCACCCCTCATGTTGTCTTATGCCCAATTTCTGCCTCCAAAGAAAGAAGAAGTAAAAACTAAAAGGCAGAAATGAAATCCACAAGCAGACAGCCTGGTGCCACACCCTGGGCCTGGTAGTTAAAGATTGACCCCTGACCTAATCAGTTATGTTATCTATACATTACAGACATTGTATAGAAAAGCACTATGAAAATCCCTGTCCTGTTCTGTTCTGTTCTGTTCTAATTACCGGTGCATGCAGCCCGCAGTCACGTACCCCCTGCTTGCTCAGTTGATCACGACCCTCTCACGCGGACTCTGTTAGAATTGTGCGCCCTTAAAAGGGACAGGAATTGCTCACTCGGGGAGCTCGGTTGTTGGAGATGTGAGTCTTGCTGAAGCTCCCGGCCAAATAAAGCCCTTCCTTCTTTAACTCAGTGTCTGAGGGGTTTTGTCTGCGGCTTGTCCTGCTACATTTCTTGGTTCCCTGACTGGGAAGCAAGGTGATTAATGGACGGTCAAGGCAGCCCCTTAGGCGGCTTAGGCCTGCCCTGTGGGGGACTCTGGCCAGCTTGAGCGACGCAGATCCTGAGAGCGCTCCCGGGTAGGCAACTGCCCCGGTGGAATGCCTTGCCAGAGCAGTGCGTGGCAGGCCCCCGTGGAGGATCAATGTGGTGGCTGATCACCAGGAAGGAATTGGCACTTGGAGTCCGGACATCTGAAACTTGGTAAGACTAGTCTTTGGAACTTGCCCACTCCATTTGAGTGGAAGCGTGGCCTGATCACCCATGGCATACCTATACCGGCACTTTGGTTTTTGTTTTTGACTTGACTTGGATTGCTTGATACTTTGGTTTTGGTTTTCACATGGCTTGGATTTCTTGATACTCTGATTTTGGTTTTGATTCTGGTTTGGTGTAAACTGTAAAAGTGTGTGTGTGTGGGTGCCCTTTTTACTCGTTCTTTGTTTTGTGTTGTGCATGTGGTGTGAGCGTGGTGTTTTGTCTTGAAGAAGCATGGGTCAGGCACAAAGTAAGCCCACCCCACTAGGAACTATGCTGAAAAATTTCAAGAAAGGATTTAAGGGAAACTATGGAGTACTGTGACACCAGGAAAACTTAAAACTTTGTGTAAGATAGACTGGCCAGCATTAGAGGTGGTTTGGCCATCAGAAGGAAGCCTGGACAGGTCCCTTGTTTCAAAGGTATGGCACAAGGTAACCTGTAAGCCAGGGCACCCAGACCAGTTCCTGTACATAGACACTTGGTTACAGCTGGTTTTAGAGCCCCGTCGTCGGCCCTCCCCACCCCGCACAATGGCTGAGACAACAGCAGCATAAACAGCTGGCAGAGTCAAGGAAAGACCAACAGAGAGAGAAAGAGGAAGAGACAGAGAGACAAAGAGGGAGTCAAGGAGAGAGAGAGAGAGAGAGAGAGAGGCAGAGAGAGAGAAAGAGACAAATGGGAAAAGGAAAAAGAGAAAAAGAGACAGAAAATCAAAGAGAGAAAGAAAGAAAGAGAGAGATATATAAGTAGTTAAGAAAAAAAAACAGTGTACCCTATTCCTTTAAAAGCCAAGGTAAATTTAAAACCTGTAATTGATGATTGAAGGTGTTCTCCATAACCCTATAACACTCCAGTACCACTTTGTTGTCAGTGTAAACAAGGGTGTATCCCGAAAGCACTGAGGCCTTCCTATCAAAATTCCTTAACCCAGTAACCTGCAGTAACCTGCGGATGGCCCAAATGCATTCAATCTGTAGCGGCAACTGCTTAGCTAACAGAAAAAATTTAAAAAATAACTGTTAGAGGAAACCTCATTGTGAGCACACCTCACCAGTTCAGAAGTATCCTAAGGAAAAAAAAAAAAAAAAAAAAGGATGATTTAATATTAACCACTGAAAATTCCCTTAACCCAGCAGGTTTCCTAACAGGGGATCTAAATCTTAATTACCATACAAAGGCCCGACCAGACCTAGGAGGAACCCCTTCAGGACAGGACCATCGATGGTTCCTCCCAGGTAATTGAAGGAAAAAAAAAAAAGCCATCTATACAATTCTAAGTTAATTTGGACAAAACAAGGTCTTATTAATAGCAAAGGATAATTAAAATCCCAAACTTACAAGTGTTTCAACAAAAGTAAAGTTTGCTAAAAGTTAACAGTGTAACATGTATTATAGTAACTTCTAATCTTGTGGCCTTAGACAATCTAGTCCACAGACATAAAGGAAGTTTGCTTTGGAAAAGAATGGTTATCATCTTCGAAAAAAAAAAGGGGGAAAAAAAAGGGGGGCAGAATTTATGTAAAAAGAGTGTTATATAGCAAATTCTTGTCCTGAAATAAATTAACTGGTAGTCTAAAGAAAGAAATGTTTAGGCCGGGCGCAGTGGCTCACGTCTGTAATCCCAGCCCTTTGGGAGGCCGAGGTGGGTGGATCATGAGGTCAGAAGTTCGAGACCAGCCTGGCCAACATAGTGAAACCCTGCCTCTACTAAAAATACAAAAATTAGCCAGTCATGGTGGTGCCTGCCTGTAGTCCCAGCTATTCAGGAGGCTGAGGCAGGAGAATCGCTTGAACCTGGGAGGCGGAGGTTGTGGCGAGCCGAGATTGCGCCACACACTCCAGCCTGGGCGACAGAGCAAGACTCTGTTTCAAAAAAAAAAAAAAAAAAAAAAAGAAATGTTTATAATAAGTCAGAAAGTTGAGGCATGTCGAAGAGTTGTCTGCGAAAGTCGTGAAAGAGAAAAATGTTATAAAAAAATTTATGCAAGAAATGTTGTATAATTTAAAAGTAGCTAGGCCTCCTGAATGTAAAACTATTGAAAAAAAAAAAAAAGTTTATGTGCAAGGTGTACAAGGAAAGTAAAATATACCTTTGGTAAAAGGATTATAAGGAGGCATAAGAATGTAAATTTTTACCTACATTAAAAGGTTAAAAAAACTTTTTTTGAAGGTTTAAGCAAGTTTTAAAACATAATTATATACAAAAAATTCTGTGTGTAAACATATTAGCTACAGTTAAAGGGGTATCATCCAGTTTTTCTGTGAACTGGACATTAAAGTAAAAACACGACCGGTTTTTCTTAAAGCACTAACCTGCTCTATAACAAAGATTATAAAAGGTTAAAAAGAGTCTATAAAAATCTTACCTTATGGTCCAACATTAAAAATGGAATAAATATGTATACAAAGTTTTATTAAAACTAAGTTTAATATTAATAGCACACTAATATAAAGGTGAAATTTAGCTTATCTGGTATAAAAATCATATAAGAAGCATTACTAAATATAAAATGGTGTTTGGCTTTCTTTGGTCTAAAAACTAATAAAAATAGGTGCTAAAGGAAATTTCTCAGTAAGAAGGCACCAAAGACTATAAAGTCCTCTGTTGATGTCCCCACATTTGAAAGAAAAAGTCAGTTTCTTAGAAATTATATACTTGGTTTATCTTCCACTTTTCTTTCCCTCAAAACTAAAAGTATTTTAGCACAGGTACCACCCCTAGAATTTCCAGTAAACCAGCACCAGCCTAAAGATCACTTCTTATCGAAGGGTGGAAAGAAAAGAAACTTGAGCCAGCCTAGGAAGGACCCTACCTTGTGCTGCTAACCACCGAGACTGCTGTTCATTCAGCGGAAAAGGGATGGACTCATCACACCCAAGTCAACGTGTTAACAGTTAACAGTGTTACATGTATTATAGTAACTTATACTATAAGACAGACACCCTTCCTGTGGAAAGACTCAGCTGCACTAAAAAGATTTAAAACTCTTGTAATAGGAGTTATAATAGTAATAGAAACCTGCTTACAGCTCCCTTGTTTGCTACCTATACTTCTTCAAATGATAAAAAGCTTCATCGCTACCTTCATTCACCAAAATGCTTCAGCACAAGTGTACTATATCAGTCACTACCGATCTGTCTTGCAAGAAGACATGGGTAGTGAGAATGAAAGTGAGAACTCCCACTATTGAGTGAGATTCTCAAAGTGGGGGAAGAAGGGAGGAGACCACCCCTCATATTGTCTTATGCCCGATTTCTGCTTCCAAAGAAAGAAGAAGTAAAAACTAAAAGGCAGAAATGAAATCCACAAGCAGACAGCCCAGCGCCACACCCTGGCTCTGGTAGTTAAAGATCGAACCCTGACCTAATCAGTTATGTTATGTATAGATTACAGACATTGTATAGAAAAGCACTGTGAAAATCCCTGTCCTGTTCTGTTCCGTTCTAATTACTGGTATATGCAGCCCCCAGTCACATACCCCTTGCTTGCTCAATCGATCACGACCCTCTCATGCGGACTCCCTTAGAGTTGTGAGCCCTTAAAAGGGACAGGAATTGCTCACTTGGGGAGCTCGGTTGTTGGAGACGTGAGTCTTGCCAAAGCTCCTGGCCGAATAAAGCCCTTCCTTCTTTAACTCAATGTCTGAGGGGTTTTGTCTGTGGCTTGTCCTGCTACAGTCCATTTAATGTTTAATAAAGACATTACTACTGATTTATTATTCTTCTTTTTAAAGAAAATAACTACAAAAGGGCACGTGTACCAGATGCAAGGATCTGGGAGAACTTAGACAAGGATCCTGGTTTTAAAAAGTGTTGTCGTACAAACAAACCCCATGTGGATTTGGCAGGAGAGCGTCCTTATTCTAAGGAGATGCAGGCTGAAATATTTAGGGATGGTATATCATGATGTCCACAACTGGCTTTCAAATCGTTCAGCAAAAAGAAAAATAATGTGTATGTGTGTTGAGGGGGGGGGGGTATGTATGTATGCATTGAGAGAAAAAAAAAGTAAGGCAAATGTTAACAATTTGTCACTATAAGTGAAGGGTATATGCTGGTGTGTGTTTTATTTTTCATTCAGTTTTCCTGTTAGTCTAACATTTTTCAAAATAAAAAAGAGAATTAAAAAACACATGGAATAGACAGGAAAAATGAATAGCTAATAGGATCTATCTCTTATCTCTGGGTAATGATCATAAAGAAGTGGAACCAGGTTTGTTATTCAATGCTGGAATCTGGGTGAGGTGATGGTATAAAACCCAAGGCTAGCCCAAAACACGCTGAGGGAGCAGCTGATGAATTTCTTGTTACATGGGCATCCGCAAGCTCTTGCACTCCAAGGAATCAGTGGTTACAGAAACAACAGCTTGCACATGTTTTCCAGGTGCATAGAAAACAGGCTTTTTCATGTAGGTCTGCTGAGCCCTGGGAAGCTGATTCCCACCCCCCTTTTCCAGACCAGTCTTACCCCCTCTAACCAGCTGGGGCTGGAATCCTCACCCAGCCTTCTGGTTGTTTTGTCAAAACTTCTGGACCTTTGATTCCACCCCCATCGTGAGGCTCAACATGACATTTCCAACAGGAGATTGCCCAGAATGGGTCCAGCTGCTTCCGATGGTTTTCCATTTGTTCTGGAAAAAGCTCCAGATACCTTTGGTCAGCGCTCTTCCTGGCGTCTGCCTTGCTTGGGCCATTTCTCGCCCACACCATCCAGAAGGGGTTGCTGTCTGTAGGTACCTGCACATCTGTTCCACTGGGGAGGGAGACGATGGTGGGAGAGTGCAGCTTGGAGAACCAAGGACACGGGATTTTGGAGGGGGTACTTTCAGCCTCATGCTTGCATTAGATTCAGATCCTTAAAAACCAGAGAACCAGAGCCCTGTCAGAGGGCTTCATTCCGCCTCTGTAGAAGATTCATCGTCAGGAGAAAAGGGATTGTGCTGCTTCGATTTTTTCTTTTCTACTTCTACAAACTCATGTGAATTATTGTTACCTGTTAAGGATCTGGGAGGGAAACTTGCCCTGTGTTAAAGTGTTCAATCCCCAGGTCCTGAATTCTGTGTGAGGCGGGCCTTGTGCTCCCGTGCTGTGGGGTTCATGGAAAGTTTCAGTACAGCCTTTCCACCGTTGAGTGGCTGGATTCTCAGCCATGTCCAGCCCCTCAGTGAATGCCCTCACCTGCTGGGTTTTCCATTCACAGCCACCTGTGCTGAACAGCTGAGGAACCTCAGCAGAGGCAAGAGGCCGTAACCCCAGAGTGGGGGCAGGGAGGAATGGGACCCACGGTTTGCTACCCAAGGACCCTCACAACCCATTTCCAGGGGACTGCCAGGAGAGGCACAGGGGGCTGGCAGGCCGGCTCAGGGACACAGCTAATTTTAGCCCAGGGTGTACTTGTCCGAACTGGGGCTGGCTGCCTCATGGAAATTCCACAGCTCTCTGGTTTTATGTGTATGAGTGGTGTAATGCTCAAAATTTGCAAAGCTAACTTGGGTTTAAAGCAACATGTTTCTTTCTCCTTCTTCTAAAAATGCCCAGAAAACAGTCATTTCTCTGTGCTTTGGGTGTAGGTCAAAATTTCCTGGAGGTTCTTTTTTCATGATGGGGCAGTGTAGGGTGGAAGGAAGCATAGCTCTAGGAACCAGTCTTGACTTGATCTTGCTCTGGCCAAACCAGGGCAGGACAGAGAATCAGTCTCTGTGCCCAAGGAGACCTTTGGGTCATCCATTTGGTGCAGTCAGTAAAATAAATTACTTTAAAAAATACTGGAGGACCAGCGTCAGGTTCAGAAGCAGAGTCAGACATTGTGGGCCTGAAACTTACACAATCTGAGTGACCTCTTTAAGAGAAAGAATATGAAAGTATTTAATTTTCGCAAATTTTCCAAAAATACAAGACCGTGTGAACACACATTTCTAGGGCCTCTTAGAAAGGTCCCTGAAGCTTAAGCTTCATTAGCTTCATGGTAAATCAAATGCTATTCGGGTTATTATCATTTTTTTCTGACCAAGTAAGGACATTGAAACAATTTCATAAAATTTTACCAGTTGAGGTAGACATAATCTTATTTCAAGATTATGTCAACCTTTAGAATGAACAAATTAAGCTTTGTGAAACATTTCGCTGCATTGTTTTTTATTTTTATCACGTCACCATGGACCTGTGTGTCCTGGACAGTTGGTAATTTTCCAAGCCTCAGTGTCTTCATTTGTAAAAAATAGGGCTAAAAAGTTCTTATGCTGCTTTCTACACAGGACTTTCGTGAGAATTAAATTTTAAAACGTGCTTAGCAAGTGCTAGGAAAAGTAGAAGGTGTTGCTTAGATAAGCAATTATTATTGTAAGGGCAAAGCTGTAGAACATTTAACACCCTTAGAAGGTCATAGAAAGGTAAATCAAAGCCCAGGGAAGGTGAATATTTGCCCAGGGTCACTTGGAGAAAGGCATGAGCTCCAAAAATAAGTGTTATTTAAGTGTAAGCCTCTTCACCTTTCTAAAAGTAAATGAACCCAAATCTTTCTTTTCAAATGGCTATGAGGTCAACCTTGGACCCAGTCAGAGCTGTTTCGAACATGTGGCTCACAGCTCTTATATAAATGCTTACGCAGGGGAATGCCTTATAAGTTTGAAAGGAAAATACTTCATCCTAGAAGTTGTTTTAAGCCATGCTTTGACATATTTAACCAAACAGAGCCTAAGTGAGTTTAGTGTTTTGTGGGACTCAGCCTCTCGTTGGTGCAGCTTACTTCCCTGACACGTTGGTTGGTCTTTATAAGGACAGTCATGGGCAGGATTGGTGCCCCAGAGTGGCTTCTCCTAGCAGCTAAGTAAACATCTCCACACAGCTTTTCAGTCCACTGTGGAAACTGGCAGCAACTCCTTCAGGCAGCCACTCCTTCAGGCAGCCTGTCAGAACCTTCCCTTTTGTCATGCCAAGGATGACTTTAGACCTCCCTGGGACAGGGCCAAGGCTGTAGAGGCAATCCTTTCCATCCTGGGCTCTTACACCATCCTTGGGAGGCAGCCTCAGAGACCACTGGGGAGGGAGGCTGGGCTGCCAGGAAGCCCTAATCAGAGGCAGCCTTAGTGGCCCACCCACACCTGGGACACCTCATGCTGTGGGCCAGGCACCCCATCACATCTCTAGCACTGGCCCTGGTCACTGGTCTCATCCAGCATCTCATGATGGGTGGGCTTGGTCAGGTCCAGTAGCCACGGGCTAGTGTGCAGAGGGGTGGAGGTGAGACCAAGATGAAGGGAGATCATGGGCTAGCAACATTTTGCTTGGTGAACTGCATACCCCAGGCCAGAGTGGTTACTCAATGAATTTGAGTGTGTTCCAGAGACATGCTTCATAGAGATCACTTTTCCTTCGAGAAGATATTTTTCTCTCCCTGGGGTAACATCACATCTACCCACCCTTTCACTGCCTGTTGAGCAACTCCTGCCTCTTGTACCAGTCACCTTTTGGAGCTGACTTCAGCCGTGCCCAGGAAACCAGCCTGAGAGAAGGGCAGGGAGGTGTGAACTGGGAGGGCCACAAAGTCCTGGTGTGTGTCTCCCCAAGGGAAGAGCAATCAGTCCTAATGCATTTTTGGGTCTTAAGAAAATGAAGGCAGTGCCTCAAATATCCAGCATGGGATAGATTAAAATAAACCAAGATGAGAGTCAGGAGCTTAAAACTCTATTTCTGCCTACTTACCAGGGGCCTTGGGAAAGCTCTGTCCTTGACTCCCACCTCCAGCAGGGCTGCAGGATTAGACTAGATGGTCTGGATTAGCCTTTTCAGCCCTTCCAGCTGGATGAGCTGTATCTAGGTGATCTCTGAGTACTCCTCAGCTTCCAGAGGGAGCATCCATTGAATACCAATTGCGTGCCCGGGTCTCATATGCCAAATTGGAAGAATAGGGAAATAATATGAGGGAAGGTCACATCTTTGTACAGTTTTGTTTTGCAAACTGTATGCCCTTGAAGAAAACTTCTGAGTCTGAGACTGTGGTAAATTTGTTCTCCGTTCCTGGAATGTTCCAGAATCCAGCCTGACTCAAGGAACAGAGATACAGGAAGGAGAAATGTTGGAACTGATTTCAGATCTTGCTCTGGCTCTGCATACTTCTTGTGAAGGACGTGTGCCAAGGCCTGTCGGGAGGGACACATACGGAAAGAGAGTTAAGCTGAGAAACCATCACCCCGACAGAACAATGGCTTAGGAGGCTGGAGTACAGCATGTGTTCTCTGCAGCCGAACAGCCTGGGCCCGATGGCTTTTCCAGGAGGATGCGGGGCCATCCGTTTCTCCCTCCCTCCCGCCCCCCTGCCTCCCAAATCTGTCCTCACTGGGCGATCCCTATCTTTGTCCACCTTTGTCATCATGGACCCAGATGAGAGAGACTTGGGTATGCAGCCCAGTTCCCAATTAAGGGAGTCACTGGTTTCAGGAAGATAATTTATTTGAGCTGAATTGTTAAGGCAGATTGTTTTCACAGGATTCCAAGCAGAGAGCTTTTCTCACAGGAAATGTCAGGCCAGCAATTCTAGTCAGGTTTTCCACATCCTTAAGAGGAAAGAAAAGACAGAGAGAAAAAAATATTCCTTTTATATGTTGTAGGTCAACCGTTTGAGAACTGGCAACTGCAGGGTATAAACTTAAGATCTGTTAAAATTGCTACACATTGTGATAGTTAGTGCACGCGATGACTTCTCGATAACCCAACCCTTCATGAGACCTCATGTTCTTTATGGCTTAATTTGAAAAATGCATGTGAATATCCAGTGGCCAAGGGAGGTAGAGGAAGCCCCTCCGGAGGCTCAGAGTCCCACTGAGCTCCCAGGAGATGAAGACACTGAAGAACTCCCATCCTCTCCCTGGAGCTTGGTTTCCTTGTCTGTAACACCAAAGGTCATGCCAGGTGACGTCTAAGTGCCATCCAGCTCTAACCACAATTCTGTACTCCACCTATACCTAGAGGAGCTTGGCTGAGGAGCTACAGGAAACCAAAGAAAAAAGGAGAGCAGGAAAGTGAAAGGAAAAAAGCTTTTCTTCCATGGAGAACTTGGGTTTGTCTTTTTTTTTTTTTTTTTTTTAGCATTCTACATTAAAAAAATTTTTTTTAGTCTTTTTATATCAACTTGCCCTCAGGGATCTGACTCACAAAAACTTACTGCTTCTCCAGCAGTTCAGTCATTCATGAGAGCTGTTGAAGTGATGGGGGTTATACAGAGTCACTGATGGAAGCGAGGAAGGAGTACAGCACCGCTGTCCCTGGTGGGCACCTCCAGTGTTTGCTGTGTGCATACCTGGCCAAGAAGTGCTTGCAGGTGGGGAGGGGCTGGGTCTGAAAAGCGGAAGCCCGGGTTCCCGAAGTTTTGTGGTTCTTATAGCCCCTCAAAGACAACTCCGGCAAAAGGGAGGCTGAGACTAGGGGCAATGCGTCTGTTGCCAGGTGATGCCAGTCTTACCTAGCATGTGCGTGTCCATCCACTTCCTATATGTCTGTCCATGTCTGAACAACTCTCTCATTCATTATAATCTAACCCTCTTGTTCATTGCAAAATGATGTTCTGTTTCACGTGGGAGAGTGGTAGGAGTGCCGAATTTGTATTCAGGAAACCTGGACTCTGGTCCTGGGGTTTTCAGTTTCACTCGCCTTGTTGCTTGCCCTCTAGTATGTATATCACCAGCATATTGGGTATGTGTGGGATGCTGGACATCCTCATCTTGTTACTGACTCTAGCAGGGATGCTTCCAATGCCTCAGCGTTAGGTAGGATGTTCTTTAGGGTTCAAATAAAACCCTTTCCTTCCCTTGAGCATGCTAAGAATTATTTTTAAAGAAACATATATGGATATTTATTTTTATCAAGTGCTTTTTCTGCATCTATTTAGATTATTTTGTATTTTTTAAATCTCTTGATATGAATTACATTATTAGATTTTCTACTGTTAAAATAGTCTTGCATTTCTATTTGGTCATAATTTCTCTCAAACTCATGGCTGATACAGTTGTCTATTTTATTTTATATTTTTGTATTTTATGTTTACAGGTATTAGATTTTTAGAATCAAGGTTGTGGTAACCTCATTAATCATCATTATCTCAACTAACACGTAGCAATTTCTGTATGTAGGGTGCTATTCCTAGTACTTGATGTATTAACTCATTTAATTCTCACAACAGTCTTTTGAGGGAAGACTATTATTAGCCCCATTAGATGAAGAATAAAGAATAGATGAAGAATCTGAAGCCCAGAGAAGCTGGACACTTGCCTCTCCTGCACAGACTTTTAGTGTGTCAGTGAGATTCATAGCTGGGATGGGTGGTTCCAGAGTCCGAGTGTACTCTATTTGGGAATGTAAACTGGGGAGATTTTCTTATATTTGGTGGAACACATCAGTAAAACTCTTCGTGTATATGTTGGGGCTGGAAATGGGGGTGAATTTTAAATTAATGATTTAAGAAAATGATTATAGGTAGTTTCAGATTTTCTGTTCATTTTTTCGTCAGTTTTGTGATTTTTCTAGAAAATGGTCCCATCTGTCAGTTTTCAGATGTATTGGTTTGAACTTATTCATACTAGTTTCTTCTTACTGAAAAGCTCCTATTGATAATGTTTAGTTTTATCCTTCCTTTTCACTCTTAGTATTGTTTATTTATACTCTCTTCTCTTTATCAATCTTGCCAAAGGTTTGCCTTTTTACTAATCTTTTAAAAGAATCGGTTTTGAAGGTTGTTGAATCTATTATTTTTTATTTCATTAACTTTTTCATCTTGCATTTATTTTTCCTCCTTCCTACTCTCTTTTGGTCTATTCTGTTGTTCTCTTTTGCTGGGGGATGCTTACTTTGCTTTCCACTGTTCCACAATAATAGGTGCCTTTATGCTATACACTGCCCTCTCCATATTACTTTAACTGCTTCCCGTAAGACTTTATAAGTTGTGTTTTTAATGTTAACCATTTTGAAATATTTTCTGCCATTATTTCTTTAAAATTTTCTAATGCATGGGTTATTTTGGGGGAGTGTAGAGGAGCTATCTCTTTATCATTGAATTCTTTTTTTATTTCTTTGTAATCAGAAACACAGTTTGGAATTTTTTGAGACATAATATGTGGACTGCTGTATGGTCAATATTTATACATTTGTGCTTGACAAGAATATATTATTTAACAGTTGGATGTTTTGGATCAAACATGTTAATTTAGTGTTCAAATTTTAGTCTTTATTCTTATTAATGTTATTTTTCTGCTTGATCTGTTAGTTGCTGGGAGAGATGTGTTAAAATTTTCTATTATGCTCACGGATTGAAGAGTTTCTCCTCGTAGTTCTGTCAAATTTTTGATAATATGTTTTGAAGCTTTGTTGTTAGGAGCATAGAGTTTCATGATGGCTACATTTTTCTGTTGAATTTTTCCTTTTATTATTCTCTAATAAGTAAGTTTATCACTAATAACACTTTTTATCCCAAAATCTGTTTTTATCTGATAGCATTTAGCTACATCACCTTTTAAATGGCTAGTATACAAGTGGTATATTTTTGCCATGCTTTACTGTTAAGCTTTTGTATCATGTGTCTTAAAACAGCATATAGATAATTTTTTTTTTTTTTTTTTTTTTTTTTTGAGACGGAGTCTCGCTCTGTCGCCCAGGCTGGAGTGCAGTGGCGGGATCTCGGCTCACTGCAAGCTCCGCCTCCTGGGTTCACGCCATTCTCCTGCCTCAGCCTCCCAAGTAGCTGGGACTACAGGCGCCCGCCACTACGCCCGGCTAATTTTTTGTATTTTTAGTAGAGACGGGGTTTCACCGTTTTAGCCGGGATGGTCTTGATCTCCTGACCTCGTGATCCGCCCGCCTCGGCCTCCCAAAGTGCTGGGATTACAGGCGTGAGCCACCGCGCCCGGCCAATAATTTTTAAAAGTAAAATTCAATCTGTGTCTCTTTTAACTGGCAAGTTTAATTTTTTTTTTGCCTTTAGTATAATTGCTGATTTACTTGAATTTATTTGTCCTGTTATATTTCATACTTCCCTTTTGCCACATTTTTTCTTTATATAATTTCTCCTCTTTTCTTGCTTTCTTATTTTTTAAATTAACCATTTGAAAGTGAACAATTCAGTGGCATTTAGTACATTCACAGTGTTGTATAACCACCACCTCTGTCTAGTTCTAGAACATCTTCATTTCTTCAAAGGAAAATCCTTTATGCATTAAGCAGTTTTTCTCCATTCCTCCCCCAACCCCCAGTCTCTGGCAACTACCGATCTGTGATATTTCACATAAGCGGAATCATATAATATATAAACTTACGGTGTCAGGCTTCTTTCACTTAACATAATGTTTTTGAGGTTCATCCATATTGTAGCATGTATCCGTACCTCATTCCTTTTGATGGCAGAATAATATTCCGTTGTATGGATATATAACATTTTATTTATTTACTCATTTGTTGATTGACATTTGGGTTGTCTCCACCTTTTGGTTATTGTAAATAGTGCTGCCGTGAACATTTACGCACATGTATTTGTTTGAGTCCCTGTTTTCAGTTCTTTGGGGGTGCATACTGAAAAATGGAATTGCAGAATAATGCTATTTTTAACTTTTTGAGGAACTCCCAGACTGTTTTCCACAGTGGCACTTACTTGTGAATTAACTGAAATGTATTTTTTTTCTACTCTTTTCACATTTAGAAATTATACACTATGTTTTTATTGTTCTAGTGGTTACTTCTAAAATTTTAATCTTAATTGACTTTAATCAATCCCTCTACCCCCTCAAAAAAATGTGAGATTTTAAGAAGCTTTAACTCTGATGATTGTTTCCCATTCCCATGCTCCTGTTTATTATGTCTGGTGTTTTAGTTTCACTTTGTTTTTAACTACTCTTAAATTAGTTGCTATTATTATTTTAATTGTTTTTATTGTCGGTTCTCATTTAGGTTTATCTAAATGCTTGCCGATTTCTTTTCTTCCTGATATGAGTCCTTGATCGTTCATTCAGTGAAGGTCTGTGATACTAAACTGTTTTAATCCTTGACTGAAAATGTCTTCATTTTGTTCTTACTTTTAGTGATGTTTTAGTTGGGAATTTCAAAGTTGACAGTTTTTTTCTTTCAGCTTTGAAGATGTTATTTTATTGTCTTATGCCCTTGTCATTGCTATTGAGAAGTCTGCTGTAACTGTTTATAGGTAATCTGCCTTTTGTCTAAGATTTTTCTCATTGTCTTTTGTATTCCAGTAGTTTTAAAATGACATGTCTAGGTATGCATTTATTTTTACATGTCCATTTGAATCTCATGTTTCTATGAGAATGCATGTCTGGAAAGTTCTTAGCAATTACCTTTTCAGGTATTTCCCTTCCTAAATTCTCTTTATTCTTTCATTCTGGAGCTTCTTTTATATGTATGTTGGACTTTAGAAGTTTTTCCTCCATTTCTCTTATTTATTTGCTCCTTCGTGCAGTTTATCTCTCTCCTGATGGTGATATTCTGAGTAATGTCATCTGATAGCTCTTAGTAGTTAATGATGTCTTCACTAATCTACTGTTTATGTTTACCAAAATATTTTTCCAAATTTTAAGGAAGTTCAAACCTGTAAAAAGCTTGAAAGAAGAGTACAATGAATATCTGTAGACTTTTCACTTAAATTCAGCAATTGGTATGATTTTGTCACATTTGTTCTTTCTCTCTCTTTCTCTCATCTCCTCCTCCCCAATATATATTAATCGTATTTATATATACACGTATTTTTCTGATGATTCATTCTAAAGTAAAATACAGATATCCTGACATTTCACTTGTAAATATTTCAGCATGCGTCTCCTAAGGGCAAGAACATTTTCCTCCACAACCACAGTACCCACAAAATTTCTTTCTTTCTTTCTTTCTTTTTTTTTTTTCTTTTGAGACAGAGTCTTGCTCTGACACCCAGACTGGAGTGCAGTGGTGTGATCTTGGCTCACTGTCACCTCCGTTTCCCAGATTCAAGGGATCCTCCCACAGTCCTGTAGATGGGACTACAGGCTCACACCACCAAGCCTGGGTAATTTTTGTATTTTTAGTAGAGACAGGGTTTTGCCATGTTGCCCAGGCTGGCCTCAAACTCCTGGGCTCAAGTGATCCTCCTGCCTCAGCCTCCTAAAGTGTTGGGATTACAGGTGTGAACTACTGTACCTGGCCCAATAAATTTCATATTGATTCAATAACATTATCTGACATGTAGCCCATAATCAAATCTTTCTCAAGTGTTCCCCAGATATTCTTTTAGGCTTTATTTTTTTTCAATCCAGGATCCATTCGAGGTTTGCCCATTGTCTTGGTTGACGTGCCTGTCTATTTTATTTATTTATTTATTTATTTATTTTCAGACAAGGTTTCACTCTTGCTAGGCTGGAGTGCAGTGGCATGACCACAGCTCACTGCAGTCTTGACTTCCCAGGCTCCAGTGATCCTCCCACCTGAAGCCTCCCGAGCAGCTAGGACTACAGGCATGCACCACTACACTTGGCTAATTTTTGAATTTTTTTTTTTTTTGCAGGGATGGGGTATCACTATGTTGCCCAGACTGTTCTCCGACTTCTGGGCTCAAGCAGTCGGCCCACCTTGGCCTCCCAAAGGGCTGAGATTACAGGTGTGAGCCACTGTGCCCAGCCTCTAGTCTATTTTAATCTCAGTTTTAGTTTTTCATGAAGAGAATGGGCTTGTCCTAAGAACACCCATATTCTAGATTTGTTGGTTTGTTTCATTATTAGGTTTACATTAAGCATTTTTTTTTTGGCAGGGACAATACATAAGTGATGTTGTATATTTCCTGTTACATCACATCAGGACCACATTAATGTCAGTTTGTTTTATTTTGATGATGCTAAGTTGGATCACTCTGTTAACGTGGTGTATGTCACTCTGTCTATCATTGTAAAGATAACTTTCCCTTTTGCAATTAATAAGTAATCTGAAAGTTTTAGACCATATGAATATCCTGTTCCTCAAAAACCTTCCATCCAGTTGTATTGGCATCTACTGATGACCCTTTCCCATATAAATGATTACATTGGAGTGTGTAAAATGATGATTTTCTAATTTTATAATTCCTTCTACATTCATTGACGGTATTCTGTAGAAAAGAGCTTGTCCATCTTCTTTCTCTTTTCCTTGCACTCCCCCCACCTTCTTCCTTCTTTCCCTTCATTCCTTCCTCCTTCAGTAGCAGACTCATGAATTTTTTTCAATATTTAATGTATCATCTATCACCATTGTTATATGCCCATTATTTCAATGACTGCATTTACTCTTCAAAACTGCCCATTCTTTTTTCATAATGTCTAGCTCTTTTCTTATGATTTCCATTCCTGTTTTTAAAAAGTTTCTCTAATCTTTCTAATTTACAGCCTCTCTGAGATTTTTGCTCCATCTTGAGTCTTTGGGAGTCCTATTTGCTGTGTCTGTTGGCTTTCACTCATGGTACATGGTACATCATTTCTCATGTGTTTAAGAGTTTTTTGTTTTGAGCATATTTTAGTAGGACTTAAAAAAACAAATAAAAAAACAAAAAACTTCTCTCTTCTAGGGAATCTTGTTTGAACTGGTTTGTAGGAATGCTCTGCCAGATAATTTTACATTGCTTTGGTTAGGTGTGCTGGGGTATCACTGACTTGGGAAAAATTTATGTTAATTTCTTATATTCTAGATTCTTGTGCCATATAAATGGGGTCAATTTGAACTCCACTGACACTGGGTTCTGATATTTCATCAAATATATAGCAAATGTCTTAGTCTGTTTTCTGTAGCATATAACAGAAAACCTGAAACTGAGTAGTTTGTAAGGAAACAAAATTTGTGTCCTACAGTTCTGGAGGTTGGAAAGTCCGAGGATGGGAGGTCACATCTAATGAGGGCCTTCTTGCTAGTGGGGGCTCTCTGCAGAGTGCTGAGGTAGCTCAAGGCATCACATGATGGGGAGGCTGAGTGTGCTAATTCAGATCTGTCTTCCTCTTCTTAGAAAGCCACCAATCCCACTCCCATAACAACTTGTTAATTTATGATCCCATTAATCCATTCATGAGGGCAAAGCACTCATGACTCAATCATCTCCTGAATGCCCCACCTCTGAATACGGCCACACTGGGGATTAAATTTCAACATGAGTTTTAGAGGGGTCAGATATTCAAACCATAGCAGTAAGTGATCAGTATCTTTATTTTCATGAGATGCCTTTCTTTTAGAGCCCATAACTAATTTAGCCAAGAATCTAGTAACAAACACAGAGGAATAAGCATCTCCTCTTCTCAGTTTTTATTTTTTTGCTATTTATTTTTATTTTTATTTTTTAGAGGTAGTGGCTTGCGTGATCATAGCTCACTGCAGCCTTAAACTCCTGGGCTTCAGCGATCCTCCCATTTCAGCCTCCTGAGTAGCTGGGATTACAGGTGCGTGACACCACGCTCAACTAATTTATTTATTTTTTGTGGAGAGAGGGTCTTGATATGTTGCCCAGGCTGGCCTCAAGTGATCATCCCGCCTCCACCTCCCAGAATGCTGGGACTATAGGCATGAGCCACCACACCTTGCTTCTTCTCTGTTATTATGTGAGAGTGGCTCTTTCCACCAAGCCAAGGATTCAGTTATTCAGAGATTGAGTCCTGGTCCCATGGAGCCCAGAACACCAGCAGTAATCCAGCTCATGCCTCTCTCTGGGGGGCATGAGAGGACCTGTGGTGGGAGGTGGAGGCCTTAGCAGAGGGTCGAGCCGAGTTCTGCCACTTGGCCCCCATGAATTTATTAGTTGCATGCTTTGATACATGTCTCCGGGTTATCAGCACAATCACACTTTGAAAAAGTGTTTTGAGTCCCTTGATTTATCTTTTTGTCATTGTTGTTCAGAATAGTTTTCACTCAAAGGCAAGAACATGCTTTTAAACTGACCTTTTAAACTTTGTAAAGCTTATGCCACAAAGAGACACATGAAAGGAACAATAAGTACATTCTCTATGTGGAAGCATAATTGAAGTCTCCTCTGGTGATGAGATCTATGGGAACCCGGCACAAAGCATCTGAGCTGGGCTCTTGTGCTGATGGATGGCCCTCTGGGTGGAAGTCCCATGACCAGAGAGAGAGGCCAAGCTGTACCCTACCCAGTGGAAACATTCCCACCATCTCAGCGGGCTCATGGCCACCTGCCTACCCTCAGGAGCCAAGGGAACCACTTGGGAGATTTGGCCCTTGTCCTGCGGTCTGCAGGAAGCCATGGAAGTTTCTGAGCAGGGGAAGGATGTGGAAAATAGAGGCAAGACCAAAGTAGAGCATTTGAAGCCAGCAGCCTGGGTTTGAATCCTGACTCTGGCACTTCTAAGTTGTGTGACCTTGTGTAAGCCACCTAACTTCTGTGAGAATCATCTGGCATTGAGCACCCATTTATGGAGCACTGGCTACATGCTGGACACCTGGGATCCAGAGGAGACCAAGAGAATACTGCAGTCGTTTCTTCTTCCTTGCTTATAACTGTTACCATGTGTATTAGTTTACCATTGCTGCCATAACAAATTACCACAAAGTGGCTTCAAACAACATGAATTTATTATCTCATAGTTCTGGAGGGCTGAATTTCCACTGAGCTAAAGTCAAGGTGTTGAAAGGGCTGGTTGTTTCTTGAGGATCCAGGGGAGAATTTGTTTCCTTGCCCTTTTCACCTTCTAGTACCCACCTGGATTCCTTGGCTTGTAGCTCCTTCCTGTCTGCAAAGTAAATCACTCCAATCTCTGCTTCCATGTTCACATCGCCTTCTCTTCTCCCTTTACCTCTTTATGATAAGGATTCTTATAATTACATTGGTCCCATTTAGGTAATATAGGATAATTTCCTTGTCTAAAGATCCTTCACTTATTCTTATTTGCAGAATCTCTTTTGCCGTGTAAAGTAACATTCAGGGATTAGGATGTGGATATAATTGAGGGCCGTTATTCAGCCTATGACACCACGTGACATTGCATTTAGCGTCTGTTCATTTTACGTATCTGTGTAATGTGTTTCTTCTGGGCAGTGAGGTAGGCCTGCCAGATAGCCTCACATGTGTGCTGGGTGAGTGAGTGAATAAATGAATGAATGTGTTCTTTGGAGCTGAGAAGAAGCTGATGTTCCACTTGGGCTTTAGAGGATTAATGTGAGTTTGTTTGCCAGAGTATTCTAGATGGAATGAGCAGCTTATGAAAAGATATAGAGACATGAGCTGAGACGTTCAGCTTGGAGGAAATGCAGGCAGAGTGTGATGGCCCAGAGTGAGACGAGGCTGGGCAGTAGGTGGCCAGATCATGGAGAGCCTTGCAGGATACCTTCATGGGCCTGGATTTTATTTTTATAAGGAAGCAGTAAATGTAGTTATTGCCCTTGTCTTTGGAGTTATCGCCTGGGTTTAAATTCCTGTGCTGCCACGGGATAGGGTTACTTGCTGTGTAACCCTAGGAAAATTACTAAACATCTTTGAGGCTCAGTGAAATAAGTGCTTCATAAACCTGTTCTGAGAAGCAGATGACTTTTGAGGCTTGCAAAGCACTTAGCACAGTGTGTGGAACGGTCAAGGGAGCCTTTAGGAATGTATTGGCATTCTTGCTGTTATTTTAATACATGTGATTATTGTTATTATTGATGGTGATGATGGGGACTCTTTGAAGAATTTCAGCCAGGCTTCAGTGTCGTGGTCAGATTTGCTTTCTAGGAAGATGACTTTGGCAGCCATATAAAGATGTCAGGGGCCAAGGGTGGGTGACACTAAGGGTCGGGAAACCAGTTCGGAGCCTATTAAAATAATCTAGGTGAGAGGTGAAGAGGCAGAGAGCAGAGGTGGGGGTTCAAGAGAGATGTTATTGGATGCAGGATGTTGGAGAGATGTCTTTGCTGCTGCTGTTCCCTGCTTGAAATGGTTCAAGGAGGATTTTAGAGGCTTAGTACCAATGCCTTAGTCCTTGATTTTCAGAAAGGGACACTGAGGCACAGCAAGGGGAGGATGCCTTGCCTTCATCTCCAGATGAAACAGTGACAGACGGGATAGGCAGGGTAGAACCGAGGTCCTCAGCCCTTTGTTGCAGAGCAGGCGGAGGTGGGAGAAGTGTGGCTGGAAGAGGCTTCTGATGGAAGTGCAGTTCTTCATGGGTGGGGGTGCTCTGACACAAACTCAGTGTCGACTGCCCCTTCCACATCCCTCTAACCACCCCTCTATGCCTTAACTCCTCTTTCCAGCTCATTCTTCCACCAGTCCCCACAGGAATGCCTGTAGAATCCTGGTGGTGTTGGGCAGAGGGGTTTTGTGGTTTTGAATTAAGGCAAATGACTTGACTGAGTTGAGGAGGACACATGGAGGATGAGGACTGCCTGGGAGGGAGGGTGAGGGAGTTCTGTGTTCTAGCGCCAGTGAAAGAAACCTGGAGTCTGAAGAAGTGTGTACTCAGAGATTTGGTACTGTGCGTCCTCTAGCTCTTCCATTCACGCCCCTTCATACATCTTCAGGAGGAAACCAATTCAATGGAGTGCACCAGGGCAAGATTACGATTGTTACTTCAATCATATCTTACCCTGCAAGGATGTTGAAGGAAAATATATTTCAATGCCACACTCAAAAGAGCTGTCACTTTTTAACATAGTAAATGGGTTTTCAGAGAGTGATGTAATATTGTTATTTTTAATACATTCTGTTTAGAAATGATTTTACTTTAGTTCAGGTCAATGTATGCTGGAGAACAGAAAAATCTAAAGGGAGCTTTAGAAAATGCTCCCTCAAAGGGTCCACCCTTAAAAGGTGGACCCTTTTAAGAAAGCTCTGTGTGCACATACCTGAATTTACAAATCAGAATCACAGGGCAATGTTTTAAGTAACAGGAAGATACAGGAGGGTTCCTTTAAACACTTTGGTGCATGTCAGAGGTTTCTTATAGATAGCTGCTGATGGCTTTACAAGAAAGCTAGGAGAGAGGAAACAAACAAACAAAAAACATAGAGATGAGATGAACAAATTCTGGGCAATGATGACAAGAACTCGATTTGTGTGTGTGTGTGTGTGTGTGTGTGTGTGTTTCCCAGAAGTATTGCAGTGAAATTGGCGAGATAGCCTACATGCAGTGCTTGGCAAACGCCAACCTACAGAGCTGACCATCCTGTATTGGCTGGTGTATGAGTCTCTTTGTGAGAACACAGAATCGACAAGCATCATGGGGGCTATTTGGTCCCATCCCATGTGGAACCTGTGGCTGAGAGAGGGGGAGTATTCAAGGCACACAGAGGCAAGGCCAAGACTAGAGAGACTTGTCTCCTGAATGCCTATCCATCGCTCTTAACAGTCTTCTCTGCCGTTTACATTTCTCTGTCAGTCTCCTCTGGTACATTGATATTTTCTATTTTCCAGGAAAAATCAGTTGCTGCCGTCTGACAAGGTGGATGGTGAGCTGGGTGCCCTGCGGCTCGGTAGGTGCAGCGGGTGCCTCTGTGCTGTGCCCATCAGGGCCCAAGGGGTCCTCGTTGGCTCTGTCTGGGAGATGGGTGGTCGGGGGCCCCTTTCCTTCCACCTGACCTCAGCGAGTGGGGCTGGTCAAGTGAGTAGAGTAGACTACTCTCTCTCTGATTGATGTCTTCTACTGCTTGCCCTTCTCTCCTGGGGACATCCTAGTAAGAAGACCAGTCATTTCTGGATCTACACTGTGGGGCCAGAGAAGCTCTTTCTGCTTTTGGTATTTTTTTAGGGCCATTCAGTAATGGCCTCTTAGTAAGTTAACTAAGGTCTCCAGAAAACAGTTCTCATTCAAAGTATCAGTATAGCTCTGGCTGGGAAGGCCCGTCCTTTTTAAAAGTTTATCAGTGTATTATGGAGGCATAAGACACAAACAGTGAAGGCATTAAGTGTACAACCTTAAGTGCCCTGGTCTGCATCTTCACTTCTGTGTACATCTGTGTAACTGCTCTCTAAGATCAATATAGAGCACATTTCCTTCCACTCTTTAGTTTTGAAGCAAACTTTTTTTCTCTCTCTTTCTGTAATTCCCTACTCTCCAAAGACATGCATTTGCAGGGTTTTGCAGAAGCAGCTAGAGACTGCGGATGTTGAGACCAAGGACTGGCCGTGAGAGGATGAGGCTTGAGTGCTGCCAACATTTGCTCCTTTTCTGGAGCCAACAGTTTACCTGTTGCACCATTTGGGCAGACAAGAGCTGTTCACATGCTCTTCATCTCCCTTTTGAACTCTCCCTTTTAAACTGAAGGAAGAAAGCAGTGCCCCTATTTAGAACTCTCTTGTGTGAGAGGTGTAGTCTGACAGTTTGCTTTGATGAGATTGAAAGAAAGGTGCAGGCCTCTGAGCTGCGGAGGTGGAGGTGGGGGTTTGTTTACTCTGCCTAACTGATCCTAGAAGTAGCAGATCCTCAGAGCTCCCCAGATGGGGTAGATGTCTGTGCATGGCTGTGCAGAGTACAGCATGGAGTCAGGAGGTGCTGGCATCCAAACCCTTTTTGTGCACCACTGCACTTTAAGATTTTGCAGTGAAAGCTGCTTGTGTTTGGACACAAGAAAAGCGGTTCCTGGTCTTCAGAACCCAGAGAACTTCTACTGGAAGGAAGGCTGTTAGCAATTCTCAGAAGCAGCTGTTTGAAGTGTGTGTGTGCATGTTTTCTGGAGGGAGGCCGACCCCTCTTTGCTAATGGCTCAGCTAATGATTTAGGAAAGGAGAAGAAGGTGAAGGATAGGAGGCCATGGAACCCAGTCACGGAGAGAGTTCATGAAAGGAAAGGAAGGAGAAGTCTTGTGGGGGCCAGGGGGTTGGGGGTTGAGCAGTTCAGAAACAAAAATCAAATTTGGTTAGAGGAACAACACTCCTCCTCCACCCCAGTTCATTTTACTTTGGTTCGATTCAGTAAACTCTTGTCAGCAATTACCTGCCAGCGCATATGCAAGGCTCGGTAGAAGGCAGACCAAGGTGAATAAAAGGTGGCCTTGCCTTTTTGGAGGGTGGGGTGGGTAGGACAAAGGAAGAGAGGTATCTTCCCATAGCAACACATGAAGCAGATGCCCAGCAGTGCTTAAGTGCTTTAATAAGCCAGGTTCTGTGATGGGTTTCTGTATTAGTGTATTCTCATGCTGCTAATAAAGACATACCAGAAACTGAGTAATTTTTAAAGGAAAGAGGTTTAATTGACTCACAGTTCAGCATGGCTGGGGAGGCCTCAGGAAACTTACAATCGTGGCAGAAGGGGAAGCAAACATGTCCTTCTTCACATGGTGGCAGGAAGGAGAAGTCCCCAGCAAAAGGGGGAAAAGTCCCTTATAAAACCATCAAATCTCATGAGAACTCAGTATTACAAGAATAGCATGAGGGTAACCGCCCCCATGATTCAATTACCTCCCATCAGTTCCCTCCTATGACATGTGGGGATGATGGGAACTACCATTCAAGATGAGATTTGGGTGGGGACACAGCCAAACCATATCAGTTCTGGAAGCTTCCATAGTGTGTAGGTATTTAGTCTGGACTCTGAAGAATGGGCAAGGTCTTGTCAAATAGCGATGTGGAAGGAGCCACATGGGCAAATGCCTGGTGTATATATGAGAAAGATTGGTTGGAGGTAATGGCCCTGTTGGGGAGGATGTGGGGGTCAGTGTGAGATGAGGCTGAAATGAAGACTGGGCTGGGCAAGATGATTTTGAGTGCTGTGCTAAAGAGCTGGACAGCAAGTCACTGGGCAGAGATTCTGTGCTAGTGAGATACCTAGGGCTGCGCATTTGGGGGCTATATCTGGACTTAGGTGTAGAATAGACTTTAGGGATACAAGCTTAGATGTTGGGATACTGGTGAGGGGCTCTTGGCATAGTCCAGAGAAGAGGTAATGAGACCCCTCTTACCTGGGAAATCCAATGGGTATTTCAGGACCTGCCCGAATTTCACCTGTTATAGGAAGTTTCCCTGAGCATTTATAGCAGAATTAATTGCCTCCCTCTCTGCTCTGAAAACCCTTGCACTCGTTCCTTTTTCAGCACTTACTAGGTTATGTTGTAATTTTTCAGGGGGCTCTATCTCTCCCTTGGCAGGCAGCTGCTTGAATGAAGGGGTGGGGCCTTAGTCATCTCTTACCTCTGTCCCACATCATCCCTAGTCCATCATGGGTGCTAAAGAATGCACTTGCTGAGCAAATAGAAAGATAAGGACATATTCCTGTAACAGTGGAGAGAGAAAGGCAACAGGGGGGCAGGATATGAGACATTCTGGAGGCAGAGTGATCCAGAGGCTGGACCGGCATGGTGGGTGAGAGAGGGTGGAGGTTTCAGCCTGGGGCTCTGGTAGAAGGGTAGAGGAGAGATGGGGTCTTTTATTGAAACTGAAGCCAGGAAGGGTTCTGAGTTTCTGGTGTTGGGGCACTTCCAGAAGATATCTTGTGGTCAGTAGGAAATTCTGCACAGGCTCCCAGAAAAAAGCTGTGTGGCCCATTCTCCCTATGGAATCTTCCTATGAACATCATTCCCCTTGGTATCTTTGACTCCCTATGGAAATAAAATCCAATTACTTTATACATACGTACATGTATCCTACAAAAAGCACATAAAATAGTATGGGAAACAAAACCCCTTGCTTCTTTTCAATTCGACATTTAAACCAGGACCTTAGAAATAGCATTCTCAAACCACTGACATTTACAGATGGCTTTGTCTTCCTGGCCAACATGTCGTTCTGGAGTGTTTTGTTTTTCCCTTGCATGGCATTCCCACCACGTCTGGGCCCGAGGCCTGCTATATGGTCCTAAACCAACTCCCTGCACTTGGGCCAATTCCTCCCTGTAGAAGCCAAAGGAGTTTGCCTTTTCCAAGGGGCTTACTCTGGCCTATGCTCCATTGGCGTCTGCTTTTCCTGGGCCCCCAGCCTTCATTCCCAGATTTACTTCATGGGACCCAGGCAGAGCGTGTTTCAGGCCTGGATCCCTCCCTGACAACCTCAGACTAAATAGAAACCTCTAAATAGGCTTAAATACTGTCACTTTGTGCCTCCAGGAAACAATCTGGCTCAAGGCATTGCAAGAAGCCCTTCAGGGTCAGTCCTCCAGTAATCTGGAATCACTCAGGTTATCCTGCCCCTTTGTCTGGGGCCTCAGATGTCTAAGGTGGAATTAATCACACATCTCTTTTCCTCCAGAGAACATTCTCAATGTTGGTCTTTGCAAAGCCTGCCTATCAGTATTCTTCCCTTTCTTCCTTCCCACCCTTTTTTTTGAGATGGAGTCTTGCTCTGTTGCCCAGGCTGGAGTGCAGTGGTGTAATCTCAGCTTACTGCACCCTCCGCCCTCTGTTTCCTGGGTTCAAGTGATTCTCAGGCCTCAGCCTCCTGAGTAACTGGGATTACAGGCCCGTGCCACCACACCTGGCTAATTTTTGTATTTTTAGTAGAGATGGGGTTTCGCCATGTTGGCCAGGCTGCTCTTAAACTCGACCTCAGGTGATCCACCCACCTTGGCCTCCCAAAGTGTTGGGATTACAGGCATGAGCCACCGTGCCTGGCCCCCTTCCCTCCCTTTTACATTTCCCTCTCTCCTTCCCTTTCTCCCTCTTAACTTTCTTTCCTTATTTATCTTTAGCCCTACCCCTTATACTCTTATTACCTTCCTTTCCCATAAGCAACCATTCTCTTATGCTTAATCTATATCTTTTTCTTGTGTATGTTCTTGCAAAATCTATACTGTTTTGTATGCATCATTTTTACTTGACATAGATAGCATTGTGTTATATATCTCATTTGGTTTCTTACTTTCTCTACCCAGCACCATGTTTTTAAGTCCCATTCTTGTTGCTGGGTAGACATCTGATCTTTGTTTTAGGTTATTTATGTAAGGCCATGGTCATAGGGTAGCTTTTCAGAGACCCTAACTAAGAAATTGTATTAGTCCATTTTCACGCTGCTGATAAAAACATACCCGAGATTGGGCAATTTTCAAAGGAAACAAGTTTAATAGAGAACTCACAGTTCCACGTTGCTGGGGAAGCCTCACAATCATGGTGGAAGGCAAGGAGGAGCAAGTCACATCTTATGTGGATGGTGGCAGGCAAAGAGAGAGCCTGTGTAGGCAAGCTTCTGTTTTTAAAAGCCATCATATGTCATGAGACTTACTCACTATCACAAGACCAGCACAGGGAAGAGCCACCTCCATGATTCGGTTATCTCCCACAGTGTCCTTCCCACAACATGTGGGAATTATGGGAGCTACAAGATGAGATTTGGGTGGGGACACAGAGCCAAGCCATATCATTCTGCCCCTAGCCCCTCCCAAATCTCATGTCTTCACATTTCAAAACCAATCATGCCTTCCCAACAGTCCCCCAAAGTCTTAACTCATTTCAGCATTAACCTAAAAGTCCACAGTTTAAAGTCTCATTTGAGACAAGGCAAGTCCCTTCCACCTATTAGCCAGTAAAATCAAAAGCAAGTTAGTTACTTCCTAGATACAATGGGGGTACAGGCAGTGGGAAAATGCAGCTGTTCCAAATGGGAGAAATTGGCCAAAACAAAGGGGCCCAGGCCCTACGCAAGTCCAAAATCCAGCAGGGCAGTCAAATCTTAAAGCTCCAAAGTGATCTCCTTTGACTCCATGTCTCACATCTAGGTCATGCTGATGCAAGAGGTGGGTTCCCATGGTCTTGGGCAGCTCTGCCCCTGTGGCTTTGCAGGATACGGCCTCCCTCCCAGTTGCTTTCATGGGCTGGTGTTGAGTGTCTGTGGCTTTTCCAGGCACATGGTGCAAGCTGTTGGTGAATCTACCATTCTGGGGTCTGGAGGACAGTAGCCCTCTTCTCACAGCTCCACTAGGTGGTGCCCCCGTAGGGATTCTTTGTGGAGCCTCCATCCCCACATTTCCTTTCTGCACTGCCCTAGCAGAGGTTCTCCATGAGGGCCCCGCCCCTGTAGCAAACTTCTGCCTGGACATCCAGGTGTTTCCATACATCCTCTGAAATCTAGGCGGAGGTTCCCAAACCTCAATTCTTGACTTCTGTGCACCTGCAGGCTCAACACCACATGGTAGCTGCCAAAGCTTAGGCCTTGCACCTTTGAAGCCACAGCCTGAGCTGTACATTGGCCCCTTTTAGTCATCACTAGAGTGGCTGGGATGTAGGGCACCAAGTCCTTATGCTGTACACAGCACAGGGACCCTGGGCCCAGCCCATGAGACCATTTTTTCCTCCTAGGCCTCCGGGTCTGTGATGGGAGGGCGTGCCATGAAGACCTCTGACATGCCCTGGAGACGTTTTCCCCATTGTCTTGTGGATTAACATTTGGCTTCTGGCTACTTATGCAAATTTCTGCAGCCAGCTTGAATTTCTCTTCAGAAAATGGGGTTTTCTTTTCTATTACATTTCTTTTCTGTTGCTAGTTTTCTGAGCTTTTATGCTTTGTTTCCCTTATAAAACTGGATGCCTTTAACAGCACTCAAGTCGCCTCTTGAATGCTTTGCTGCTTAGAAATTTCTTCCACCAGATACCCTAAATCATCTCTCTCAAGTTTAAAGTTCTGCAAATCTCTAGGGCAGAGGCAAAATGCTGCCAATCTCTGCTAGAACACAACAAGAGTCACCTTTGCTCCAATTCCCAACAAGTTCCCCCTCTCCATCTGAGACCTTATTGTTCATACTACTATCCGCATTTTTGTCAAAGCCATTCAACATGTCTCTAGGAAGTTTCAAACTTTCCCACATTTTCCTGTCTTCTTCTGAGCCCTCCAAACTGTTCCAGCTTCTGCCTGTTACTCAGTTTCAAAGTCACTTCCACATTTTCGGATATCTTTTCAGCAGCGCCCCACTTTACTGGTACCAATTTACTGTATTAGTCTGTTTTCATGCTGCTGATAAAGATACTCCTGAGACTGGGCAATTTACAAAAGAAAGTTTATTGGACTTTAAATTGCACATGGCTGGGGAGGCCTCACAATCATGGCAGAAGGCAAGGAGGAGCAAGTCACATCTTATGTGGATGGCAGCAGGCAAAGAGAGCTTGTGCAGGCAAACTCCTGTTTTTTAAAGCCATCAGATGTTGTGAGACTTATTCACTATCATGAGAACGGCACAGGAAAGACCCACTCCCATGATTCGGTTATCTCTCACTGGGTCCCTCGCACAGCACATGGGAATTATGGGAGTTACAAAATGAAATTTGGGTGGGGACACAGAGCCAAACCATATCAGAAGCATTCTCATCTAAGTTCAGGTTCATATTTAAATTCCAGACTTTATTCCCCAGCCCAGTGGTAGAATCTATGTGCTTGTTCAGTGGCCTGAGTCTCTAGGAGTTCCCCTTGTGCTGTGGCTGGGTCGCCCTGGGGAGAAAGGAGGCTGTAGCATAAGATATAAGCTGTGTGTCCTGGGAATGGTGGCCTTTGATACCACCCCCGCCCACACAGGCCCACTCTGGCAGGCCCCTCTAGGGAGCTGGATTCACAGAGCCAAGCCCTCAGCTACCCTCTGGAGTTCACTCTGCTCAGCCTTGCCGGCACCATTGCCTTGGCATTGTTTCTCCCTGGGTCCTTTATCACTGTGTTCTGGTGAATGCAGCGGCAGCAGGTGTAATGACAAGGGGGCCTTAGCTAACGGGGAAGTCACAGCTGGGACCCTCTCTAGGCCTCAGTTGTCCCACTATGAGAAAACAATATCTGGAATATGGCTTACGGTCCCTGCTGGAGGTCCAGGACAGTGGGATGGTAGAGTTACTAGGAGTCACTCTCTCTGCCACTTTCCATTTGATTGATTTGGGGCCAGTTACTTAACTCCTCTAAGCCTCAGTTTCCTCATCTATAAGTGGGGGTAATGATAATTACTTTCTCATAAGGCTGTTGTGGAAGAAGGTGATCAAATTCAAGCAGTCAATAAATGCAAGTTACAATAGTGATTATATGCAATAATTATTTTATCAGCAATGGTTCCATTTTCTTTCCCAGTCCTGTCCTCTTCACCTTTGTCCTTGGGGGAATGATCTTTCGAGTCATGCCCACCTTTTGTAAGAAATGTGTCTGAGCTAGGCTTTCCTGGTCCTGGTTCGATGGCTTAGGACCCAGGCACTTGTTCCACTCTATGTCCATGCGTGGAACTTTCTAGTGGACCAGTAGCTAAGTCTCACTCGGCAACATCCTCGTGGTATGAACAGAGCAGGGTTGTGACAAGGAGCATGGACTCTCTTGATCTGGTTGCTTTCCTTCCGCTAAGGGTCTGGGAACTTCAGAACAGAGCTGGGGTGAATGAATGCGGGGAGGAACCCTCCTTTCACTCAAACCTTCTACAAACTTAGCAATGTCTGTGGTGTTCAGTGACTTCATGTTCTGTTCTCCGTGAGTCATAACGAAGGGCTCACATGGCCATGGTTTTCTTTCAGAGGATGTGGAGGATGAGTTGATAAGGGAAGAGGTCATCCTGTCGCCAGTCCCATCAGTGCTCAAGTTGCAGACAGCATCAAAACCAATTGACCTCTCAGTAGCAAAGGTAAGTGTAAGGAGACTCCTGGGTTAAATGTGTCTTGATTTGAATGGATATAGATGGCGTGATTTTGGTGTTTCTGCCCCAATCCAGCTCATTGTAATCTCTTGGTCATTGTTGAAATGGAAATTTGGGTGTGATGTAGAAGAAAATGTGAACCGAGAGTCAGGAAAACTGCAGTCTAGTCCTTGCAGCTCTCGTTCCCTCTCCAAGACAAAAGGTGAGGGAGGAGGTTATGTCCTCCCCTCCAAATACCGTGGGAATAGAGCTGCTTCATCATGTCCCTGTGGGCACCGTTAGGGTGTGATGGAAATGGTCCAGTTGTCCCCATTAGAGCAGCGCTGCTCCTGTACTGGTCTCCTAAGCCCTGGCCAGGTTGCAGTGAAGGAAGGACAGGGAGGTGTTAACAATTCTTCAGCACTGTTCAGGTGTACTCCCTTGGCCACTTAAAGGGCCCCGTGGTCACAGGGGACCAGGAGCAGGTTCCTGGCCACAGCAGCCTCTTCTGCAGGGGTGTCTGGGATTGCTCACCATGCTCGGCTACCAGGGTGGCCTCACCACTCCCGTGACCAGAGGCTCCTGCAGGATGGAATGTCATTCCCGCTGTCCTCTTCTGGCCTTTCACCAAGATCCAGGAGGGAAAAATAAAACTCCTAGGGACACAGCTGACTTCCTTCTCTTCCTACTTACTACATATTTACTCAGCATACAAATCAAAGAGCAAAATATTTTTCTAGAGGTTTTGTCCTTTCGTTTCCTTCCCCTCTCCTCCCCTCTCCCCTTCTCTCTCATATCTCCCCCTTCTTCCATTCTCTCTTTTGAAGCTACAGAGGGTCAGATACACTTAAATGGCCCCAAACCTGGGAGGAGGTGCTCTGTCATCTGTCACCATGCAATGAGTCTTTGCAGAGCGCACTTATGCTTGGGGCAGACCCCTCAGGCTCCTAAAGACTATGCAGCAGTAGCGTCTCCAAAAGCAACTGGAAAAAGTGAGGCCTGCAGAGAAAACAGGAGGGCCCAGGGCACGTGGCCTCTGGAAAGCAGAGTCCAGGTTCCCAGGCTCTGTTGACCACACTGTGCCTAGCGGGAGCTGTCATTCTGAGCCCTGACAGATGAATCCACACATCCTTTCTCCTGTGTGCCACCAGCCCACATTTGATGACATGTGGACAAATGCTTCTGTCAAAGAGATTTTTCCTTATATTTAATGAAAAGGAAAAAAAGAGCTGATTCTGGTGGAAAATAATGAGTCTGTAGGAAAGGTCTGACCCAGAGAGGGGGTACAGGGAAGTGGCTGTAGAATCCACCTGCTGGTCTTGGGGCTCACTCAAGGCTTCAGAGACCCCCTCAGATGTAAAACCATGGCAGAGAGAGGGTGGGCCCATCATGAGGGGAGTGGGCGGGGACCTGCTGCCTTTCTCATCTGAGGGCCTGTCCATGGGGAAGGGATTGACCATTCTGGGGGCTCTGGAGGGTGATGCGTGGGTTGATGGGAAATGAACAGTGAACTCATTATCAGCCAGAAGTCTGGAGAAGACAGCCGTGAGAAAGTAGAGGGGCTGCCTTGAGAGGTGGTGGGAACCCCTTCACTGGGGGGTTGGGATGGTTCAAGCAGAGTTCACGGGGGACCACTCATGGGCGGCATCACAGAGGAGGTTCTTACGCATGGTAGAGAGTTGTACTAGACCAGGAGTTGGCAGGTGTTTTCTGTAAAGGGCTCAATAGTGTATTTTTGGCTTTGCTGGCAGTGTGATCTCTGCTGCACCTATTCAACTTTGCCATCATGGTATGAACACAGCCATGGGTGGTATGGAAACAAATGGGCTTTGCTGTGTGCCAGTAGAACATTATTTACAAACAGGTGGTGGGGGCAGATTTGGCCTGTGGGTCACAGTTTAGTAACCCTGCACTAGAGCACTGGCTCTCAAACCCGGCACACTGTGGAATCACCTGGGGGAATCTTAAAACTACTGATACTGGAGTCTCACCCTCAGCAACTGGGGTTTAATTGGCTGGTGTGTTTTCTGAACATCAAGATTGTTTTTAGGAACTTCGTATCCTAGATGGTTCTAATGTGAGGTCGAGTTTGAAAACCCCTAGTCTTGCCTGTGGAAGATCAGAGGACCTCCAAGATCCCTTGCAAATCTAAAATTTTGTTTCTCAAGGCCCCTGTAAGGAGCTTACAAAGATTTTGGCCCATGTCAGCACAGGCTAGCTTGGTTTAAAGATGTTCCAGAGGTAAGACCCTCATTATTGAGTTTCTCTTTCATCAAATATAAGAAGAATGAGCCTGAAAAATAAAAAGAGAAGAGATGAACCATGCTAGAAAATGGGCTTCCCTGCTAGAATTCAAGAACAACTTCTGCAGGAATATGCACACTGAACATCGTATTGTTGCTTGCTTTTAAAACAACCAGTAAAACTCTCTCTTCTTTTTATAGGAAATAAAGACCCTTCTGTTTGGTTCCAGCTTTTGCTGTTTCAATGAAGAATGGAAACTTCAGAGTTTTTCCTTTAGTAACACAGCCTCATTAAAATACGGCATAGTGCAGAACAAGGCAGGTTGCTCCTAGGTTTCCTTGGGACCTTTCTGCTGGGCCATCATGCATAGGGGTGGGTGTACCTCCCAGTTTTGGTTAATCCTGTGAGCATTAGCTGAGCTATTCTGGACCAGCCAGCCCCACATGTGCTGAGTTGTCACTTGGTGCAGGCACTTCAGATGTGGCTGGTGCAGCAAGAGCTGGGGAATAAGACCCTCTGCTTTGGAGATGTTAAAATTGAACATGGATTTAAGGAGCACTTGCTGTGAGTGGTGCAGGTGCTGGGATCCTCAGCAGGAGAGAGAGCAGTAGGAGGCCTTCAGTCTGCTTGGGGCCACTAGAGGGGCCTTCTTAGGCTGATCATTGAGAGATTCACAGGATTTTGCAGATAGAGCTGGAGAAAGGGCACTCCAGGCAGGTGGCAGCATTAATGAAGGGGAGGCGGTTTGAAAGTCTAGGGGCTGCATGAAAAGGCAGAGGGATCAAGTGTGCAGAGCAAGTGCTTGAAGAGAAGGATGTAATAGAAGCTGGGCCAGCGGAGGCCAATGGTTGCAGGCCTAGAACATGGCTTATACCCAGTTCCCACATTATACTCATGGGCAGAAAATAAGCTAAACCCAGGATCAAGAATCAGCAGTTGAGCAGGGCAGCTTGGTCCGGTTCAGTTTCTTAAGCCCCAGGAACCTCCCCTGCCCCACACTGCCTGAGGTCGAGCCCCAGGACCACCAGCTTCTGTCCCTCCCTCTTGTGGCCAAACTCAGCTGGTCTTCATGAGCACCCCAACCTGCCGTTCAGACAATCCTTAAACCTGGATGAGGTCTGTTTGTGTTGTTCAGTCCCACTAGCCTTTGCCAATGTGTCCCAGGAGTCAGATCCTGTGCTAAGCCCCGTGATGCCTACAGAGATGAGCTCCTCAAGAAGCCTCTGCACCACAGGGTGAGAAAGGACAAAGATACACCTAATGTGGTGCTGAAGCAGGCCACAAGTGGGGCAGAAGAGAGCGCAGAGCTCATGTAACCACAGGCTGTTGAAGGGGCTCACTGCCAGCCGAGATGGTCAGGAAAGGCTTCTTGGAGGAGGAGAACTTTAGGATGGGCCTTGAAGGCTGGGTAGACAATTAACACCCTCAACCTGTAGACACAGAAACATTTCCCTAGATGATAGAAAACCTATGGTGATGTCCTTGGCTTCACAGCTGACTGGTTATGAGGAGTCACTTTCCTCCCATGACACACTGACAACTGGCCCCTTCCCCTAGGAGTGGACAAAGGGTCTTGTCACTCCCTCTCTGTGGCCCAAGGTTAGTGTGTTGTAGAAGCAGTTGCCACATCAGAGGCCCTTCTGTTGCAGAAGGCAGGGCCCCTTTACTCTATCAGGTGGGTTCTGGGGTGGGTTTGGGTGAAACCAAAAACTCTGCCCCAGGCCAGTTCTCACTGGCAGCAATGGTCTCATTCTTTGCAGGGTGGTCCTTGCGGAGTCCTGGCAGCTGTCCAAGGCTGTGTCCTACAGAAACTCCTGTTTGAAGGAGATAGCAAAGCCGACTGTGCTCAGTAAGTCAGTGCTCTTTCTGGCAATATCTTATTTTCCCAAGTCTTCCCCAGAGTGTCCAGAAAAAACAAGCAAGGAAGCATGTGTGTTCCCTGATATTTCCTGTCTTCTGCAGGTCAAGAAAGGAGAGGTTAATGGCAGCTAGCTGACAAGGCCTGCGCAGACCAGTGTTAAGGGGACTTGTGCGCGTTTGTTTCTGAAAGCGGGGAGGGTTCTCAGTGGTGCTCCACCTGGGAAGGGGCTGCAGGAACGACATCAAAACCAATTTCCCTCCTCAGACGGCAAGCTGCCCGAATCCCTTCCACCCACCAGGTCGACCTGCCGACCTTTCGACTGCGTCCGGGCCTCCCTTCCCTCCCCACGCTATCTCCCCTCTGCCAACATTCATAACCACACATTCCAGGCCGCCCCACAGATCATCACTTCCACTCCCTGCAGCCGTTCAGTTTCCATTTCACACATTAAGTGTTTGCACATGAGCACCTTATTCTCATTCATTCAGCACACATTCCTGGAACATCTCTGTGCAGGCACAAATGATACAGGGGAGAATTAGATGAGTTCTGTCCTCTCCAGAAATGCTCCATGAGGTTGAGAGGCAGATAGAAAACCCCAATCCCATACCATCGTTGGTGCCAAGATGAAAGGATTGGCAGGGCACTGGTGGGGCTGGAGGCGAGGCCTTCTTGAGGAAGTGACCTGCCTCTCTTTCCCTCCCTGCAGGCCCGGTTACCAGCTTGTACCGAGTCACCCTCAGAGCTACAGAACTTCTGGCAATTGGCCTTTTTTAAAAAAAAAAAATTTAGTTAAAATATAACATATACACAGTAGTTATACTATGTGTGTTCTGCTCAATGAATTATCACAAAACCGCACACCCATGAACACATTGTCTAGATTAAGAAAAAATATTTCTAGTACTCCAGAAGCATCCTCTGGTACCCAGCAGGTACCCCTATTCTCCTGAAGTTATATTAATAATTAAATGGATTTTAAAACCATAGCTTAATCTTGCCAGTTCCTGAACTTTATTGAAAGGTACTTGTTCTTTGAAATAAGCATTTGAGAATCTTTTTTAAAAAAGCCTAGGTGTTACCCAGACAACAAGACCCATTTCCCATGCATTCCTGGGAACGACACTGTTCACTAGGAGAGCCATCCAGCCAAGCTTGGTACTCCAATGAAACACATTTCACCAGCACGGATGATTTTTCCTTAGTTAGGGTTCAAGTGAAGGTGGCTTTTCATGCTTGGCATCTTAAAATTTTTTCCAATGGTTTTGCACAATAATAATTGAGGTGTTTCCTCTCCAACCAAAAATGCTAATCAGAAGCACAGCAATGTAACACTTCCGTGGCAAGATCTCACCTGTCCTTGTTCTTCTCTCTGCTTCCCCTCCCCTTTGCTCTCCGGTCGATCCTTCGTGGCTCTTGTCTGTACAGGATCATGCCCCACTGCCTGCTCTGGAAGTTCAGCCCCACAAAGGGCTGGGAGGTTTGAATGTCATGGGCAGAGACCCTGCCATCAGCTCTCCCTGGTGGGCTCAACACAGTCCTGTATGCTCAGGAATGCTCCTGACTGGGTGGAACTTTGCTAAGTAAGAACCGCTGGCTGCCCTCAGAGGGTACAGGGATACTGAGCACATATGCACCTACCTACCTACCCACCTTCCTTCCTTGCACTGAAAAAAATGTGCAGAGTGTGCTTAGCAGGTCCTCAGCAGGGATACAGGGCTGAACAAGACACATACAGGTGCCCTCATGGCACCTATGATTGAACAGGAGAGCCAGACAGGAACAGGTGGTTACAGGGGACATGCACGGTGCTAAGGGTTCATCTGGACATGAAGTGGCTCAGGGCGGGCAGCCTGGTGGACTGACATTTTCATCTTACGGAGATAGGAAGGATGGACAGAACCCCTGATTCCCCTTCATATGCATCCTTGCACACTCTTATTCCCCCTCAAATTGTTTTCACCTTCCCAGCAAATATTCTCAAACACCTTCCTGAGCCCTCAGGCTCTGTGCTCAGGCGCTGTGCCTGCTGGCTCCTCTCATTGCACAGAGGCCACATCTTTGTGGAGGCCTCCTGGGACCTCCCCCATTAAGATAAAACCAGGCCCTGCCTCTAATAACTCCACTGCCAGCTGGTGCTCTTGCTCATCGATATGGTTACCTGTCCACATCTGCCGCCACCTACTACTGCCCACCCCACTCCAGAACACAAGCCCCGTGAGAACAGGGACCTTCCTGAGCTGGTTCACAGCCAGGGCCCTGGCATCCAGCCCTGTGTCTGGTCCACAGAAGAGGCCCTCAGAATTTTTGTTGAGAGAACACATGGACAAATGAATGAGTTATCCAAACAGGGAGGGGAGGCAGAATGGTATTCCAGTAAAGAGAACAAGATGTGCAAAGCCTGTGGGCAGTGAGAGGAGTGGAGGAGTCACTGGGGGTGGTTAGGGCAGCATTTGGAGGAGGAGGGTGGGAGCTGGGGTAGTGGCAGGTCAGCGCCAGGCTGCCAGAGGGGCCTTGGGTGCTGCCAGCTGCTTGGATCAAGCCTTGGCCCTTGCAGGAGATTGTCTCTAAACTCATTTCAGCCTAGTGCTCCTTCAGAGTTGCTTTTGAACTTCACCGTGGGCTTCTGGGGGAACTTGTGGATGGTTTCCCAACAGTCAGGACAAGGCATTTAAGCATGTTCCAGGAAGAGCCGACTCTGCTCAGGGCACAAGGCAGACTTGGTTTTTGTTACCCCACCCCCAGGCCACATCCATGGGGTGGAAGCCCACTGCTGTCCACACCAGGGAGGGAAGCCAGGCCTTAGAAGGCAAAAGCCATCCAGGTTGGGATCCCAAGGGGGTGTCTGGGTAGAAAGAAAACTGCTAAGCTGGAGGAGTGAGGTTTTCTATCTGTCGTTGCCGGCCAGGCAGGTACCTCCTAGCTGCAGGCCAAGGATGGTGCAGCCCAGTGGGTCCTGGGGCTGTGGGGGTGGGCAGAGGAGGAGGGAAGAAGGAGCTGCTGGCCTGTTGGGGGTCATCATGTGTGGAGGTGTGCCAGGTGCCAAGGAGCCAGACCTTATGGGGGGGCCTGCCTGGCTGGACCAGAGGAGGTCTGTGCCATGCAGCTGGGAGAGCACGGCCTGCTGGCCAGGGCCACCTTCTCCAGCGAGCCTGGAAGGATTCATGGTGTAGGAGAGTGACCTCGCTTTTGTTTGGAGCCCTGCAACTCTGGGTGCTGCTTGTAGCCCACCCCCTGGACTGGGTGCTGCTTGTAGCCCACCCCTACCGGCTGCTGCCCCATCACAGAGGTGCTGTGCTGTGCAGGTTGAGTGAAGCGGTCTGACTTCCTGCTCCCACAGACCTCCTAGCAGGCCTCAGGGGACATTCTTCAGACTCCCCTGAGAGGGAGGAGTGGAGAGCCTGGCTTAGTTATGGAGCTCGCTGAAAAAGCCTCAGGGGACTCAGGCAGAGCTGTCACAGGGAGACAAGCTGGGGAGGCCCAGAGACCGTCTCCCCTGACCCCAGCAAGGACTCGCCTCCTCCTGGTGATGGGCCCTGGGCAGCAGGCACCAGATGCCCTCCCCAGCCCTCCCACCCCAGTCTCCTCCCACTCTCCTGCACTGGTCCTGCCTCAGGTCGCAGGTAGATAGGGGTTGGGGAGGAAGAACCCTCCTGAGGACAGGTTAGGGCTTCTGTCAAGTGAAGACCCGGAAGACCAGGGAGTGAGGGCCTGCTGTCGGGGGCCTGGAGAAGAGAAGGGAGGTGGAGTCCATGTCACTGCTTTGCCAAGGCCCTGAAGGTCAGAGGCTACAGAAGGTTGTCCTTGCCAAGTGGGTGGGTGTCTAGCCTGTAGATGTTGGTGCCCAGGCTGGGAGGGGGAATGCCTGGCTTTGTGCCCCTCAGCCACCCTGGGAGAGGGGAAGGGTGCTGAAGAGGGTACCAGACCGGGTCAGGACCTGGATTATGGTTGTGTGGAAACAGAGCATCACTTTCTCCGTTTGTGAACTAGGAATAGTCATCTCTGGCTTGCCTAAATTGGACTCAGTAAGAAAATGCAAAGTCCTTTGTAAATCTTCAAGGGCTCTATAAGTGAGTAGGGCCATTGAACTCAGCCTGCCATGGTACAGATGGGGAAACTGAGGCCCAGAGAGGGAAAGATGGTTGTTCAGGGTCACATCTGGCATCCCTGGCAGAACCAAGACTGGCACCTGGTGCCCCTGTGTCACATTGTGCTGCTGTGCCCTGCAAGAGGCATGGAGCAGTGGGGGCCCAGGGAGGCCAGGAGGAAGGCTGAGGGCTCTGAGTTTTAGACTTCCATCGCTGGACACCCACACAGACTCCTAGGGACCAAGGGGTGGCTCTGTTCATGAACGGCTTCACGGTGGAACCTCCCCTTTGGCTTTAAGTTAGAAAAGATGAACACAGAAGAGTACAGAGAGCAACATAGCAAACACCTACAGAGCCCCTGCCCCACACGAGCAAAGGGAAACACTGGGTCACGTGGGCAGGAACCTCTCTCAGTCCTCAGCTCCTCGGTTTCATTGACTTATATAGTTTTCACATTGATTGATTGTGTTATTGATGTTCCTTCAAAAGCCATGTGTGAATGGTTGGGTGTGAGGCCTCAGCACTCCCTTTTGACTCTGAAATTCTAGGATTTCAGACATGATCCAGCTTAAAAAAAAAAAAAAAAAAGGGCAAGCTCTTCTGTTTTCTTCAGGAACACCACGATGACCTGCCATCAGCTGCCATCTGCTCTGCGGCTCTGGGGAGCTCAGGCCCTGTGGACCCAGAGGCAGCCCCTGCACTTTCCTGCCTGTGTGCGGGGTCTGCCTTGGCCCTGGAGGCCCCCACCTCAGATGTTGCCCACCACATCTGGTGGGGAAATGGTTCTGTGAAAGCAGATGGAGGATGGGATCGCACCCTCCAGGGAAGTCACGCTGAAATAAAGGCATCTTGGCAGTGGTGGTGTTTTTTCTGCAGGACTGTCTGGCTTCATTACGACTCATTCCATCAGGCCGGCAGCCGGCCTCTCCTCAGTCGGGAAGGATGGAGCTGGGCAGCAGTACTTGGTGTTTTTCCACTTGAGAAGAGGCTGTGCCGGCTTGGCTCACAGAAAGAGATGAAGAGCTCTTGATCCCCCTGAAGGCCTGGAGAGAGCCACAGGCCAGGAACGGCCCTCAGAGGCGGGTGCGGATCTGAGAGTCGGGGAATCCAGGAAGTCCTCCTCTCACTTCCACTTCCCCTCTGAAGTTGGGGAATTCGAGGCCCAGATAAGGAGAGGTGCTTGCCCAAGGCCTCTGTGGACATTGGTAGCAGAACCTATGGTCCTGCAGCCCCAGGCCAGCCTTTCTACCCCCTATTGCAGCTTTTGACCCTGAGAGGGAGCAGACAGGGAGCTCCCCCAAATTATAGACTCTGTACATGGCTCCATGGGCACGTCACAGTGGACAGGTGAGGCTATTTTGAGAAAGTTAGGGTAGAAACATCTCTTTCATCTGAAACACTTGGGTAATTTAGGTAAAAGCAGGATGTATTATTCCCTCAAGATCATTTATTTTCCCTATCTCTAGATAAATGTCTTTTTCCTGCACTTCACCTGTGAGGAATTCGACTCTTAAAGAAACTTCTCTTGGTTTAAGAGCCTGGCCAGGTGCCAGCCTCCTGGGAGGAGTCTGACTGATCAGGAAATGCAGACCTGTTTGTCACCTGGGTTCTGCCAGTGAAGGCGTGCGCTGAGCTATCTGGTAAAGGCCTGGGTGATTCAGACGCAGGACCTTTCCCTGTCATCATCTGTGGGTGCAGGTTCTCACGCAGGCACATACAGCCCTGGCTAATCTGGGGTGGGTTAAATCCACGGTCCCCAGCCTTTTTGGCACCAGGGACTGGTTTTGTGGAAGACAATTTTTCCATGGACTGGAGGTGGGGGTGGGATGGTTTCGGTATGATTCAAGTGCATTACATTTATCATTAGATTCTCATAAGGAGCGCGCAACCTAGATCCCTCGCATGCACAATTCACAATAGGGTTCCTGCCCCCACGAGAGTCTTATGCCACTGCTGATCTGACAGCAGGCAGAACGCAGCTTCACTGGCTCGTCCGCTGCTCACCTCCTGCTGTGCGGCCTGGTTCCTAACAGGCCACAGACCAGTGCCAGTCTGTGGCCTGGGGGTTGGGAACTCCTGGGTTAAAGACAGAATGGCAGTGTTGGAATGATGCTTTGGGGGCATCTGACCCAGTGTCTGCATTTGTAGGTGGGCAGGGAAACAAAGGCCAGGGAGGGCAACGGTTTTACCAGAACCTGTGAACCAGGAATCCAGCCCAAGCCTCTTACCTGTCTGATCACTGTACTTTTTCCAACTCTACTGTGTTTTCTAGAAAACTGTGTCTCAAAAGAGAAAGATGGAGAAGGCCCAGGGAAGAATAGAGAGACTGGCAGAGTTACTAACTGGAAGCCAATGAAAAGAATGAGGACTTGTGCTTGGAGACATGGTGGTTCAAAGGGGCTGTAAGCAGAGCCTGTAGGATGAGGGGACAGGCCCTGCCCAAGAGCAAGATCTCTTGATTGTGTTACATGGTGCTGAAAAGACAGGGTCAAAGGCAAAGGAGGCTGGTTCCTGAAACCAGGTGCCCACGGCAGTTGGTTCTACTTACCCAAGCTCTCCTTCCTTCCTCAGTGTTTATTTTTTCCAGTTTTTACTAACTATCTGATCTGAGTAAATCACTGTGTCTCCATGCCTCAGTTTCCCCATTTTACAAAGAGGATATAATGGTACCTCCCTCATAGGGTTGCTTTAACAATTTGATGAAATAACATGGAAAGAGTTTATAACAGTGTCTGGCACATGATAAATACTCTATATATGTGTGTGTGTTTTTTGTTGTTTGTTCGTTTTTGTTTTTGTTTTTGTTTTAGAGACAGGGTATCACTCTGTCACCTAGGCTAGAATGCAGTGGCACGATCATGGCCCACTGCAGCCTCCAACTCCTGGGCTCAAGCAATCCTTCTGCCTCAGCCTCCTGAGTATCTGGGACTGCACATGCCACCACACCTGGCTGATTTTTTGATTTTTCTAGACAGAGTCTCGCTATGTTGCCTGGGCTGTTCTCAAACTCCTGGCCTCAAGCGATCCTCCCACCTGGGGCTTCCCAAAGTGCTGGGATTACAGACATGAACCACTGCACCTGGCCACTGTTGGCTTTTAAAATCTTATTTGTTGCTACACTGAGAAGCTTCCAACTGAGAATTACCTGCTTCAGTAAGTTAGTGTAGAAGTGTTTGACAGGGGGTCTCCTTACTTCCAGATATGGAGTTTTTCCAGCTTAGGTGTTCTAGGCAGAAAGTACACTCCAGGCACGATTTTGTGTAACGTCTATCCATGTTGGGGAACACTGGTCACACCTGTGTTGTAGGAAGACACGCCCCCACCCCCACCCCATGTGTATGTGCAATGGTGATTGGACGGTGGGGTGAGATGGAGCAAAACTGCTGGTGGGGCACTGGCTGTAACAGCTGAACTGAGGGCAGAACACCCTGGCCTGGGCCACACAGCAGGGGAAGGGTGGGCATGAGGTACTCAGGATGTGCAGTTGACAGTACATGGCCATCATTTGTATGAGAGCAGGGCATGAAGCAGGAGCTGTGGGGGTGATGGAGTCACATTTGTGGGTTCTGAGTCCAGTCCTTTCTCCTTTTTCTGATAAGCTCTGCTTTCCAGGGCCCCCTTAGTCCTTGGTGTGGGCTCTCCTGAAACCTAGAGCAATGTTTTCTCATGGTGGTTTTCATAGTGAACCGTGACCTGGGCCAGTGCTCCCAGCAGCTGGGGCATCCGGTTCGGTGAATGCTTGGTAACTATTTCCTCCAAGGAACATGATGGGCTTCCTGAGGCCAAAGAAGTGTCAGGCAGTAGCTGTTTTATTTTCTTAAGTGCTTGAGTGCTTGTTGCTTGTCTCATTGGATTTGAAGGATTTCCAGTGTCAGAGGCTTGGTGTCACTTTCATATTAGATGTTGGAAATCCACTTTCCCCTTGTCATGGCCCAAGTGGGGACTTAATGGTTTCATAAAGACAATAGTCATACGCGCCATTGATTGAATAGTCACCACGTGCCAGCCACTGGTCCAGGGACCTTACAAACATCTCCTTTAAAGCCACGAGGGAGGTGCAGTGGTCATTGCCAGTTTATGGATGAGGAAACTGAGGGGCCACTGTGTTCTGTCACCTTTTAAAGTAATTGGACCACAGCAGCCTAGGTGTAGGTCACTGGCTATGTGTCCCAGGCACTGGGCAGTGACCACATGCTGCCCACTGTGGTGGGCTGGGTTCTGGTCTGGTTTCTTTTCTCCTGTCCTGGAAAAGAGGGACGAACTTCAGTATTCTTCCTCCCCAGCACAGTTCCGCATGGAGCTCAGGAATTATTTGGTGACTGAAGGCAGAGAACCCCCTCCTCTGTATTCCTTTGAGCCCTAGCAGAGTCTTCATCAAGTCCTTTTGTTTGTTAGGGAGAGACCAGCTAGCTTCCGTATGAGTTTTTTAAAAATTTGCAGAATCCAAGAGAAGCCTAGAAGTACACCTCGAAGGAGTCCTGGGAATATGAAATGGAAAGAAATACGTATATTCGGCTGTTTCCCTTCCCTCTCATTCAGTTCAGGCACCAGGGACCTCTTAGTTACCATTTTTATTATAGAGAGGTCTCTGCCATGTTTGATACAGCTGACTGCCTGTCCATTTGATCCTACGACTGTGTCGTGGCACTCTCTCCTCATTCTGCCCCTCTGACCCTTCTTCCTCTGCCTCCGCTGATTCCTTAGAGTTCCACAGGGTTCCACCCTTGGCCACGGTCTCTGTTTTTCCTCATTCTGTCTCTGGGAAATCTGTGCCCAGCCCCAGCTGCTCTCTTGGGCTTTCTACATGTCTGACAGCCTTATCTAAAGATCTGAGTGCATCTCAAACTCAGTAAGTCTGAAGTGTGACTCTTTATCTTCTATCTCCAGCTACCTCTTCCCAGCCACATTGTCCTTATTTTGCTTGATGGCACCACCATGTGCCCACTCAAAACACAGAGCTCATCCTTGAATCTGTCCTGCCACTCATCCCCCACTCTCTGTGTCTAAATGTCCAGCAAGTGAGGCTGCTGTCCCCTTGGCCCTGGCAGTGAATAGCACCTGCCTGTACGTGCTACTGACTCCAGAGGCTTGGAGGTGGGCATGGCCAGGGCCAGGGCAGGGTCCTGAGATGGCAGTCATTCCCGAGCACTGCTGGCTGGGCCTCCCAGTCCCTGCCAGAACTCATGGCACTTTCTCTCACACACTTCTGGGCCCCACCAAGCCTGCAGAGCCCTCTTTGCTCCTGTGGGCCCTTTCCTCTGCCTCCTCCTTCACCAGCCCCACCCAGGGCCTCCCACTTGAAGGCACCTCCTTTGGCCCTCAGCTGTGGAGACCCCTCTTTCCTGGGCTTTGCCTTGGGGCTCCTGGGCTGCAGGTGGCCCCTCTGCAGGCCAGAGAAAGAACAGGCCATCTGCGGAGGGGACTGCCTGACCACACTAAGTAGAGCTGCACCATCTCAACCTTGTGTCCACATGGGCATAAATGCCTTCCTTTTCTTGTCCGCAGGGGACTGCAGCCTTCAGATGCCCACCGGACCCGCTGCCTCGTCCTGGCCCTCGCAGACATTGTGTGGCGGGCAGGGGGCCGAGAGAGAGCCGTTGTTGCACTGTAAGTGGTTCCGAGGTCTGTGTTGCCGTGGCTCATCGTCTGCTGGCAGCTGCCGGCAAGCTGGCTGTGTATGCTCCTATCCTTGGGTCCTTCCGTTACCCACCCTGTGCCACATGCTGGGATGAGCCCTGCAAGCCAGCCTGATGTGCTGAGCAGCCGCAGACTCAGGGAGAGCCCTGGCCTTCCATGCGGCCCTGCGATGCCCTCTCTGGGCTCCAGTTCTCATGTTGGAAGGCGTGGTCTGTCTGCCCTGCCTTCCTCCTGAGGAGCTCTGGGGTGACCCCTCAGAGGAAGCCTCTGACCCCTGCAGCCAGCTCCTCTCTATAGTTCTCTGATCTGGAGGCCTCAGGAAATAGCCCCTCAGGTTGAGTCAGTCCTGACCCCACTGTACTGCTCTTCCCAGTCCCCAAAGCACACTGCCATTTGCTCTGTCACTTGGGTCCCCATCCCATAAAGACTCAGGGAGGTGAGGTGGAGCCCAGGCCCTGGACCCAGTTATCCTGACCCGCATCGTCTCTTCACCGCTGGCCCCATTCTACTGCATATAACCCACATGCAAGGTTTGCTGGGTCTTCAGCCTGATCCGTCAGAGTGGAAGCATCGCTGTCCCAGCTGTGAGGCTAAGCGGTAGTATAAGGAGATCACTTTTGGGGCCAAGGACCATACTCTGGGGGCACGTTGGTCACTGTAGCATATTGCTTCAGAGAAAGGACTCTTAGGTCAGACTCCCAATGCTGTTGCTTATTGGCTGTGTGACGTTGGGCAATGGATGTAATCGCTCTGTTTACTCATCTGGAAAATGGGGATGATTATAACAATTACTTACTTGGATGGCTGTGAGACCTAAATGAGTCAGTATAAAGAAATGATATAAATATGATTATCAGTTTAAATCATTTTATCAATATGAATAGCTGATAAATAATAATAATTGCGAAGTGCTTAGGACAGTGTCTGGCACATACTAAGCACCACGTTTTAGATATCGTTATTTGTTTTTGTTATTATTACTGTCACTTGTCTTTGGTACTCACCTTCCAGTTAACTTATTAACCCCGGCCCTTAGGATCTGCAGGGCAGCCCTGAGAACAGATGGGGCAGGAATTCAATTTCTCCCTGTTTTACAGATTAGGAAACAGAAGCCCAGAGAGGGAGGGTGGCTGGTCCAAGGCTACACAGCCACTAAAGGAGCACGGGGCCCCAAACCCGGCTCCGATTCCTGGACGTCTTGGGCTACACACCCCTGGGGACTGCACACCCAGGGGGAGCCTCGGAGAGGATGGAGGTGGAGTTCCTCCATCAGTGAAAACAAAGGGCAAGTCAGCATTCCGCAGTCTGGAAACACATTTGTCAGTTGTGGGTGAGAGTCAGACTTCCTACTGCCAGGGCTTGGGTTTGGGTTTGGTTATTCCAAGCTCTCCCTTTGCAGTCTTTTTTCCATTTCTTTTTTTTTTCTTTTAAATCCTGCTATTGGAGTTCTCTGGGCCCAGCCTAGTGGGTGAGTTCAAAGTGGGGAAAAATGAGAAACTCTTGGCTCCATTTTCTCTCTGGAGCCACCTTCTTATTTGTCCTTATTTAATGACACATGTGGTTTCGCCCCGGCTGGAGGGCACGCCTTCTCTCCACTCAGAGGACTCATGCACCTTCCTTTCCTTTTTAGGGCTTCGAGAACACAGCAGTTCAGTCCAACAGGGAAATACAAAGCAGATGGAGTCTTAGAAACAGTACGACTTTCTGGAAAATTATCACGCAAACTTTGGCTTTGTTTGGGGACTGTCTCCTTTCATATAAGTAAATCCTTCCTCAGCTGGGGACAGGCTGGCCTTCCGCAGCCCAGGTCCCAGGAATCCTCATCCTGGGATTAGGGTGGGGACAGACGTGGGGTGGCTTTGGGGATGGGCTCCTGCTAGAGCTGGCTTTACGGCCAAAAGGCTGACTGGCTTCCTGTCCCATCGAGGGTGTGCAGAGCTGAAGTCTGTATGGAATGCCTTTTGGTTAAGCCCCAGGCTTCCCTGTGTCCTTCTTCCTCTTTCTTTAGCATCTGCTCCAGGATTGTTGTGGGAGGGGGTGGGGCAGGGGTGGTAAGGAGAGGGAGAGAAAGTTAGAATGTGGGGAGGAACTTTAATAGCATGGAACACCAGCCATAAAGCCAGATCTAAGTCATACACAATCGGGGAAATAATGGAAGACATACATTTTTGTATTTTGTAAAATATAAGAGCAGTGAAGTTTTTCAGCTACCTCTTGCCAACCTCTTCACTGAGAATTTTTGTTTTAACAAATTAGTTTCATTTGACCTCGGTTTGGGCACGTGTTGCCCTGTGACCCTAACTGAGGGTCTCGCATTGTTGAATGTTTTCTCTTGAAGTGTTTTTTCCTGGCCTGCCTGAAAAAGCAAAGGAGACTCCTAAGGGCTGCTTCCTGCTGAACTCAGGACACAGCCTGTTGGCTTCCACCTGGCCTGGCTATTGTGATTTGGATATGGCCCCTGCCTTATCCACCTCCCTGCCAGCCGCCTCTCTGATATCAGTGACTCGCCCATGGGGTGCAGCCCTCCCCTGTTGGGGCCACACAGGATGCTGGAATTCTGGGGTCTCAGGCCCAGAGCTGCCGTAGGGCCACCTGAACCCTGACGACTCCAGCGGTACCGGCCAGCCTTTCACTCACATACAGGTATGGCCGTGCCTCTCAGCCCTGACTTGGAGATGCTGCTCTCTGACGCAGGGACATTCCCAAGTTGGATTTTGTAGCTACTAAAGCCAGGGAGCAGAAGCTAATTCAGGATGGGGCACTGCGTGGGGCTTGGGCCACTCATCCTGAGTGTTTGTGTCTTCTCAGCTTACGCTTCACAGTTTGACCTGCTATGAGGACCTGGTGACTTTTCTTCAACAAAGCATTCATCAGGTATGAAGCATGCCTTACTCCTGTGGGATGTGCGTCACTAAGCCTTCTGATTTCACTGTGGGAACAATGCTGTGAACTGGAGTTGTTCTCCTGTCGTCCCACCCTGGGATGGCGAGGAAGCTGGGAAGGAGTAATGCTGGCCCCTGGTTGGGGGCTGAGGAGAATGGACTTGGGGTGAGGGATCTGGCTCCTGCCATTGCATCCTCAAGAGCTGGTCCTGGAGGCAGGGCACAGGTAGCAGCCACAGCCAGGACTACTGACAGCAGAGCTGGACGGGTGGGGTCAGGACACAGGAAGCAGCTGTTAGATGGAGGTCACCAGAGCTTTCTCTCTGTCTGAGTGGAAGCAGCCGCCACTGGAATACAGGAGCTCTTTGTCAGTGGAGTGGGTCCTGGGACCAGCTGGTGAGGTAACCAGAAAGCGGCTTCTTGGGTGGGTTGGAGGGCTTAGCAGTGTGATACACACCTTGATTAGTATCCCTGGGGTGGCAGGGCTGCTCTGGGTGGGGGCTCTGGAGCCCCCCCGCCTGCCAGAGGAGAGCTGTACATCCACTCCTGGCCATGAGCTGGGCGGGACGTGGCCAGGGCCAGACAGCAGCAGATCACAGGGCTCCGGGAAGTCATGGCAGAGCTGTGGTATCACAGACTCTGTGGGGAGGGGCTACACACTCCAGGGGTAAAGAACACGGTCTCTGGAGCCAGTTGGCCTGACTTTGAATCTAGATTCACCCTTCAGTAGCTCCCTGACCTCAGGCAACTTTCTGAATCCTTCTGTACCTCACTTTCCTCATTTGTAAAATGTGGGTCAGAAGAACAGTGCCTGCCTCAGAGCATCGCGCAGAGAGCCTAGGGCAGCTGGGCTGTGCTTGATGTTCTCAGTAGTTGTTAGCTTCTGTTGTTGACATTAGGATTGCCATTGTAATGATGCTCTAAGGGCAGCCTTGAGATGGGTTCCTTGTAGACATGTAGAAATGAGAGGGAAGCATTACAGAAGGCAGGTGTGGCCTGAACTAAGGCCAGCAGACCCGCGACCTCTGAGACCCCCACTACGAAGCAGAGGAAGAACACAGACCTTTCTCTCCTGGTGTGCTGGCTGGTCCCTGAGCCTCACCTTGCCTTCCCTTTGACCTTCTGGATGTGGGATCCATTCTTTTTGGCCCCACAGAAGGCACTGGAGGGTTTGGTGGTAAGCCGGAGAGTGGGAGAACTTGCTGGAAATGGGACCAGGACTAAAGCTCCTGCTGTCAGACTGCCTTCCGCAGAACTTTCCCAAAGACCCTGAAGGCCTGGGCACAGCCCTGGGAAATGATCAGGCCCTGGCAGCACCAGATGTCCCTTGGGTAGGCAATGGGGCCTACCCTAGGAACAAAAGGAGGCAGGTGAGGTCACCGGAGGGGCAATCCACCTGAAGTGCTTTCACCCCTCAGCCTGGGGAGAGGCCTCAGGGCCTGTCCCAAAAGCATGGATTAGGATGGCTCCCTTTCTACGTGGGTTGCTCTGTCCAGGCGCATGGGAGAAGGAGTGCTGGCCGGGGCATCGGGAGCCCCAGGCTGTCTGTCCTTTGCTGCCTGTCCCCAGCTCTGGTTTTTCACTGGAGTCACTCAGTAGGCCAACTGCTGATGCGGTGCATCCACCGCCTGGCCTGGGCAGAGGAGGCCTGGAGCAGGGGCCTGGGGGCCCCCTTTGGCTTATTCCTTAGTCATATGTAGCCTTGGGAAAGTCACTGGGTCTCAGTTTCCTCATCTGGAAAATGGAAGATGGAGCAGTTATCAGGTAGCTTCCAGCTCTTCATCATCTAAGGGTGGTCCTCAAAGAAGAACCTTAAACACTTGGAGAAGGGTGTCTTCCAAATGCAGTACTAGGCAGTCTGAAGGAGCAGAAAGGAGACCTGCTGTTGATCCGGAGTGTTGTGAGAGTGCAGCAGTCACAGGAGAGGCGAGCAGAGCCTGATGGCATCCGTGTGTGGGATCTGGCCAGGGTGGCCAGGAATGGGATCACCTGGTCACACTCCCAGCTGAAGCAGAACGTGGAGCCACCAGAGCCAGGAAAAGGAAGTGACTGGTGAGGCTTCAGGGGCTAAGGTGGAGCCTGAGGGTGATTGCTCAAATGACCACAGATCCTGAGGCTTGTAGCTGCCCACTGATGGACTGGGGTGGCCCCTCAGCACCAGGACCTCTGCATCCTTGTCTATGAGATGGAGCCTCCCCCTCAGCCTGTACCCCAGGGCTTTGATGAAGCCTAACCAAGACAGGGACTGTGGAAGGGGTTCAGAGAGTGGGATTTGTTCCAGGGCGAGGGGGCCTCCTTTCAGTGATGCCTCTGGACTCAAAGCAGTCGCCTCCTCGCCTGGCTTTGGTCCTTGGTACAGGCGGTCAATATTCGGCCCTCCTCACTCTGGAAGGCAGCTCTCCCCCTGCAGTTTAATTCATGTTTTTGCTGGAAGCAGTTGAGCTGCCTCAGCACTGCCCTCACCAAATTCATTTTTCATGGCCTGGGCCTAAGAGGGGTTCCTCGTGCCAGGCCTGGAAATGTATACCAAGCCATCTTTGCCCAAAATCAATAGCCTCCTTGCTGTGTTTTCATTACTGCTCACCCTCTGGGCAAGGTGTCTGGCAGGCTCCTGGCCAGCTGGAGGATGCCCCCACCTCTGCCTCCCATTGGAGTTCCTTGGTAGACTCAGGTCTCTGTGGAGTGCAGAGTAGCACTGGAAGAATAGCCCCTTCTTCCCAAGTGGCACCACTTTCTAGACCCTGATGGCAGTTTTCAGGCCAGTTGCCTTGCCTGACCTCGCCTTTCAATGCAGGCGTGTTGCCCTGTGGCCTCCCATGTCTTGGCAGCTTGAATTTGATGAGATAATTGTAATAAAAGTTTTAAAAAACAAAATGGAATATTGGTGCCATTTAGTGTGTTCCAGCAAGGGCAAGAAGCCTCAAGCAGGGTTCTTCCCCACCCACTGCAGAGAGGCATGTCCAGGGCTCAAGGGGTCCCCTTGAGGGTGTTCCTAGGACTGGGGGCAACGCTGGCATAAATGTAATAATAGTTCCCCAAATTTACACAGAGTTGGGGTTTACAGTGGGTTTCTGTGTCTGTTACTTCACTGCAGGTAGGTAGGCGTTACAGGCATTGGCGGAAGGGGAAACAGACCACAGACCAAGAAAGTACTGCAGCTGCCCCAGGACTGCATGTATGTCCATGGCAGAAGTAGGCAAGAGTTCTAGAAGGAGAAACTGAGACCAAGAACACTTTGTGACTGTCCAAGGGGAGATGGAAATTTGTGGCAGATTAGGTAGGCTTTCTATGGAAAGGGACACCGAGACCAAGAGCTTCGTGACTTCCCTAGGCAGCATGCAGAGCTGGTACAAGGGACTGGTGACCCAAGTCCTCCTGAGCCTGTGTCCCCCTGTGCAGGGGGAGACATCAGCATTACTCTTTGCCATTGTCAGAGCACTTCCACAGACATTGTCTCAAGAATGTGCACCATAAGCCAAGGAAATAGGCCAGGTGGGTCTTCATTATTCTTATTTTGCAAAGAGGAAACTGAGGGCAGCATAAATGAAGTGGCTGGCCTGAGATCACAGAATGAAGACGAGGTTGATTTAACATTGTTGTTGATTCATTCATTCCATTCCTACTTCCAAAAAAAGACTGGAAGTTGCTTTGAAAAGTAAATGATGTCCTCAGGGCTCTGCTGTGCCCCCGCATAGTCAGCTTGCCCTCTCTTGCCTGTGGACCTTTGCACGTGCTTCTCCTTTTGGAGCGACGTTCACTTTTCTGATTCCTTACTGTCCCTTAGGTTTCTGTTCAGACATCGCTTTCTCCAAAAACCCTTCCTTGATACTCCCTCCCCGAACTTGAAGTCTGTGTTGAAGGCCCTTCCTGTGTGTTTTTGAAGGAGCCTGCATTTCTGTCATGGCAGAACCCCTTCTCCCAGCCTTTTCAAGGTGCTTATTGTTTTTTCTTCCCTAAGTTATTTCCCCAAGAGGAGAGATCCATATCCACCTTGTTTTTTTTTTTTTTTTTTTTTTTTTTTTTGAGACGGAGTCTCGCTCTGTCGCCCAGGCTGGAGTGCAGTGGCGCGATCTCGGCTCACTGCAAGCTCCGCCTCCCGGGTTCACGCCATTCTCCTGCCTCAGCCTCCCGAGTAGCTGGGACTACAGGCGCCCGCTACCACGCCCGGCTAATTTTTTGTATTTTTAGTAGAGACGGGGTCTCGATCTCCTGACCTCGTGATCCGCCCGCCTCGGCCTCCCAAAGTGCTGGGATTACAGGCGTGAGCCACCGCGCCCGGCCATATCCACCTTGTTAACAAGTACAGCCTTAGCCAGGAGCATCCTCTTGGCACAGAAATTTCACCAATACAATCTTTTTAAAAAGACTAATTGACCAAGTGAATTCCTGGATGACAATAAAGAGTATATTTTGAGGAAAAGAAAAGGTAATTTTATCAGAAGCTTGAGCTGCAATAGTTACCATAGTAGAGCACCATATTTGGCTCTGAGCTTCCTGGCAGCCAAGGCAAAAATGTAAACATGGTAAGTTTTATAATTTTCATTGTCTGTTCCAGGAGAAACAAGTTGGGATTTTTTTTTTCTAATTTTAAGTCCAAAATGTGATTACACATAAGGAACACTGACTATTATAACAGGCGGTGTCTTCAGTCACAGTTCATGGTTTCCAAAGTGGAATGAGTGAGGCCTTCACACTGACTTGAAGGTGGGGATGGTGTTTCTCCGGGGAGCAGAAGTGACATGGCCGATCCCAGTAGGCTGTGGCCCACTGGGCTTACTGGACAGATGGGCAGGGCAGAGCCAGCTTTGTTTTAACAGCTAACACAGGTGCCAGGCCCTGTTTGAAATGCTTTATAAGGATTAACTCACGTAATTTTCACAACTTGATAAGGGTAGGTGCTGTGATTATTACCCTCTTTTTACAGATGAGAAGACTGAGGATAGAGGAGTCCAGGAGTGTTTCCATGGTCACATAGCAAGGAGTGGCAGAGCGAGGATTTAAATTAGGCGGTCAGGCCCCGGGACACCAGCTCCAAACCAGAGTTGGGAGGAGGACTCACTTTGGATGCAAAATCTAAGGGGGTGCCAAAAATCTCAGAAATTAGCAAAACCTATCTTTTTTAAAAATCAGAGTTTATCAGAAAAATCCACAATGAACAAAATACCAAAATGTTGATGTTTTAAAAATATATATATATATATATAAATTTAAGACATGCATCTACATGGCTGCCTCCTTCGCCTCACCAGATCCTGACTCTGCTCCAAACCTGCTCTCTGCTGCTCTTAGCACAGCACAGTTCTTCTGAGTAAGGGATCTGGAATTAGAGATCCCTGGAGTCCCAGTGTGCTGCTGACAAGCTGTGTGGCCTTGAACTGGTCACTCAGTTTCTGAGCCTCAGTTCCACATATGCTAGAGGGCAGTAATCATAGTACTGTCCCCCAGGACTGTTAGAGTGTTCGGGGTGATAATGCCCATTAGATGCTTGCACCATAATGGAGCTGGCCATGACTGTTGCTGTCTTGTGAGTTTTGAGGACTCTGAGGTCACTGATGCTCTCTTTGGTGGCCCCTGCATCACCCTCGCTCTGCTGTCATTGTCATTCAGGTTGTTGCAATGTCCCATCCTTTAGGAGGTCAGCCTTCGGGCCACCCAGCAACCCCAGGGCTGGGCTGGAGGCAGTTGGCTCAGGGCAGGCTGCTCCCTGGGGTGTGGCTCCCACAGAGGTGTGGGGCTGGGAAGAGGGAGGTGCAAATGGGATGGAGCTCATTTTTCTCTCCCCCTCCCAGTTTGAAGTGGGCCCCTATGGCTGCATCCTGCTCACCCTTTCTGCCATCCTGTCCAGGTCTACAGAGCTGTGAGTATCTTTCTCCCTCAACTCCCTGGGGCTGGGCTGGTCTGTCTTGTTCACTGCTGCCTCGCTAGAGCCCAGGATGGTGCTTGGCACATGTTGAGGGCTCTGTGAGTATTGTGGAAAGGATGAATGAAGCAGTGGAGTAGGGGAAGGTCTGCTGGTGGAGGAGAGAAAGTAGTGGCATTCTACATATACACGTGTCCAGGGCTACCATGTGTGTGGTGGACAACCTGAAAGACACGCCACCAGCCCTTGAGGAGCTTGCCTGGAACTGCAGTGCATGCACACTTGAGCACTCAGGGGGATGCCCCTGGCACTTGTGCAGGGGATGGACAATTGAGGCTGAGACCCAGGAGATGGCTGAGGGCCCTCTAGAGCTCGGGACAGGAAGGCCTCGCTGTAGACCAAGGCAGCCCTGCAGTCGCGTGGACAAGGCTGGCATCCTGGGTGGTGAATGGGCGGTGGCCAGGAGGCCCTGGAGGCAGGGAGAGGTGGCAGGGCGGCTTGTCCTAATCTCCCCTGCCTGACCCCTTTTGGCAGGGTCTCTATGCTGACTCTGTATCAGGTGGAACATGGTCCCCAGCCTGCTCCACAGCCGGAGTTTCCCCATGAAGCTCATTTGCTAGGAGCTTTTTAGGCCTCTTTGTCTGTATTTGTCACCTGGGCATGTCACCAGGAAGTGTAGCAGATTAATAGCGCATGAACGGTTGTGGAAAGTACAGTCAATTGCCCCATTCACTTTCAAGCAGAGGACAGAGCCCTGGGGGCCTGGAGTCCTGGGAGAGTGAATCTTACTTTGAGGGATGCAGGTGGGGTAGGACTTGGGAACAGCTCTCAGCAGGTGGGCCCTGGGAAGTGGGGAGGCAGGGTGAGTAGCCTTGTGGTGCCCAGGGGCGGGAGGTCACAGCAGGAGACACTTCTTTCCCGGCCTGGTTGGGTCTGGTCGGCGCCCTCCCTGTTTCCAGGGGCCTCTGCTGTGGATTCGGGGGAGGACAGTGGGGGCTCTGTGGCCTCGTGCGCCAGGCTGCCTGCTGCTTGCTGCTTCTGACCTTATTAAATGCGTGTGAGTACACAGCGCTTTCCAACTTCTAATCCTGCCATAATGATATGATTCATTCCTGGCGTGGACTCACGTGCATGGAGACCATAAGCTGCACCACCTTCTCCCCAGGACTGGGTTTGCTCCTGGTTTGGCTCATTTCTGGGCTGACGGGTTGGGTGGGAGTCTCCAGATCTCCCTGAGGGGAAGCTGCACTCTCAGGAGGGCCAGGCTCAATGATGCCAGTCTCAGCGCCCCCATCCATGCGGGGGCCCTCTGGCTCTGGGAGTCTAGGGCTCTGTGCTCGAGTGTGTCAGTTCTGGTGGTCACTGGGAGTGGGCGCCTTGTTACATGCATGCTCCTGCATGTAGCCCTGTCCCTCTGAAAGGGGCTTCAGGGTTCCATGCCCAGGCCAGTCTTCATGTTGTGCACAGCTGGGGGACTAGGGCTGCTTCTTCCCCCTCCCTACCCTTTCCAATCAAGCTGGGCACCTGTGGGGAATTAGTGTGGGGAATGCTGCCCTGCTGGACCTTCACAGCCTCATGCTTATGGGCCTGAAGTCACACCCCTGCCAACACACATACACAAAGACAAACATGGATACACACAGATATACAGATGCACATACGTGGCCACACACAGAGACACACACACACAGACACACGAAAACTCACAAAGACATGGACACACACAGAGACACATAGTCCAGCTGTTCTTCCAGGACATCTGAGGCCCTTCCCTGGGTCCTGCAGGCAGATGGTCAAGGCCCCTGGGGCAGTACAGGCCTCTGCCTCCCAGAGGGCCCAAATAGAGCCCTGCTATGGTGTTCGGGCCAGGCAGGCAGGCATGGATTGGGCTTTGTCTTACACTGTGGCCTCCCCTTCCCCTCTCCTAAGACGACAGTGTGTAGGCAGGTCTCATTGCCAGCGGTAAGGATAGCGTCTGTGAAGCTTCCCATGTGCCAGGCCCCTTGCCTTAACATTCTGCACATGAACGCATCGAGTCCACAGCAGCCCTGTTAGGTGGGTGCTGCTGTGAGTGCTGTCACCATCCCTGTTTTTCAGAGGAGGAAGCAAGGCTGAGGGAGGTGAGTAGGCTTCAAGATTATACAGCAAGTAAAACTGGTGGCCTTGGGCCCCACCCAGGCCATCTGGCCCTAGAGCTGGCTTTTTGGGTTTGCTGTTTGAAAACCTGAACTTTGGAAAAAGTTGGTTGGTTTTAGGCCTGACTCTCTACTCCTCTGAATAGAGCTGGAGTTTCTTCCTCTAAAGTGGGAGTGGGAATTCCTGCCTCATAAGATGTAGCTGTGCTTAGCACAGCTCCTGGTGGGTACAAGCCGGGAATAATGGCCACGGCTGGTCCAACCGTATCCCAGGAGCTCAGATGGCTCTGTGTGTCTTCTTGTGTTTCCTTGCCTGCAGCCTTGGCCTGGGGCCCTGTGGTGGAGGCCGTGCTGCCATCTCAGTAGGCACAGCCACAGGGATGTCCGGCAATTCCTGATGGGGCTTCTGTGGTGACACTCACCCTTGGCAGGCATGTCCAGAGCAACCGAGAGCATCTTGTGCTGAGTGCCACTGGGGGTGTGAGGAGGGACCATGGGACCAAGCCCCGCCCAGGGGCATGCAGTTCAGAGGTGTACTTGAGAAGACACCCAGCTCTCTCTGATTTGTTCAAGTTCAAAAGAACTTTAGTTAAGCTTGTAGTTAAACTGAGGGCTTCAAGTGAGGAACAGGGCAGGCCTTGGGCAGCCTGTGCTGCCTGGGGGCTCCTCCAGTGCTCCCTCCTGACTGTTGCATGCTTCCCCCGAGGGCCTGCAGGAGATGTGGGCATCTGAGTGGAGCTAACCCTCCTACCCCACCTGGAGCCCAGGGGAGACTCCTGAAGAGGAAAGACGGGAATGCCAGCAAGGATGGGAATAGCCCGGGCAGTCGTGGCACTGCCCAGATCCCATGAGACAGCCACACTGAAATTATTTCAGATAATGTGCTAGCATTCCTGCATGTGGGAGTGCGCCCGTGAATAAGCCATTCTCTGGCCTTCCAGAGAGTAGTCCCCAGAACAGCCTGCTCCTCTCACGTGCCAGGCACACTGCACTCCAGCGGCGCTCCCTGCATCCCGGCACCTCCAGCCTTGGCTCTCTGAGGGATACCAGGCTCTGCTGAAGGTTTGCGGTGATTCGCAGGGCAATGATAACAGTTCTGGGGCTGGAATCCCACCTCTGCCTGCTGCCTCCGGGGCTAGCCGCTGGCAAAGGCCTTTCTCTACAGACATTTGGACACTTGGGTGCAAATGTCACCCACCTCAGGCTCCATTAGGTTTGTCCAGGGAAGCCCAGTGAGGTGGCAAGTCACAGGAAAGCACTCACTTCTTGACCACAAGAAAAGCACCAGGATACCTAGGTCCTCAGCGCAGCTCAGTCACCCACAGCCGTGTGGCTAACCCAGCCTGTGCCTTAGGTTCTTTATCTAACAGGAGGGGTTAGTCTGGTGCTTTTTTAAACTATGTTTGTAATGAAAACAAAATCTGATTTTTTTTACCCAAATAAGCTTTATTTTCAAGCTCACTGTGTGAAGCAGATGCAGCGGAATGACTTTGATTAGAGCGGCAGAGGTGGGAGGGAGAGGCCCCTGCTGCCCCCCTCCCCAGCCTGCCAATCCAGCACCAACCCCTGCTCTCCAGCCACTGTCCCTGAGACCCCCCTTTGGAGAAGCCCCAGCTCTGCATACACAGCTTAAAAACCTCGGGACCAGATGATCGCCGAGGGCCTTCCTGTTCTGGGGTTCACATTCAGCTTTGCCAAAGAATCCTCTGATGCCATTTCAGGGCAATCTGTTACCACTTTGGGCAATTGAAAACATGTCCTGGTAGCAAAAAGAGACAGCTGAGTCTCCAGGACCAACTGCAGTTCAGCTGGAGAGAAGCAGAGTGGTGGGCTGGGAAAACCCAGCCAGTTCTTTACAAATACAGCATGTGTATGTGTACATTCGTGGTGGTGTGATAGTGTGTGTGCGGATGGGAGAGATTGGTGACACTGTATGGCCGGGTGTGAGATGACATGGGTGTTGGTGGTTGTGTTGGAGATTGTGTGAAGGGTGACTTGATTGTGTACATGTGCATGTGATTGTGATGTGTGATGGAGAGGGCATAGTCGTTCCTCCCTCCTGGTGAGGGTTCTCTGACTCATGCCTGGGCACTGGAGGCTTCTCTTCTTTGGCCCTTGCACCAAAGTCAGTGCCTCCTGTCTGTTGGCCATTCCTAACCCAGACCAGAGCCAGGGTGAGGACATCATGGACAGATGTAAACCTAGCCGAGTGCTGCCGACCACTGCCTGCCTGGCCACTTCATTGTCAGAGGCCCCAAGAAGAGTCGAGAAACAGACCTTTGAGGTTTGTTTATCCCAGGCTGTGCAAAGCCTTGTGAAGGTTTTTTTTCCACTTGATTTCAAGCCGTTTATTTTCTTTTCTAAGATCTCGAATTGCTTCCGGTAAATCTCATGCAGGATTTCATGCTTGCCAAGCTTTGCTGCTTTTCAAACCACATGGCTAGAACTTTCCCCAGGGAGCTCTCACAAGCCCCAAGGATGCTCAGGGTCCTGGGGTCAGGACCAGCTCTGAACCAGACCTGGGCAGCACTGAGCATGGGCTGCTCTGGTGCCTCAGTGGAGCACAGACCTGGCCAGGTCATTGAGGCCCTGAGAAGGTCCAGTGGGGGTGAAAACCTTTTCATGCAGTAGATTCTTGGCCTTCATTACAGCAGCAAGTTCAGCTGCCCAAAGGCAGTCTTGAAAGTCCGGAAGAGGTGGTAGCTTCTCATTTGCTGAAACAGTTTTAGAACAGCACAAGCTAGGTGCTGAGGGTGAGGGATGACGCTGGGCAGGACCCACGCCATGTCACTCTGTGGCTCTTTGTAACTCTCCTCAAGAGATTAAAAGCAATGGCAGCAACAAAATAGTTGATTCCTTTGTGCAAATAGTCCTGAAACAAAAGCCAACTGTGAGTGTTGGTTGGAAAGACAGTGACAGAAGCTCAATTCCCAGCCAGTGTAAGCAGAAACAAAGCTACTGACTGATTCCTATCAGAAGCCCAGGCTTTAAGAGGGGCTGGATCCAGGAACCCAGACATTGTCTTTGGGAATTGGTGTCTGTTCTTTTGTCTCTTCACTTTTGGCTCCTCTGTCCCAGCTGCATTCTCAGGAAGGTCCTTCTGCACGGTGGGCTCAAGGGAGCCCTTCTCCAGCAGCTCCTCAGCCTGCTGGGTGCTGGGTGCCATTCCTGGTGTGATTGCCGTGGCCAGGCCTGGGCTGCACCATCACATATATATGGACATGGGGTATCCCCAAAAGGCAGTCACTGCCCAGAGAAGGCCACCACATCTGCTAGCAAAGGGATAGGGCAGAGTCAGGAAACAGGTATCTGAGAACAGGAGAGCAGATGTGGGTTTGGGGTGGGCTGAGCCTTCATGGAGGCCCCCAGGCTCCTCTCAGTAATGGAGAAAAGAGATCACCAAGCTTTCTGTTCCAGCAATTGTGGGCAGTGCTCACCCCGTCAGAGACCCTCTGGGGGGAATCACGGGGGTGGGTGGTTCGTGGGGTGAGATGTGAACAGGGGCTGTTCCCCTTGAGAATCACGGGCTCTTGGAGGTTTAAGTGTGCTGTTCTGAACGGGAGGGGTCCATGGGATGCTCGTCAGCTTACCTGGGACTCTGCTGAGCCTCTGCCAGCCCAGAATAATGAATAATGAGGTGTGAACAGAGCCACCCAGACCAGGAGCCTGACCCATGGGCTCCCGTCTCTGCACCGACACCTGGCTTTGTGGCTCACTTGCCCTCTCTCACCTGAATCTTCCCCCAGGTCACATGTGAGGCAGGGTGGGTTGGGTAAGTGT